>NC_000004.12:67671381-68921381 GCF_000001405.40 Homo sapiens | reverse complement strand
TTAGAGTTCTAACATTCTATAACTTTGGAGTTCTACTCATGGAATAAGACATTTTCTTTACTGTAACAGGTTCTGTGGAGATTTGATGGAAATAAACCACATGCTTTAGGACTCAATACTTGGGTGTACAAGTGGATACCACAGAATGACCTTCTTGGTATGACTCTGGAGTACAAATACTGAATGTATTAGTAATATCCCATTAGAGTATTAATAATTAATCATGAAATAAGCTTATTGAAAATGCATTATGGAAAAACTTAAAAATAAAATGCAACTACATTATATTTATTTTGCAGTCCTATGGGGAAAATAATAAGCTATAATTGTTGGCATTTTATGATATACATTCACCTTCTTTATGGTCAGAATCAGAGTATTTTTATTTCAGGTGTTATTATGTCTCACAGAATTTTTTGTAACTTCATAGATCGTCTTTGTCTCCTATTTCTATAACTTTACACTTGTTCTTTCTTTTTATGCAGGGTTATTTCAAAAATAACAGCTCTTCTGCTATCACCAGTGACTCTGCATTTTCTGTAGTATTAAATTCCTAATCTTAATCATAAAGTGATGACACATTTTGTGATGAAGTGTGACCTGTCCTTCCTCAATCCTAGCACCACCACCACCCCACTGCCTGCTGCCTTGCACATCTCACATATCACATTCTATGACTGCACTTAGGAGAACACATTCTTACATGTCCATCTCTTTTCTTTGCTGCTCTTTTTTTTTTTTTTTTTGCACATTTTATTTAGATTGCGCTTTTTCTTTAGTCTAACTGGTAATCTTGTTTAACTATTTTTCAGTCTGAAGTCACACACACCATACAGCTTTCACTTACATCTCCAGCATAAGTGCTCCTTCCTCTGAAGTCTGAAACAGAAATTTTAATTTAGTTCAATGTTTTAGCTAGAAAATACTGTCACTTGAGTCTTTAGTTGTGCATTTCTCATTTTATTCCTATGAATAATTTTGCTAAAATTCATCCAATCCTAGGTCATCCAAAAACCAGGGCTTTTGTAACTCATGGTGGATCCAATGGCATCTACGAGGTGACCTACCATGGGATTCCTATAATGGGGATTCCACTGTTTGCGGATCAACCTGATAACATTTCTCACATGAAGGCCAAGGGCACAGCTATTAGATTGGACTTCCACACGATGTCAAGTACAGACTTGTTCAATGCATGAAGCCAATAATTAATGACCCTTTGTGAGTATAACAATATTTTTTCACTAGGTGGTATTTATAGATACCTTATCTTCTCAATAGTATGAGTTTCATCCTTTTTTCAAGAGACTAATTTTGAAAGAATTTAAATGATGTAACCAATCTGAAATCTTCTTTTATTTTTGAGCAGTTATTAAAGAATTGTGTTTTCAACTCCACACATTTAATGGGTATCCAATTAGTGAAACAATTTTCTGCACAAAAATAATTTTAAAGTAATATAGAGAATATAAAAAAGACAGTTTTAAAGAAATTATATGATCAATCCACAGTAGAAAGGAAGGATAAACTTGAAGAAATATGATAAAATACTTTAATTAAATATCTAAAATGTCTAACAGTATAACTGTTTTCTTGCTGAAAAATTCATTTTTATTGTTTTCATTATTGTAACTGGCTTGATAATTAGATATAATTTCCATGACTTAAAACCCACCTATTTAAAGTGTAAAATTCCAATATATTTAGAATGCTTATGAGTCATGAAGCCATTGAGAATCATACAGTTTGGGGTGTTGTGTAAATGACTTCTTTCACTGAGCATAATTTTTTGTTTTTTTAAAATAGTTTTTAGATTAATTCATGTTGTAGTGTACATTAATACCTCATTTATTCTTACAGCACTATAATATTTTACAGTATGGATATGTCATATTTTATTTGTTCACTTATCAGTTCGTTGGCCTTTTGATTGTTTCCAATTGTGGCTATTAGGAACATTGCTGCACATATTTTTGCATAAACATGCTTTTCTTTCTTTTGGGTTGATACTATAAGTGGTATTGCTGGCTTATGTGGGAACTGCATGTTTATGAAGAACTGCTAAACTGTTTTCCAAAGTACTTGTTCCATTTGTCATTACCACCAACAGTACAAGAGGGTTCAAATTCCTCCACATTGTTGCCAACACCTGTTATTATCTTTTTGTTATAGCTTTCTTAATGAGTGTGAAATGATCTTTCATTGTGGTTTTGGATTGGATTTTAGGTGGATTACGGCTAAAAATGTTGAGCATCGTTATATGTGCTTATTGACCATATCTCTTCTTTGGAAAAATGCCTATTCCAATCCTTGGAACATTTTTAAATTTTGCTACTCATCTTATTATTGAGTATTAAGAACTATTTTATATTTGGATATAATCTTATATCAGATATACAATTTTCAAATATTTCGTTTCATTCTGGGTGTGCTAACATTTTACTTTTTTGTTGATGGTTTTTGAAGAACAAAAATTTTAATTTTAATAAGTTAAATTTTTAGTAATTGATTTATTTATACTCCATAGGATGCAATGTGCAAAATGCCTACCCAGTCCAGCTACCATCCATTCAGCATTTATAACTGCTGTCAATAATATTTTTATGTAAGAAAGATGTCACCTAAAGGAATACTTTTAAAACAGGTTGTACCATGAAACAGGTTGGACCAATATAAAAGAAACATCAAACAACGTGGTTTATTTAAATGTGAATATACAGATACTTCCATTAAATCTAAACAGACTTTAAAAAGAGAAGCAAATAATGAATAAGGACATAAAACGTTAGAAGAACACAGTTAACAAATGGAAACTTATAATGTAACATGATACACACACGCATATATATACATATATATATATGCACACACACATATGTACTATATATGTCAACTGGAAGACACATTTTCTTAGAGCATGTTGAATTATTAATAGTTATTTGAAGTGACTTGTGGTGGGCCATAAATCAAGACTCAGTAAATTTGAAAAGATTCAATATCATAAAGAGTAAATGATTCAGCCTAAGTGGAAGTAAGGGATATTGGAAAAATGATAACTAAAATACTTTTAATTTTGGAAATTAAAAATATACACTTCAAAAAATTTAAAGCTCCACCTCAGACTCCTGAGTAGCTGGGAATACAAGCATGCACCACCATGCCTGGCCAATTTTGTATTTTTAGTAGAGATGAGGTTTCACTGTGTTGGTCAGACTGGTCTCGAATTCCTGACCTCAGATCATCCACCCGCCTTGGCATCCCAAAGTGCTGGGATTACAGGCGTGAGCCATCGCTTGAACCTCGGAGGCAGAGGATGCAGTGAGCCAAGATCATGCCATCACACTCCTGCCTGGGCAACAAGAGCAAACCTCCGTTTCAAAAAAATAAAAATAAAAATAAATTTAAAAGTTTAAAGAATTAAAAATAAAAAAAAAGTCAAGAAGTGAATGATAATTATGCATGCACTTTTATCTCAGCAATTCTACTTTTAATTATATGCCCAACAGATATGTATAAATATGTAAACCTTGTGCTATATATGACATGGACAGGAAACAGGAAAATACTGGGTAGAAGAGGTCAGTTCCCCAGCAGAGGTCCCACCCTCAAGCCTGAAAACTCATGGCCATAAATGAGAACAGACATTCTGTTTTTGAGCCCCCAAAAGTTGCCTTTTGGCCCACAATGCCCCCCTATTCTGTACCCATATAAACCCCAAACACCCAGCATGAACAGAAGAGCAGAAGGATGGCAGAATGGTGCATCAGAGAGAAGAGAAGGAGTTTCTGAATGCCAAGAGTAGTTCAGCTGGAGACAGTTGGAAAAGAGAGGAGATTGGATGCTGGATGGCCAAACCCCAGTGGAAGATCATCTTCCCATTCCATCACCATTCCAGCTCCCCATTCATCTCAATGAGAGCCACCTCCACCACTCTATAAAACCCATGCATTCATCCTTCAAGTCCGTGTGCGACCTGATTCTTCCTGGATGCTGGACAAGGACCTGAGTACTAACAGGGCACTGAACTGGTTAACACTTAAGCCATCAGTACATGGCAAGGCTAAAAGAGTACACTAACACATACCCACTTGGGCTTCAGGAGCTGCAGACAACCACCCCTGGATGCTGCCGTGGGAACACAGTCCAGGGGCGCTTGCCCAGGCTCCCGCACCTGCCTGTCTGCATGCTCCCCCTCCCATAACGGGCTTGAACATGAATGGGGGCTGAACAGATGAGCCACACAGCTGTCGCACATCTTGTGAGGGGAGGCGCAGAACTCTTGCATTTCATATACAACAATGTTTATAACAGAATTATTAATATTGTTCAAAAATCGTTAGCAACCCCAATGTCTATTGGTCATAAAATGATGACATAATCTGTGGTTTAGCAATCAACAAAATACTACACAGCAATGGAATTAAATAACAACTGCTATACAAAATTTTAAAAAATAGACTCTAATGAATGTATGTTATATAATTCAATTACATAAATAAAGAAAACTAATGTATTATATTTGAAGTCAGACTAATATTTAACTGAAGGATAAAAGTAGTGACTAAATGGTTCAGGAAAAGAGAGTTATTCTAGACAGGTTGTGGTATCATATATCATGATCTGAACAGTAGGGAAATTGGTATCTTCTCTTCAAGATAATGTTCAAGATGATCTAATACTTGTGACCTATTCACTTAGTGTGTGTATATTTATCTTTTGGTTTTAATATTCAAAGATTTATTTTATAAGTTATATAATGTATTTAAAATTCTAGGAATCAAATATCAAAATAAGCATAAAACAATAGAGAAAATCCTAGAGGTTCCATCATAGTGTGGCCAGGAAAACCTCGCTTAGAGGTAACACTTAGAGGGAAGCCTCAAAAAGAGATAGAAGCATGCCTTGGGTTGTTGCAAGAAAGAATGCTCCAAGAGTGTGACAGAGGGGGCAAAATGTTTAAAGATGCTATGGTGAGGATACTTTTGGGAACTTAAAGAAAAATAGAAGGGCAATGTCTCTAGAAGACCTAGTGTGCATGGAAAAAGTGTTAGGAGAAGAGCTTGCCAGTGTTTGACATTGCAGGGTCCTGTAGACCAAATAACAGAGTTGGATTTTATTTTTAATATGATAAGAAGTCAGGCAAAAATCTTAATCAGGAGAGTGGCAAAATCTGACTTTTATTTCAAAAATATAATTCTGGCTGCTGGGTAGGAAACAGTAGGAGAGAAAAGGGTAGGGTAGAAGCAGAGTGACTAGCTATGAGGCATTTCACTCACCATGACACAATTCCTTTTTGGAACTTAAAAATGATAATTGTATTTTCACTATCTTTCCTAAAGGACTTAAAATTGCTCACAATGTTGAGCACGTTCTCATTTGCCTGTTTGAGAACTAAAAGAGTATAATTGGATTGTTCATAACAGAAAGGATAAATGCTTAAGGAACAATACCTTATTCTCCATGGTGTGATTATTTTACATTGCAGCCTGTATCAAAACATCTCACTCAACCCATAAATATATACACCTACTAAGTACCCAAAAAAACTGAAAATTAACAAACTAACAAATAATAATGAAATGGCTCATATTTGCTTTGCCTGAAAGAAATTAGTTTTCTCACTTGGCTTTCCATTTTTACCTTAAAAATATTTGTCAATGATAAAATTCCAATTTAAAAGCCAAAGTTTCTATGATGATTCAAATTAAATTACTCAAATTCTATGTCAATTCTATGACATTTACTTTGAATCATTTGACACTTTAAAAACCTTTCATGGGCTGGATGCAGTGGCTCACGCCTGTAATCCCAGCACTTCGGGAGGCCGAGATGGATGGGTCACCTGAGGTCAGGAGTTTGAGACTAGCCTGGCTAACAGGGAAAAACCCCGTCTCTACTAAAAATGTAAAAATTAGCCAGGTGTGTTGGTGTATGCCTGTAATCCCAGCTACTCGGGAGGCTGAGGCAGGAAAATCTCTTGACCCCAAAGGAGGCGGAGGTTGCAGTGAGCCGAGATTGCGCCACTACACTCCAGCCCGGGCGACAGAGTAAGACTCCATCTCAATAAATAAGTAAATAAATAAATAAATAAATAAGCAAAATAAAAACCTTATATGGACTTGATATGCTCAAGCAAATTAACTTACTTTCAATTTTGGTATCTCTACATTTATCCTTCAGATATAAAGAGAACATTATAAAGTTATCAAGAATTTATCATGATCAACCAGTGAAGCCCCTGGATCGAGCAGTCTTCTGGATTGAATTTGTCATGTGCCATAAAGGAGCCAAACACCTTCAGGTTGCAGCCCGTGACCTCACCTGGTTCCAGTACCACTCTTTGGATATGATTGGGTTCCTGCTGGACTATGTGGCAACTGTGATATTTATCATCACAAAATGTTGTATGTTTTGTGTCTGGAAGTTTGCTAGAACTGGAAAGAAGGGAAAAAGAGATTAGCTGTAGTTGTATTTGAAGCTTGAAGCTAGGAAACCTGATAGACGAGACTTCTTCAGTTTATTCTAACAAGAAAGGTTATGAAGCAAGATTCCTTTCTTTCTGTGACAGAAAATCTCTTCAAAACTTACTTACCTTGTCAAATAAAAATTTGTTTTTCAGAGATTTAATACCTTAGAAATACTTTTTGTTGAGAAGGAAAGTACTAGCGAAATTATAAAATAGTATAAAGCCATATGAACTTGTATTTAAATTTGTCGAGCTTATATTGAAATGTGTTGCTCCCATTCACAGGTTACATGAAAACATTTTTACTGAGCTTAAGTACATTTCACATATTGTACTTAAACACAAGAGTATTAAGAGTATCGGTACTGTTTTGCAAATACTCAGAATACTTTGGCTTCATTTTAAGCAGGATTTTCATATTTTAACTGTTGCTAAAGGAACTGTTAAACAATTGAATTGTATAAAAAATGTCTCTCTTGCTTTTGCTATTTTGAGATGAGTACTGCTGCTTGGCTCTTACGGTGCATACTGCTTAAGTGTCAGTTTTTTTCCTAAAAGTTATGGCAAAATGTTTAACTTTTTAGAGCTTTAGTCATTTCGCAGTGGAATGTATATGGAATTAGAAATACAGCAACTGCTACCTGCTTCCTACGGTAATATTGAACTATTTTACAAAGTCTTTTGCTCTATGAACCAATTCAGACTTTCCATATGATACCAAGAAAATCAATACATGTTTGTCCAAAAAATAAAACAAATTAAAAATGAAGAAATGAGTGAGTGAGTGGTGGAAAGAACACGGGGCTAAAAGTCAGGAAAGCTGGGGTCCAGTCCCACCCTTCTGCTGAGCCAGTCTTTCACCGTGAGCCTCAGTTTACCCATTTTTTTCTGGTCATTTAAAAATATTCATCTGGTCGATTTTATTCTTACATTTTAAATTATTTCAAGAGACTTTAGGGAACAGGTGGTGTTTGATTAGATGGATAAATTCCTTAGTTGTGATTTCTGAAATTTTGGCACACCCATTACCCGAGCAGTGTACACAGCACCCAACGTGTAGTCTTTTATCCCTCTTCTCACTCTGACCCTTCCCTGAGTCCTGAGAGTCCATTGTATTATTCTTATGCCTTTGCATTTTCATAGCTTAGCTCCCACTTGTAAGTGAGAAGTTAAAATATTTGGTTACCTAATCCTGAATTACTTCACTTAGAATAATGGTCTCCAGCTGCATCCAGGTTGCTATGAATGGCATTATTTTGTTCCTTTTTATGGCTGAGTAGTATTCCACGGTGTGTGTGTGTGTGTATACCACATTTTTTTAATACACCCATTGCTTGATGGGCATTTAGGTTTGTTCCATATTTTTACAATTGGGAATTGTACTGCTGTAAAGATGTGTGTGCATGAGTCTTTGCATATAATGACTTCTTTTTTTATGGGTAGATACCCAGTAATAGGATAGGTGGGTAAAAATGTAGATCTACTTTTAGTTCTTTAAGGAATCTCCATACTGTTTTCTGTAGTGGTTGTGCTAGTTTATGTGTTTCCTTTTACCACATCCATGCCAATATTATATTATTTTGGGGTTTTTTAATGATGTCCATTCTTACAGGAGGACAGTGGTATTGCATTGTGGTTTTGATTTGCATTTCCATGATAATTAGTGATGTTGAGCATTTTTTTCTGTTTGTTGGCCATTTGTATATTTTCTTTTGAGAATTGTCAATTCATGATCTTAGCCTACTTTTTGATCATATTATTTGTTTTCCTCTTGTCGATTTGTTCAAACTCTTTGTAGATTCTGAATATTAGTCATTTGTCAGATGCATAGTTTGTGAATATTTTCTCCCACTCTGTGAGTTGTCTGTTTACTCAGCTGATTATTTCTTTTGCTGTGCAGAAGATTTTTAGTTTAAGTCACGTCGATCTATGTTTGTTTTTGTTGTATTTGCTTTTGGGTTCTTGGTCATGAAGTCCTTGTCTAAGCCAATGTCTAGAAAAGACTTTCTGATGTTATCTTCTAGAATTTTTATTGTTTCAGGTCTTAGATTTAATTCCTTCATCTATCTTATAAGGTGAGAGATGTGAATTCAGTACCATTCTACTACATGTGGCTTGTCAATTATCCCAGCACCAATGGTTGAATAGGCTGTCCTTTCTCCGCTTTATGTTTTTGTTTGTTTTGTCAAAGATCAGATGGCTATAAGTATTCAATTTTATTTCTGGATTCTCTATGTTGTTCCATTGGTCTACATGTCTGTTTTTATACCTTTGCCATCATGTTTCAGTAGCTACAGCTCTGTAGTAGTTTGAAGTTGGGTAATGTGATACCTCCAGATTTGTTCTTTTTGCTTAGTCTTGCTTTGGCTATGCAGACTTCAAGCTGAGAATCAAATCAAGAATTCAACCCTTTTCACAGCAGCTGAATCAAAAAGAAAAAGAAAAACATAAAATACTTAGAAATATACCCAAACAAGAAGGTAAAAAACCGCTACTAAGAAAACTACAAAATACTTCCCAAAAATATCATAGATGACACAAACAAATGGAAACACCTCCCATGCTCATGGATGGGTAAAATCAATTTTATGAAAATGACCATACAGCCAAAAGCAATCTATGAATTCAATGCAATTCTCATCAACATACGATCATCATTCTTAACAGAACTAGAAAAAAAATCCTAAATTTCATATAGGTTTTATTCTCATTTTTGTCCTTTAATAGAAAATATAAGTTCTTAATATTAGTTTGTGATAATATAAGAAATGCATTCTAAAGGTACTTAGTGAATTTTCAATCCTGTTAAACATGCATGTACATATACATGTCCATTTCTTTTGAAACACAACACAGCATCACTTAACTATCTAATAGGTATGTCGTGAAATGTGTTTATTGAAGACAGTTTGAAATAATAATTATTATTCTACATAACTATAAATGATCATGATTAATTTTTTTTCTTTTTTCCACAGTCTTTTGATCCTTCCCTCCTATAAATATAATATGGCAACACTAAATTTTTTATCATAACAAAAATATATCTACAAAGAATACAAAAAGTTTATAAATTTTGTGGAAAATAGCTAAATCAAGACATAAACCTCCTTTAATCTGCACATCAGGAAAGCACTTTATGATCAAACTGGTCCAAATTGACAGAAACCTAGTTGTCTTTGTTGATCAGAAGTCCCATAAGTAACCAAGACTCACAACAAATATTCTTGAGCCTAAGTCATGATTTAAATACATATCACTATATATATATATATATATATACACACATACACACACACATACAAACACACACACATATATATCACTATATATGTAGATTTGTATTTGTATGCATATATATATAAATCATGTTATACACAAACACACTAAAACATTGATGTTAAAGAAATTATAGGAAGCATTGATAAGAGAATATTTTATACAAATTATCTAGCTATTGATACATTTATAAAGAAAAACAGAAATAATAAGGTGGTAAATGTTAATAATTTTTGTTATCATTCTTATAAGCCTGAATTAATTCACATTAAACCTATTCTACATCATACTTAAAAGATGGATATCTATTGTTTAGTGAGAACTACAATCACCAACCAAAAAAGGGAAATGTTCCAATATAAAAACTTAATGAAAATATAAATAGGCACTTCAAAGCAAAATCACTGAAAACATATGAAAGATTATAAAGTACCTGATGCTCAGGAAAATAGAAACAATGGAAAATTAATGCTGTAAAGATTTGCAACCTATAAAAACCTGAGAAATCTATTTTTGCGGGAGTATAATGTGAAATAACCTTCTAAAATAAAATGTCAATATACAGTTTGAAACTGAAGTTCTACATCTAGAAACCTGTCATGCAGAAATCCTTCCATATAAGCACATGTATGAACAGAATATTTCCTCCAGCACTTAAATGGCTCCAGTCAATGAACACACATACCTCCAACAAATGTGTGAGTGTAGCCATTGTAGGGAACAGTTTATTCCACTGCTAAATAGAAAAAATAGTTTCCAGAAAAAAAAAGCCTTCCTTGCAATGAAATAAAATAAAATATATGTAAACTTGTACAAGGAAAAACAAATCTAGCAGAGTACACATAAATCCAAGGATGGGAATTTTAGATTTTATTCTACAGAATTCTGCAGCATTTAACTTTTTACAATATTTTCATATATTATTTATGAGGTTCAAAAATTAATTTGTGAAATAAATACATAAAATCAATACAGGAAGCTCTAAAAATTAACATCTCTTTATTAATTCATTAGTGTTATTCAAAAAATTTGAATTGATCAGGTTTCTCACATGCTATTTCATTCATTTGCAGCTTTTTTTTTAGAACACTGGTTCCATGTTTAAAATACCTATGGATAAATATAACACAATGTTTAAAAAATTGCAAGAACTGTAGAAATCTAAATTCACAAAATTTTTGTATTTTCTTTTATTATATTTAATATTTTATAAATCTTACAATTGCTTAATAACTTCTGCTGTCTTCTTCAAAATGTTAGAATGGTTGTGATTTTGTGACATGACTATAAATACTTTGACAATTTTCCTGTCAAGTAATATCCCCTCCCTTTGAAGTTTGGCAGACCTTGTAGCTGCCTCAACAAAAAAGATGCAGTGGAAATAATGCAGATTAACTTTCAAAGTTCTGTTGGAAACAACATGTTCCCTCTCCGCTTCTCTCTCTCTCTTTCTATCTTTTGTTTTTATGTCTCTTTTTCTCTCCACATCTCCTCAATTCAATATGTAGTCCCCATAATAAATGACAATTTGGCAGAGAGACACAAATATATGCCTAAGAAATCCTGGTAGCCCACTAGTACTTTGAGCCTTTCAACCTGAATCATTAAGTATGTAAGTGAATGATCTTCAGATAATTATAGACCGAGGCACCATAGGAAAGTAGCTACCTAAGAAACTTTGTGGAAGGAACACATAACTGAGCCCAACCAACACACAGATTCTGAGAGATGGTAATAAAATGATTACAGTTATTTTAAGGCCTGACATTTGAAAACAATTTTTCATGCAGTGATACATAACTGGAATAATAGTTCTAAACATTTTAAATTATACATTTGTAATAAAATTACAATTAATATATAGCTACATAAGTGAAAAATAGGGAATATTATATTTTGAAAATATCTGTACCCCAAATAGAAGAGTCAGCATAACGTGGTGGTTAAGAGCTGGCACTCTGGATCCAGATGGCCTGGATTCAAGCCTCTGAGAAACCACTACATAATGATGTGGGGCTGGACAAGTTACTTGGACTTTATTTGCTTCAACTTCCTCACCAATGAAATGGCAGTGGTTGTCATAGCATTACCGACCTCATGGGGTTGCTGAAAGAATGAATTCATTAATATTTCAAAGCACCAAAACAACTGTATATACAGCAAAGTAAAATTTTGTGTAATCTTGAATGTGGCAAGGTTTTTAGATATGACACCAGAAGAAGAAGCAACCAAAATAAAATTGATAAATTAGATTTCATCAAAATTAAAATTTTTACACATTAAAGAACACCATCAATAAGGTCAAAAGAGAAACCAGAGTTTGAAGTACATATTTACAAGTTACATACCTGATAAGTGACTTATATAAAAAATATATAAAGAAAGCTTACAGCTCAATGTTAAAAAGACAAATAATTTAATCAAAAAATGTTTAAAAGATCTAAACAGGAATTTTACCAAGGAATATTTAAATGTCCAATAAGAACATGAAAAAATGTTTTGTGTTGGATTATATAGTTGAGAGAAATATATAACGTCTTCTCAATCACAAGTAACTTTTCCTTTGTGCTCATAGGCAGAGAAATAAATTCTCATGACTAAACAGAAAAGCTGCCTGGAATGAGCACAAGTTATTTGGCAGAACTATAACAATACAAAATTAAAGATAAATAAACAAATAACATTAGTCTTCCTAAGAATCCATATTAGTGTTTAAAATATTATAAATGAAGAGTCTGTGTCCCATATTTTTTAACAGTATCTTTCCCCATTACTGTATAAGATGCTATTTTAATTATTATTATATGTACTAAGTCAAACACACACACACACACACACACACACACACACAGTTGCATGACTATGCATTAATAATAGAAGAAATGTATGTTGTAGCACCTAACTCCTTCCAAAGGAACTGAGTGATGAGGTTTGTTTAAAAAATTGGTCCTATTGAAAACAGTATGGAAGTTTCTCAAAAAATTTAATGTAAGATTACCATATGATGCAGCAATCCCCCTTCTGGATATTTATCCATAAGAATTAAAATCAGGCTCTCAAAGGCATATTTGCGCATCCATATTCATAACAGTACAATCCCAGCATCTACCAAGGAATGAACAGACAGACACTATGTGGTTTATGCTACAATGTGGATGAAACTTGGTATCATTAGGCTAAGTTAATAAGTCACAAAAAGACAAACACTGTAATTCCTCTTTATAAGGTATCTAAACTAGTCAAATTCATTAAAAAAAAAAAAAGAAAAGAAAAGAAAGTAGAATGGTGGCTACCACGTGAAAAGGACTCCATAAAATAAAAAGTTGTTGTTTAATCAGCATAGAGTTTTAACTTTAAAGCAGAAAAAGTTCTGGAGATTGGTTGCTTAAGATTGTGTACCTAGCAGTACTATGTGTACACTTAGAAGTGCTTAAGTTGGAAAATTTCATATTATGTATGTTTTATCATAGCTTCTACTCCAGCAATTCCAGCTAATATTTGATATCTCATCCTTATTTGCTCATAGCATTCTTTTCAATAGTGTTTGCTGTGTTATTGCTCTTTTGTGATGGAGCAAATTCTTTCTTCATAGGAAATGGACATTTTCCCAGAGCTCTGGAGAAAATAGCATTGCAGTGTTTTGTCTGGGATCGATGGTTGATAACATTACAGAAGAAAAGGCTGATGTGATTGCATCAGCCCTTGCCCAGATCCCACAAAATATTAAATACAGTGCCATAATGTTGGAAAACTAAGAGTCTTAAATTCTATAAAGAGTTAAAGGGTGAAAATTTTCTCCCTGAAAAGTTAACATTTAGGATAATTTAATTTACTGAGATTGAGGCAGGAAATTAAAGAAAGAAAGAAAAATAAAATTAAAAAGAGAAATAGGCTTTCCTGTATTAGGCTAACTAGTCCCAGAGGCAGCAATGGGTGCAGCCCAGACCCAGGGAAATTCTTAATACTATCTAAAAAGCCAGGACACACACCAAAGAAATGTGGTCTGGTGACTCTCTCAGCACTCCTTCAACATAGGGAGAAGAAAAACAAATTTTCCTCTGTTTTATGGTATGACTTTACAGATTCTTGTTCTCTGTAACTAGTAACCTCAAGATTTCTGCTTTATCTAAAAAGCACAGCAAAGGTCCTGAGAAGTCTGAGTACGCCTGAACTACAGCTGTCTGGGCACCATAGTGAAGGTTATAAGATAAACCAGTGCAAGGCTCTTTTGAGCAAAACCTAGATAACAGTCATCTAGGTTGCATAGCAATAGTCATGTGTAATCCTGGGTTATGAACCTGTCACAATTTTATTAATTGTTCTCCTTCTGTATCCCTGCTTTCGTGCCACCGTAAGCCTGCACCAAGTTAGCCCACCCCTTTTTTAAAGTGTGTATAAAAGTCAAGTGCTGTCTTTGTTGGGGGCCCCATCTTTGGATGGTAAGTCCGTTGGGTCTGAGTGTACTCAATAAAGATATCCTCCTCTATATACCCCAAGGTCTCTCTCGGGTCCTCCTGATCCGCTACACACCTGGTGACCCACATGGGACTGAGAGACTGCAGCTTGGCTGGCTTCTTTGCCTGTGGGCGGTCTGGGGCCTCGGCTGTGGGAGACCCTTAACTTCAGGACCCATCAAGGGAACTTAAGCCCAGAGAAAGGAGCTGTTCTCCCGCGTCCCCGGTGCCCCTCCCCTGACAGCACAAGGGAACCCGGAGGGGTTGCAGGACGGTTCCAGGAATGGCGCCCTTTCTTCAGAACCATGGTAAAGTTTTGGGGCCCAAGGCAGGACCTATCCCATAAGGACAGAAGGGGAGCCTGATCACCTCCCAGGGAGTGACAACTAATCCAACACAGAGAGGCTGGGGGACGGTGAGAGTGGCTCACAAATTTGGATGAAACTCACACCCCAACCAACACAGGACGCGAGAGTGGCTCGCTAAGTTAGTTCAGAAGGAAACTGGATGCAGTGAGAGCGGTTCACTGCCCCAACCAGGATAGGGAACTGGGAGCGGGGAAGTGTGTGAGTGCGTGTGAAAGAGACAGTTCTGGGAGGAACCAACGGGAATGACATGTGTGGAGCTGCTGATCTCTTAGTGTAGGCTGTACGCTCCGAGCAAAATGTAGGACCAACCGGGTCCAATCGGTCTAAAACAAAAGGAAAGGTGAATGTGCTGCATCATAACTGGGAGGAAATGGGAGGAAAATCGTGGAAACCCACCCCATTGGAATGTATGTTAAAGAACTTTAAGAAAGGCTTTGCAGGGGTTGAGGGAGTCAAGTTAACCCCTCAGATGCTGAGAGCTCTCTGTGAATTAGAATAGCCCTTTTTTGGTGTTGGCTGGCCTGCCAAATGTGCTACAGATAGGGAGAAAATTGGCCGTGTGTTTAAGGTGGTGACCTGAGTTGGAGGACAGTCAGATAATTCAGACCAAATTTCCTTATATTAACTCATGGCTGAATGCAGCCCTGTTTAGCAGCTTATTGAAGAATGCTCACAGCTCAAGCCAAGAGAAATCAATTGTGCTGCCAGCTACAAAGACAAAGTGAAAGCTTCGCCTGTAAACAGAGTTAAAGGGAAAGTCACAGGAGCTTGTAGCGTGAGCAAACAGAGACAAAAAGAAAGCCACAGGAAAAACCAGTTTTTCAAGAACCACTGGAGGGAAAAGAGACCCCTCCTCCATATGTTCCAATCTACCCCCGCTTTCCCCAGGTTAACTGCCTCTGAGGAGTCAAGCTCAAATGGATACATGCCCCCAGTCTCTCTTGAGAGGGAAAAATCTGAGCCCTCACTCCAGGAAGTTAAGGTGAAATGCTAGGAAAAACAGGCAAGCCACCTCCAGTCAGGTTGTGTTAGGGCTATGCAAATGCCTCTCCTGGAAACTAGAGGACCCCCACTAGAACCCAAAGGAATGAGGCAGCCCAACTATAGCAGCTGCCAAGATACCAAGAGGCACTCCTGCAAAATTTAAGGGAAGGCGGGAGACAGGCAATCAATATAGGAAAAATCTCAGAGGGGCATCAGGGTGCAGATGAAAGCCCCAGCCATTTTTATAAAAGACTTGGTGAGGCCAGTGCATGATGAACATGGCATTTGTAGAGCAGGCCCAGGGGGATATCCAGTGAAAATTGCAGAAAATGGAAGGTTTTAAAGGGATGAATGCTACTCAGCTTATTGAAGTGGCCACGAAGGTGTACATTAACCAAGATCAGGAGGCAAAGAGGGAGGCTAATAGAAGGCTTGAGAAAAAGGCTGATTTGCTGGCAGCATCCCTCATGGATGTGGGTATGGACATGGGCATGGAAGAGGCCAGTCTGGACAGGGATTTGAGGGCCAGCCGAGGCTGGAAAGAGATCAGTGTGAGCGGTGCAAAAGAAAAGGACACTGGAAGGATGAGTGTCCAGAGAATAATAACAAGGAGGACAGTCAGGGCATTCAGACCAAATTTCCTTATGTTAACTCATGGCTGAATGCAGCCCTGTTTAGCAGCTTATTGCAGGATACTCGCAGGTCGAGCTGAGAGAAATCACCTGTGCTGGCAGCTGCAAAGACAAAGTGAAAGCTTCGCCTGTAAACACAGAGTTAAAGGGAAAGTCACAGGAGCTTGTAGGTTGAGCTGAGCAAAAAGTGAAAGCTTCTCCGGCAAACACAGAGACAAAAAGAAAGCCACAGGAAAAACCAATTTTGCAAGAACCACTGGAGGGAAAAGAGACCCCAGGGCAGTAGTATAGGAAGGCCACCTACTGGTGGCTGCCACACCAGGGAGGAACCAGACATCGATCTGATTGGACTGGCAGGGGCTGAAGGATATGAGGGTAGGACAGACCAGGCTGCTTCTCTTTGGGACCCGAGGAGCCCATGGTCAGATTAGAAGTTAGAGGCCAGCTAATGGACTTTACGGTAGACACCAGAACTAAACACTTAGTAGTGACCTGACCTATAGAGCCACAATCCAAGAACTGTGCAACTATTGTAGGAGCCACTGGAGTCTCTGAAAAGTGGCCTGTCGGTCAAAGAGGTGTGTTATAGGAGGATGAGAAGTCCAAAATGAATTCCTATACCTCCTAAATTGTCCAGTTTCTTTGCTGGGAAGAGACCTACTTCAAAAACTGCAGGCACAGATTACATTTGGGCCGCAAGGGAATGTAACTTTAAACGTAGTTTGCCCAGAGGCTATGATGTTAACCCTCACTGTCCTGCAGGCTGAGAAATGGAGACTATGCAAAAAAGACTCCGGAACCAGGAGTAAATGAAATGCATGGGTTACTTACTAAAATTCCCAGAGTTTGGGCTGAAAGTAATCCACCTGGACTGGTGCCAGCGTAAATCAGGCACCGGTGGTGGTAGAGTTAAAACTGGGAGAAACTCCGGTTCGGGTCCGACAGTACTCGCTACTCCCTGAGGACATACGGGGTGTCCACAAACATTTAGAGTGGCTTCATAAGCATGGAATCATAGCCAAATGCCAGTCACCATGGAACAACATTCTCTTGCCAGTGCGGAAGCCGTCTGGGGAATATAGGCCAGTACAGGATTTGCATTCAGAAAACCAGGCCACAGTGACCATCCACCCAGTGGTGTCAAACCTGCATACCTTAATGGGACATATTCCAGCAAGTGCCACTTGATTTACAGTCCTAGATTTAAAGAATGCATTTTTCTGTCTCCAGTTTGCACCAATTAGTCAGGCTAGTTTTGTTTTTCAATGGGGGTAAATCACAGTACACTTGGACAAGATTCCCACAAGGATTTAAAAACTCCACTACAATCTTTGAAGAGGCACTGGCCTCAGATCTTAAAGTCTACACCCCACCGAATAGTTACTGTGTCTTGCTCCAGTACATTGATGATCTTCTTCTAGCAGCCCCAACTCAAGAGGACTGCTTCCAAGGGACCCAAGACCTCCTGCACCTGCTATGGAAGGCAGGATATAAAGTGTCAGGGAAAAAGGCTCAAATTTGCTTTGAAAGTTTCCAATATTTAGGCTTCTATATAAGCTAAGGGAAAAGATGGCTTGGTTGTGAATGGAAGCAGGTGGTTTGTGCACTTCCTACTCCAACCACCTGGTGAAAAATAAGAGAGTTCCTAGGGGTAGCAGGGCTCTGCCACATCTGGATCCCAAATTTCTCACTCATGGCTAAGCTATTATATGAAACCACAAAGTGGGGGAAAAGGAGACCATCCTCTGGGAGGCCAACCAGGAGAAGGCCTTTAAGGAAATCAAAGAAGCCTTGACTCTGGTCCCAGCTTTAGGACTGACAGATCTAACGAAGCCTTTCTTTTTATATGTCCACGAGCAAAAGGGAATGGCCATAGGAGTTCTAACTAAATCCATAGGATCATGGCACTGCCCAGCGACGTACTTATCCAGGCAATTAGATTCTGTGGCATTTGGATGGCCTCCTAGTTTTAAGGCATTAGCTGCCACTGCTCTGCTGGGACAGAAAGCTAATAAACTGACTTTAGGACAGCAAATGACGATCCAGGTACCACACTCGGTTGTAACTTTGATGGACCAAAGGGGGCACCATTGGTTATCAAATCCTAGAATAACTCGATACCAAGGGCTCCTATGTGAAAATCTCTGCATAATTTTAGACTGTGAATACCCTAAACCCAGCTACCTTGCTTACCATTGAGTCAATGCCAGGAAGCCCCCTTCAATGCTGTGTGGATGTGGTAGGTGAAGTGTTCTTAAGCCAGAGAGATTTGACAGATCAGCCCCTCGGGGACCCCGACATTGGATATTTTACTGATGGGAGCAGCTTCATACTAGAGGGTGTCCGCCAAGCTGGGTATGCAGTGGTGACTTTGGACTCAGTAGTGGAGGCGAAGTCTTTGCCTACAGGATCTTCCCCTCAGAAAGCAGAGCTGATAGCTCTGACAAGAGCTCTCCAGTTAGCAAAAGTCCAGAAGGCAAATCTTTACAGAGACTCCAAATATGCTTTTGCCACTTTGCATGTTCATGGGGCTATTTACAAAGAAAAAGAACTCTTAACTGCTGGAGGTAAAGAAATAAAGTACAAGGAAGAAATTCTATGACTCTGAGACACTGTATAAGCCCCCAAACAGGTAGCAGTAATGCAATGTAGGCAAAAGGCAGGAACATTAGAGGCTAAAGGAAGCAGAAAGACAGACAAAGAGGCAAAGCAAGCTGCAATGGCGACTCCACCTTCTAAACAAGAAGCCTTAGCTATGACTCTCCTCCCAGAGATTCCCCTTCCAGAGACCCCAAGCTACACTCAAATGAAAGGGCTTGGTTTACCCAGGAAAATGGGAATTACGTTGAAGGAGGATGATGGAAATTCTCCAATGGGAAGCTAGCCATACTTGAAATGTTGGCCCCCAGATTTGTAAAACAGTTCCACCAAGGAACTCACATGGGAAAAATGGCACTAGAGACATTATTAGGGCATCATTTCTATGTGCCACAGCTCACTGCTATTACTCAAGCCGTTTGTAAACAGTGTTTAACTTGTACTCAGAGCAACCCTCGACAAGGGCCTACTTGGCCCCCGGGGAATTCAGAAAACAGTGGCCATGCCCTGTGATAACCTGCTTTTGGACTTCACCAAACTGCCCTGAGCAGGGGGCTATCAGTACATGTTGGTGCTTGTCTGCACCTTTTCAGGATGGGTCAAGGTCTTCCCCACCTAGACATAAAAAGCACAAGAGGTGACCAAGGGAGGCATTATTCCCAGATTTGGACTGCTCCTAAATCTGGGGTCAGATAATGGACTGGCATTTGTGGCTGAAATAGTTCAGGACTTAACTTGACTATTAAAGATAAAATGGAAGTTGCACACGGCCTACCAGCCACAGAGCTCAGAAAAGATGGAGCACATGAACCGGACACTCAAGCAGCTGCTGAAGAAATTTGGTCAGGAATCTCATCTGAGGTGGGATCAGGTCTTATCCATGGTCTTCCCCCGAGTCAGGTGCACCCCCACAAAAAAAAACAAACTGGGTACTTGCCCTGTGAGATTTTGTTTGGCTGGCCACCCCCAATCATAAGGCAGATTAAAGGTAATCTCCGTGAGCTACAAAAACTAACTTTAAGAAGACAAATGCAGGCTTTAGGTATGGCCATGCAAAAAGTGAATGGCTGAACACAGGAAAGAATGCCTATAAGTCTGACAGACCCAGTACACCCTTTCAAACCTGAAGACTCTTTTTAGGTTAGGAAATAGAATCCACCTACTCTGGGACCCATATGGGATGGGCCCCATACTGTGGTCTTGTCCACTCCCACTGCTGTTGCAGGTATCATACCTTGGATCCACCACAGTTGGCTGAAACCGGCAGCCCAGGACCAGTGGACCAGCCAGTAGGACCCAGACCATCTGACCTGGCTGATCATGCAATGAGACCACGTTGCCAGTGGAGATGACAACAGCCCTATTCTGGTCACTCCGGAAGCTGACCCGTCTATGCACGGAAGAAGGTTGAGGAAACAGCAAGCCCTGCTCTAGTCACACTGGGAGCTGACTAGTCTGTGCATGGCTGAAGCTTGAAGAATCATCATCAGATGAGCAAATGTGGCCAGAAGTCTTAGTCCCAGTAATCTTCTTTGTATTATTCATTATATTGCTATAACCACCATGAAATAAAATATTTTATTTTTCATCCACTTTTATGTGGCACTCATTTTTAACATCTACACAAAAAGTTCACATATTTATCTTTTCTGGTTCATTAATCAAGCTGGTGTCTATTTGATTTTCCTTTAGCTGTAAAGAGAATGTTATGTAGTTATCAATCATTTATTATGATCAGTCTCTGAAGCCCTTGGACCAAAAACTCTTCTGGATTGAATTTGTCATGCACCACAATGGAGCCAAGTACCTGCTGCCACCTGCCCACAAGCTCACCTGGTTTCAGTACTGCTCTCTGGATGTGCTGGCCTGCACAGCTCTTGTTACTCTCTTTGTCATACTATGATGCTTGATTATCAAAAGTTTGTTAAGATGAGAAAGAAGGAAAAGAGAGTAGGTCTGTTTGAGATCTAAGGCAGGCAGGCATGATACCAAAAATTGTGCCATTTAATGCCACCACTATGCATCAAGGTATGGACTAAATTCTTTATTACATTTTACAAGACCTGTGCCTTCCTGATTTGTTTGAATTTTTTAATCTTTGTTAAACATAAGTATTGTAAAATTTTATTTTCAGAAAACCTATAATAATTCAATTTTAATGCTTATCTGTGTATATTTTTCAGCTGAAAATAAAATGAGTTTCACTGGAAATTCAGTCTGTTTACTTGAGAAGGCCAGAAAGACTTGCTTTACTGTGCATTTTAAGAAACTTCTTCTTATATATATGTATATATTTTTATAGAATATAATACATTTATATATTTATATATTATATATAATAAATACATATCATATTTTTATTGTTTTATTTCAACTTTTATTTCAAGTTCAGAAGTACATGTGCAGGATGCGCATGTTTGTTACATAGGTAAAGAACCCTCTTCTATATAAACAAATACATTCATATGGAATATATGTGTCCCTGTCAGAAAAAAGAAAAAGAAAAAGAAAAAGAAAAACAGAGCAAGATCCTTGTTAAAAATTGCAAGACAAACTTTATTTTGACAACTGAAGAAGGGGATAGTGACTACAGTATGAACTGAGCTTAACTCCAACTAAGACAAAGGTAACTGAGACTTTTAAAGAAAATCTGTTTATGAATAAAAAGGGAATATGAGGAAATCAAAATAAGGAAACCAAAAAGAGAGTAGTGGGCTATATGGAAGTAGAAAATTACATAAAAATTAAGTGTAAAATGATTGATTATTAGACAAGATTAGTTAGGGTAATTTTGGAATTTGGCAGCGTCACATTTTATTGAGCAAAGCCTCAGCATGAAGGCTAGGGTCACCTTCCAGGACAAATCCATGACATAGTGCACATATAAGCTGGACTAAACTTGGCTAAGTCTCTTAGCATGGTGTTTAGGCAGATTCTTCCTGTTACATGGAAGTTTCCAAATAATATCGTTCATGAAATACAAAATGTTTTCTCATAAAAATTTCTTTGTTTCAAAACTCTAGATGTTTATAACTGGCTTCCTATGTAAAACTATGCAACCTAGTAAAATCTTTGGTTAGAATGACTAAAGATGTTTTCCACATGAGGCCTTGAATACACTTGAGTTACTATTTTGCTTTAGTAATGACCATTTGTAATTGGATAGTAATACACAAAATAAAAGAAGAGACTAGTTTCCTTTAGTTCGGAATTATAGATATGTAGTCCAGTCCCTCTAGATTATGTTACATGGATTTCTCTCTTGCAATAAGATCTCACATTTCTTGCCCTTACCTTGTCAAGTGTGATATTTCCACCTACTTTAATACCTGGAGTACTGAGGATATACAAACCAGAAATGTATATAATTATTTTAGTTATTCTCTCCTCATAACATATTGAAAAATAAATTGTAGGTGGAATAAAGAGTCAAATATTCTGTGCAACAATTTTTAAAGTCCATGCTGGAGAAAACATGATAAATGGCAAAAGCTCTCCAATACCTGCGTTAAATTATTGTTCATTACAGCCTTTGGACTCAGAACAAGGTTTGAAAAGCAAATAAGAGAGAAGAAGGGAACCAACTTAAGAGCAATTCTTCCATCTGACAAGAGATGTGTCTAAAACAGTTGAATGAAAGAGAGACATAATGATTATTTCTCACACATGAAATAGATTTTTATAGTACTCTTCTCTATGAGAAAATATTGTAGCAATAATTGCTAATAAGATGAATTATTATAATGTCTAGAAAAGAAATATACACTAAATATTTCACTTAAACTTTGAACATATAGTCATGCCACTAGAAAGAAAAAAATACCAAAGTACAAGAAAAAAAGTGTAATGTATTAGTGCTTTTTATAGTAATGTCTTCTTTATAAAAGAGGGAAAACCTTATAGATAAATATTAGTATGCAGAAATAATGAAGCTCAACCTGTACTACACAAGTTAAATTTTAGTCTATTTATATTTTCTTAATGAAACAACTTCTGAAAGTGTACCAAGGACCTTGCCAAAATAGATCTTCTTTGCAATTCTTAGACCATAGAGCCAGATACAAAAATCTATGTCTATTCATGAGTTATCAAAGAATACTTTCATTTGTTTTAATTTTGAGAAGTCTTTTCATATAAAGTACTATGTACACACACAGTTAGGAAAGTATGTGAATATGAAGATTTACTTTATAGAGACTCCTAAAATCACATAGTATATTAAATTCCAAAAATGTCAATATTGTGAATGTGTCTGTTTCTTTGAGATTGATTCTACAAGATTTTAAATATCTCAGCAGTTAAAAAAAATTAAACAAAGAAACTCTAAGTAGTCACATGGAATCATTGAATTGAAATAACATTCTTCATCCTTCATCTTTTTCTATAAAATTTTGAATATGCTCCTTAAGGACTGAAATATGCAAGCACCACAGAAGTTGAAGACAAAAATGAAATAATTGTGAATTTAGTCATGAAAATAACATATGAAGCTGAGTCTATCGATGTCAAGGACAAGTGTTTTATATAGGAGTTTTCTGAATTAATATCTATGCAAAATGTAATGTTTTTTATAAGATAAAACAAATGTGATAATTAGAAGTTTCCTTCTTATATTCTTTAAGTATAGTCTTTAATATTCTTAAATATATTCTTTAACATACAAATCCTTAAAACCCAATAATAATTGTAAAAATTACTAAATAACAGTAAAGAGTAGCGTCTTGGAGGGGACGTGTCTTCTGGCATCTACCACCTCACAACCACTCCAGTGTTCTCTATTGATGAAGCTTAGCATTCATCTAGCTGGCAAAGGAAGAATGTTTACAGGATCCTGATTCAGTATCATAAAGCTATATTTGCACCCAAGGAACAATAAACTGAAAAATAGTAAAGCATAAAATTTCAAATTTCTCATTTGTTATCATTCTAAAAGTTGTTGTTCCTTTGGACACTGAATCTTGGTAAAATTCGGATGAGTAGGAGACATGGCTTTCTTTTGAAAATAACATTTTTGAAAGTGGGGGCATGTAGAGGTTCTGAGAAAGATGAGCTTAGAGTTGTCCCACTGGGTTTACCACCCCACTGGTGGTCACTTCCCTAATGTCCAAATGTATAGTAAGCATTGAGATACTAGCAGGTTGGATTTGTTATTTCGGTAGTAGCATCCTCAGACTTGGTTAGAGGGAGTCTCGTTGTGCTGGGCCCATGTGTATCCTTCACCTATTGCCACTCTATTCATACTCCCAACAAATCAACACTGGAGTAGCCAGTTATTTGGTGCTTTACCTATGATGGAAATTAGCTTTCTTTAATTCCAAGCATATTGAGATGTATCATTGATTTCACTGTAAGTTCCCAAATATTAATCTGATGAATCACTTTTTGGGTTTATGATCCAGTGAAAATTTTGTTCACATACTGCACTGATTTTTTCAAGGATGTTTTTCTATAGCTTCTTCTTTGGTATAGAGACTTTATTAAGGATGAATTTGCTCTTCATAAAAGAACTAGAACATTGACTCATCATAACAGTGGCTCAGAGTGATTGCCAAAAAAAAAAAAAAGATAATTAAAGGTCAGATAAACAAGTAAAAATTAACGAATAATCTTTAGTCAGATAAGGTAAACTTTGCTGTTGGATTAGTCAATCATAATGAGGACATACAGGTTGAAAGAGGCAGGACAGAATGAAATAAAAATTGAGACAAACACATTGAATCAGGTCATAAATGCTTTAACAAAGCATACAACTTGTAGATAAGACCAAGAAATCCACTAGAAACAAGAGAGCTTTTATCTTAAAGGAATAAATATATAAATCAAAAATCAAAGTCTCATTCTGATTGTTTCCTCTACCTACAATCCTTAGGTAAAAATCTTCCAACTGTGTAAAACTGGTTATTTCCTCATGTGGTTTTCTTGGGGAAATATTCAACAGGTGTTGATTTCTGCACTATCGCTCATATTTATTGTGTATTTTGAGAGCATCCCTTCACAATATTTAAAATTTCCTCTCCTGCAGGCTAGGGACATCTACAGTTCCACACATATTTTATTATTTTTTTTTTAACAAAAGTCACTGCTCTCTGTAAATTTTTGTTCCTTACTTAGGTACTATGTCTCATTTGGTTTCCTCCCAAAAGTCACTTTCTCATAGTTCTCATAAGCATGTATTCAGAGAATTCCCTCCAATTTTAACAATTGGTGGACATCCTTCTTTCATTTTATACTAGGCTGTATATGTTGTTCAACATCATTTTTTCTTATGCATGTGTATGTGTCTGGAGCAGAAGTGGGAAAAGTTGAGTCACTTATGATCACCTCATTATACTACATTTTTTAATTTATTTGAGGCTAGTTTTTAGGACACCTATTTCATATATAAAAATCTATGAGTAAATATTTTAAAATGCTTAATGTTTCAGTAGTTGTAAAAAATATAAATTCACACTTTTTAGGATTTTATTGTGTTTTTAATGTCCATATGTAATGAATTTCATAGTTGCTTAGAGGCTTCTGTTGACTAACTCAATAGGTTATATTTGTGGAATTTTGAGACATCACTGCAAACACTTTGACATTCTTATCAAACCGTGGTCCCTCCCCTTGAATTTTGGCAAGACTCGTGGCTTTCTCAGCAAAGAAAGTATACTGGAAGTGACAGCATAGTTTTGAAGACTGTGTTAGAAAAGGCAGTCTGTCTCCGTTTGTCTGTCTGTCTATGTCTTTTACTTATACCTCTTTCTCTCTCTCTCTCTCTCCTCCCTCTTTCCCTTTTTCTCCCTCTATATACTTTGGAGCCCAGTGTTACACCCAAAGTCCTGATGATAAATGACAACTCGGGGAATGATGCAAAGAAGAGACTAAGAAGTCATGATTATTCAGTCCCACAGGAATTTGAGTCTTTTGACATCCATCACCAAGTACGTGAATGAATGACCTTCAGATGATTACATCCCCAGCCACCCTATTAAAGTAATGACCTGAGAAATACTGTGTATGAACCATCTTGCTGAACCTACCCAACACTCATGCTATGGAAATTGTAATAAAATGCTAATTGTTTTTCAAAGTCCCCATGATTGAGGGTAGTTTGTTAGGAAGTGATAAATAGCTACAAGGATATTTCTAAAAATTTAATTATACATTCATAATAATATACACTTAATATAGAGACAAGAAAATGGAAACTACAAATGTGACATTTTGAAAATAACTAACTCAGAAAGGGGAGTCAGCGTAGCATGGTGGTTAAGAGCTCCTGCACTCTGGATCCAGTTAGCCTGGATTCAAGTCCCTGCAAAACCTCTAGAGAATTATGTGGGGTTTGGCAAGTTGCCTCACCTGTACACCTCAACTTCTCCATCAGTGAAACGGAGATGGAGTAATGCCATTATTCACCTCCTGTGGCTGATGAAAGGATGGATGCATTAACTTGGTAAAGCTCTACAGTTGCTGTATGTAGCAAAATAAATTTGCATTAATTATAATAATTATTAAATAGACAGAAAAATTTCCACAATGATATGAGTCCTTACCTAAATTACTTCACATATTTTTTAAAATGTAAATGTTTCAAATGTAAATGATAAAAATAACAGCATTTGCTATTTTTAAATATGTAGGAATTACATTTATTGTAATTTAATTAATCAAAGGATAACAAATCAGTGCCTCTGGGCAAACTCTGGCCAACCACATGTTTTTTTAATATTTGAGGTAAGAATCACATAAAATAATATGTACATTTTAACTATTTAAAAGTGAACAATTCAGTGGCATTCACAGTATTGTGTAACTACCATTGCAATCTAGCTCCAAAACTGTCACCAACCTAAAAGGATGTGTATACACATTAGACAGTCACTTGCCATTCAAGCAGCCCATAGCCTGGTAACCTCGAACTGTCTGTTAAAATCATCCTGTAGTATATTAGGAGATTTTTTTAAAAGGTATACAGCAATATCATTTTCAACTAAATTTTTTTTTCTTAATTTTCACGTGTCCCATTTGTTCTTAAATTGCAATATTCTAGTATGTAAAAATTTACTTTTTATGTCCTTTGCCCAAGTTTTAATGAAGTTGTTTCTTCTTGTGAATGTGTTTAAATTTCTTATAGATGCTGGATATTAGACCTTTGTCAGATGCATAGTTAGCAAACATTTTCTCCCATTCTATGGTTGTCTGTTTACTCTGTTGATAATTTCCTTTGTTGTACAGAATCTCTTTAGTTTGATTGAATCCCATTTGTTAATTTTTGCTTTTGTTATAATTGATTTTGCTGTCTTCATTATGAAAACTTAGCCCATTTCTATCTCTAGAATGGTAGAGCCTAACCAACAAGCATATGAAATATGAAAAAAAAGCTCAATGTTACTGATCATTAGAGAAATGCATGTCAAAACCACAGTGATATTCCATCTTACACCAGTCAGAATACAATCTCACACCAGGTACTGGTGAGGTTGCAGAGAAAAATGAGTGCCTATACATTGTTGATAGGAGTGTACATTAGCTCAACCACTATGGAAAACTGAGTGTGGTGATTCCTTGAAGGCCTAAAAGGAGAACTACCATTAAATCCACCAATTGCATCCCTGGGTATATACCCAATAGAATAGATATCATTCTATCATAAAGACAGCTGCATATGTATGTTCATTGAAGCACTATTCACAATAGCAATGACACAGAATCAATCTAAATGCCCATAACTGATAGACTGGACAAAGAAAATGTGGTACATATATACTGTGGAATACTATGCAGCCATGAAAACAAATGAGGTCATGTCCTTTGTGGAAACATGGATAGAACTAGATGCCATGATTCTTAGCAAACTAATACAGGAGCAGAAAATGAAATACCACATGTTCTCACTTATAATTGGGAGCTAAATAATGAGAATACATCAACACATAGAGAGAAACAACAGACCTAATAGAGGGTAGAGGGTGGGAGGAGAGAGAGAATAAGGATAAATAAATATAAGTCATGGGTTTTAGGTTTACTACCTGATGATGAAATAATATGTACAACAAACCCCCATGACACAAGTTTACCTATGTAACCAAACTGCACATGTATCCCTGAACTTATAATAAAAGTTTAAAGAAAAAATGTTTTTTTCTCCTTGATTGTTGGCTTAATTTTTCCTAAATATATGCAGAAGGTGGAGATACTTTACAAAAAAAATTTGTACCAGCCCCTTCAAAAATGGTAGAATTAGAAGTTCCATGGAGCAAATTTCAAGGGAAACAGTGATAACTAGTGAAAATTGTTTTCTAAAACAACCAGTCGATGCCTCTGGAAATAACCCTGAAGGCATACAACAAACAAAGTAACATGTACTGAAGAAAATACACTAATTTGTGGTGAAAACAGTGAGAGTCTTTGGCATTTAAACCACAACATGCTCACTTGCCCACCCTCGTAATTCACTGTGACAGAAACTACCTTTGCTCCAGGGAGATGCTGACACCACCACAGGCTTCCCACTCCCCAAAGCTTCCAGTTGAGGGCCAGAGTATGCTGTTGAGGAGAGATGTCTCTCTGAATTTCTTATCTACACACACTAAGGCATATGCTGCAAAAGCTAAATTCCTCCAGACAAGTGTGGCTAAGAAGGGTCTCCCATCTTTCATCTAACCACAGTCATAACTCAGAGGTTTAACTCAAGAATGGCACAGAGAATATTGAGTACCAAATAATCACTGCCCCAGCTCATTCATAGGATGAAGTTACCATGATGGGAGAGGAAAAGTAAGAATAAAGGTCAGAGCCTTACTCTTAAGGCATGAATGTTGCTCAGAAAGAAGTGTGTCACTGTCTCTGTCCCCAGCTGTATAGCCAAGGTCAAGACTTAACTGCACCAGGAGAGTCAAGCCATAAACACATAGCTCCAAATCTGTTCCCAAAGAAACCTGTTTTATTTTTGAAAATATGAGAAGTTTTATGTTTAAAAATGTGAGAAGCCTAAGAGTGCTCTAAAAATGTAGGTATTGGTGCATATGTATAATTATTTTTATTTTTTGTTAAGTGTATGTTTAAAAATATAAAATTTTTCATTTTCTTGATTAATACTTTGGCCTGAATTATGTCTGATCTGATAAGATTTTTGCTTTTTATTTTTTATCATTTATTGAATTTACCTCATATTTCTTAGTCCAAGTCAAATTTTTTCAACTTTGTAAGTAGTTTATACTTGAGGTTGATTGTTATATACAGACAGATGTTAAAGTTTATGTTGTTAGCCAGAAGAAAAAGCTTTTCTTTCTTTAGTTTCTGTACAGTATTCTTTTTTATTCTCACACCAAGCATTTTTAGAGATTATAGGTACCTGCTATTGAGCTCTCAAAATAAGATGGGATCTATGTTATTATCAACTAAACTTTTATTCACAAAATTTGCTGTATAATGAAATTATTTTCATTTGACTAGAGTTAGAATTTGTCATCGTGCCATAATTAGGAATCTTTAAAAGGCATATTATAGGCCCTCATGTTACTTCATAATGCTAACTGGATTATAATAATAATATATTGCTATAACATGTATTATCAGAGTTTGAATATATCACCACACATCCTTTATGCAAAGATTGAGAACATATGACCTAATTTCTACATAAAGTATGATAAATGTAAAATGTTGTTTTGATTTTACATACTTTACATGAATTGCATACACCAGGAGTAACTAGTAAAGTTGAGTGTACAAAAGTGAAAGTGAGTCGATCGTAGACAAAGAGTACAGATTTGGTGAGAGTTTATTAGAGTAAGAATGAAAACAAAATAAAAATGTAAATTTTAGAAATATAAAGATATATGTGAAAACGGCATAACTGATATGTATGAAACATGAAGTATAAAGAAAGTATAAAGAAGGCAGAAACTAACACTGGTAATCTCTAATATCAGAAATTATCTGTATATTTACTATTTTTAAAGTTTTTATATAAAGTTATATGTATGTAAAATATGTGCGATATATATAATTTATTACAAAGTTTCATGTGGAATGTTAAAATTATCCAATTTTTGAGGCATCATTAAAGTGACTCAAGCAGAAAAGGTGTAATCTGGACTGTCCTAAAAATCTGGGGCCTATTAAAACACTCTTCATATTTATTTAACGTGTATGGATATTTTTCACGAAATGTATATTTTTTCATGAGAGAAATTTCTAAATTTCTTTAAATTATGTAGCCCAGTAGAGTCTTAAATTGAAAGGCAGTAGTTTGAGAATTTTAAAAATTGTTTCCAGTAGGACATATGGTGCACAATCATACATTTATTACATAAATATAGTATGCTTAATGTTGTTTACTTTAGTGTATGAGACTTTCCTATTAGCACTTGTACTACAGTTACACATTGTGATGATGAGAGACACCCACATGACATATACCTACAAAGACACGGCTCAGGCAAATGCAAAGCATGCAACTAACGGCTTTTAGGATCAGCCAGGTTCCTATAGTTTCATATGCACCTGAAAGTGGGCAGGACCTGCTGAGATCAGCTATACTAGCCTAGATCAAAATTGTGAGAAGAACCATGAAACCATGAGTTAAACAGTTTTTTTTTTAAGATATTAAGAAATGAGGTAGTTTGTAATGCAGCAACAGAAAACTAATAAAAGACTTTCTCCTTGAGTTATTCTCCATGTTACAAGTCTTTTATCATTAATATACTTTATTGAGAATGTAAATGTGCAATACATCTGAAAGTACAGACCATTTGGGCACCATCAAAAATAGAAAACACAAAGTCCCACTGTGCTCTTTATTAACATTTGACAATGAGGCATCCAAGAAAAGTCTGGAGGCCCAGTTCTTCCCATTTTTTCCAGCCCCCAGTAAAGATAACAGGAACAGTGATATGTGACCATTTACTATATTGTATGAAGTTAACATTTCAAGCAGAAATTCTAAGAAGTTGATCCATGTGTTAATGTTTAATGGATCACCATTAGAATGGTGTTCTTTATAGCTTAGAAAATAATTCCACCACATCTGGAAATAATTTTACTAACCTTTAAATCCAGGCTACACTTGTCCTCATTTCCAGTCTTCACTGTCTAATATATTTAATATATAGTCATCTGGGAGAATGAGTGAATACCCATTAATGTCCATATCCACATTCTTCTTCTTCCCTTGCTTAGTGCGTTGGGACATACACCAATCTGACTAATTTAAGGTATGGTCTCTCACCTCATAAATTCCCCTAAACTGATTAGGAAGCTTTTACTCATGTCTTGTAGCAATTCTTTTGCATATGGTGAGCATCTTACTGTCTAAAGCTGTCTCAACCAGTCCCTCTATACACTTTCCTGAACACCTTCTGCACCTGATGCCAACATATGTATTCAAAATATATTCCCATAATCAGTGTGATTCTTTTAAAGTACACTATGAAACATATATTAGTTTAATTCACATACTGAGTAAATTTCTTCTTAATTTTTAGATATTCTTTGTAAATATGACTTTCTAACTCTGACAACACTTCTCTTTCTTCAACGCCACAAACCTCTCCAGTTTTGCCTCACTCAGTATAAGCTGGGGCACTGGTGGCATAGAAAAAAAATTCAGGACGGGCGCGATTTCTCATGCCTGTAATCCCAGCACTTTGGGAGGTCGAGTTGGGTGGATCTCAAAGTCAGGAGTTCAAGACCAGCCTGGCCAACATGGTGAAACATTATCTCTATTAAAAATATACAAATTTGCTGGGCTCTGTGACACACTCCTGTAATCCCAGCTACTCTGGAGGCTGAGACAGGACAATCCCTTAAACCCGGGAGGTGGAGGTTGCTGTGAGCCAAGATTGTGCCACTGCACTCCAGCCTGGGTGACAGAGCAAAACTCCATCCCAGAAAAAGTAAAAGAAAAAAAAATCATTATAAACTGTAATTATTGTACTTTCTAAGCACTCCTTTTTAGAATATTCTTTTAAATATTTAAAATCTTCTTTTAAAGCTCAGTCAGTAAAACAAATATCATCATTTACCTTTCTTTCTTAAGTACTTTCTTCCATCCTCAGCATTATATTCTTCTTGAATATCAGTTTTTGTTAGTTTCATGATCATGTTAGTTTTCAAAATAGTGGTAATAATTACATCTTGGGACATAGAAAGTTCTCTAACCAGTTTCTCCATATTTATCGCTACCCAGCCAACCTGTGAATAGCCTACTTTCCTTTAACACAATATTCAGTTTCACATTAAATAAAACTGATGATTGTGCTTCGTTTACCGTCACTTAAACCATGGTTTACAAGGACTTAAAACTTTCACTTAAACATTTTTTAAAAATTTGAATGATTACTACTAATTTTCACAATATACTAAATTTGATGGTGTCAACTTGACCGGATTGAGGGATGCCTGGATGGCTGATGAAGCATTGTTTCTGAGTGTGTCTGTGAAGATATTTGCAGAGGAGATTGACATGAGAATTAGTGGACTGAGAAAGGAAAACCCACCCTCAATGTGGGCAGGCACCATTCAATTGGCTGGGGTCCCACCACGACAAAGCAGGTGGAAAAAGGGCAACACTCTGCTCATGCCTTTGCTCCTCTCTCTTTATTCCACAGTGGAACATCTTTTTTCTCATTTTTTCCTTTGGATATAAGACTCTAGGATCTTCATCTTCTGGATCCCGCGACTTAAACCAGTGGCCCGCTGCAGGCGATCAGGACTTTGGTCTCAAACCGGGGACTTCACTGTCTGGTTTCCTGGATCTATACTTTGACTAAGCCAGGCTTTTAGTGTCTGTGGTTCTCCAGCTGGCAGATAGCTTGTTTTAAGACTTCACTTTATTGATCTTCTGAGCCAATTTTCCTAAAAATTCTTTTCATTTATATTCTATTGTTTCTGTCCTTCTGGAGAACCCTGACTAATACAGATTTTGGTACCAGGAGTCATTCTAGAGGAACGGAATTTTAAGGATGAATTTCCTTAATTGTTGTTGGGGTTTCTGGAATTGGCTGTATAATCTGATTAGACCTAAAAGTCCTAAGAACCCTACTTCCGATAATACAGAGACCATAGATAGTTTTTGGCCTAAGCTGTTTATAAAGATATGCTAAAAAATGCATTTTATACACCTAATTTACCACTTACAAGAGGCAGGGTATTTTGTGACACTATACATGATACTTTCAGAAATTTGTGGAAAACCAATAAATATAATGATGTTGGTTTGTTGCTAACATTGCTGGACAATGTTGAAAGAAAAGGATGAGCTCAGAGATTCAAATTCTTAGCTGAAAATGGATATAGCCTAAGCATTTCTACATGTTCCCTAAAGGAGAAGCATCTCTCCTTTAGCCATAGGGATGAAATGGCTGAAAATCAAAGAGAAACCCTAGTCATTTAATTAGCTGACGTATAGAAAAGATGGATTTTCAACCTCACTGGGAGTCTGCTGTTAAAATGAGGGCATTGATTGAGAAAGAATGGGACCCTGTAAGTTGAAATGGGGATCTATGGGAGGACCCTCATGAAGCTAGGGACATTTAGCCTAATGTTTGAGTAATTTTGTTTGTTTGTTCGTTTGTTCTTTGCCTAGGCAAGTGACCTCCCACCTCAATGACAGTGTCATTCCTCACCCATTCCCACAGTGTCATCGGTTTTTCCACCTATGTCAACGTAACTGCATTGCCGGAAGTAACAGTAATGGCCTCTCCTGAAGCAGTTGGCAGGTGAAGCAAGGCTGATTTTCCTCAGGACCTATCCTAACGACCCCTTTTGGTTTCTAAACCTATAACTAGACTTAAGTCTCAGCAGGTCCCTAAAGGGAGATTCAAGATATCACCCATGAGGAGGTGCACTGCACTCTGAAAGAAACACCTGAGTGTTCTAATTTATATAATCAGAAATCGGGTAAACATATGTGAAAATGGATAATAAGGGTGTGGGAATAACAATAGAAGAGACACGAAGTTTGATGACACCAAATTAATATATGTGGTCTCATTAAGTAGAGATTCTGCATTTAATATAGTACATTGGGATGTAGCCAATGATTAGGCTGGAAGGTTAAGGATTTGTGAGGGATTATAGGATTGATGATGAAGAAAATTAAGGAAAAACTATCTGGATAAACCTCTTTGAGGGGGCAAAATATATGAAGACATTTGTGAGTCATGTGAATGTTCTTCAAAGAATGACATCACTAGAAGAAAATTTTAATAATAAAGTGGATGGGATGACCCCTCCTGTAGATCTGGGGTCAGACTCTTTCCTCAGCTACCCCTGTTATCACCCAATGGGCTCATGAGCAAAGTGGCTATGATGGCATTGATGGAAGTTATGCATGGGTTAAGCAACATAATCTTTCACTCACTAAGTTCAACCTGGCTAAAGCCACCACTGTGTGCCCAATATGCAGGAACAGAGAGCCATGCTAAGCCCCTGATATGGCATCATTCTCCAAGATAATCAACCAGCTTCCCAGTGGCAGATTGATTACCTTAGACCACCTCCATCATAGAAGGAGCTGCATTTTTTTCTTACTGGAATACATACTTATTTTGAATATGGATTTATCTTCTCTGAACATATACATCTGTCAAAACTACCATCCATAAATTTACTGGATGCCTAATTCTCTATCATGGTCTTCCACACAGTATTGTTTCTGACTAAGGAACTGGCTTTACTGACAAAGAAGTGCAACAATGAGCTCATGCTCATGAAATTTACTGGTTTTACCATGTTCCTCATTCTCCTGAAGCAACTGCCTTTGTACTATAGTGAAATGGCCTTTAGAAGTTATAGTTACAGTGTCAGCTAGGTAACAGTACTTTTCATGGCTGGGCCAAAGTTCTCCAGAATGCTGTATGTGCTATGAATTGGCAGAATCAAATAGACGCAATAAAAAATGATATGGGGGATATCACCACTGATCCCACAGAAATACAAACTGCCATCAGAGAATACTATAAACACCTGTACGCAAATAAACTAGAAAATTTAGAACAAATTGATAAATTCCTGGACACGTACACTTTCCCAAGCTTAAACCAGGAAGAAGTCAAACACTGGTTATTCTAGTTAGAAATTCATCTAACCTCTTTTCAAGGTTCTTAGCTTCCTTGCATTGGATTACAACATGCTCCTTTAGCTTGGAGGAGTTTGTTATCACCCATCTTCTGAAGCCTATCAAACTCATTCTCTATCCAGTTTTGTTCCCTTGCTGGCAAGTTGTGATCCTTTGTAGGAGAAGAGGCATTCTGGCTTTTGGAATTTTCAGCCTTTTTACACTGGCTTCTCCCCATCTTTGTGGATTTATCTACCTTTTGTCTTTGATGTTGGTGACCTTCAGATGGGGTCTTTGAGTGGACATGCTATTCTTTTCTGTTTGTTACTTTTATTTCTAATTGTCAGGCCCCTCTGCTGCAGGTCTGCTGGAGTTTGCTGGAGGTCCACTCCTGACCCTGTTTGGCTAGATATCACCAGAGGAGGCTGCAGAACAGCAAAGTTTTCTGCCTGTTCTTTCCTTTGAAAGCTTCATCCCAGAGGGCCACCTGCCAGATGTCAGTCAGAGCTCTCGTGGATGAGGCATCTTTCAGCCCCTATTGGGAAGTATCTCTCAGTAAGGATACACAGGAATCAGCGACCCACTTCAGGAGGCAGTCTGACCCTTAGCAGAGCTCGAACACTGTGCTGAGAGGTCCACTGGTCTCTTCAGAGCCATCAGGCAGGGACATTTAAATATTGAAGTTGTGCCCACAGCCACCCCTTCCCCCAGGTGCTCTCTGTCCCAGGGAGATGGGGGTTTTATCTCAAGGTGAATAAATGAATAAATAAATAAATAAATAAATAAATAAATAAATAAATAAATAAAATCATTGACTATAGTCACTCTGGTGTGCTATCAAATAATAGGTCTTATTTACTTATTCTTTAACCTTTTAACCATCCCCACCTAAACCCCACACCCCCATTATCTTTCCCAGCCTCTGGTAACCACCTTTCTATTCTCTATCTCCACAAGTTTAATTGTTTTGATTTTTAGATCCCATAAATAAGGGGTAACATAAAATCTTTGTCTTTTGGTGCCTGGATTGCTTCACTTAACATAATGATTTTCACTTCTATCCATGTTGTCAGAAATGATGGAATCTCTTTTCTTTTTATGGCTTAGTATTACAGTGTTATGTGTTTGTACCACATTTTCTTAATCCGTTAATCTACTGATAGACACTTAGGTTGCTTCCAATTCTTAGCTATTTTAACAGTGCTGCAACAAACCTGGGAGTGCAGATTTCCTTTCAATATATTGAGTTCCTTTTTTAAGTATATATTCAGCAGTGAGATTGCTAGATCATATGGTAGCTCAATTTTTAGTCTTTTGAGGAAACTTCAAAGAGTTCTTTATAGTGATTGTACTAATTTACATTACCAAAAACAGTGTACAAGGATTCCCTTTTCTGAACATTCTTTCAGCATTTGTTATTGTCTGACATAGCTAAAAGCCATTTAACTATGGTAAGATAATATCTCATTGTAGTTTTGATTTGCATTTCTCATATGTTCAGTGATGTTGAGCACCTTTTTATATGCCTGTTTTTCATTTCTACCTCTTCTTTTGAGAAGTGTCTATTCAGATTTTTTGCTTGTTTGTAACTTGGATTATTAGATGTTTTTCTATAGATTTGTTTCAACTCCTTATATATTCTGGTTATTAATCTCTAGGTATTTTATTCTCTTTGAGGCAATTGTGAATGGGAGTTCACTCATGATTTGGCTCTCTGTTTGTCTATTATTGGTATATAAGAATGCTTGTGATTTTTGTACATTGATTTTGTATCCTGAGACTTTGCTGAAGTTGCTTATCAGCTTAAGGAGATTTTGGGCTGGGACAATGGGGTTTTCTAGATATACAATCATGTCATCTGCAAACAGGGACAATTTGACTTCCTCTTTTCCTAATTGAATACCCTTTATTTCCTTCTCCTGCCTAATTGCCCCGGCCAGAACTTCCAACACTATGTTGAATAGGAGTGGTGAGAGAGGGCATCCCTGTCTTGTGCCAGTTTTCAAAGGGAATGCTTCCAGTTTTTGCCCATTCAGTATGATATTGGCTGTGGGTTTGTCATAGATAGCTCTTATTATTTTGAGATACGTCCCATCAATACCTAATTTATTGAGAGGACAAGAATTTAAAGCTCATAAATCTGCTTGTACCTCAATCCCGTTTTTAATGCCGTGTTTCAACATGAAATGGAAGAAAGCATAAAGAATTGAGTGGAAATAAATGATTTAGACCCTGATGTTTTTAAAGAAATGATGACATTCATTAACACAGGGAAAGAACTAAACCTTGACAAAATGACGGACAACTTGTTGGCAGCTGCAGACAAACATGCACTGGGAACAGCTAAAGGTCATGTGTGAGGAAGCTTTGTAGTAATCTCTCAGTAGAAAATATTGCTGATCCCCTTGTCCTTGCAGATTTGCATGTTGCAGAACAGTTGAAAGCACAAACCATAGACATTATTAATAGGTGCAGTGTACTTCGACAACTTCGCTGTAAAGATAAGAAAAACTGGAATGTCAACGAAGCAACCAACATAATGGAAACATCAAGGTGAAAGTGCACGATTCAGTCTCACCCTTACTTAGCAGCAGAAGCCTTCTGAGCACTAGCATCTGCACAGTGTCCACAGTTTGGCATTCCACACACACGGCTAAAACAGTCCTAAATCTTCCATGAACAATTGAAAAATGGAATTGACTTTTAGTCATTCAAGTCCAGAAGGATTCTAATACATAAACCATAAGAAAGAGTTGTTTCTGTTATTTGGTCCACAGAACAGAAGCTTAAAAAGCATATTTCTTGAATTTCAGGTGGATAATTAATGGTTTATTTTTCAGGTTTAAGTTAGACTGATTAAATCACTTCAAGGCCTTAAATTATTTTCAATGACTTCTCTTGTTCATATAATGTTTTAATTTTTTTATTGTGCCTTGTCATTTTGACCAATGCTATGCAGGATTATATAAACTAGCTTTATAATGCAGTAATATTGATAAGTGAAGATATTAAGTTTCAAAAGGATCTTTTATTTTGAAAAATAAAACTGAATTTTATAGGGTTTGTCCTACGCTGTCTCAAGGTTTAAGATTAAATTCTCTTTAAAAGCACTCGTATTGGAGTTTACCAGTAATGTCTTCAATCTAAGTTCTATAAATATGAGAGAACCTACTTACCTTCCAAGTAAGTTACAGCAATACACTGCTTCAATTCTAATTTATTTTTTATTTCAAGGGGCAAATAAACAATGAGTTGGCCCAGATTTTTAGTGAAAATTGTGATGTTTGTCTTGTATGTTAACTGTCCAATAAACTGTGGGTTTATCTAAGTTTACAATATATGAGAATTGAATGAGGTTTAAATATCATGAAGAAAGCATGTATTGTGTGGAACTAGTTTTTTTTTAATTTACAGTGACCTACATTTATATGTACATGTTAAGAGTAAGTATGACCAAATGTAAATTTAATGAGTGGGTCAATTAGCAAAGATATATATATATACATAATATGTATATACACACTTTCATTTTTACTGTGTAACTTTGTATGCTGAATGGTACATATTTATTTTTGCTTTTGAGATAATTAATAAGGTAGAATTAATTGTGTTTTAATACTTGAAAGAAATTTTTAAAAGGAGGCAACTGGGATGTTTGGGATAATAAATAAGAAAGATATTCTTGATTGTATTAAATAGTTTTGGATTGCAGATATTCATTATTGAATTTACTCCTGTTTTTCACACTTTGGAAAATACATCTAACAATAAATGAATCTTGGATAGTCTACTCTCCTTCAAAACCTGAACCAAAGGCCAAGGCAGGTGGATCACCTGAAGTCAGGAGTTTGAGACCAGCCTTGCCAACATGGCGAAACCCTGTCTCTACTAAAAATACAAAAAATTACCCAGGCGTGGTGGTGGATGCCTGTAATCCCAGGAACTTGTGAGGCTGAGGCAAGAGAATTGCCTGAACCGGGGAGGCAGAGGTTGCAGTGAGCCAAGATCGCGCCACTGCACTCCAGCCTGGGCAACAAGAGTGATACTTCATCTCAAACAAAAAAGAGAGAGAGAGAGAGAGAACTGATACTTGCCTGTGGGAGATGCAAACAAAAAGAGAGAAACTTTAGAGTATATCAGGTCACACACCATGAGCATCCCCACCCATCTCTTATTTCTTTGTGTTTCAGTTACTGTAATAACATTGTGGATGATATGGAAATTCTGCTTAATATGAATAGTTATAAACTATAATTTGGAAAAAAAATGAATGACACCAAATGATAACTTGAATTTATAAGAACAAAAAAGAATGGTAATGAGGAGGTGTAGTGTGGCATTTTGATATTATCATGATATTGGAGGCAGGTAACAGATATCAACAAATTCTGCCCTGTCATTTAGTACTTTTGTTTACAGGATGACTGAAGAATACACACTACAAATGTTATAAATGTTATCAGAAAGAAGTTATGTATTAATGGGTAACTTCACTAGCACAATAACAAGAAGTAGGTATTGAAAAAAATCTGAAACGTATCATGGAGTTTAGGCTTTCCATGTAACCTGGGCCGTTTTACTTACCCTAATTTTGAAATAGGCCTATTCAGTATGTTGTTCAGAGGGCTATTCAGAGAATGGAAACCCAAGGCTCACCTTTCTTGAGTCTAAGTACCCACTCAGCCAAGTATATTTAGCAAAATAGAAAAACCAAACTGCTTTGGTGACTGGACTTTGCCAATGTCTGAAAGAAAGAAGTAACAGAAAGGAGAGTCTAAAGTTGATCCTGTACAGTATAAAACATTTCCCCAAAACGACTTTGCTTCTAACACCTATATTGATGCTACCTCCCATCTGAGAAAGAAGGGGGATATAAGCAGGAGTCAAGGCCAGGCACAGTGGCTCATGCCTATAATACCAGCACTTTGTGAGGCCTAAGTGGGAGAATCCCCTGAGCCCAGGAGTTTGAGACAAAGCTAGATGACTTAGAGAGAGCCCATTTCTTTAAAAAAAAAAAAAAAAAAAAAAAAAAAAAAAAAAAAAAGCAGGACATTGAGGTGAAATGCCTGTAGGGTTAGTTAGTCAGGAGGCTGAGGCAGGAGAATTGATTGAGCCCAGTAGTTTAAGGTTGAAGTGAGCTATGATTGCACCACTGCTTCACTGCATTCCAACTTCAGAAACACAATGTGACCCTCTCTCTCTCCCTCTCTCTTTCTCTCTCTTTCTCAGAAGAAGAAGGAGGATGAGGAGGAGGAAGAGGAGAAAGAAATGATATGGAAGAGGGGCAGGGAACTGCAGGGAGGAGAAGGGTGGGTCCCTGGCAAGGGCTCCACCCTTGGCTTGTGCCCAGGGACCTAGGTGAGGACAGGCACTCCTGCTTTCACACCCAAATGTTGCATTTCCCAAGATCACTCTGCCTTGCCACACCCCCATCATATGCCTATAAAACTCCTGAGACTCTAGCAGGCAAGCACACAAGTGGCTGGACGTCAAAACGAGTGGATTAGCAGAAGAAGAAACAAGTGGCTGGACATCAAAAGGACATCCAGGGGAGCACGCAGGCAGGCCATCAACTGGCAGAACAATGCGGAGTTTGGCTGGGGCAATTGAAGAAGAGTCAGGCTGCTCAGCAGCCCTACTCTAGGGGAAATCCGTCTGCCTGCTGGCTCCCCCATCTGCTGAGAACTACTTCTACTCAATAAAACCTTGCACTCATTCTTCAAGCGCACGACAATCCCATTCTTCTGATAAACCAAGGCAAGAACCCCTGATATAGAAAGCCCTTTTTTCCTGTGATAAGGCAGGTGTCTAACTGAGCTGACTAACACAAGCCATCTATGGACTGCTAAACTAAAAGAGCATCGCATACCGGGCAGAAGGAAGCCAGGCAGGAAGAGAGGTTCAGATGCTCCTTCCACCATAAAATATAGTAATAACTAGCTTTCTAATATGTACATCACAACTTTGATATTTGAATATTTGTAAAGCAGTTTTTAGTTTTATATCCTGTATAGCATTCTTGTAATCATCTATACTAATATTTTTGATGCAAATGTGGAGTTACTTTTACAACTCAGATAGCAAGTAGATGTTCTAGCATGCATCCTGCTTTTTGGGGGGCTATAGTAGGGGATATGCAGTTTTCTTTATCCACAGTGTGCTCTTTCTATTTGTCCACTTGACAATATTGTACTCATTCTTCAAGTCTCAAGTCACATACCACTTCTTCAATGTGTAGCCTTCACTTATTGCCCCAGAGAACTTGGTGCTTCTTTCTTGAGATCTGAAAGTAATTTTAATGCAGTTTTACTGTTGCAGTAATTTGTTATCTAGAGAACACTGCCCATTTCATTGCCTCATATTGAGCATTGCTCATTTTAATTCTAAGACTCACCACAAATAATTATTCAAAAATTTATGTAATCCTAGGTCATCTAAAAACCAAAGCTTTTATACCTCATGGTGGAGCCAATGGCACCTATGAGAGGATCTACCATGGGATCCCTGTGGTGGGCCTTCTTTGTTTGTAAATTAACCTGATAAGTTTGCTCACATGAAGGCTAAGGCATAAGCTGTTAGAGTAGACTCAAAAACAATGTCAACTATAGATTTGATCAATGCATGAAAAGCAGTCATTAATGACTCTTCATGAATGTATTTTTTTAACTACATAGCATGTGTTGATAACTTCTCACATGAAGGCCAAGGAAGCAGCAGTGACTTTAAACAGGAACACAGCACTGAGTACTTTTTTTTTGGTAATGCTTAAAGACAATTGTCAATAAACCACTGTGAGTATCACAATCTGTTTTTTTGGTGGTTTTAGTGGAAACATTTGTCAGAGATTTTAGGATAGTACATACATTTTAAAATAGCCAAAAAGTGAAATAAGAGGAATTGCTGAAGATGGTAACAGGAAGATGATAAGGAAGACTGAGAACAAAGTTGAAGGAAAGAAGCATGAACATTATTACAGCACTGACTAATTTTCAGCACAGTTATGAGGGTCTTTTAGGATGAGATCTCATCAAATATTAGTCTTTAAATAAATTTTGTTTTGTCTATTGAAGGTATGTGAAGTGATATTTTGGGATACAAATACTTAGTTAAAAGACTACCATAATGAAGTAAATAAACATGTCCATCATCTCACTTTACTTACCCTTTTTCCATGTTTTTAAAACTCTTGTAAAATAATTTATTTTCAGTAAATCAGCATGACAATCTATCTCTAATTCCCATTATATTTAATGCTTTCCAAATTTTTATGCTTACATTTTGATCCCATCACTGATAACTTGCAAGCAACTAAAGCTTTCAAACTTGCCTTTAAAAATTATTGAAAAAAGAAAATACTTTATAAGTGTAGCCATATTCTTGCTCTTATGGTTGTGGTTGCTTTTGCTTATTTGGAAGATTTATAAAATTGAGAAATAATTGACTTGAAAGAGATAAATTGGAATATTCCCATTTAATAGCCAAAATGTCTGAAACCAGAAATAGAGGATTTTAAAATTATTTCAATACATATATTAATTTCAGTTATGCTATTGCTATTATATTGGTAATATGAATAAATTTTAATTAATGCTCTGTTGAAAAATAATTTTTAATTAGTTAATGAACATTGTATATGAAATGACATGCATTATATTGGTAATTTGTATTATGTAACTTCTTGGTTATAGTTTTTCCCAATTGTATTAAAAATATGTATCAGGATTAATGCCCTCCTCTAAAAAAACATAGTCTTCTTACTCTGTTTTTTAAATATCAAAGAGAGAAGTTACCTCCATTGATATTGCTACAGTGCCATGCTTTAGCAATTTTTGATTTTGACTTGGTAAGCCTCATACTTATATTCATCCTTATTCCTTATTAGTCAATAATTATTTCAACACTCTAAATAAATGGAACTACAATGCCTCAAAGTAAAATATTAAGCACCACTTAGATTTTAAAATCACAATGCAAGTAAAACAGTAATAATAGTGAACATCTACTTATTCTCTTAATGATGAGAATAATTCTACCAAGTATCCTAAAAATCATTACATTACTACTCACAATAATCAAATAAGTAAGGTACCATTCTTATTCATTCAATTTAACAATAAAAAAAAAACTAGGAACAGATACATTAAAAAAAAAAGATCAGTAGATATCAGGTCATGATTCAAACTAAGGCCATTTACTTTTATATTTTTAATCACTAATTCACTGATGTAATGTCAGTACTAATTCCTGATCAATGTCAACTTCTTATCAGCTTTGCCCTGACATGTACCTGAACCTTGTCACAGATTTGTCTCCTATCTCTAGACTTTGATACTATTTTGAAACACGCACATCAGGTTCGTTACAATTTCATTAATGGCTAATTCAACCTCTGTACCCTCAAATGATTTCTTTTTATCCTTCAGACTTAACTAATTTTAATTTCTAGGATGGAAATACTTGTTCTCTCTTAAATTCTCTTTTCACATTTTGAAATCTTATGCATCCAACAAATTCTAACCCATAAACCAAAATCTCTATAACCACCAGGAAATAAAATATTTTATTTTTCATCTACTTTTATGTGGCACTAATTGTTAACATCTACACAAAAATTTCACATATTTATATTTTATATTCCATAAGTTTATGTCTATTTGATTTTCCTTTAGCAGTAAAGAGAATGTTATATGGTTATCGGTCATTCATTATGATCAGCTTATGAAGCCCATGGACCAAAAAGTCTTCTGGATCAAGTTTGTCATGCGCCACAGAGGAGCCAAGTACTTGCCGCCACCTGCGAAAAACCTCATCTGGTTCCAGCACTGCTCTCTGGTTGTGCTGGCCTGCGAGGCAATTTTTACTCTTTTTTCATAATATGTTCCTTGTTTGATTATCAAAAGTTTGTTAAGACAAGAAAGAAAAAAAAGAAGGTAGCACTGTTTGATATCTAAGGCAGGCAGGCATGATAGGGAAGGTCATGACATTTAATGCCACCACTATTCATCAAGGTGTGGCAAAATTCTCCTCTATATTTCACAAGACTTGTGCCTTCCTGATTTATTCAAATATTTTATTCTTTGCTAAATATTAAGTAATATACAATTTTAATTTCAGAAAACCTAAAATAATTCCATTTTAATGCTTACTCATGTATATTTCTAAGCTAAAAAAATGAGATGCACTGGAAACTCAGGCTGTTTATTTATGAAGGTCAGAAATAGTGCATTTCTACTGTGCATTTTTAGAAACCTCTTTTTTATTTTTATTTTATTTTATTTTTCATTTCCAACATTTATTGTAAGTTCAGAGATACATGTGCAAGATGTGCAGGTTTGTTACGTAGGTAAAGAATACTCTTCTATATAAACAAATCACAATGATGTGTATTATATGTGTCCCTGTCAAAGAAAAACAGAGCAAGATCCTTCTTAAAAATGGCAAGACAGATTTTATTCTGACTACTGAAGTAGGAGATAGAGACTACTGTATAAATTGAACTGAACTCTAACTAAGACAAAGGTAATTGAGGCTTTTAAAGAGAAAACTGATATGAATAAAAATGAGGAAAACAAGGAACTAGTGGGTTACATGGAAATGAAAAATTACATAAAAATTAAGAGGGAAATAATTGAAAATTATGAGGCAACATGGGTTAGACAGTGTATGTTTTGCAGTTTGGCAGGATCATATTCTTTAGAGCCAAGACCTACCATGGAAGTTAGGGTGACCTTTAAAGACAAATTCCTGACCTAGTACACGTATAAGTTAAGCTAAACTTGGCCAAGTCTCTTAACATGGTGTTTAGGCAAGTCTTTTGTGCTACATGGGAGTTTAAAATTCAAATCCTTCATGAAATACAAAATAGTTCTTAATGGAAATGTTCTTTGCTTTAAAATTATAGGTGGTCGTAACTGACTTCCTATACAAAACTATGCAACCTGGTAAAATCCTTGGTTAGAAAGACTAAAGATGTTTTCCACATGAGGCCTTAAATATGCTTGAGTTACTATTTTCACTTTAGTAATGACCCTTTGTAACTGGATAATAATACACAAAATAAAGGAAGAGGCTAGTTCCCTTTAGTTAGGCATTATAGACATGGTCCCGCAGGTTTAGCCCAGTCTCTCTAGATTATAATGTTACATGATTTCTCTCCTGCAACAAGATCTCACTATTTCTTGGCCTTATTTTGTTAAGCCAGACATTTCTGACTTCTTTAATACCGGGAATACTGAGGATACACAAATCAGAAATATATATAATCATTTTACTTGTTCTCCCATCATAATATGAAAAAATAAATTGCAGATGGAATAAAGAGCCAAATATCCTGTGCAATAATTTTTAAAATCTATGTTGAAGAAAGCATAATAAATGGCAAAAGATCTCCAAATCCTGCCTTTAAATATTGGTCATTACAGCCTCTGGATTCAGAAAAAGGTTTGCAAAGCAAGTCACAGAGAAGAAAGAACTCAACTTAAGAGCAGTTCTTCTGTCTGACAAGAGATGTGCCTGAACAATCGGATGGAAGAGAGGCATAATGATCATTTCTAACACATGAAAAAGATTTTTATAGTTCTCTTTTCTATAAAAAATATTTTTATCAACAATTGGTTATAAAACAAATCATTTTAATATCTAGAAAAGGAATATACACTGAATATTTTACTTTATTAAACTTTGAACATATAGTCATGCCACTAGAAAGAAAAAATAACAAAGTGTAAGAAAGGAAAAAAGTAATGCATTCGTGCACTTTTAATTATAGTAATGTCTTTTTATTAAAGAGGGAAAACTTATAGATAAATATGAGTCTGAGGCAATAATGATGCTCAACATGTACTACAAAAGCTAAATTCTAGTCTGTTTATATTTTCTTAATGAAGTATCTTCTGAAAATGTATCAGAATATATCAGAATATACTTTCCTAATAAGGTATGTTATGAAAATAGATCTTCTTTGAAATTTTTAGACCATATATCCAGATACATAAATCTATGTCTATCCATGAGTGAACAAGTAATATTTTCACTAGTTTAATTTGAGGAAGACTTTCTACATAAAGTGATATGTACATATATACTTAGGAAAATATATGAACATGAAGGTATACTTGATGGAGAGTCATAAAAATTCCATAGTAAATTGAACTACAAAAATTGCAATAATATGATGTGTCTGCTTCTTAGAGATTGATTCTACAAGCTTTTAAATATCTCAGCAGTTAAAAACATTTAAACACAGAAGAAACTAATTATGTTGGGGCATCTTCTGTAGGGGCACTGCACATAACGGGAATGGGAGTCAAACATCTAGATGTTCCCACTTAGCCTCTGGTCATCCAGGGCTCATTTTCTGGGAGGAGCAAAATGTTCTTTCTCTTCAAAGCTGAGGAGCTCAGTCCCTCATTTATCTATAAAATGACAGTTCTATCTTCATGCAAATGTGCAGACAAGCCAATTGAGTTTATCTTTTGGATAAAAGGCAATGGAGAAGACTCTTCAGAATGCACCCCAGAACTAGAATTAGAATCCTAAACAACAACTTCCTAGGAAAAAAATAAGTTCAGGAAAAATTGATGTCTGTCAACCAAAGGGAGATCCAGGGCTCAAGAGGACTGACCAGTTCCATCAGAGGAGCTTAAAGTTTGAAAGGCCTTCAATGGGCCCCTTCTGGTACTTTAGTTTCAAGTTCAGGAAACATTTTGGGGGTCCTGGGTTTTCTGGGAGTTCCCACATGTTCAAGTGTCAAATTATTGTGAGGAAATGAGTCAAACTCTGTAAAATATTCAAAGAGATTTATTCTGAGCCAAATATGAGTGACTAATGGCCCATAACACAGCCTTCAGCTGTTTAGAACATGTGCCCAATGTCCTCAGGCTACAACCTGGTTTTATACAATTTAGAGAGATGTTCCACATCAATCAATACATGTAAATGATACATGGGTTTGGTCTGAAAAGGTGGGGCAACTGCAAGTGAGATTCTGAAGGTCATATTTAGATTCAAAGATTTTCTGATTGGCAGTTGGTTAAAAGAATTATCTTATTGTCTAAAGCATTAGAATCAATAGAAAAAAATGTTTCTTTTCAAACTTAAACAGTGTATTCTATCAGTATTTTGTTCTGTGGTGATGTAATGCTGTCAGCTTTTTCTGAATTCCAAAATGGAGGAGGCTCTAATGGAGCTCGTCTCATTTCTCCCATTTCCAAAATGGCCTGAACTAGCTTTTCAGGTTAACTTTGGAATGCCCTTTGTGAGCGGAAGGGTTCATTCAGATGATTGCGGGCCTTAGAATATTATTTTTCATTAACATTTTTCCCCTTCTTGCCAGGGTTTGCCAGAGGCAAGGTCAATGGCCAGCAAACTCTTATTTTGTTCCATAGCATTGCTGGGATGGCATGTGCCCTGGGTTCCTACTGTCTGTGGTTGAGACACCTATGGCTAAGAGACTTAGAGCCAACATATTTACAGTCAACTTAAATGTACTAGACCAGACAGGAATGAATACGGACAAGCATTATAATTAACTCTTAAAATTTTTAAAGTAATATAAAACCCAAGAAACAGAAAGCCAAAGTTGAGGTTAAAAAACTAACTTATCTTAAATTGTTATATGCATAGCTAATGTAGTCTTTGTTTTAGTTACTGACCTATACCAATTAGCTATACAATACATGAACATTGTTAAAAATGCTTTTTTGCAATTTAGAGGCTTTTGCTGTGCTGCAAGACTTTATGAAGTCTTTTAGTAATTTAATCTAATGTGGCTTAAAAAAATTGTTTCAAATATGTATCTATCTAAATAAAATCTCATAATTGTGAGTATTATATCCAGGACATTTTGTCATGAGGTATCATAATATTCCCTCTGTAATAATTTTATTTTAGTTCTACAGGAAACAGAAAATTCTTTATGGTTGGGATAAATAAAAATGTGTCATATAATAGCTCAGAAAGCAAAGTTCCTAGTTTTTCCAGCTGTTTATCTCCCCTTCTTGACTTGGAGGGTCTGAATTAATTCTATCCCTCAAAACCGGCCCTTACAATCTCATGGTCCCACCATTTCTGTGGTAGTCCCTGGACATAGAGGGAAGGTACTTGTATTGTTTTACAGAAGGCCATTTGCAGTAAAAAACAAATCAATCCCAATAGGATTTCAAATGAAGGAGATTAACAGGCTTTGTCAAATCATCTCTAGTCTTCGGAATAGCATGATTCTGATTTTCTCAGAACTAAAACTAGGGGGAGACATTGATAACATTAATAATTTGACAAAAGAGAATGTGGGTGCCAGAGGAGAAAAAAAAAAACTATTCCATTAGGGTGCCAAACAAAAACATGAAGAAAAATGATAACCTGGTATTCTTTAGGAGATTATTGCAGCCAAGAAATGAGTCATGATTCAACCTGCACTCAAAAACAAAAGTGACTTTTCTTTTGAAACAATGTCTCTCTCTCTAGTTGCTTTTCATACTAAAAAAAAGTTCAATTTGTGTGCAAAATAAGTTTCAGGATTATTATACTTGGCCTTATTATTCACATAAAGTTCAGCAAGAATTGTTTGGCCACATAGGCTCTTTTCAAGTTAGCTTTACTGGAACTTTACGTAAAAACGTTATTCTAGTCAAAGCCTTGGTAAAATAACTGGTGTCTCCAATTGTCCTATTTTAAAAATATATATTTTTTACTAAACTTATACCAATAACAATATTACCACACAATCAAAAGACTCATGAACAGTTTGCAAATTTTGGAGAACTCAGAGAGGTAAATTTGCTTACAAAAGCAAATTTTACCCAATTGCTCTAAACTATAAAAAACTCAAAAGAAAAATATTTCTTTGACTCCTCTTTAACTGGAGCAGCAGCTTTCCAAACAAGAAGGCATGTATTCACCTTTGAACTGCCATTCACAAGATAAGCAGCTCTTGTAATATGAGAGCTTTTTATTAAGCACTGTAGAATATAACAGCTCCTCGCATAGTCAGAGTCCATCCTAAGGAGAAAAAGAGGCTCCCTGTTCATAAATATGTCTTTCTTGCATCCCAGGTAGCAAGATTCTGTATAAACCATTTTTATTTTATCATGGAACTCTTTCAGTCACCATTATTTCTGCTAGCATAGAAGTAGTTTCAGTTAACATCCCATAGCAAAGCTGTAAATACTTCTCAAGTGGAAATTCTCTAGTCCAAAGTCCCAGTAATTGTCATTTGAAAGTGCTCACAGGCTTTTGCCATAAGCCCAAATAAACTTTCCACAAAGGGCTATGAAGTGAAGGATTTGTCTCAACCAGCACTTTAGCTAGTACTCACTTAGCTGTCCAAATAGCATTTTTCAAAGAGCAGGTTTACATGCCTTCAACTTTATACAACTACATCAGGAAAATCTCCCCCATTCAGATAGAATACCCATTTTCATAAAACATTTAGGTAAAGGAATCACAACCACCTTACATATAACCTGTTTAAACATCTCAAATTTCATAATCCTCTCAACATTTACAATTTTATGCTCTGATCCCAGGAGCTTTTCTTCTTTATCTTCAAACCAATTTACCTTTCTGGTAAAAAATTAACCCTCCCAGAAGAGGGTTGATCCAAGAGACTCAAGCCCTTTTATCAATTTTTTATCTAAACTTGCCTCAACATTGCGCAGGCAATGTCAGCTTTCCCATTAGATTACAAACTTTGCTTTAAAAAAAATCCAATCTAAGGCAAATACAAAAAAACTGGTGTAGGTCCCTATAATGTTTGAAGATCAGCAGGGGCTCCCTTTTGTTCACCCCACTTTTATAGCATTGTAAAAGCCTTTGTTTTTACCCTATCAATTTTTATTTTATTTTATTTCTTAATAATCATCTAAAGATTTCCACCATGATAGATGAGTCCTTTGACTCCCTTTTACCTTGCCCAATTTTTTAATTACCCTAATGTTTTAATAACATCGGTAAGATCCATGGGGGACAGCAAATTTGGGAAGGCTTCTCAAACAGCTCTTTGATTCTGCAGGAGTAATGTCACCTGGGATGCCCAGGTAGAAGGGTCCCCCTAAACCATAGCATTTACTATGACCAGGGTAATAGGTATATTTAATTGAATAATATTCTGGTCATCATAAAGCCAGTTCCATATGGTTTGCATATGAAGCATATCAGGTGCTTCATCTGGGGAACTCCACCTGGAATTTTACAGGGTGAGTTGGGCAGTCCATTTCTCAGGGTAATCAAACCTTATGGTGGCAATTATTCAGTCCACTGGGCTGCTTGTGAAGCTGGGTCACATATACTCCTCAGTGATTGCTTAATCGTGAGCTGTGGGACCTGCATAAACCCCTGCTTTTTCATTCTGTAGCATTTAAAATAAAAAATATTGCCCTTAAAGTAGCTATTTTTCCAGTCCATTATAGTAAACGTTTCTCAGGAAACTGATTATATTATTCTACAAAGGAGCAATTTCTTTACATTATACCCTCTGGGTTTAATAGTTAACTTCTTTTTCTATTTAAGTGCATTGGCTATCTTCTTGGTAACTACAGGTCTCAAAGGTAACTTTGTTGCCCTGGCTTAAGATGTGTGTGTGTGTGTGTGTGTGTGTGTGTGTGTGTGTGTGTGTGCCTGTGTGTGTGTCTAGCTTTGAAGCTAGTGGCCTGAGCTGAGAGTCCACATGTAAATTTGGTCAAGCCTTAAGGCAAAACTCCGCACTCTTTTACTTTCATTTTAGCGATTACAGATAGCAATAACCAAGGGAATTAACATTTTGTAGTTTTCTTATTAGTTTCCATTTTGTTATGCATTCACTGAACTAACTCCCTGGGAGTATGTCTATCATCCATCTCTAAATTCCACTGGTAACTTTTACCTTTGGTAACTGAATGCAGCCCAGCTGCAGCTTTTGAAGATGGGAGACCATGTAGCCACCTGAGAGTCAAAAGTTTCTTATTTCCTGAGTTTTCACTTTTCTCTTTATCCATCTGGTCATATATATATATGATATATATATCATATATACATCATATATATCATATACATCATATATATCATATATATCATATATATCATATATATCATATATATCATATATCATATATATCATATATATCATATATATCATATATCATATATATCATATATATCATATATATACACACACATACACATATATACACACACATACACATATATATATACACACACATATATATGTGTATATATACATATATATATATATATATGTATATATATAAATTTTAAGTTGACTCAGCCTCGAGAACACTTGGTCACAGGGTGGGGAACATCACACACTGGGGCCTGTCGTGGGGTAGGGGGAGGGGGAAGGGATAGTATTGGGAGAAATACCTAATGTAAATGATGGGTTGATGGGTGCAGTGGGCCAGCATGGCACATGTATACTTACGTAATGAGCCTGCACATTGTGCACATGTACCCTAGAACTTAAAGTATAATAAAACATAAAGAAAAAAAATTACATTTTCAATAGCAAAAATCACATCCTTCTGTTTTTATAAACCTCACCCAAAAAAACTTTTTATTCTACAACTATTTTAACTCTTTGTAACCTAAATTCTCAGTGACCATACTGAGGATTACTTAATTTAACATAACATGACTCAGATTTTAAACTATTGGAGAGAAATTTGAGATTAAATTTTCCAAATTAATGTTACCAAATATTGCTATAGTCATGTGAACTCAAAGGTATCCAAGCTAGCTTTTATTAGTGTGATAAGCAATTAACTTTTCTTTAAGTCAGTTGGTTAGAGCTCTTTCATATATTTTGATATTGAAATATCACTTCCACATGACACAAGTAATATATAGACATAACAGACATACAAAGGCAAATGTTGGGAACAGGCCCCAAAATCTGGCCATAAACTAGTCCTAAAACTGGCCAGAAACAGTCTCTGCAGCACTGTGACATGCTCTTGATGGCCATGACACTCATGCTGGGAGGTTTGCGGTTTACCGGAGTGAGGGCAAGGAACACCTGGCCCACCCAGCGCAGAAAACCGCTTAAGGCATTCTTAAACCACACACAATAGCATGAGCGATCTGTGCCTTAAGGACATGTTCCTGCTGCAGATAACTAGCCAGAGCCCATCCCTTTATTTCGGCCCATCCCTTTATTTGCCATAAGGAATACTTTTAGTAAATCTTATCACTGGCTTGCTGTCAATAAATGTGTGGGTAAATCTCTGTTCGAAGCTCTCAGCTTTGAAGGCTGTAAGACCCTTGACTTCCCACTCCACACGCTATATTTCTGTGTTTGTATCTTTAATTCCTCTAGCACCACTGGGTTAGTGTCTCCACGACTGAGCTGGTTTCAGCAGGCAGATTGAAAAATGTTTTTCATTTGCCTGTTTTCAAAAACTGTCTCCTTTGCTTTAGACTAATAATAAAAAGAAATGTTACAGAATTTAACAAAAGTTTAAGGAGAGAGTTACCATCCAAGGCCTTCTCAAAACAGAGAAAGAGCTGAAGCAGCAGGGTTCAGCAGAAACTAAATTTCTATTACACTGATTATACAGTTTAAAAACTGAAAGATTCTTGCATTGAATAACTCAATATTTTAATACAAATTTTTATAACCAATTCATTAGTTTTGTATTTGTCTAATTTTAATATTAATATCCAATTACCAGGAAGACTATTATAATCTCATTTTAATTATAGCCTACTTAATCATATGTTTTATACATTTTTTTAAATAAATTTCATTTTACTAAACTTACTATGACTTAACAGATTCTTCATAACATACTTCGGCTTTGGGGTTTGTCTTAAACATACATCTTCTTAACCTGTTATTTTATTTTTTCGTACAAGATTTGTTTTCTTGTAATCTTTCTTACCAAAGGTACCTATTTATATTTATGTTTCTTTAAATCTCTCTTATTCCCTAGTGTCTTTTGCCTTGTATTATAAATAATGTTTAAATAAACTTTGAACTACAAAAATAATTGTCTTTTAATAAAAAACCATTTTTTAAAGTTTCCTTATAATTTTTGAAATTGAAAAGTACCCATACATTTAACATATATCTATTATTTAATATAATTTTAGATTCCAAATTATATGACATTCATTTTAGTATAGTCACGTAATACATTTATTTAATAGTTTACTTAGATTATTTATAAAAACTGTGACAGTCATCATTTAATTATTTTTTTGTTGCTGTTAAACATTTTTATACCCTATGAATTTCAGGAATTTACCTAACTAAGAAACTTAAGGTTAAATACATGGGTATTTTACCAATAACTCAGGATTTAGTTGCTTTCACTAAACCAATAATATTAAATGTCTTCTTTACTAAAAATTACACAAGCAAAGATCATTCTGTTTTGGGCTGGGTTCATAGTATTACAAACCTTAGGCCAAATTTTGGCACCTTACAATATTTGGCAGGAAAAAAAAATATTTGGCAGGAATAAGTATGAAACCACTTGATCAATAAGTGGAAAGAAATATGCTGACAATTCTTAAGACATCTCTAGTATTACTTTACCAATAATTTTAAAGCTAGCTTATTCATTAAAAATTTTACTTAAGTCACATGGACTTGAAAAGCCATTAGGCTTATTATTTCCTTAATTTATGAGGTCTCCTTAACTTTAATTTAATTTGGTTCCTTGTAGCTATAACACACAAAAAATACACGTATGTGCAGATAAACAGACACATACACACTCATAACAAAGATTCTAGAGCTTTTACTTTAGAACTCCAGACATGAGATATTGATACAAACTCACTGGTTTACAAGTAATAATAATAATAATAAAAAGAAAAAAACACCAAAACAATGGTCCTAGCCAAAAAGTGATTTTTTTTTATCAGTAGAAAACTAACAGTAGACTTAAAGCAAGTAGGGGAAAAAAATAGAAAAATAGAGAACATAGAAATTTTCTAGTACATGTCAGCCTTTGGGTCTAAATTTTTACTTAACGTAATTTGGCCATCAGTTTAAAATGTGCAAAACAGAACATAATATGTAACTATTTGGAGCACTAGAAAGTCTGATACTCCATTCTCACATTGTTAAAAAGAACTACCTGAGACTGTGTAATTTATGAAGAAAAGAGGTTTAATTGACTCACATTCCACAGGGTGTATAGGTAGCATGACTGAGGAGGCCTAAGAAAACTTACAATCATGCCAGATGGTAAAGTGGAAGCCAACATATTCTACATGGCTGGAGCAGCATGAAGGCTGGGGGTGGTGACACACACATTTAAACAACCAGATCTCATGAGAGCTGTATCACAAGATAACACTAGGAGGATGGTGCTAAAACATTAGAAACCACCATCACGATTCGATCACCTCCTACCAGCCTCCACCTCTAGCACTGAAGATAACAATTTGTAACAGTTCATTCTCACACTGCTAATAAAGACATACCCAAGACTGGGTAAATTATACAGAAAACAAGGTTCAATGGACTCACAGTTCAGCATGGCTGGGCTGGCCTCAAGAAACTTACCATCATGGCAGAAGGGGAAGCAAACGTGTCCTTTGAGCAAAAGGGGGAAAAGCCCCTTATAAAACCATCAGATCTCATGAGACCTCACTCACTATCATGAGAACAGAAGCATGGGAATAACCAGTGCCATGATTAAATTACCTCCCACCTGGTCCCTCCCAAAACACATGGGGATTATGGGAACTATAATTCAAGATGACATTTGGATGCTGACACAGCTGAAACACATCACATTTTAAAATGAGATTTGGGTGGGAACATAGAGCCAAACCTCCCAAATCTCATGTCCTTCTCACATTTTAAAACAAAATCATGCCTTCTCCACAGTCCTCCAAAGTCTTAGCACATCCCAGAATTACCCAAAATGTCCAAATCCTAAATTTCATCTGGGACAAGGCAAGTCCCTTCCACTTATGAGCTTGGAGAATAAAAAACAAGTGAGTTACTTCCAAGATACAGTGGGGATACAGCAACTGAGTGAATGTTCCCATTTTAAAAGAAAAAAAATGGCCAGAACAAAGGCCCCAGGCAAGTCCAAAACCCAGCAGGGCACTCATTCAATCTCAAAGATCCAAAATAATTTCCTTTGACTCTATGTCTCACATCCAGGGCATACCAGGGCAATAGGAGGGCTCTCAAGGCTTTGGGAAGCTCTGGCCCTGTGGATCTGCCTGTCTTTTTCTCATCTTCCTGTCTTTTTAGGAGCCCTCCAAACTATTCCAACCTCTGCCCATTACCCAGTTCCAAAGTTGCTTCCACATCTTCAGGTATCTTTACAGTAATGCCCCACCTCTCTAGTTTTCTGTATTAGTTTGCTGTCACATTGTTCTCACATCTTCTGTATTACTTTGTTTTCACATTTGTTCTCATATTGCTGTAAAGAACTACCGGAGACTGGGTAATTTATGACGAAAAGAGGTTTAAATTACTCACAGTTCCCTAGGCTGTATAGGTACCCTGTCTGAGGAGGCCTCAGGAAATTTATAATTATGAGAAAGTGAAGGGAAGTCAACATGACCTACCTGATTGGAGCAGGAGGAAGGTGGGGGAAGCTGCTACGCACTTTTAAACAACCACATCTTCTGAAAGCTCCATGGCAACACAGCACTAGGGGGTGTTCCTAAACCATTAGACGTGGAATGCCCTCACACTTCTCCATTTTACACAAATGCTTTCAAATGGAAGACCCATGAAACCAAAAAATTGTTCCAAAGCAGTTTTTCTCATTGTCTTTCCTCATTCTTAAATTCTTTCACACTTCTTTTCTTAAAAGGAGGAACCGAGCTGTAGCCTAGGCTTTTTTGTGTGGTGCATCAATGTGTGCTGATTGTAAGTGAGACTCCACATGTTTTAACGTTGAGTTGTTTCTGCCTTGTTACATGTGTTAGTGAATCTTTAAAATCCTTGTTCTTCAGTGCCGTAAAGAAATAGCACTGGAACATAAATTTAATTTCTTCAGCGAGGCCAATTTTTTTTTTTACTTTATGCAGAAAGGGTGCACACATCAGCAGTTTTGCCATGAGAGTACACCAAATAAAGGAGACGGTCATTTATAACTTGACATGTCAAGCTTACTGCTGTGTCCGGGGTTTCTATTGGAAGGAACAGGACATCACATTGTGTATTTGTCCTGATTGGCTAGCAACTTAGAACTTTTTAAAAGAGGCAAAGGCAGAGGAGAACAAAGGAAGGCAGAAGTAACTTGTGGTATACTGAGAAAGGTAAAAACACCTTCAAATAAGGAAGAGGAACAGGCTATGACCTAATGCTTGCTTAGACCAGTGTAAGCATGCCAGGGCAAATATTTACACTAAATTGTGGGAGCTGAGAACATAAAATACATTGATTTCTTTATTATGGTTAGCAGATATTTAAGAATGTTAGCACAGGTCTTTGAATAAATTTTGCTTGTAAGAGAAGTTACTACTTATTCTTAATTAGATGGAGGGGAAGTCTTTGAAGAGGAATCTCTACTTTACTTTTTACACCGAAGCAGCCTAGGGTCACTGGAGCAGTCTTGTTGTTTGAGGTATTACCAGGAGTTCTTGAGAGGGTTGTCATTCATTTCACAGTTGAATCCAAAGACTTTTATAAAAAAAAAAAAAAAAAAAAAAAAAAAAAGCTAATAGGGCAGAGTGTTTCATTCACATAAGGCACGAAAAACAGGTTAGGACTGGATGTCTTATTTGCATACATACAAATTCTTGTTAGCTCCACCTCTTCTCTCTAGTGTGCATGCAGGTCCTTAGCCTGAGTTACTGCATATTGTTTTATTTTGCTTATTGCGTATGTGTCACTGCAGACGTGTCTGGTTCTGTGTAAGTTTCCTTATCTATACAGCTACAGGTCTGTCTTAGGCAAGCACCCTGTGCAAGTTCCTTTACCTGAGTGTGTCCAGAAAGAAAAGGAATGTGCTCACCAAAGGCCACCGTGTGTAGGCGGAGCTCACTGGTTGCACAGAAGACAAGGGCTTTGGACTTTGCTTCCTTATCTGTGCTTGCAGCTTGATTTCTTCCACATTGTCATTTTTTGGGGAGGACTTCTACCAAGAACCTGTCCTAACTATCTGCCTAACTGGTTACTTATTCTTTCTTCTCTCATTAGTTTCTCTCTCCAGACATCTATCACCTCCATGAGGGCTCAAAACACCGAGTGATCAGCTCTTTATGCGTTTGCTAGATGAGCTTTTTAAAACTCATTTTACCTAATGTCATTATCAGCCTTCTGCTTATTAAGACAGAAACCACAACCATGTCTTTTCTCCTGTACATTTTTTCCTACCTCAGATATTATCAGTAAATACAAATTTTAAATTAATTTCTTGCAGTTACTATTAACAATTTGTGTTTCATTCCATTAGGTTGGCATGTCTCAGTAACTAATATACAATTTTATCATTTTCCCTGCTTTTAAACTCTTACCTTTACATACCACTCTATGTTGAGATGCAAGAATTTCTTGCTAAAGAAAGGCTTGATCTTGTGACTGTCTTTTAAAACTTGAGTGAAGAATTATTTGCCAATAAATTATCATTCAAACTCATAATTGTTTATTTAAAACTAAGTTCCCCTGTTTCAAACTAACTTTCTTCTGTAATGTCCTGCCCTGACCTTTCTCTGTGATCACTACTCACTGGAATGATTTTCAAATATTCTATACTTTCAAATATTTTCAAATATTCTATATTCTATGTGTAGACATATACATATAGTGTGTGTGTGCATGTGTGTATACTGGAAATAAACATTTTTTAAAAGTATAGGAAATAGTGACCTGAACTGATCATATGCTGGGCAAAAACTCAAAACTCAATTAGTTTGTTGAGATTCAAAATCATAAAAAGTATGTGGTCTAGCTATACTAGAAATAAATTAGAAATCATACAAAGAATGATAACTAAAAAATTCTCTAAACTTTGGAAATTAAAAATACATTTTTAAAAAATTCAGTCAACAAAATATTGTAATTATACATGCACATTTATCTCAGCAACTCTTCTCCCAATTATATATCTAACAGAAATTAATATGTAAAACTAATGACATACATATAGATAAATATATTTATACCAGAATAACTAATAATGTCCAAAAATGTAAACAACCCAGGTGTCCATCAGTTATAAAATAAAGAAATACTCTGTGGTATTTGTCAATCAACAGAATACTATACAGCAATGTAATTAACCAATAACTGCTATACAAAAAAAGACACAAGTATATATTATATAATTCAATTATATAAACAAGTAATGTTAATTTATTAAATTAGAATTCAGGTTAATACTTAAATTGAGAATGAAAACAGTGACTAAAATGGTCCAAAAGGAGAGAGTTCCTCTAGGCAGGTTTTAATAACCCAGAACCTAAGAAGTAGGTGTCTTTATTTCAGGATAATATTTAACATAATCTTAAAATTTTGAGTTACTCACTAGTGTGTGTATATTTATCTTATGTATCTCATACTTAAGATTTTATTTTAGAAGATATATAAAATATTTTAAAGTTCTAGAAATTAAATAGCAAAATAAGCATGAAACACTGGAGAAAATTCTACAGGTACTATATAGTGTGGCCAGGAAAAGCCTCTCTAACAAGTATCATTTAAGGGGAAGCCTCAAAAAGAGATAGAAGCAAGCCTCATTTTATTGCAAGACAGAATGCTCTGAAAAGGGAGAGAGGAGACAAAAGGTGTAAAGGGGCTAAGGTGAGAATGCCTTTGAGAGCTTCAAGATTAATAGAAGCCCAGTGTCCCTAGAAGAGAGTATGCAGGGGGAAAGTGTTAGGAGAAGTTGCCAGTGCCTGACCATGTCAAGTTCTGTAGACCAAAAACAGATCTTATTCCCTTTTTTTCTATTAAAAAGCATGTCATTCTTTTTTATTTTATTTTTTATTTAACTTTTACTTTATGTTCAGGTTAAAAAATGCAAGTTGTTATATAGGCAAACTTATTTCTTGGGGGTTTGTTGTACAGATTATTTTGTCACCCAGGTATTAAGCCTAGTAAACACAAATTATTTTTTTCTGATCTTCTCCCTCCTATCACCCTCTACACTCTGCTAGGTCCCAGTGTGTGTAGTTCCCCTCCATGTGTTCATTCATGTCTTCCCATTACAGATTCTCTTCTTAATGTGATGAGAATCCAGATGGAAATCTTAATCAGTGGAGTGTCATAATCTGACATTAATTTCAAAAAAAAACATTATTCTGGCTTCTGGAAGGAAAATATAGCAGAAGACAGAAGAGTAGAGTAGAAGCAGAGAGATTAGTTAGAGGGCATTTCAACCACTGAACACAATTATTTCTTAAAATATCAAAATAGTCCAAACACGGTGGTTCATGCCTGCAGTCCCTGCACTTTGGGAGGTGAATCAGGAGTGCTGTTTGAGTCCAGGAATTTAAGACCAGCCTGGGCAACATAACGAGATTCCATTAGAACAAACAAATTTAAAAATAAGCCAGGCAGAGTGTTTGAGCTCGTAGTCCCAACTACTCAGTAAGCTCAGTTGTCAGGATTGCTTATGCCCACAAGATCAGGGCTACTGTGAGCCCTGATAAAGGGAACAACTCCAGCCTGAGCAAGAGAGCACAACCGTCTCTCAAAAACTATGTGTATCAAAATGATCATTCTCAGATTGCATTTCTATTATCTTACTTATAGCACTTAGAGTGGCTCATCATATTTCCTCTGGTAGAAAGATGTTAACTTTCCCACCTGACTCCATTTCACTTTTAAAAAATTTTGCCTATGATAAAATTATAATTTAAAACCAAACTTTCTATGATGACCCAATTTAAAACATTCAATTTCTATGTCAATTCTATAATATTTACTTTGAATTATTTGTGTAACATTTTTCAAAGACTTTCCATAGACTTGATATATTTAGGAAAAAAATTACTTTCTATGTTGGTATTTTTCTGTTTATCCTTAGCTATGAAGAGAATGCTTTGAAATTATCAAGGATTCATCATGATCAGCCAACGAAGCCCCGGGATCAAGCGGTCTTCTGGATTGAGTTTGTCATGCGCCACAAAGGAGCCAAGCACCTTCGGGTTGCAGCCCGTGACCTCACCTGGTTTCAGTACCACTCTTTGGATGTGATTGGGTTCCTGCTGGCCTGTGTGGCAAATGTGATATTCATCATCACAAAATATTGCCTGTTTTGTTTCTGAAAGTTTGTCAAAACAGGAAAGAAGGAGAAAAAGGATTAGTTATATCAAAGGCCTGAAGCTGGAATGACCAAAAATTAGGAGTTGTCCAGTTTATTGCAGCATGAAGTGGTGGAAATGGAAAATTTCCTTCCCCCTGTGACAAAACATCATTTCACAATTGACCCTGTTAAGTGAAAAACTTCTTTTCCAGAGACTTAGTATCTATTTAAGTTGGAAATATTCCAAGTCAAATATTTAAAAACTAGGATAAATAAAAATAATAAAAAAACCCTGTGGGGTTTTAAGGTTATTATTCTAATTAACAAATGACACAAAAAACTTTACTGAGCTTAACGATGTTTCACACACTGTGCATGGAAATTACTATATTCAGAAGTTCACTTACAGTGTCAGTACTGTTTTTCATATGCTCAGAATACTTTGGCTTCATTTGGAGCAGGTACTGTTTTTCATATGCTCAGAATACTTTGGCTTCATTTTGAGCAGATTTCTATTTTTTTTTACTGTTGCCAAAGAAACTATTCAATAATTAAATTGGGCAAGAAGTCTCACTCTTCCTATTCTTCCTATTGATATTGCAGGAACAGTAGTATTGTTTGGCTTCTTCTATGCATCCATACTCAGTGTCACTGCTTTCCTAAAAGACATTACAAGTTTATCCCTAGAATGAAAGATAATGTTCAAAATTAACAAATATGATATACCACATTAACAAAATAATGAATAATAAGCAACTGTTATCTCAATAGGTGCAAATAAAAGCATTTGAAAAATTCAACAGTTTCTATGAGTAAAAAAAAAAAATCTTTTAACACCCTAGAAATATAAGAAAATCACCTTAACATGAGGAATGATACATATGAAAACCTCACAGCTAAATTCATACTCAATTAAAAAATCTGAAAAAATTTTATCTAATATCAGAACCGGGTAATGATGCTCACTCCTGCTGCTTCTATTTCACATAGTACTGTAAGTCCTAGCTAGAACAAATCAGCAAGAAAAATAAAAATAAAACAAGTTTTTAAATAAGAAAAGAAGTAAAATTACCTCTGTTTGCAGATGACATTATAGTATGTGTGGAAAACTGTAAAGACTCTACAAAATACTACTAGAAGTAAAACAAATTCAGTAAATTTGCAGGATATAAAATCAACATACAAAATTGTATTATTATTCGTATACTAACAAATAACTATCAAGAAACAGTCCAATTTATAATAGCATAAAAAATATATAGGAATAAACTTAACCAAGTAATTAAAAAAACTTCTGTACTAAAAACTATAAGACATTGATGAATGAAAGGAAAGAATACACTAATTTGGAAAGATATATTATGTTGACTGAAATATTTAATAATGTTGAAGTATCTATACAACCTGAAGTGATTTACAGATTCGGTGTAATCCCTATCACAATCCCAATGACATATTCTATTAAAAAAAACTATAATTTATGATCCTGGAAACACTCTAAATAGCCAAAACAATATGCAAAATGTAGAAACAGCTGAAGTCATCATATTTCCTTATTTCAAATTATATTTAGAGCTAGTGTAATTAAAATAACATGGTGTATTAGTCTGTTTTCACACTGCTGTAAAGTACTACCTGAGATTCAGTAATTTATAAGAAAAAGAGGTTTATTTGACTCATAGTTCCTCATGGCTGGGGAGGTCTGAGGAAACTTATAATCATGGTTGAGTGCAAAAAGAAAGCAAAGCATGTACTATATGGCAACATGAGAGAGAAAGAGAGAGAGAGAAGTGCCACAGTTTTAAACCATTATATCTACTGAGAACTCACTCACTATCATGATAACAGCATGGGGAAAATTCACCCCTGTGATCGAATCACCTCCTACCATGTCCCTCTCCTGACACGTGGGGATTACAATTCAATGTGAAATTTGGGTGAGACACAAAGCCAAACCATATTATCCCCACCTCAGCCTCTCTCAAATCTCATGTCATTCTCACATTTCAAAATACAATATCCCTTTTCACAGTACACCAAAGTCTTAACGCATTTCAGTATTAACACAAAAGTCTAAGTCAAAAGTCACATCTGAGACAAGGCAAGACCCTCTACCTATAAGCCTGTAAAATTAAAAAAAAAAAAAACAAGTTAGTTACTTCCAAGATACAGTGGGGTACAGGAATTTGGTAAATATTCCCATTCCAAATGGGAGAAATTGGCCAAAACAAAGGAGCTACAGGCTCCATGCAAGCCTGTAACCCCATATGGCAGCCATTAAATCTTAAAGCTTCAAAAAATCTCCTATAATTCAATTTCTCTCATCCAGTTCCCACTGATGCAAGGGATGGGATTCAGTGGTCTTTGGCAGTTCTACCCCTGTGGCTCCACAGGAGGGCACAGCCCCCATGGATGCTTTCATGGGCTGGCATTGAGTGCCTGTGGCTTTTCCAGGTGCACAGAGCAAGCTGTATGTGTATCTACCATTGCGGTTTTTGGAAGATGATGGCCTTCTTCTCACAGCTACACTACTCAGTGCCTCAGTGGGGAAACTGTGTGGGGACTCCACCCCACATTTCCCTTTGTATTTCCCTAGTAGAGGTTCTCCATGAGGGTTCTGCCCCTGCAGCAGACTTCTGCCTGGACATCCAGGCATTTCCATACATACCCTGAAATCTGGGCAGAAGTTCCCAAATCTCAACTTCAGCGTTCTGTGAACCTGGAGGGCTGACACCTCATCCAAGACAACAAAATATGGGGCTTGCATCCTCTGAAGCCATGGCCCAAGCTGTATCTTGATGCCTTGTAGCCACAGCTGGAGCTAGAGCAGATGGGATGCAGGGAGCAATGTCCTGAGGCCTCACAGAGCAGCTGGGCCCAAGGCCTATAGCAAAAAACAATTTTTCCCTCCTAGGCCTAAAGGCCTGTGATGAGGGTGGCTGCCATGAAGGTCTCTGAAATATTCTGGAGACATTTTTCCCATTGTGTTGGCTACTAACATTCAGTTTCTCATTACTTATGTATTTTGGCAGCCAGCTTGAATTTCAATGGGGTTTTCTTTTATACCACATGGTCAGACTGCAAATTTTTCAAACTCTTGTGCTCTGATTCCCTTTTAAACATAAGTTCCAATTTCAGACCTTTTTTTTTGAACACATATGACTGTATGCTGTTAGAAACAGCCAGGTCACATCTTGAATGCTTTGCTGTTTTGAAATCTCTTCCACCAGATACCCTAAATTATCTCTCTCAAGCTCAAAATTCCAAATATCTCTATGGCAGGGACTGCCAGTATCTTTGTTAAAGAATAGAATGATTGGCTTTTACTCCAGTTCCCAATAAGATGAGTAAGTTTAAGAGAACTGCTGCACTATATTGTGGCCATAGTTAGCAATAATGTATTATACACTTAAAATATCTTTAAAAGAGTAGATCTCACATTAAGTGTTTACACTAATGCAAGGCATACCTTCAAGATATTACAGGTTTGGGTTCAGATCACTGCAATAAAGCAAATATTGCAAAGAAGAAAGTTACACAATTGTTTTGGATTTCCATGGCATATAAAAGTTATGTCTAAACTGTCTGTATTCCATTAAGTCAGAAATAGCATTATGTATAAAAATGTACATAACTCAATTAAAAATACTTTACTGCTGAAAAATGCTAACAATCATCTGATCCTTGTGTGAGCTGTACTCTTTTTACTTGCAGAGGATCACAATTTCAATAAGACAAGAATGATGTTTACTGCATTCATTGATCTTTTCTTTCATGAAAAATTTCTGTGTAGCATGCCATGCTGTTTAATAATGCTGTATAATAGCTTTTTACCCTTAGTAGAGATTCTTTTAAAGCTGCAATCAATCCACTCAAACATTACTGCTGCTTCATTAAATAAGTTTAAGTAATATTCTAAATTCTTTGTTTTCATTTTAAAAATGTTCAAGCCATTTTCACCAAGAGTATTTTTCATCTCAATATACCCCTTTCTTTGTTCATTCATATGAAGCAACTCCTCATCTATTCAAGTTTCATCATTAAATTGAAGCAATTCAGTCATATCTTCAGGTTCTACTTCTAATTACATTTTACTTACAATATTCACCACATTTGTAGTTACTTCCTCCATTGAGGTCTTGACCCTGTCAATATTATTCGTGATGGTTGAAATCAACATCCTAAAAACTCCTGGTGATGTCGATATTTTGACCTCTTCCCATGACTCTCAAATGTTCTTAATGTCATCTAGGAAGATGAATCTTTTTTATAAAATGTTCAATTTACTTTACTAATATCCAACAAAGTAATTGCTATCAATGGCAGCTATATTCTTACAAAATGTATTTCTTAAATGCAATAACTTAAAAGTTGAAATTACTTTTTGATCCAGGGCTATAGAATGAATGTTATATTAGCAAGCATGAAAGCAACATTAATTTCTCTGTATATCTCATTTTCTTGAGTGACCAGACCTATTGTCAATGAGCATTAATATTTTGAAGGGAACATTTTTTCGTAAGCAGTAGATCTCAAAAGTGGGATTAAAATATTCAGTAAATTATGCTGTAAACAGCTATGCTGCCATCCAAGCTTTTTGATACCACTGATAGAGTACAGAATAGATTTAGTATATTTCTTCAGGGCCCTAGGATTTTCCACGTGATAAATCAGCATTGGTTTCAACTTCCAGTCACCAGCTTCATTAGCATCTAATGAAAGAGTCATCCTATCCTTTGGAACTTTGAAGCAAGGCATTGACTTCCCTGTAGCTTTGAAAGTCTTAGATGGTATCTTCTTTCGATAGGAGACTGTTTTGTCCACATGGAAAAGCTATTGTTTAATGTAGCCACCTTCATTAATTATGTTAGCTACATCTTCTGGATAACTTACACAGGCTTCTTTTATCTTGCATTTTATTTTATGGATATGGCTTCTTTCCTTAAACCTTATAAACCAACTTCTGCTAGATTCAAACTTTTTTTCTGAAAATTTTTTACACTTTTCAGAATTGTACAGAGTTAGAGCCTTGCTCTAGTTTAGAATATGGCAGAAGAAAATATCTTCACTGGTTTTATCTTTAATCCAGAAGATTAAAACTTTCTTCATATAAGCAATAAGGCTGTTACACATTCTTATCCTTTGTGTATATTGTTGTAGCACTTTTAATGTCCTTCATTAACAGTTTGTTTGTATTCAAAATTTGGCTAAATGTTTGGCACAAGTATGGGCTTTGCCCTATCTCAGCTTTAAACATACCTTCATCATTAAGCTCAATCATTTCTAGTTTGATTTTAAGTGAGAGACATGAGACCCTTCCTTTCCTTTGAACTCTTAGAAGCCATTTGTAGGGTTATTAATTTGCTTAACGTCAGTATTGTTGTGTCTCAGGAAACAGGGAAGCCTGAGGAGACAGAGATAAATGGGAAACAGCTGGTTGGTGGAACAGTCAGAATACACACAACACTTATCAGTTCTGTTTACCATATTATATGCATGCATTTTGTGATGTCCCTCAAAAAATTACAATGGCAATATCAAGAAGCAACGGCCACAGGACACCAAAACTGATATAATAAAAACAAAAATGCTTGAAACTTTGTGAGATTTACCAAAATATGCCACAGTGACACATTGTTAGCATGTGTTAGCTATTGGAAAGATAGCATTGGTAGACTTGCTTAATGTAGGGTTGCCACAAGGGTTCAGCTTGTAAAAAAAAAAGTCCATATTTGTGAAGCACAATAAAACAAAGCAAAATGACAGAAGGAATACGTGTGTGTGTGTGTGCGTGGTGTGTGTGTGTGTATATATAAATATGAGAGTTAACAAAAGATAACTCAGAGCTGACTTGATAAATACACTGATTAAAAAAACAAACTTCATCTGAATTAAATTTAAAAGAGTTTAAACTCTTGAGCAATGGACAACTCACAAATTGTGCAGCCTCCTGAGTCAGAGTAGGCTCTGAGACTCCAGTGCAGTCACGTGGTGAAATAAGATTTATGGAAAGAAAAGGAAAGTGACATACAAAAAGTGGAAGTGAGGTAAAGGAACAACTGAATTGGTTAAAGCTCAGTGCTTACCTTATTTAAACAAAGCTCAAATAACTGGCTACATTTATTTGGCCAAAACGTGGCGACTGGCCCAAGTGTAGGCTATGGTCTGTTTACACCTCCACTTGCCAAAGTTCATGATGTACAGAGAAACTTTTAGGCCAAACTTAAAACATGTAGGAGGTAGCTTTAGGCTGAACTTGATTTAACACTACACAAGTACACTGAGAATATATCATAAACCTTTGTTTTTAAATTAAGTCTATTGTCTTATCAAATTTTAATATCCCAATAGAGCATCATGATTGTGAAAATGATAAAATTTAAGTACCTTGTTAGTATTAAAAATTGCTTTAATATAAAAAATTTAATTGTCCATGTATTGTTCTAAAAATATAAAGCACAATGCAAAGCAATACTTATTCAAGTAAATTTCCTAAGACTTGATAAAAACAGGGATCGCCTCTTACCTTGCAAACAAAAACTGCCCCCTCATCCCCTCCGAACTCAGCGTGTCAGAATTTTACTACAGGTAGATGCAGACAAGAACAACTATAGAATAAACCGGAGAGGAAATAGAAAACCTGAATAGACCCATAAAAAACGGAAAGACTGAATTACTAATCAAAAGACAACCCACCAAAAAAAAAGCCCAGGCCAAGAAGGCTTTGTTTTAGAATTCTACAAATCATTCAAGGAAGAAAACATAACAATTCTTCAAAAAACAATCCTCCTAATAATAGAAGAGGAGAAAACACTACCAACATATTTCATTGACCCCTTCTACTAAAACCACAAAAAACACATCACAAAAAATGAAAACTACAGATCAACAGCTCTTGTAATTATAGACACAAAATTCCACAATAATATCTTAGCAAACTGAATATAAGAACATACAAAAGTTATTATATACCACAAATAAGTGAAATTAATCTCAGCAATGCAAAGTTACTTTAACATTTAAATTATTGATAGCACCTGTTGGGAAACTCCTCTGCCCTCACAGGCTCAGAAGTGCCTGATCTTACTGCCTGGCTTCTTCCTGATGTCAGTGCCCACTTGATCTCATAGCAAAGTTGGGACTGAGCCTAGGCACCATGAGTGACAGCAGGAGGCAGACTGATTCCTGGGCAAAAGGGGGTGGGTCCCCAGTGATCCCCATCTTCAGGACCGGGGAAAGCCTGAAGGCTGGGGACTAGGTTGCCTGTCTGTCCCATGGACCGAAGTGGGAACTTGTGGTGCCTCTTCTGGGCCCACCCATGGCTGCTCACAGACCAATTAACTTGCACTTTCTCCCTAGTGAGGCCCATTAAAACTATGGGTTCAGCCATAGCTGAGCAGATGACAATATGACCAGCTGCAGAGAGGAACTACCTTCTCAGTGGAGAGCTTCTGAGACCTGCAGAGACATCGGGACAACAAGCTGCAGAGAGGAGCAACCCACTCTAAGGCCTCTTTTCAGCTAGGAGCTGAGCAGACATCAGGACAACCAGCTGCAGAGAGGAAAGTCGGAGAATTCCTCGAGCCCAGGAGTTCGAGACCAGTCTGGGCAACATACAGAGACCCTGTGTCTACAAAAAGTAATAATAATAATAATAAATAGAAGTGTGCAGAGGTGCATGCCTGTAGTCTTAGCTATTCTTGAGGCTGAGGCAGGAGGATTGATGGAGCCCAGGAGTTTAAGGTTACAGTGAGCTGTGATCACACTTCCACACTCCAACCTGAAAGGCAGAGTGAGACTATTTCAAATAAAAACAAAAAGGAAGAAGAAGAAGAAAGAGAGGAAAACTCAAGCAAGGAGAGAAGTTCAGATGCTCCAACCCCTAAAATATAATAATAACTAACTTTCTAATATGTACAACACAACTATGATCTTTGAATACTTATGAAATACTCTTTATTTTTTTATTCTACGTAGCTTTTTATAATTACCTATACTATTTTTGGCTGCAAACCTGAAGTTATTTTTAACACTCACATAAAAACTAAATTTTAAAAATTTGTAAATTATGCACTAGTTTATGATGATTTCCTGGTAATTCCAAAATCAGTACCTCATTATGGTACTAGGCATGTACCAAATGGCTTAGCTATAGACAACCATATTAAACACTGCTGTCAATGCTTTGGAGTATGTCATCGAAGATTTAACAGTCTTTGAATAAAATTTAGCATCATTGCATTTTAGAATTTTTTTCAACAGCACTATTATTTATAAGATGCCAATCATTCTTTCTCATATCTAAAAATGTCCATGCTAACAAATGTAATAATATTATGGATATACATGAAAAATGCCACTTGAAATTTTTTATCTTTATATGTAATTCCTAAGCAGAATTAATTTATTTCTCATACAGAGAGGATTACATAGATTTGCTTTGTTTGTAAATCAAAAGATGTCAGACTGTAACTATGGAACAAGTGGATATAAGTAAACTGTCTCCCATTTCATTGTTTTAAAAATAAAAAAGCTTAATAATAAATTTGGAAGAAGAGAGTGAGTATAGTACAAACATTAATTTAAAAAGTGTGGACCATTATTAATTTGTTACTCTTCTTCACACCAGAATTATGACTGTCTAACAATTAAATACTTGAATTTTTCATTTATTATCTCAATTGTTTAAGTCACTATGTATGAAATATTATGATTGCATTTAAACTGATCTAATGTAAAAATAAGTCCAGGAAATATAGTTGTTCTGCTTACTTCAGTCTTCTAGTAGTTCTCATTAATTAACCTGTCCTATTCTGTTTTCTTTGTCTGCTATATAGAAGGCATTTAGTAGGGTTCTCAGTCTTTTTAGAATTCTAACAAATATGGTTTAATTTGAATTTGACTCAGAACAAAGTATTTTCTTTATATAAATGATCACATGGAAATTTGATGACAGGAAATCAGATACCTTAGTATCAATACTTCGCTGTATAGTGGGTAGTCCAGAATGGCCTTGGTGAGACTCTGAAGAACAAAGATTGAAAACATGGCTAACAGCCAATCATGATGAAAATACTTCAACAGAAAAAAAACAGATTCACCATTTATTATTTAAAAACTCAAAAATAAAATCTAGCATGTTTATATTTATGTTCCAGTCCTGGGGGAAAAATACAATTAATTACAACAGTTACCATTTTTTTTATACACAGTTACGTTCTTTATGGCTAGAACAAATTATCTTTATTTCTATTTCAACTGTAGTTACCTCTTAAACAATAAAAGTTCAATAATTTTCTAGGTTGTCTGTCTCCTAATTCAATCATTACAAACACCCTTTCTCCTTATGTAGGGATATTTCAGTTGCAACTGAAAAATAACAGCCTGTCTTTTATTTCCAGTGACAGCATTTTATATGGGAAAAAATCCCCAGTCTTTATCATGAAGTGGTAACACACTTCATACTGGAGTGTCGCCTATACTTCACTTTGGTGGTTTTAGTGGAAATGTTTATCAGAGGTTCTAGGCTAGTGCATAAGTTTTAAAATAGTCAAAAATGAAATAGGAATTGCTGAAGATGGTAACAACACATTATAAAGAAGACTGAGAACAAAGTTGAAGCAGGGAAACATAAATATTATTAGAGTACTGTCTAGTTTTCACCATGTTTATGCCAGTCTTTCAGCATGAGAGCTCATCAAATGTTATTTTTCTGGATAAATTTTATTTGGTATATATAATGTATACGAGATGCTATCATCAGATGCAAATATGTAGTGAAAAGGTTGCTATAATGAAGCAGGTAAGCATGTGTCAATCATCTCACATTAGTTACTCAATTTTTTTATTGTTTTTAAAACTCTTCCAAAATGCTTTATTTTCAGTAAATTGGCATGACATAATCAATCACTAGTTCCTCTTCTATTTAATTATAAGGAAATAATTATGATGTTAATATTTTTAATCCCATCACTGATGAATTGTAAACCACTACGCCTTTCAAATTTACCTGTTTAAAACAATTGAAAAAAATAAGATACTAGTATAAAAGTGACCATATTCTTTGTTATTGTGGTTGTGGTTGCTTTTGTCTCATTTGAAATAATTATAAAATAACGGGCTTGAAAGAGATAAATTGGAATATTTCTGTTTAACAGCCAAAATGTCTGAAACCAGAAATTTGTTGTTTTTAAATTATTTCAGTACACACAATAATTTTAGTTATGCTATTTTATTAATAGTTACATTAACAAAAATTAAATAATTTTAATATTTACTATTATGTTTTTAATATTAATTTTAATAAACTCATTCTGGTGTTGAAAAATAAAGATAATTTTTGAATAGTTAACACATATTGAATGTATATGAAATGACATGCATTGTATTGGTTCTTTGTATTATGTAACTTCTTGATTATAGTTTTTTACAATTGTATTAAAAACATAAATCAGGATTAATGTCACCCTCTGAAAAACACAGTCTTCCCACTGTGATCTTTAAATAACAAGAACAGAAGTTACCTCCATTGCTATTGCTACAGTGCTATGCATTAACACTTCATAATTTTAACTTGGTAAGCATATACTTATATCCATCCTTATTATTTGTCTATTAGTCCATAATTATTTTAACACTAAATGCCTCAAAGCATTCAATGCAATGTCTCAAAGTAAAATATTGAACTCTTCTTAAATTCTAAAATCAAAATACAACAAGAAAAAACGGTGATAGTAGCAAACATTTACTAAGAATCTCTTTATGATGAGAATAATTTCAGCAAGTATTCTAAGAACCATTGCATGGCTACTCACAATAACCAGATAAGAAAGATATATGATTTTTATTCATTCAATTTAACAGTAAAATCTAGGAAGAGATGTGCTTTTTTTACTCATAGTCAGCATATATATATATAATTGACTACAGTATATTTTTCAGTATTTCGTTATAAAATTTGCATACAACGAAATGCATGTATCTTCACTATACATTTTTTGAGTTTCAACAAATGCTTACACCTCTATAAACCCAAACCCATAAGACATTATTATGACCACACAAATGTCCCTTCATGCCTCTTTGCAGTCCAACTCAGCCCTTGCTTCCCAGAGGAGATTGTTTTAGAATATCTTATATATGAAATTATGCATTCAGTATGTACTCTTTTGTGGCTAGTTTCCACTCAGCCTAACATGTTTTGGATTCATCTGTATTGTTGCGTGTCACAGATGTATATGAGTATACTGCATATTCTGCACCTCGTTTGTTTATTCATTCTCCAATTGGTGGATACTTGGATTGTTTCTACAGTGTCTTGTGAGTGGGAGTTTTCACTGTTGTCATTTGTTTATGAAGTCTAATTTATTATTTTATTATTTTTTCTTTTATGCTTTTTCTGTAATCTGTCTAAGAAAGCTTTGCCTGCTGCCAAGTAATCAAGGGAGATGGCTCCTATTTTTCTCTAAAAGCTTTATGTTTGGGTTTGGTAATCCTTTTCTTTTGTTTTGAGACAGGGTCTCTCTCTCTGTTGCACAGGCTGAAATGCAGTGGTGACATTGAAGCTTACTGTAACCTCTGACTCCTAGGCTCTAGGGATCCTCCCACCTCAGCCTGCTGAGTAGCTAGGACTACAGGAACACCACAACACTAGGCTAATTTTTTAAGAAGTTTTTTGTAGAGACAATTTATTCTTTATTTTTAAAATTTTTTTTATTATACTTTAAGTTCTGGGATACATGTGCAGAATGTGCAGGTTGGTTACATAGGTATACATGTGCCGTGGTGGTTTGCTGCACCCATCAACCTGTCATCTACATTAGGTATTTCTCCTAATGCTATTTCTCCCCTACCCTTCTACCCCCTGACAGGCCCCAGTGTGTGATGTTCCCCTCCCTGTGTCCATGTGTACTCAATGTTCAACTCCCACTTATGAGTGAGAGCATGCGGTGTTTTATTTTCTGTTCTTGTGTTAGTTTGCTGAGAATGATGGTTTCCAGCTTCATCCATGTCCCTGCAAATGACATGAGCTCAGCCTTTTTTATGGCTGCATAGTATTCCATGGTGTATATGTGCCACTTTATTCAACCTATCATTGATGGAAATTTGGGTTGGTTCCAAGTCTTTGCTATTGTGAACAGTGCCACAATAAATGTACGTGTGCATGTATCTTCATAGTAGAATGATTTATAAGCTTTTGGGTATATACTCAGTAATGGGATCACTGGGTCGAATGATATTTCTTGTTCTAGATCCTTGAGGAATCACCACACTGTCTTCCACAATGGTAGAACAAATTTACACTCCCACCAACAGTGTAAAAGCATTCCTATTTCTCCACATCCTCTCCAGCATCTGTTATTTCCTGACTTTTTAGTGGTCACCATTCTAACTGGCATGAGATGGTATCCCACTGTGGTTTTGATCTGCATTTCTCTAATGACCAGTGATGTTGATCTTTTTTTCATATATTTGTTGGCTGCATAAACATCTTCTTTTGAGAAGTGTCTTTTCATATCCTTTTAATAAGACAGGTAGATGTCAGCTCAGGATTCAAACTGAGGCCATGTGCTTTCATACTTTTGACCACTAACCCACTGTTATAATGACAATACTAACTCCTGGTCAATGCCAACTTCTTATGAGCTTTGCCTTGACCTGAACCTTGTCATGGATTTGTCTCCTATCTCTAGTCCTTAAATTGCAATTTTCTGATAAATAAAAATTTACTTTTCCTGTTCTTTGCCCACATTTTAATAAAGTTGTTTTTTTTTAATTTGTTTATATTCATTATAGATGCTGGACATTAGAACTTTGTCAGAGGTATAGTTTGTGAACATTTGGTACCATTCTGTAGGTTTTATATTCAGAGTGTTCATAGTTTCTTTTGCTGTGCAGATGCTCTTTATTTTTACCAGATCCCATTTGTCATCATTTGTTTCTGTTGCAATTGCTTTTGGCATCTGCTTCATAAAAGCTTTGCCCATTTCTATGCATAGGATGGTATTTCCTAGCCAACAAGCATATGAAAAATGCTCAACATCACTAATTATTAGCAAGGACATGGAATCAACCTAAATGCTTATCAGTGGTAGACTGGGTAAAGAAAATGTGGTACACATTCAACATGGAATACTATGAAGCCACAAGAAAAGCAAGACTATGTCTTTTGCAGGAGGAATATGATGGAAGATGGAGCACATTATCCTTTGCAAATTAATGAACTAATGCAGGAAAAGAAAACCAAATACTGCATGTCCTCACTTGTAAGTTGGAGCTAAATGATTAGGACATATGAACACATAGAGGAAAACAACAGACACTAGAGACTTTCAGATGGTGGAAGGTTGGAGGAGGTAGAGGAGCAGAAAAAATAACTATTGGGTACTAAACTTAATACTTGGGTGACAAAATAATCTGTACAACAAACCACCATGACACAAGTTTACCTACATAACAAACCTTCACATGTACCCCAAACATAAAATAAAAATTAAAAGAAAGAATATTACTTTTTACTTTTTGATTGATTGTTTTAATATATGCGGAAAGTAGAGAGACTTTACAAGACATTCTGAAATAGACCATTCTCAAATGGTAGCATAAAAAGTTCCATGGAGGAAATTTCAAGGGAAACAGGAATAACTGGTGAAAATTGTTTTTTAAAACAACCATTTGGTGTCCCTGGCAATAATCCTAAAGACATATAATAAAGTAACATTCACTGAAGAAAATCCAGTAATTTGTAGTGAAAACAGCAAGTGTCTTTGGCATTTAAGCCACAACATGCTCATTTGCCCCCCCTCCTAGTTCAGTGACAGAAACTCCCTCTCTTCCAGGGAGGTGCTGATGCTACCACAGGGCTCTCACTCTTCAAAGCTCCCAGTTGAGTGTCAGGGTATGCAGTTGAGAAAAGGTGTCTCTCTGATTTTTTTATATATATAGACTCAGGCATATGCTCCAGAAGCTTAATTCTAGGCAAGTGTGGCTAAGAAGGGTCTCACATCTTTCATTCAGCCACAGTCATAACTCAGAGATTCAACTCAAGAACGGCACAAAGAATACTGAGTACCAAATAGCCATTGCCCCAGTCCACTCATAGGATGGAATTTCCGTGATGGGAGAGAAAAACTAAGAATAAAGGCCAGCAAAGGTGGCAGCCTGCCACTCCCACTGAGAGCTCCTTCTTATGGAGGTGCAATGCCGCTATTGGTGGCTTGCTGGAATTTTAAGCCAGTGGGTGCTCACCTGTGAGGTGCTGTGAAAGTGGGGCCTGCAGGCTGTATCTTCTCAGTCCCTTGGATTCAGCCTTTTTCCTAGGGATATGTATGTGGTTCTAATCTCCTAATTTGCCAAAGCTGCAGTTACTTTTGCCAGAAAGCCCACATAGCTAAGGTTCCAGGGTCACCTCGCATGCCTGAGTAGATGCTCTGCTGAGACTCCACCTTTTTCTGGCTGTCAGAATGAAGGCCCTGTTGATGTGAGTTCACAGGTAGACTTCTTGACTTGAGGGTTGCAAAGATTCTTGGGAGAAGTATGGTTTCCTGTGGTTGCACAATTACTCAATGCTTCCCTGGGAGGGTGGGGTTCCCCTAGCTGCTTGTTGCTCCCAGGTGGACCATTATCCTGTCCTGTTTTTCTTTAATCTCTGTGGGTCAAGTTATTTTCTTGATTATTCTCAATGCAAGTCCCTGGATGTTTCACTTGAAAGTGTTGTATTTACTTGCTCTTTTCATTACTCTCCATGAGAGCCATGCACACTAGTACCTTCTAGTCAGGCACCCTGAACATGTTTTCCAACTTTCATTCTTAATTCCTTTCTTCCATCCTCAGCATCATATCTTTCTTGGATGTCAAATTTTTAATTTTTTCGATCATGTTATTTTTCAGAAAAATAGAAATAATTATATTTTGGAACATAGAAAGTTCACTGATATAATTTGGCTCTGTCCCCATCCAAATCTCATCTTGAATTGTAGTTCCCATAATTTTCATATGTCCTGGGAGAAATCCAGTGGGAGGTAATTAAATCATAGGGGCGGTTACCCTCATGCTGTTCTTGTGATAGTGAGTGAATTCTCATAAGATGTGATGGTTTTATAAGGGGCTTTCCCTGCTATTGCTGATTCTTCTCTTTCCTCCATCCATGTGAAGAAGGATGTGTTTTCCTCCCCTTCAGTCATGATTGTAAGTTTCGTGAAGCCTCACCAGCCCTGCAGAACTGTGAGTTAATTAAACCTCTTTCCTCTATAAATTACCCAGTCTCAGGCAGTTATTAATAGCAGTGTCAGAAGAAACTAATACAGTAAATTGGTACCACTGAGAGTGGGGTGTTGCTGTAAAGATACCTGAAAATGTGGAAGTGTCTTTGGAAGTGGGTAATAGACAGAGGTTGGAACAGTTTGGAGTGCTCAGGAGAAGACAGGAAATTGTGAGAAAGTTTGGAACTTCCTAGAGACTTGGAGAGCTCAGAAGACAGAAAGATATGTACAAGTTTGGAACTTTCTAGAGACTTGTAAAACAGCTTTGACTAGGCCGGTCATGGTGGCTCATGCCTGTAACCCCAGCACTTTGGGAGGCAGAGGAGGGCAGATCATGAGGTCAGGAGATCGAGACCATCCTGGCTAATGCGGTGAAACCCCGTCTCAGCTTCCTTGGAACATACATTTCAGTGGGGACACGGTCAAACCATATCTTTCTGCCTCTGGGAACTCCCAAATTTTATGTGCTCACATTTCAAAACACAATCATGACTTCTCAACAGTCCCCCAAAGTCATAACTCATTCTAGTATTAACCCAAAAGTCCAAGTCCAAAGTCTCATCTGAGACACAGCAAGTATCTTCCACCTATGAGTCTGTAAAATCAAAAGCAAGCTAGTTACTTCCTAGATACAATGGAGGTATAGGCATTGGATAAATACACCCATCCTAAATTAGAGAAATTGGACCAAATAAAGGGGCTACAGTCCCCATTAAAGTTCAAAATCCTATAGGGCAGTCCTTAAAATGTAAAGTTCCAAAATGATATCCTTTGACTCCATGTCTCACATCCAGGTTAAGTTGATGCAAGAGGTGGGCTCCTATGGCCTTGAGCAGCTTTGTCCCTGTGGCTTTCCAGGGTACAGCCCCTATCCAACTGCCTTCTCTGGCTGCTGTTGAGTGCCTGTCTTTTTCAGGTACATGATGCAAGCTATCATTGGATCTATGATTCTGGAGTCTAGAGGATGGTGGCCATCTTTTTACAGCTCCACTCAGCAGTACCCCAGTGGGGACTCTGACACCACATTTCCCTTTTGCACTGCCCTAGTAGAATTCTCCATGAGGGCTCCACCCCTGCAGCAAACTTTTGCCTGGACATCCAGGCATTTCCATACATTCTCTGAAATCTAGGCAAAGATTCCCAAACCTCAAGTTTTGACTTCTATGCACCTGCAGGCTCAGCACCACATGGAAGCTGCCAAAGCTCGAGGCTTGCACACTCTGAAGCCATGGCCTGAGCTTTAATTTAGTCTCTTTTAGCTATGGCTGGAACAGCTGAATTACAGGGCACCAAGTTGCTAGGCTGCACACAGCAGGGTGTCTCTTGGCCCAGCCCAGAAAATCATTTTTCCCTCCTGGGCCTCTGAGCCTGTGATGGGAGAGGCTACCATGAAGGGCTCTGACATACACTGGAGACATTTTCCCCATTGTCTTGTTGATTAACATTCAGCTCTTCATTATTTATGCAAATTTCTGCAGCAGGGTTGAAGTTCTCCCAAGAAAATGGAGTTTTCTTTTCTATTGCATCACTAGGCTGCAAATTTTCTAAAATTTTATGCTCTGCTTCCTCTTGAATGCTTTGCTGCTTAGGCATTTCTTCTACCAGATAGCTTAAATAATCTCTCTCATGTGGAGCTACCCTCTCCAGGGCCTCCCCTCTGCTGAGAGCTGAAAACTGATGGGACTACCTGCCTACAGAGAGGAGCTAACCACTGCATACCTCCTCTGAGCTGTTCTAACGCTCCATAAAGCTCCTCTTTGTCTTGCTCACCCCTCACTTTTCTGTGTACCTCATTATTCCTGGCTGCATGACAAGAACTTGGGCAAAGGTGCCACTGGCCACAGATGTTTCTGAGCAGAAAAGCAACACCCCAAAGATCCTGTAACACTTTCAATTAATGTATTACACAATATAATTATAATGAAGAATGAGAAATTCATTATCATTTCCATGAATGCACAAAAAAATTAATGAAATCCAGTATCTTTCATCATAACAATATTCAATAAAGTAGGAATAGAGGGAAACTTCCTCAAACTGTTCCCTGACAGAACAAGGTCCACCTGCTTGTTCTCATGGTCCAGTAACAAGAAGCAGACAAAGTCAGAAAGAGGGGAGTTTATTTATGCAATTGGTTACAGGGAGAAGGTTGCAGTAACTCACCAGATCAATTCAAAGTTACAAGTGTTTTTCTAGTGCTTAGATACACTTTAAGCTGCATGCCTATGTGTGGGAGTGCACCTACAAGAAGGAGTGATTTATTCAATCTCCATCTAATCTTATGAGGTGTATGTGTAAAAATGCTATTATTATTCTATCAGACTGTAGGGGCTGTGAAAACCAAGGTGGGGTCTGAATGGGTTTGTTTTCTCATCCTAGTCCTTGTACTCAGGTAAAACTTTGTCTAGTTCTTTAATGCTTAACTTATGGATTCATTAAAATTATAGTTAAGGATTAGTGAAAACTGACTGCTCTAATTGTTGAGGGAAACCTAGCCTGACACAAACCTGATAAGTGACATCTATAAGAAAACACATAGCTAGCATTATACTTAATGTAGAAAGGCTAAATCCACTCTCTCTACTCCTAATCAACATCCCACTAGAGGTTCTAGTTAAGACAAATAGACAAGAATATGAAATAAAGTAATCTATATAGGGAAGAAAAAATTTAAACTATTGGCATATGACATGCTTTTATATTGAGAAAACATTTAGAAATCTACTAGAAAAACTTTAGACTTGAGAGATGAAGACAGCTGGACTTCTGGGTAGATTGGGAACTTGGATAACTTTTCTGTCTTACAAGAGGATTGTAAAACGCACCAATCAGCACTCTGTAGCTAGGATTCTAAAACACACCAATCAGCTCTCTGTAGCTAGCAAGCCGATTGTAAAATACACCAATCAGTGCTCTGTAAAAACACACCAATTAGTGCTCTGTAGCCAGCAAGAGGATTGTAAAATGCACCAATTAGTGCTCTGTAAAATGCACCAATCAGCAGTCTGTAAAATGAACAAACCAGTGCTCTGTAAAACGCACCAATCAACAGGATTCTAAAAGTAGCCAATCGCAGGGAGGACTGAAAAAAGAGCACTCTGATAGGACAGACATGGAACATAGGAGAGGCCAATAAGAGAATAAAACCTGGCCACCCCAGCCAGCAGTAGCAACATGCTTGGGTCCCCTTCCACGCTGTGGAAGCTTTGTTGTTTTGCTCTTCACAATAAATCTTGCTGCTGCTCACTCTTTGGGTCCGTGCCACCTTTAAGAGCTGTAACACTCCCTGTGAAGGTCCACAGCTTCATGCTTGAAGTCATTGAAACCACGAACCCACCAGCAGGAAGAAACTCCAGAAACATCTTGGGGGCTCATCCAGGATGTTGCCACACACTGAGTGCCATCAGACCCCTTTTGCTTGGTATTCTGTCCTATTTTTCCTTAGAGTTTGGGGGCTAGTCACCGGGCACCTGTCGGCCAGTTAAAAGTGACTAGCTCAGCCACCAGACTAAAGGCATGAGTGTCAGGCTTTCTGGGAAAGAGCTCTCTAACAACCCCCAACTCTTTAGAGGCAGGAGTGTTGGTTTGCTGGGAACCAGCTTCTGCTTTTCCTGTACTTCTGGGCTGAGCTGAGAGTCAACGGACAGGAAAGCCATTCAGCTCCAGGGTCCTGAAAAAAGTTGGTTGACCCTGCAGCTATAAGCGTAACTCTCAAAGTTATGTCTCCCAAGCAAGACTCGCCCATCTATCCTATCTATCCTGACCCTTGCCTCCTGGGTCCTAATGCCTGTCAAACAAACTTCTTCTTGCCTCTTTTCTCCGAGGCTAGTCCCACTTCTAAACACCAAATCTAGCTTTGTTACCTATGCAACAAAGCTGCACATCCTGCATATGTTCCCCAGAACTTAAACTTTGGAAAAAAAGAAAAAAAGAACAGGAAAAGAAAATTTAGGTTCCCTAGAAGACACTACCTCCAAAAAGCCTTCATGTCAATTTCCTTGGCCAAGGATGCTCTAGGATACCTCCATCTTACCTCTTAGGCAACAGGAGAAGAACTTAAGGAACAGCCAGATCACTTTCCTCCCAGCTTAATACATTACTGACTAAATTAAAGTCATACTTTATTTTAAATTAAGAGGATTGGTCACGTGTGTGGCTCATGCCTGTACTCCCAGCACTTTGAGAATCCCAGACTGGTGGATAGCTTGAGCTCAGGAGTTCCAGACCAATCTGTGGAGCACTGGACAACTCTGTCTCTACAAAAAATATAATAAAATAAAAACAAATGCAGACCGAGCACACTGGCTCACACCTGTAACCCTAGTTTTAAAAAAAAATGAAGGAATGAGGTGCATGTGTCATTGTTAAAATGTCTATGTCTCTTTTTATCTGTTTTTGCTTTATGTATGTGAGGTTTTGATGATGGGTGCATATGTATTTATAATTTTTATATATTCATAATGAGTTGACACTTTCATAATAAAAAATGTTCCTCTTTAATAACATTGAACAAGAACCTTTAATGTCTGAAATTACTATAGCCACTCATTTATTTTTGTTACTATTTGCATTGTATATACTTTTACATCATTTTATTTCCAACTGCTTACATCTGTAAGTTTATACAGTGTCTCTCTAGGTAGCATATACTTGGAATTTTTTAAAATATTGTCTGTAATATTCAACTTCTAATAGGATTTTTTAATTAATTTATATTTAGTATTGCTCATACAGCTGGATTTATGTGTTGTTTGTCTTTTTTAATACATTATATTTTTATGTTCTTCTTTTACATTAATTTATGTTTTAAATGTAACATTTCCATCTCTTTAATAATTTTTATATTTTTTCCGTTATTTACTTTGTGAGTAATTGAGGACTTGCCATATATACACATTAAATTATTAGAATAAACTTTAAACTCATACTACCTTACTTCCTATATAAAAATATTACCTAGACATAACTCCATTCCCTCTTGTAATTTGTGCGACTATTGTTATATTACATTTACATGTGTTACAAACCTCACACTACATTATTATCACTTTATATAATTTTATGTCTTTTCAGAAGCAAAAAATAATTAGAAAGCAGATATTTGTTTATATCATTGGTCACAATTTCTTTTTACTTACCATTTCTGATTCTCTCTTTTTTTTGTATTCAGGTTACCATTTGTTTTTATTTTTACCCCAATACAGTTTTCACAAAACTATGGGTTGGTTTGGATTCAGAAAGACTCTTTTTATCTGTCTGTCTCTCTCTAGTTTTGTATAATCAGCTAATTTGCATCTTTCATAAAGCTATGTTCTTCTTTATATTAATAACTGCCTACCAACAAAACTTTCCATATTTTGAAAGTACTCTTAGGCTTGAACTTCTACATATTGATTCAAGTAAAGTAAATTACTCTTGCAAGTGCTTTACAACACTCTTTTGAATGGTCTGACTCCTTCCTTGGGCAAAATCTCCCATTGGTGTTAGAACTGGAGGGCAGGGACAATGGAACACTTCTCTCTGAGTGACATCTGTGCTCAAACAGAAAAATAATAGCCCTTACGTTTAGTTTGCATCTCCATCATGGAACCACCATCCTATAAATAAGTTTTGGCTATAATTATTTGGTACTCAGATTCTCAGTATGCCATTCCTAAGTAAAACTTTTGCTTATGACTGTGGTTGGATAGAAGAAGAGATAACCCGTTTGACTTAACTAGCCTAGAATTTACCCTCTATAACACATCGATTGGGTGTGAGTGGAAGAGTTTAGGATGATTTCCTCTCTACAGAAGATACATCTCCCTCTTGTTGGAGTTTTGTAGATTTGAAGCCCTATCATCTTTGTCTGCACCTATCTGGAATGGAGATTTAGTCACACTGAATTAGGAGGGTGAGTGAGGAAAAATAAGGTTATTGTTTAAATGCCACAGGCTCTTACTATTTTACCAAGATTTGGCAGAAGTTTTTGAATTTTTTTTCCACATATGATGAGGATAATTCCTAGTATTTTCAAATAGTTTTATTTTGACAATAATTTTTTACTAGTTATTCTTATACTGGGGAGCTGGTTCATGGGTTCATAGCATTTCTCACACTATCAATCAGGAAGGGGCTACATCAATGTTTTCTCCTAACACTTTTTGTTCCTTCTTGTGATAAATTTGCTTAACATAGTTACTAACTCAGCATCCAATTTTAGGCCTGACGTAAGTTGTTTAACACCTAGTGATAGCAGTTTTTCTTTTCTTTCTCATGTGTTGTTTGTGATATAGTTCATTTGTTTCTTGTTCCACTGACCCCAAAACCAAGCACACTTTATAACTGATGATCATGATATAACCTATTGTCAACATGAGAGTTGTATAATTAGCCTCCTCCCTTTACATATTTTTTAAGTTTATAATTACATGTTCTTTAAATTAGCCATTCTAAAACTCCCTCATAAAATCTAAGGGTTAACACTCACAGAACTTAATAAAGGAATGGCTTCATAGGCCTTCTGACTCTTATTTTCACACCGCTTGTTGAATTTCCTCCTTCCTATGAATGCCTTGTTAGTTTTCTGTCATCAACCCAACCCCCCTGGACCTGGAACAAATTTCTTTTATTTGATGCATTTTGGTTTTACTTCCTCAATGTGTCTTACCTAACACATAAACCTGAACCCACTTCTCCTCTCTTCTGGTCAGCACTCTCCTAAGGAGTGGCTATCTCGGCTATGGCCAGTCTCAAGAAAGATACTTCAATACCAAATGAGAAAGAAACTACAACAGTATATATCACAACACTTCTGTGTATATTTGAGAAAATATTAATTATGTAATTAAAGTAGAATTTCTATAAATCAGATAATTGTTAATTATGAACAAATACCATATATGAAATAAAGAAGCAACACTCTTGGTTGATGTTAGAAACTTCTTTATATTTTATTTCATTCTATTTTATTTTATATGCTTTGCATTACCTAATGGGCTATAGAATGATGAAAATACATAATGTCAAGCTGCAGAAGCTGGAGAATGGGGAATGTGACATGACTGTCTAATGGATTTAGAGTTTCCTTTTGTAATAAAGAAAATGCTCTAGATGTAGATACTGGTGATAGTGGCACAGCATTGCATATGTATTAAATGCCAACAAATTGCAAAAATTAAGTGGTTAACATGGTGATTTTTATGTTTATAATTTCTACCTTAATTGAAAAAGAAAGATGGTCAGATTTGACCAGATTTGGCCCAGAGGCCATTGTTTGCCAGCACTTGGTTGATATGATAAATTTAATTTCCACATATTTGAAATAGTAAATGCTGTTTTTAAAAATTTATATTAGAAACGTGTCATGTTTAAAAATAAATTCATACAATTATTTGAACAATAACATTATTGTGGAAATTTTTCTCTGTCTAATAATTATGATAATTAGTTTACATTATATTTTGCTATATATGTCACTGTATTTGGTGCTTTGCCATATTAATGAATTTATTCTCTTAACAACTTCATGAGGTTGATAATGTCATCATAATCCTTATCATTTCATTGATGAGGGAGCTGAGGCATTGAAAGGTTAATTAATGTGCCCAATCCCACATCATTTTGTAGTGGGATTTGGCAGTGACTTGAATCAAGCCATCTTTGGGTCCAAAGTGGAAACTCTTAACCACCATGTTATGCTGACTCTTCTATCTGGGTTACAGTTAGTTTTAAAATATAACATCTACATTTTCCCATTTATGTAGCTATATATTAAAAGTAATTTATTACAAATGTAAAATATATAGAAATATTGGTACCACCGAATAACAAATTGCCCTTAAATTTAAGCCATAAAACTACAATATTTAATTATCTCTTACAGTTTAGGCGTTGGCTTGGAACAATTATGTGTTTTTTCCACATAGTTTCTAAAACTATCAGGATTTCTTAGTCTATGTGATATATATGTATATCATTTATTTTGTTTTTCCACAAAATGTTATTTATCATAGGGACTTCAGATATGGCACCAAGCTTTACATTTAGTTGAGGAGGTATGGGTAGTAGCAAGATAGAAAGAGACGGAGATGGAGAAATAGAAAAGAGACAGAGACAAGACAAAGAGACAAAGAAGGAATGTATGCTTTTCTAAGAGAGCCTTGAAAGTTAAGCTATATCACTTCTACTGCATTCTCTTTGTTGAAACAGCCACAAGGTTTGCCAAAGTTCAAAGAAAAACAATATGACTTGACAGAAGTATTGTCAAAGTATTTGAATTATATCTCAAAATCACCATATATAAAACCTGTTGAAGTACGCAGCAGCAGTCACTAAGTTACTGTAATATTTATTGTATATTGACATAGAAATCAGAAAAATTACTAAAATTTTGTGAATTTAGATTTCTATAACTGCTAATATTTTTTAAAACTTTTAAATATATTTATTTATAGATGTTTAAATATAAAATAGATGTTCACAAATGGGCCCCACATAGAGGAAATAAATACTATCCCAGAAATATCTTGAAGATATTGACTTATAGCCATTTAAGTGCTGGAGGAAACATCCTGTTCATACATGTGCTTACGTGCAAGGATTTCTGCATGACAGATTTCTAGATGTAGAACTTCAGTTTCAAATGATATATTTAAATTTATTTGAAAAGATTAATTTACATTATACTTCTTCAAGAATAGATTTCTCAGGTTTTTATAGGTTGCAAATATTTTGTAGGATAATGATTTATTGACCTCATTTTTGTTTTCTTAAACATCAATAACTTTTGTCATTTTTTATAATTATTATCCATTTTTCATTGAATTTCCTGTTTACACACACCATCAAATTTCATATTGGACTATATCCCTCATACTTCACTTAAAGTTTGTCAGAAATTTCCAGTATTTTTACCAAAAAAAATCGTTATTAAAAGCTGGTGATTAAGAATCACTGACATTCAGGTGTTTGGTATTGTAGTTGGAATTTCTGTGAAATGGGCCAGAGACTCCCATTTGTAATACAGAATTATACAGTAAATGGTTACATAGCTGAATGATCATATTTCTCAGGTCAAGGTTTAGGTAGGACACATTTTGCCCTGAAATCACACAGCTAAATTGATGTGCTATTTGTAACTGGGTGTGAGGAATTCTCATCATCCCTTTACTATGTCTCACAGGGAGTGCTTGCACCTTAGTGGGAGAGGCTTCCAGGCCTTTCTCCAGAGGAGTTATGGTAACTGTCTTGAGTAGCTTTCTCACATTATATTCAACTCTTGGTGAAGATGTGCTTGCCTGGAATTGATTGACAATTATTCTGACTTGTGGTTCCCAGTCTATGCCAATTTTTAAATTTAAATATTTTCAAATGTAATGATTGGGGTAAAACTTTTTCTTAAGTGTTCCTTACAAATGAAGAAAGAAAATATTGACTGTGCAGACCACAAATTGCTGAGTATTTTTTAAAATATGATTTTTAATCTTAAGACCTCAATGTCAACACGAGAGTCATTGTAGTACTATTCCAGGTAATACATGGTATATTCAGGTATTGCATGTGATTGCAGTAACTTGTAGCCACATTTAATGTAACTTGTATTCAGTGTTTTGTCTCACTGGCCTGATGCCCAGAGCCTTCTTCATCTACCCAGTGTTAAAATAATATATCCTCTGTTTACAGATTCATCACTGATGTGGGCTATTTTTTTCCCATTCTGTGAAAACTTTACAAAAGTAATACAAGATCAATGCAAGAGCCGAGCACGGTGGCTAACACCTATAATCCTTGCACTTTGGGAGGCCGAGGTGGGTGGATCACCTGAGGTCAGGATTTCAAGACCAGCCTAGCCAATATGGTGAAAACCCATCTCTACTAACAATACAAAAAAAAAAAAAAATAGCCACGTGTGGTGGTGAGTTCCTGTAATCCCAGATACTCGGGAGGCTAAGACAGGAGAATCTGTTGAACGTGGGAGGTGGAAGTTGCAGTGAGCCAAGATCGTGCACGGCACTCCCACATGGGTGACAGAGCAAGACCCCATTTCAAAAAAAAAAGATCAATGCAAGAAATTTTATAAACATATGAAAAGTTTTAAAAAGAAAATAAAATGCTCCTATAATTTCTGTCCCAGAGGCATTACCAATGTAAAAATGGTATATGTTCATTATGGTTTTTATTTTATTTATATAATATAATGTACATATGTGACATTTATTAAGAAAATTTTAATATTATTGCATGTACCTTTTCATCTTAAAATAAGTTGACATTTTGCTATATTTGTCATTTAGATCCTCAGTTTCCAGCTAAACTTGTATTATGGGTGCCAGTGTAATTAAATAACAATATTTGTTTGATAAAATGATTGTGATGGTATGACATACACAGAGTATAAGTATTCCTTAATTTAAGATGTTTGGATTACTTCCAATGTTTATATTATGAATATCCTCCATAAATATTGAATATATACATCTTGATTTATTGTTTTCTCTGCATGCTTTTATATAACATATTATGACTCCAATGCATTTTTAAAACACTTGGTACTTTTTGCCAAATATCTTATTCTTTTAAAATATACAGAAATTTTAAAAGAAACTCATATTCAATTGAAAAGCAAGCAATTAGGGGTAAAGTAACAATTGATTTATGTAATAAAGAATTAGAGAACAGGTTTCACAACTATTGACTTGGATTCAAATCTTCTTTCTGCAAGCTAATAACAGCTATTATCAGTAATTATCATGAGTGTACTACTAGTCATTCTTTTTCTTGTTCTCCTTCTCCACCTACTATCTTTGCCTTCCTAATGGCACTATCATTTTCCTTAATGAGAATGGGAAAACCTTTCAAGAATAGGGTTAGATAGGGGCCAGGCATCGTGGCTCATGCCTGTAATTTCAGCACTTTGGGAGGCCAAGGCGGGAGGATCACTTGAGGTTATGAGTTCAACACCAGCCTGGCCAACATGGCGAAACTCCATCTCTACTAAAAATACAAAAAGTAGCTGGGTGTGGTGGCCCACTCCTGTAATCTCAGCTTCTTTGGAACATAGAATATGTGTGTGTGTGTGTGTGTGTGTGTGTGTGTGTGTGTGTGTGTTACGTAGTTTTGCTTTTCTTGACCAGATATGCATATCATTATGCATAGAATATATGTCCACTTGAAATTCCCTCTTCCCATTTCAGTAACCGCAGGTAAAAGGAAATTCTCTCACAGTGGTATCATTTTGGTGTGTGGAAGGGGGGTGGTACAGTCCAAAATAATTATTCATCTTACCAATCATAAGTTTTTCATGTCCGTGAGTCTTGGGGTTTTCTCCTTCTCTCTTGAGATCTGGTGAATTCAGAGTGACATTTGTGTATTTGGATAGCTACTAGTTGTACTTTTGTGGGGGAATTGATGTGGGGTTTTTAAAATTTTATTATTTTGTTGACATCACAAAATGCCAGCAAATTGACACTTGATATTGTTGAAATAGTTTTATGAGTTTGCAAACCATTATGTTTTTAGAATTTGATGTCTATTAAATATTAAATGAGCTGCACATTTCTCACTTAAATGTTCTTTATAATTATTTGGTTGTGTGCTTTTTCTAGTAAATAATTATTATGTACTGAAGCCATATGTTTCTAACACAAACTTGAACATTTCTATTCTAAAATGCACCTCAGAAAATAGGGATGATATAACTATATATATGTCAACTTCAAAATTTTATTTTAGAAGTATACATAAACTATATTATTCTATGTGGCATTGCATCTTTATAATGAAGAAAGTTTTTCCTCTGTAGGAAATGGAAGAATTTGTCCAGAGCTCTGATGAGGATGGTGTTGTTGTGTTTTCTCTGGAGTCAGTTGTGCAAAACCTTACAGAAGAAAAGGTTGATCTTATCACTTCAGGCCTGGCTCAGATTCCACAAAAAGTCAGTAGAACCTCCAATCCTTATAAGAAGCTATTCACACAATGGAGAAAGTATGGCTTTCCATTTGGAATTTGAATCTCATTTTTCAATTTGCATAACAGGCATTAGATTTACATAACAATTTGGAAAGCATTATGGTTGTGTATGTGGACACAACTTATTATTTGCCTAGTGATCTTTTCTATTGCTTTAGTAACATATCCCTTGCTTGTCATTTGTTAATAATAAAATAAAAATAGTGCATTAAGTCCCTATTCCACATTGCAGGATTTGAAATCTTGAGACATATTCTGATGACTCCAAAGGAAACATTTTAAATACGTTAGCTCAAATGAACATAAAAATTGGGGAATGATATAAGAAAGAGAAGATTCATGCTCAATAGTATTCTCCACGTATTTGATTGTATAGGAACTCTATTCAGTGTATTTGAACATAAAAGTAGAAGCATAGATTTATGTAGTCTTTCTAATAAACTAGAGTTTTCCTATAGTTAAAAGGTAATTATGATTTTAATATTATAGTCTAACAACCTGCATGTAATTCTTTATGATATTCAATTAATTTTGTTATTACTGTAATTCTAGTTTTCCTCTCTTTAGTTAGTGCTATATATACACTAGCCTAGAGGTTTTTTTTTTTTTAATTTTATGTTTAGTTAAATTTCAAAACACTCAATGAAAGCAAGTATGCTAATTAGAAATGTGAAATTGGCTTAGTCATGAGATTCTCTTTTTGGGAGTTCAGAATATCCATGTAATCCTTTGTTTTCAAGCATATGTTTATCATATACGTTTCCAGAAAGAAAAAAGTGTGGAACTAAGGTACAAATACAAACAAAATTTAACCTTCAACAATGAAATATAGGTAATTCCTGTCTCTTTGTTTTTTAATTAAAAATAAATGAAATAAAGGAGATAAGGAAGCATGAAGAGAAAAGACAACCAACTATCCAAAACCAGACAAAAGCCAAAGCAATGTTTGTCTCTGGGAAACTATAAATTTGATAATAGAGCTAGAATGGCCAAGTGATTTACATTTACACAGAAGTTGTGTGTCTGTAAGAAATTTAACTTCCATATGCTGACAAATTAGCCAACACTGCTTTTTTGTTGTTGTTGTTATTTTTGTAATCTCACTCCTAGATGCTTTGAGTTTGCAGGAAACAAAATAATAAATGGTATACCTAAGAGTTGAATGGTATACACCCTTTTAAAAGGTGACTGTCAACAGTCTATTTCTTTCAGTGATTACAAAAGACTCATATAAATGGTTTATGTAGGAGTTTTCTGAATTAATTTCTATGCAGAATGCAATATTTAATAAAAGGTAAAACAAATGTGCTATTAGAAGTTTTCCTCTTGCCTTCTTAAAGTATATTCTTTAGTATTCTTAAATATATTCTTTAACATTCATATTCTTAAACTCCAATATTAATGATAAACATTACTGAATAACTAAAGTGTGAGTCTTGGAAGGGATGCACCTTCCTGCATCAAGCACCTCACCATCACTCGAGTGTCCTCTATTGATGAAGCTTAACTTTCAACTAGCTGGCAAAGGAGGAATGCTTACAGGATCCTGATTCAGTATCATAAAGCTGTATTAGGATATGAGGGACGATAAATTGAAAACTGGTGAGGCATAAAATTTCAAATTTCTCATTTGTTATTATTTTTAAGTTGTACCCTAAGACACTGAATCTTGGTAAAGTTTGGATGAGTAGGAGGCATGACTTTCTTTTTTGAAAGTTGGGGGCCATATAGAGGTTCAGACAAAGGTGAGCTTAGATTTGAGCCACTGAGTCCACAGTTCCACTGGTGGTCACTTGTCTAATGTCCAAATATATATTAAAAATTGAGATACTAGTAGGTTGGATTTTTGATTTCAGTAGTTGCTAGCTCGGACCTGGTTAGAGGGATTCTTGTTGTGCTGGGCCCATGGGTGCCCTTCACCTATCACCACTCTATTCATACTCCCAACAAACCAGCACTGGAGTCGCCAGTTATTTTGTGCTTTACCTATGATAAATATTAATTTTTACCAATTCAAATTATATAATGATATATAATTGATTTCATTGTTAGTCCCTAAATAATAAATTGATTAATCACTTTTTGGGTTTATGATCCAGTCAGAAATTTGTTCACGTACTGCACTCATTTTATCAAGTGATATTTTTCATTAGATTCTTCTTTAGTATAGAGACTTTATTAAGGATAAATTTGTTATTCATAAGAGATCCAGAATCCTAAGTCATCATGACCATGGCTCAGAGTGACTAGCAAAGAGACAAAATAATAAATGTCAGATAAACAAGTAAAACTTAATGAATAATCCTTAGTCAGGTAAGGTGAACTTTGCAGTTGGATTGATCAATAATAAAGAGGACATGCAGGTTGCAAGAGTTAGGACAGAATGAAATAAAAATTGAGATAATCACATTGAATCAGGGCATAAACACTTTAACAAAGCATATAATGGGTAGTTAAGACCAAGAAAACAACTAGAAACAAGAGAGCTTTGGAAGAAAAACTAATCAGTAAAGCTTTAACAGAAAGCAATTTTAGATTTTAATCAGTTTACTGGTAATTTTCAGAGCATTAAGTGATTCTTCTTGTGGGCTGTTCAGTCAATCATTCATTTCCACTTTATTTTATGTAATCAAACAACATTTCATATAATTAGGGAGCACATTTCTGATTTCAAGAATATCTAATTATTTTTGTATTCATCCTTCTCACCTCATCCCATTCTTCTTTTATGTTAGTGACTCTTTCATCCCTGAACATTTGAATCATTCTTATATAAAAATCTCATTTTGTAAAGTTATGGTGGTACATACCTGTAATCTCATCCCTTTGGGATGCTAAAATGGGAGGATTGTTTGAGCCCAGGAGTTTGAAATCAGCATGGAGAACACAATGAGATCTCATCACTACAAAAAATAAAAAATTAGTTGGACATGGTGACATGCACCTATGGTCCCAGCTACTTGGGGGGCTGAGGTGAGAGAACCTCTTGAGCTTAGTAAGTTGAGGCTGAAGTGAGCCATGATCACATTTCAATATAAGTGCAACAAATTTCAATACAAGCTCATATGGCTTTATATTATTTTTTATTTCCCCTAGTGTTTTCTTCATTGCCACAGAATATTTCTAACCATTAACTGGGTGGTAAATCTCTGAAAAACAAATTTTTACTTGACAAGGTAGACTTCGAAAGGATTTTTTTTTGTCACAGGAAGAAAGAAATCTTGCATCACAATATTTATTGCTGGAATCAACTGAAGTATTCCTATCTATCAGGTTTTCCAGCTTCAAATCTCAGATATAACTAATCCCTTTTTCCCTTCTTTCCTTTTCTAGCAAACTTCCAGAAACAAAACAGACAACACTTTGTGATGATAAATAGCACGGTTGCCACACAAGCCAGCAGGAACCCAATCACATCCAAAGAGTGGTACTGGAACCAGGTGAGGTTGTGGGCTGCAACTCGAAGATGTTTGGCTCCTTTGTGGCGCATGACAAATTCAATCCAGAAGACTGCTCGATCCAGGGGCTTCACTGGTTGATCATGTTGAATTCTTGATAATTTCATAATATTCTCTTTATATCTGAAGGATAAAAATAAAGATACCGACACTGAAAGTAAGTTAATTTGCCTGTAGATATCAAGTCTATGAAAGGCTTTTAAAGTGTCAAATAATTCAAAGTAAATGTCAAAGAATTGATATAGAATTTATGTATTTTAATTTGAGTCATCATACAAAGTTTGGCTTTTAAATTGGACTTTTCTCATTGACAAATATTTTTAAAGTAGAAAAGGAAAGTCAGGTGAGAAAGTTATTTTTTTCAAGCAGAGAAAGTATCAGGCATTTTTAATTTGTTTTTAATTTTTTAATTTTAAGTTTTTGTGGGTCCATATTAAGTGCATATGTTTATGGGGTATATGAGATGTTTTGATACAAAGTGAAATAATCACATCATGGAAAATAAGATATTCATTCCTTAAGCATTTATCCTTTGTATTATGAACACATTCCACATTACACTATTAGTTCTAAAACAGGCATATTAGAACGTGCTCAACATCATGAGCCATTTTAAGTGCTGCAAGAAAGATGTGAAAATGCAATCTGAGAATTAACATCTCTAAGTTCCTAAAAAGGAATTTTATCATGGTGAGTGACATGCCTCATAGCTAGTCACTTGGCTTCTAGATTACTCTTTTGTCTCCTACTGTTTCCCACCCTGTAGCCAGAATGATGTTTTGCAACTAAAGTGAGATTATGGCACTCCCCTGATTAAGATTTTTGCCTGGCTTCTCATTATTTTAAGAATAAAATCCAACTCTGTTATTTGGTCTACAGAACCCTACATTGTTAGACACTGGCAAGGTCTTTTTCTAACACTTTTACCTGCACACTGTCTTCTAGATTGGCCTACTATTTTTCTTTAAGCTTCCAAAGGTGTTCTCATCTTAGCACTTTACACATTTTATCCCTTCTCTCCCGCTCTTGGAGTATTCTTTCTTGCTATACCCAAGGCATGCTTCTCTCCCTTTTTGTGGCTTCCCTCTAAGTGTTACCTCTAAGAGAGGCTTTTACTGGCCACAATCTGACGGAACCTCTAGGATTTTCTCTGTTTACTGTGCTTATTTTCTATCTGATTCCTAGAATTTTTAAAATGATTTATATATCTCATAAAATATATATTTAAATACAAAATACAAAAGATAAATATACGTACACTAAGTGAATAGTTCAAAAATGGAAGATCATCTTGAACATTATCTTGAGGCAAAAATACCAATTTACCTATTGTTCAGTTCATGGTACAGGATATCACAACCTGCCTAGAATAGCTCTCTTTTTCTGAACCATTTTGTCACCACTTTTGTCCACCAACTAAAGAATAACCGGACTTTGAATAGCAGCACTAGCTTTGCTTGTTTATGTAATTGAATTATATAATATGTACTCCTTAGTGTTTATTTTTTTTAGTGTAACCGTTCTTGGGTAATTCCATTGCTGTGTAGTATTTTGTTGATGGATAAAGCACAAACTATGTCTTCATTTTATGTTGAATAGATATTTCTGTTGCTAACGCTTTTTGGACACTGTTGATAATTCTGTCATGACCACTCTTCTATATACCATTAGATTTATATATTTATACATATCTGTTGGGTATATAATTGAGAGTAGAATTGCTGAGATAACAGTGCATGCATAATTATGATTTACTTCTTGACTTTAAATATTTGAAGTGTATTTTGTTAATTTCCAAAATTTAAAGATATTTTAGTAATAGTATTTATAACCTCCCTTACTTCCACTATGGCTGGATCATATAGTCTTTATGATATTGAATCTTTTTATATTTCCTAAGTCTTGATTTATTTCCCACCACATGCCACTTCAAATGACTATTAACTATTCAACATGCTCTAGGAAAATGTGTCTTCCAGTTGATATATACGATACATATATGTGTATTGTATATGTACATGTGTGTATATCATTTTACATTATAAGATTCCATTTGTTAATTGTGTTCTTCAAACGTTTTATGTCCTTACTCATTATTTGCTTGTTTTTTTAAAAAAGTCTGTTTAGGTTGAGTGAAAGTATTTGTATAATCACATTTAAATCTACCACTTTGTTTTATATTTCTTTTCTATTTGTCCAAGTTGGTTTGTGTTTCTATTCAATTATTTCCCATCTTCTTTAAAGGTGTTTTGATCATTCTTTATCCTTCTATTGTCTTTGTGATAAAGTATTTTTAGAGTATTTCTTTAGATGATACCCTCCTTACACAAAGGCCAATGAACTGATAAATGAACAACTAAATTATGACGTATCTATATTAAAAAATATTATACAAGTGTAAAAGAAATTAAATATTAAAACACACAACGACATGAATTAAACTAAAAACCATAAAAAAAAATTAGGCTAGGTGAAATGTCATTTACACAGTACCCTAGACTGTATGATTCCATTTATATGAAACATCTATAGAGAATAATCTATAGAGAAAGAAAACAAATTGGTGTTAGACTATGACTAAGCAGTCATGGGAGGTGATTTTGGTGTCACTGCAGTTTCTTTTGCGTTGATAAAAATGTTCCAAACTTATACACTGGTGATGACTTCATGACTCTGTAAACATAGTAAAAATATTTGGAATTTTTGCCATAAATAGGTGGGTTTTATGCTATCAAAATTAAATCTCATTTTCAAGTCTGTTACAATAAAGATAATAATAAAAATTAATTTTTCTGCAAGAAAATAGTTATATTCTGAGACATTTTAGATATTTAATTAAAACATTTTATTATATTATTTCAAGATTATTCTTCCTTTCTACTATGGATTCATTATGTCAAATTTTTAAGAAATGTATTTTTTTATATTATCTATATCATTTTAAAATTATTTTTATTTAGAAAACTGTTTCACTAACTGGTTACTCATTAGATGTATGGGGTTCAAATACAATTTTTAAATAACAGATAAAAAGTAAAAGCAGATTTCGGATTGGTTAAATCATTTAAATTCTTTCAAAATCACTCTCTTATAAAAAGGATGAAACTCATGCTCACTACTGACAAGAAAAGCTATCTATTAATACCATCTAGTGAAAAATATTGTTCTACTCACGAAGGATCATTAATTACTGTCTTCAGTGCATTCAGCAGGTCTGTACTCGACATTGTGTTGAAGTCCACTCTAACAGCTGCTCCCTTGGCCTTCATGTGAGCAATATTATCAGGTTGATCAAAAAACAATGGAATGCCCACCATAGGGATCCCATGGTAGATTGCCTCATAGATGCCATTGGCTCCACCATGAGTTATAAAAGCTCTGGTTTTTGGATGACCTAGGATTGGATGAATTTTAGCAAAATTATTCATAGGAATAAAATGAGATGCACAATGAAAGGCTCTGAAAGTGACAGTGTTTTCTAGATAACACACTGAACTAATTTGCTATTACTTTTCAGATTTCAGAGGAAAAAACAGGTACTTGTGTTGGAGATGTAACTGAAGGCTATATGGTGGTGTGACTTCAGACTGCAAAACTTAATACAAGATTTCCAGTTGGACTAATGAAAAAGAGCATTCTAGATTTTTAAAATGTGCACAAAAGAGGACAGCAAAGAGATGGGCATGAAATGAAGTGTTATTCTAAGTACAGTCACAGAGTGTGATATGTGGGGTGTGCAAGGCAGCAGGCAGTGGGTTGGTGGTGGTGCTAAGATTGAGGAAAGACAGGTCACACTTCATCATGAAATGTGTCATTACTTTAAGATTAGGAATTTAGTCCTCCAGAAAATACAGTCACTGGTGATAGAAGAGCTATTATATTTAGTGGCATTTGAAATAACCCTGCAGGAGAGGAGAAAACAGGTGTAAAGTTGTAGAAACAGGAGACAGAGGGACAGCCCAGGAAGATATTGAAAAATTCTGTGAGATATAATAGCACCTGAAATAAAGATTACCTCTGATTCTGACCACAAAGAATGTGAGTGTGTATCACAAAATGCCAACAATTATAACATATTCTTTTCCCCTAGGACTGGAAAATAAATATAAAGAAGTTCTTTTTTGTTTTCCTATAACAAATATTCAATAAGCATGCTTCGAGATGAACTATTAACACTCTAATGTGCAGTTACTAATATATCCAGTATTGTTCACCAGAGTGTTACCTAGAAGGTCATTCTGGGGTATCCACTTGTACAGTCGAGTATTGAGACCTAAGGCATCTGGTTTATTCCCATCAAATCTCCAAAGAACCTGTTACAGTAAAGAGAATATCTTATTCCACGAGTGGAACTCAAAAGTTATAAAATGTTAGAACTGTAAAAAGAGTAGAAATGAAATCAAGGGATGTTAGTAAATAAATCTACTCAAAGACTGATGCAAAAAGAATAACCACATTTTATTTTCTGAACTTTTATAATGATTTAGGTATATAAGAAACCATTATTTTCCAAAGTAATACCTTAGAAAAATAAGATTATCAATGAAAAGTTCAAGTATTTAGAAAATTTTTATACTTTTTAAAAGAAGAACTACCTGCGGCTAACCATCGAAGAAAAAAAGTTTAACATCACACATCATTAGAGAAATTCAAATCAAAACCACAATGAGATAACATCGCACACCAGTCAGAATGGCCATTATTAAAAACTCAAAAAATATCATGATGTTGGCGAGGTTGTATAGAAAAGGAATGCTTATACTCTGTTGGTTGGAATGTAAGTTAGTTCAATCATTGTGGAAGACAGTGTGGTGATTCCTCAAAAACCTAGAGGCAAAAATACCATGAAACCCAGCAATCCCATTACTAGGTATATAACCAAAGGACTATAACTTGTTCTGTCATAAAGATCCATGAAACTATATGTTAGTTGCACTACTATTCACAATAGCAAGGACATGAAATCAACCTAAATGACCATCAATTATGGACTGAATAAAGAAAATATGGTATATATACACTACAGAATATTATGCAGCCATAAAAAGAATAAAAATATGTATTTTGCAGGGATAAGGATTGAGCTGGTGGCCATTAGCCTTAGCAAACTAACATAGGAATTGAAATCCAAGTGTAACAAGTCCTCACTTATGAGTGGAAGCTAAAAGATGAGAACACATGTACACATAGAAGGCAACAACATACACTGAGATGTATTGGAAGGTGGAGGATGGGAGGAAAGAGAGGATCAGGAAAAATAATAAATGAATATTAGTCTTAATACGTGGGTGATGAAACAATCAGTACAACAAACCCCCATGACACAAGTTTCCCTATGTAAAAAACCTGCACATGTACTCCTGAACTTAAAATAAAAGTTAAAAATAAAAGTTAATTTAATTAAAAAAATAAAAATATTATAAAAAAAGTATAAAAAATTATAGGGAGTCATTGTAATTCTGGTATAAAAAAAGTAACAATTTAGTAATGACCTATATGTTTATTTTGTTTTATGTATTTTATGTTAGTTTTCATCTCCAAATTTAATTGTAATGTATTCGTTTCTTTTTGAGTAATATGAGTAGTTTCAATATATCTACTTGTCTGTAAGTTATTATATTACAGCCTGTTGTCCTTTGATTGACAAAATAGCAAGTCTATAAAATAAGCTACTACAAGAAATAAATAAATGCTGCAAGGGTTTTATGTATAACTTCATTGGAATTACAAATTATCAAGCACTACTTCCAAGAAAAATTTCAAGTGACAATTTTTGACACAAATTCAGAGTATTACCAACCAGTATTGCTAATTTTGGATTTTTTTGGCATAGAAATAAGGAACATGTTGGTATCATGAATAAAAATAAAGCTTTTGAATAACCTCAAAATTGTATTTTGCTGAATTTGGTCAACAGATTATTAACACTTAGACAAGGTGCTACAAAGCTTTGACAACAGTGATTAATATGTTCTTCTATAGCCAAGACATTTTTATGTTGTTACTAATTTTGAAACTCCAAAGCAATCCTCATAAACTGAACAATAATTTACAGTGTTTAATTTTATTTGCTACATCACTGTTAAAGTAACTCAGGTTTAAGCAAAATTTAGAGGCCATTACAAGAAAGCTTTATCAGATAGGAAATTAGAAAGTAATTGACAAATGGACAAAGGTCACTGGTTTATTCTATATAGAAGAAAATATATTCCTACTATGTTCTATGGAGGGGGCATCTGAACCTGTTCCCCTGCCTGGCTTCCTTCTGTTTGTCTCCTTCCTATATTTCCTTCTGCTGCGTCCATTGGGAGGGGTTGTTAATCTGGTAATTAGTGCTGAGTCCTTGTGGGGCCACATTTTATACTGGACAGGATCCACCTTCAGGTCAGGATCCATCTGCACCTTTTCCTTTTCACCTGCCTGCTTCAGATATTGGCTGGGCCCAGTCCAGCAGGGCAAGCTGCTTTTTCTCTTTCTCTAAATCTACCTGGTTGTGTGGGTACTTGGACTAGTTGTCTGTTGGCCTAGGCCACTCTTTCTCTGAATAGTAGCCTGAACATCATTCAGATAGGCCTATGCCAAAATGTAGAGGAAGTATCTGAGGCTGGATAATATGGCAAACCTAAACTGCATGATGCATGTCAGACTTTTTGAAATACCTGCTATTGTTATTGTGCTACTGAAGTCACCCATTAAAACGTAACTTTTTCTGATAACATCTGTAGTGTGTACAGTGCCCTCAGGAATTCTTAAACAAAAGGGTCAAATGACAGGGGCAGAATTTGGTGATAACTCTTACCTGATCCCTATAACATGATAATATCGATACTTCATCTACATTTCTTAAATAAATTTATTCCTGGTCATATTATTAATGCCAAACTTATTATCAATGAAAAACAGCCTATTATTATAGCATCATCCATGTATATTTTTGATTTTGAACTAATATCTGAGATAATTAGTGCTTTCCCAAAAGCTCTAATTTTTAGGCCCGAACTTTCTTTTTTATTTGTCATATTCATAAAGTTTATTTTAAAAAATTTTAAAAACTTACCATACAGGAATATTTATTAATATACTTAAAAAGTTTGTTCCCTATGCTGAAGTAAAATACATTAGTGACATCTTCCAGGCACCATGTTTATAAAAGTAAAACTTCTAGGTCCTGAAATATACTACAGTAGAGTCTCTAGTTTACTAGTTTACTTTTTTTGAGACAGAGTGTGGCCCTGTAGCCCAGGCTGGAGTGCAATGTTGTGATCTTGCCTCATTGCAACCTCCGCCTCCTTGGTTCAAGGGATTCTCCTGCCTCAGTGTCCTGAATAGCTGGGGTTACAGGCACACACCACCACTCCTGCCTAATTTTTTGTATCTTTAGTAGAGACAGGGTTTCACCATATCGTTCAGGGTGATCTCGATCTCCTGACCTCGTGATCTGCCCGCCTTGGCCTCCCAAAGTGCTGGGATTACAGGCGCGAACCACCATGCCCATCCTATAGTTTACACTTTTAATCACAGGACTGGAATTCATTCTTTTTACTCCCCTACTCTCCACATATGCCAGTTATTATTCCTATATTAATGACATTCAATCATGCTATACTACCACTGATCCTTAAATAGAGTATATACTGCATAATGACCACCAGAGCCAGTCTTCTCTATTTGTTGCCACATATTTCATATAAGCATTTGACTTAAAGTACAAACAGAAATACTACATTCCTTAATTGTAAACATTCACCAAGGGCTTCCAGAGTACAATAAGTAATAGAGGTGGCCCAAGAGTTAGTCAAGTGTTCTTCACCCATTGGATACTGCTGAGATTAGGAAAACTCTTTTGAAGAAAATTATCATAAATCTTACTTGTATTTCTACAAGAACACAGTTCTGGATATATATTTTTAGTTGAAAACACCTGAAAGTCATTCTAAAGACTACATTAAGCACCATTTTCACTTAACTGAAATATATTGAGTTAAATTCAGCAGTAGGTATGACTGTTAACATCAGAAATTAAAAGTAATTGTGGGTCTCAAGTTCCCTTTTGTGGATACATATGGAGTACTGAGTTCCCACTGATGCTAATAGGAATCACTCATGCATACCAAGGGTAGTAACTACCCCAGGGCCACATGTAATCACTAAGTCTGAGGCACAACTATTACTTCTGTCAGTGGATGCTATACAAGCATATTTAAGGTTGTATTCAGCTATAAATAGTTCAGTCTACTCTTTAATATTCTTTCTATGTAGATCACAAACTTTAACAGCCTCTTTCAGTAGTTTTCCACACCAGTAAGGCACTTTATCTTACCTTTTGTGGGATCTTGGCAAGGGCTGTTGCAATTACGTTGGCCCTTTCTTCTGTCATGTTACTGACCATTGACCCCAGAGAAAACACCACAACACCATTTTCTCCAGAGCTCTGTACAAACTCCTCCATTTCCTGTGGGAAAAAGAAAAAATGTTTCATCATAAAAGAGTATCACCACAGCAGGCACTACCGAAAGAATTGGTACAAAATATTAAAGAGAGAAAATCAAGTATTTTGAGGAATTATTGGAGTAAATAATATTTTTTAACTGACTCAATCACTGTTTCTTTGCAAGAAGATGTATGAGATAGTTGGCCTCTGTTAAGGATATTTGTGTAAATATGTGTGTGTATGTAGGTATGTGTCTGTATGTGTGTAATGGAGAAAAGAAAAGGAGCTATTACATTGTAGTCAGGGAGATAATGTTAAAACATATACCCAGACTCTTCACTTATAATACTATAATTGCTACTATAAGTCCTTGGAAAAGTGGCACCACTAGGGTTTAATCTATATTTTTGTTCTACTAAATCACTTGTGTTTATTTCAGGCAGGTTTTCTGTAGAATTCTTTTAGTTTGAAGCCATTAGTGGTTTACTTCCCTAACTATGAGTACTGAGGAAAAGCTACTCACAGTTGGGATAATTTTATATCTACATTTACGTTACTCTACAATGCTTTTTGCTTCACTTAAAATTTGTCAGAGTTTTCCAGTAGTTTTTCAAAAAATAAAATAAAAAATAAAAGCTGGGGGTTAAGAATCACTGACATTCTGGAGTCTAGTATTGTGATTTGGAATATTTATGAATCAGTCCTTAGAGTCTCATTTATAATACAGAATTGTACAGTTTATAGTTAGTAGTTGAATAATTGTACCTTTCAGGTTATTGTTTAGGTGGAGCACGTATTGCCCTGAAATCACACTGTTAAATTGATGTGCTATTTCTAACTGCATGTGAGGAACTCTCATCATCACTTTGTTGTGTCTCAGAGGCAGCACTTGCACCAGAATAGGAGAGGCCACCAGGCCTTTCTTCAGGGGGATCTTGTCTCTCTTTTGAGTAGCTCACGCACACCACATTACACTCCTGGTGAAGATGTGCTTGGCTGCAATTGATTGAGAATTATTCTGACTTGAGTTCCCCAATGTATGCCAATATATAAATTTAAATACTTTCAGATTTAATCATTGGGGTAAAACTTTCCCCAGTGGTTTTTAACAAAACATAGAAAAAATGTGTCTAAGTGTAAACTGTGCACCACATATGGCAGAACGTTTTTTAAAATGTGATTTGTAATCTTAAGTTAACGTGAGAGTCCCTGTACTACTATTCCACATAATACTTGGGGCATCTAGGTATTGTGTGTGATTGCAGTTACCTGTAGCCACATTTAATGTAACTCGTGTTCAGTGTTTCATCTTACTGGCTTGATGCCAGAGCCTTGTTTTTCTATGCAGTGTTGAAGGAATCTAACCTCTGTGTAGAGATTCATCACTGATATTGACTGGTTGTTTCTCCTTTTGTGATAATGTTATAAAAATACTACAAAGTTAATGTAAGAAATTTTATAACAGTAAGAAAAGTTTTTTAAAAATAATTTTTTCTAAAATTTCTATCTAGAGATATTATTTATAGAAATTATGTATTTTTTATTATGGATTTTGCCCTACTTATATAGGTCAATGTACATACACGACACTTATTTAGAAAATTTTAATCTCATTTTATATACATTTCCTCCTGCAAAAATTTGCCATCGTGTTATATTTATAATTTTCTTATTCACTGTATGTGTATTATGGCTGACAGCATAATTGAACATTTCATTGATAAAATCATTTTAGTGCTATTGTAGGCATATGTTTCTAATCATTATTTCATGTAACATGTTGGATTACTTCCAATGTTAATTTTGTGAATATTTTCCATAATGTTTAAAAGGTACACCTTGATTAATTTTTTTATGATTTCACATGACTATATTATAAAACTAATAACAATATGTATTTTTAAAACACCTGATACATTTTGTCAAGTGTCTTATTCTCTTAAAATATATAGAAATTATCTGAGAATCTAATATATAATTGAAAAGAAAGCAACCTGGCTTAGCAAATATTTTACATAATAAACAATTAAAGAACTGGTTTCACAACCATTGACTTTCATTCAATGCTTTCTGCAAGTTAATAACAAGAGCTAGTATTAGTTATTACCACTATTGTACTACCAGTCAACCTTTTTTTCTTGTCCTTCTACATTGTCCTACTCTCTTCCTCCTTCTACTGGCACTGTCAGTTTCCCTTAGTGTGAGTGGGGAAATCTTTCAAGAGTAGGGTAGAGTGGCATATATTTTTCATTAGTCTTACCTCAACTTTTGTCTCTTAAGAAACTGACTCTATAAAGCCTATACAACTTGCATTAAACATAGATACTGAGTTTTAACAATGGAACAAATTCTCAGTTTTATGCAAGCAAAAATGATCTTTTAAGAGATTGCATAATAATCCATTGAAGAAGCCTTACTTTTTACATATGCCTTAAAATGTGATGTTAATTAAAATATATGAAGTTCTTGTATTCCTTCGAAAAGAATATAATCTTATATGCTGACGGAATTTTTTTTCGTATTGAAATTAAGGGCACTATTCAGAAACAAGTGGCAGAAATTATTTGGTCTTTATTATACATGCATTGTTCATTATCTCTGTGCTTCTCTGTCAGACACCTATGATGTCAAGACGAGTTCCCCCAGGAAGCTTTATTGAGTGGCCTGTCATAAGGCAGAAATCATCTGCTCTAATAGGATATGTTTATGCTCTAAAATGTAAAATTCTGGGATCTCAATGCAGAATGATTTAAATGCTTTATTAAAATCATGTGAACCCTGTGTTTGTCTGCACATATTTGAGGCACACATTTATATTGTTGAGGAAGTGTTTTAAGCTGGAATACTGGTGAAGATCCTTATTACTTATGGAAGAATTTTAAAATTTCAACTAGCTTATCTTGCTGTCACAACTGATATGTCTACTTTTAATCAAGTCCAAGGGTATCTGTCATCTATGACATTCCAAGACAATATAACCTTGATGTGCTGAATAATCTGGTTCTCTTAAATGAGGAATGATATCTCAAGTGACATGCACATGTTAAGTAGTTAGTAGTATTAGTAATAAAATAACCATAATTGCAAAATTAATAACATTTCTGAGTCACTGACTATATGCCAGAGACATTTTAAGTGTTTTGTCTGTGTTAATATTTTTTTCCACACAACACAATATGAAGTTGGCACTATTTTTGTAAATGTAGGCATAATTATTTCTATCAACAGTGTAGTCCACTTTTTCATCATCTGCTACCTGAATCCATGGAAAATTTCCTGAATGTTTCGGTCTTTACAGTCTGGCCCTTCTGCAATTTAATCCATTGAATATCTTGGAGGCTTTTCTTATAAAAAGAATCATTTCATATATCCTTATTTCTGAACTCTTTTTAGGATGTTTTCAATGTTCTTAATAAATATTTCAACTCCTAATACGTATCTGGCTCTAATTTACCTTTTAGGGTCATCTGATTCTTAATCATTCCCTGCAAACTAAACCTGAGGACTTGAGAACTGTCCTGACCACTTTATCTGCTTTCCCTTTTTGTCTGTCTCTCCCCACCATTCTTTTCCCTATTCCTGCATATTGTTCAGCTCTCATCGTACTCATCAGTGACTCCAGGATACTTTCTATTATCTCCACTGATGCTTTCTTAGCATTGGGTTTTTTTCTTGAGATAATAGTTTTTATATAATATTCATTACTTACTTATATTCTATATTTCAAAGTAGAATGTAAGGTATGTAGGGACAGAAACTGTGTCTATTTTTTTTCTCTGAAAATTGTGCACTTACCTGTGTTTTGTGATAATCTCTTTGTAAATATTCTTTGAATGAATGACCAATACCTTCTTAGGTGTTGCATAATCAAGACTTTAATTTAACCAACCCTATTTTCAAAGTTTCTTTAGTATTCCTCTCTATTTGTAACATGCATAAAACTCACATACGTGTGATGGTATTAACATGTACATGAGTTTCTAATTGGTATCTGCTTTACCCCACCTACTTCCCATCTTTTTCAGTGTTAGTCAAACACTCTGAATGAAGACTATACAGTCATTTCTACTGAAATTTGAAGCCAACAAAATAAAACCAACGAAAGTATGTTTACCTTAGGTAGGGGTTTGGCAGGTTTGCAGTGGAGTCCTCCAACAAAATCAACATTTGGTAAGAATGGATGAGGAAATTTAAAATTCCAGGAGTTTCGCATAAGCCATATGTCAGCTTTCCTCATTGTCTCAGATAATGTAGTGGGTCTTCCTGATAGGAATAAAGAAAAGAAGAAGTGGATGACATAAGATAATTACTTTATGTAATTTTCTGAAAGGGGTTAGAATAATGCAGGCAAAAATGTTGGTAAAGTTTGTGTGCTTTGAAAAATATGTACATATATTCATATATAGGAATAATTTATTTTTTATGTATTCTATATTTTGCCCTTGTTTATTTATAAGAAAGGCAAAGTAGTGGGAGAATTATGAGGTTAAGCTACATCTCTAATGTCATGTCAGTATACTCACAATTATTAAAATAAGTCATAGAGAATTAAACATCAATTTATTTTCTCTTTAAAGCTTCAATAGTAGCCTCTAGATATTTAAACAAATCTTTGAGCTCCATAATCAATTAATTCTACAGTAACCATAGAAACAATTTTCTAACAAATAGTCTAGTTTACACAACTCATTAAGCTAATCCTTTTATCTTTGGTTCTTCAAGTTAACTGTGGACTATTTTGTGAGTATGGCTGAAATCATTGTACCAACTACTCATTTGGATCCAAGCTAAGATCTTAATAATATTAAGTAAAAATATTTGTAAATTATAGCTAGAAATTTTTGAGAAATTATTGAAATAGAGATCTGTACTCGACCATAATCAGTCTCGTATTTTTAAATAAAGAGACATAGTTTCAAATAAACTATATAGATATAACAACCTTCACACTTCAACAAGATGATTGGACTTTAAATAAAAGATTTCCAATTATTTAGTGAAGGAGTATAGAAACATTTGAAACTTCAAATTACCCTTATTGATTTTTGCATCTGAGATATAGACATTATCTCTCTCTACTGTGAAGACAACCTCCTGGTAACATGGGAACATCTTTTAATTTCTAAATAAGACAACTGAGATTTAGAAGGAAAAATTTCTGCAGTTATATAGATAGTTGTAGAAAAATGTGTAATTACTCATTCTAAATCTATGCATTCGGTTAGATGTTACTTGACGGATCTTGCTGTTTTTAAGATCTGAAACATTCTATAGTAAAACAGATATATAATTGCTTAAAGTCTTAGGTGTACTAATATATAGGTTTATGATTTCCTGGGGTGTTCTGTATGAGTGATGGTCACAGCGTTTTCACTGACCCTATAATTTAAGCTTTTCTATAATATTTGTGAGATTGGTAGATCATCTTGTATTTTCATTTCATAAATTCATTTACCAAAAACTCCACTTCCCTGACTTTATGGCTTTATGCAAGTTGTGCTTCAAAGACACAAATAAGTTAGAGCTTCATGTTACTAATTGAAAAAAATCTTACCTAAAACTTCACTGTAAAACTGATCCCACTTCTTCATATTAAATATTTGGAACCAAAAGTCAAAATAAAGCACATAGAGCATATTTTTTACCCTCTCCATGAAAGTCATTTGATCACTTAATTTTGACATAACAACAGGTACGTAGGAAGGAGGGAAAATAAATCCTCCACTGTGCCTTTCAAATGAGTAGCCAGGACTGAAGCTGTGACTGTACACAAAGGGTATGTTAAATAGCTCAGCCAGCAGCTCACCACAGGGTAAATAAGCATCTGCAAAAACGATGTCAAATCTTGACTCTTGTAGTTTTTTCATAAGTTTCTTATTTGAAACTACATCTTTACAGAAGTTTCTAATTATGTCATTAATTGCCCACAGGATTTCTTGTTCTTGTGAAAAAGGTAACCAAAATGTATCTTTTTGAATTTCTGACAATCTCTTAACCAATTGCATGATGATATTCTCAAATTCAGTTTTAGTTAAAGATGTAGGATAAACTTCAAGTTTAAGAGTGGATGAGTCGTTGGGATCAAAAAGAATGGAAGCTGAAGATGCCAGTACAGTCACCTCATGACCTCTCTGAACAAGTTCTTTCAGGATTGTCTTCATATTCATCCAAAGGCTGTATTCTGCGGCCCATACCAGCACCTTTCCACAACTCCCAGAGCTAAAGTAAAAACTGAGTTGTATCAGCAGAACTGTAGTCCATTTCAGAGCCATCCTTGTGCAATGTGATAATTCTTTTCCAGTCACTGTTTCTTTCTCATACTTATATACAGAGATAAATCAATCAAGTTAAAACATAACTCCTTCAATTCAAAGTAAATACATTATATGAGCATCCTGAGTACATGGATGGCAAGGAGACAAAGTTCGATTACTTCATATTTACTCAAGGATGTTTGATGTTTCTTTTATGTTTATATTTGGTGTCATCCACCTAAGTTTAATGACCTTGCAAATATCGTGTTTTATATAATGTATTTTATAATAGTGTCAAGAACAGTGGCAAGTGAGAGAGTCCTGCAGGCCCCTTGACACAGAATGAGAGATGAAGTAATTATACAATGCAAATAGAATTTTTGAATATCTTGGTTCAAGGAATATTTTGTAAAACTTTGTTGAAGTATAATTCACATACCATATGATTCATGAATGATTATTTAAAATTAAATATTTCCTAGTAAATTCACAGACTTGTGCATCCAACATAGCAATCAGTTTTATCTAAAAAAAAAAAAAATCCTGTATATTAACTGTCATCTCCCCACCTGAATTTCTGCACCCACACTGTACTGGGCAACCAGTAATCTAATTTCTGCCTCTACAAATATGCCTATTCAGGATCTTTTTAAAAATAAATGAAACTATATAATATGTGGTCTTTTGTGGCTGGCTACTTTTATTTAGTTTAATGTTTTTAAAGGACCATCCATAGAATAGTGTATATAAGGATTTCATTTTTATTGCTTTTTATCAGATGCTACTTATAAGCAGAAATTATTTATTCATTTTTCAGTGGATGGACATTGATTTTCTTCCACTTTTGGCCATTATAAATAGCGTTCACATTTTTATTGCCAAATAGTATCAGATGCTACTTATAAACACAATTTATTTATTCATTCATTTATCAGTGTACGGACATTGTTTTTCTTCCACTTTTGGCCATTATGAATAGCGTTGATTAACATTGATGTACATGCTTTCTGTAGACATGTTTTTATTTTTCTTGGGTATATGCCTAGAAAGGCAATTATTGAATTATGTGGTAAATATATGTGTAAACTTTTGAGGAATTGCTAGACTTTTTCACAGTGGGTGAATAATTTTCTATTCTCACCAACAATGTATGAGAGTTTCAGTGTCTCCACCAACTTGCCAAACCTCATCTTTCAAATAACAAAAAAGGTTATTTTCTATTTTAATTCATTAACACACTCTAACAGACACAAAGAAAGGAAAGTTTCCTTCCACATATTGGAGGGAAAAGGGAATAAATTAACCACTAACTTACCTAATACTTCACTGTAAAACTGATCACACTTCTTTTTGTTAAAATTATCAAATGCAAAGTTAAAATGAAGAAAATGCAAAAGATTTTTCATCTTTCTGTAAATGTATTTTGGTACTAAGTTCTGACATGACAACAGCTACATCAGAAGGAGGTAATGAAAGTCCTCCACAGAGTTCTTGGTACATACTGCCAGTTGTAAATGGATGATAGTAGACCAAATGTATAACAAATGTTTAACAGATTAAGCTGTTCAGATAGCAGCTCACTAATGAGAAATGACATCTGCAAGAATGACATAAATTCTGGAATCTTGTTGTTCCTTATAAGTTTCTTGTTCAAAACAGCATACTCACAGAGCTTTTGAACAGTATCAGAACATTCATAATATGTGTTTTTTGTATCTTTGAATCATATGCCAAAATGTACTCTTTGGAAACTTGTATGTCCATATCTTGATCAATTTCATAAAAATGAAATCAAGTTCATTCTCAGTAAAAGATGTGGGATAAACCTCAAATTTAACAGCAAATTGTTGGAATCAATGAGGATGGAAGCTGAAGGTGACAAGCACAGTTACCTCTTGGTGTTTCTGAGCAAGTTCATCAAGTATCATTATTAAATTGATATAAAGACTGTATTTCACTGGCCACACCAGCACATTCTCACAGGACTCAGAGCTAGAATACAACTGTCAGCATAAGAAACAAAAAAGCCCATTTCTTAGACAACTTGTTAAAATGCTATCTTTCTTTCTAACTTTCTCTAACTTGGTACATATCAATGTCAATCAATGTCACAATGATTTAAGTGTTGACAATAGAGTTTTTGGAAAGCAAGAGAATAAAGAAAAGGATGAATGATTTTGTGTTTGTATGTGTGAATAATAAATTTATTGTTATTTGCTTATTGTAAATGTGGCTGTCTCCAGAACAAGAGATAATTTAATTGTATATAAAGAGTTTCTAGTATAAGAAAGCATCATTCTGTCAACAATGAGGCAGTGGTGTGATCTATTCTTATTTATCTAAACATTCTCAAATAGAATATCTTCATTTTCTCTATGTAGTTTCACACTTATTATATTAGCTTCATTTCATGTTCCTTGACATTGTTTTTCTGACTGTAGAAATTCCTTTTATTTTTATCCAAACAGATATGTTTTAAGTACAATTACAGTTACTTTGTTTCATTTGAAAATATTTTGTCTAAATCACAATAATATCCTTTTCTGAATATTTGCAACATTGCTTACATTTCTCAGTCTTAGAAAATATTTATCTTCTAAATGCCTACTACTTAACTTGTTTCACAGATTGCCTTGTAATTCAGGCAAGTTGTACTTTTAAAAAGTCTAAATAGAAATTTACATCAAGTAGAATTAGGAAGGAAAAGATGCATGTCACAAAATAGAGATATTTGTTTTTATTCTATTAATAATCTGTTAATCTGAAATGAGGTAAATCTTTCTTAAAAAGATATTTGAACACAGTTTCTGAGCAAATATTGCCTGGAGAGTGGCAATATTGTTCAATATTTTCAATGTCCTTGAGTGCAGGCATTATGTGTCACCCAGATTTCCCTTTTGGGAATATAGAAATTACTTTCCAGCTGATGAAGTGATGAACAACTGACATACCTCACCTATAAGCTCTCTCTCTCAGTACATCTCTGCTGAAAGCTATCTAGTATGTAGTGACTTTTCCAAGACAGCCAATATCCAATGCCTGGTCACATGTAGGACTCTAAAGGCCCATTCTCCTCATTTCAACTTGGACCAACTCTGAAGGGCTAACTTAGCTTCAGAATTTCCAGTGGGTGAGATGAAACCTATGCTGAGACTGCATGTCTTAGCATGCTCAGGGTGCTATATAGAAAAATACCATACATTGGCTAGCTTACAGACAACAAACATTTATTTGTCACAGTTCTTGAGGCTGAAAGATTCACCATCAAGATGCTGGTATTGGGCATTCCTCCAAGATGGCAACCCATCACCATGTCTTAATGGGGAAAATAGATGAATGAGTTATTGTGAGCATATTTTTCAAAAGAATTAATTCCATTAAAGAGGACTCTGCCTTCATGACATAAACACCTCCTAAAAGGTTCTGTCTGCTAATACAATCATTTTGGTTATAAGAATTTTAACATATTAATTTTGGGGGCACTCAGACATTCAAACTATTGCACTGAATTATGTACTATTTTGTTCCACTGTCCAATCTTGCTTCCTACTTTTTCACAGATGTTATTTTCAAGAAATCTCCCTAATTATCTCCCTCAAAAAATATTCAGCTTAGAGTCTACTTCTTGGAAGCACCCAACATTTGATAATATGTACCAAGAGAGGTCAGAAAAAAAGAACAGACAACAAAATGAGATTTTAGAGTTGGATCATACACTACCAGTTGTAATGAGAATCCTATCACTATTGGTACAGAGAACACAAATAGCCCCTGGAATGTGATAATTTAAATTTTTCATACTTTCAGTAATGGTAAATTATGCTGGTAGTATTTTGAAAGGGAAAGCTTTACTTATTAGGATATATCACAAATTTATCAATATGGGAAAAGTAGAAATTATGACCACAATAGAGGCAAATGTTTTTTTCTGCAGAATTAATGCTTGGGAGAAAATAATGGAAGAGTGAGGACCAATAACCATCAAATTAAGGCAAACGGTGAAAGCCAGAAGTCTCCTTGGAAGTGTTACCAGAAAAAGGGGTCTAGATTCAGACACCAAGAGAAGGTTATTGGATTCCACACAGTAAGGAATTCAAGGTCAGTCACAGAGTGCAATGAGAAGACAATTCATTGAAAGCTATGACATTACAGAGTAGGGCATCCTCAGAAGGCAAGGAGTTGAATGCAACACCTTTGTTTTAAGTTTTTCTTATGTAGGAGTCTCATCTCTGTAAAGGTTAATTAAGCTGTGTCTAGTTGTGGGTGGTCAGACAACAGGACAAAACTGATTATTCTATTTATGCCAAGAAAACTATCCTTGACACTTTCTTGTGTGAATACATCAAAACATAACTGTTATTATCTTGAAATCATGTATCGTTTTGGGTATTGGGACATCTGGACTCTTCATTGCAGGTGTGTGTGTTTATAGGGAGCTGAACTTAAAATCACATTACTCTGTCTCTCCTCAGCTCCTGCTTCCCTAACTGCAGCATATACAGAGACTCTCACTTCATGTAGAAGCACCCGGTCCCCACCACCAAATGAATCTGAATCTTAAGTCCAGGACTGAATTTTAAAAATAAGCCCAGCTCAGTTCTAGCTGAATTCCCAGCCTAGTCTGATCACTAACCATATTCAGGGTCTCAGTTTAGATAGAGTGAAATTATAAGACATTTGAGAAATAATTCATTGCAGTTAAAATCTTCAGTTTCTAGACTCCCCTGAACTCCGAATCTGCAAAAGAGGTCCACTCCTTTCTGTTAAGGGATAGCATTTTTCCATTGTTTGAAGATGACATAGTGTCCTTTTCCTTGCAGGACATTTTATACCTCCCCTGTGATTTGCATTTGGAATGATTTCAATTATTGTAAATGTATTCAGTCTTGCTTCATAACAAAGGTTGTTGTTGATCTTAGACTATGTTTCATGTAAAAATGAGTGGAATGTAAATTTCATGGTTGTGGGGTGGAGTGTTCTGCAGAGTGTTAGGTCCAATTGGTCAAGCGTCAAGCTTAAGTCCAGAGTTTCTTTGTTACATTTTTGCCTCAATAATCTGTCTAATGCTGTCAGTGTGGTGTCAACCCCTGCCACTATTATTGTATGACTGTCTAAATCTTTTCATAGGCCAAGAAATACTTGTTTTATAAAGGTGTTTGCACCAATGTTGGATGAGTATATATTTAGGATAATAAAAACTGCTTGTTGGATTGTATATTCTATTATTAGGTCATATCATTTATTTTCTTTTTAAATTTTTATTCACTTAAAGCCTGTCTTACATAATAATAGTAACTCCTTCTCTTTTTCATTTCTTGTTTGCAGGATAGATATTACTGTACCCTTTCATTTCAAGCCTATTATATAATTACATGTAAGATGGGTCTATTGTATACAACATACTCTTGTGTCTGGCGTATCAGATACTCTATGTCTTTTGAGTGGTACATTTAGCCAGTGTACATTCAAAGAGAGTCCCTGTATATGCTGCAAGGTTAGTATTGGTATTTGTGATTTTGATCTTGTCATGGTATGGTTAGCTGGTTGTTATACAGACATGATTGCATGGTTGCTTTATAGTGCCTGTGGACTATGTGTTTAAGTGTGCTTTTGTAGTAGAAGGGGTAATTCTTTTGAATCTATGTGTAGCACGCCCTTAAGGACTTCTTATGTGGCTGATCCACTAGAACTATCTTCTGTTGGCATTTGCTTGCCAGAGAAGCCTTCTTTTTTCTCTTTCCCTTAGTAAGTTTAGTTCAGCAGGATACAAAATTGTTGGTTGAAATTTCTTTTCTTTAAGGACACTGAAAACAGTCCCTAAGTCTCTTCTGGCTTATAAACTTCCTTCTGAGATGTCTGCTGCTAGCTTGATGGGATTCACTCCGTAGGTGACCTGCTCCGTCTGGAAGACTGGTTCTTCAAATCAACCAGTCACAGAAAAATAAATTAAAAAATTAAGAAAAATGAACAGAACATCTGAGAAAATACGATTATCTAAAAAGACCAAATCTCTGACTCATTGGCCTTCCTGAGAGAGAAGTAGAGAAAAGGAAAAAATTTGGATAATATATTTGAGCATATAGAAAGGTCTATTGGGGCTCCTTTGGGGAGAAGTCTGGTAGGAAAATAGGCCACACCCCCACTGAAACAACCCTGTGGAGGAACCTACACAAGACCAAGCATTTGTGTGCCCCAGCAATCCAAGACTGCAGAGAGTGTAGTCTCCTTCCTTGTTCAAGTGCTGAGCATAGCCACCAGCTGGGCACTCCAAAGCTGCAGGTTGCAGCCCTGGGGAACTAAGATCCTGTTTGTGGCTCCATCGTCTGGTCCCTTGGGGTTGGATTTTGGGTGGGGTAAAATGTGAAGGGCTTCCAGGGTGCCAGAATGCATTCAGATGGAGCAAAGCACTCAAACTGGAAAACAGAGGCTGTACTGTGTACAAACTCCTATGGAGCAGCCAGATAGGGGCCCTTGGGTTGAGGGGTCTGGTGGGCCAGTATTCCTGCAGAATATGTGTCACAGTTCCATTTGAAAGTAGGTTCTCCTCTCTCCCCATTGGTTAGCTAAGGCCAGAGCCTATTAGAGGTAGATTTGCGTGGTATGTGGGCACTTATGGTTGGGCTCCACCAGAAATGACCTATGCACAAATGTCCCTGGCTTTTTGTCTGCAGCTCCATCTCTGGGCAATCTCTGGGAGACCCCTCTGCCAGTCCACATGTCCTTGAAGGTATGGAGCCCCATCTAGCCAGGATTCCAGATGTCTACAGTGAGAGGGAGCTATCTACTAGTCCTTTCACTCACACTTCCCTAGAAACTGTTCAGGGCAGAGAACCAGCTGTAGTATTCAGGCACCCCATTGAGCGTCCTCAGCCTTCTTCCTCTTCGGCCTCAGTGACTACTTCTTTTCTCCATCCATATTCAGCATTTTCTCTCCAAAGATCTGTTCAAATTCTGTTGGTATGATTAAAATCCTGGTGTTCCCCTGGTGGCAGTGGCACTTCCTGACTGCATCTAGCTGACCATCTTGAACACATTCCTGTGTATATATTCTTTTGAGAATTCTTTCTTAATGTCCCTGGCCCATTTTTTAATGGAGTTATTTGTGTATGTTTTGTTAATTTGTTTAAGTTCCTTATAGATTTTTGATTTTAGACCTTTTTCAGGTGCATAGTTTACAATTATATTCTCCCATTCTGTAAGTCATCTGTTTATTCTGTTGATAGTTACTTTTGTTGGACAAAGGCTTTTTAGTTCAGTTATGTTCTATTCTCTTGATTTTATTCTAGGATTTTATAGTTTTAGGATACTGTACTAGCCTCTTCTCATGCTCTTACAAAAGACATACCTGAGACTGGGCAATTTATAAAGGAAAGAGGTTTAATAGATTCACAGTAAAACATGGTTTGGGAAGCCTCACAATCATGACAAAAGGCAAGTGAGAAGTAAAGTCATGTATTACATGGAGGCAGGCAAGAGAGCTTGTGTAGGGAAACTCTCCTTTATAAAACCATAAGATCTCAAGAGACTTATTCACTATTACGGGAATAGCATGGGAAAGATGCACTACCATGATTCAATTACCTCTCACCAAGTTCCTCCCACAATATGTGGGAATTATGAGAGCTACAATTCAAGATGAAATTTGGGGGAGGACACAGCCAAATCATATCATTCTTCCCTTGGCACCTTCCAAATATCAGATCCCCACATTTTAAAACCAATCATGCACTCCCATCAGTTCCCCAAAGACTTAACTAATTTCAGCATTAAGTCAAAAGTCCATAGTCCAAAGTCTCATCTGAAGTAAGGCAAGTCTTTTTAGCTATGAGCCTAAAAATCAAAAGCAAGTTAGTTACTTTCTAGATACAATGAAGAAACGGCTTTGGTTAAATACACTCCTTCTAAATGGCAGAAATTGGCCAAAAAAAGGGCCTACAGGCCCCACGCAAGTCTGAAATCCAGGTAAGGCAATAAAATCCATGGGTCAGTCATTGCCAAAAGGATCTTCTTTGACTCCATTGTCTCAAATACAGGTCACACTGATGTAAGAGGTGGGCTCCCATGGTCTTGGGCAGCTCAACCCCTGTGGCTTTGCAGGGTACAGCCCTCCCGTTGGCTGCTTTCATGGGCTGGCATTGAGTGTCTGTGGCTTTTCCAGTTGGATGGTCTAAACTGTTTCTGGATGTATCATACTGCAGTCTGGAGGATGGTGGCCCACTTCTCCCAGCTCCACTAGGTAGTGCTCTGGTGGAGTCTGTGTGTGGGTGTGTTGGGGGCACTCACAACACACATTTTCCTTTCACACTGTGCTAGCAGTGTTTCTCCATGAGGGTCTCGCCCCTGCAGCAAACTTCTGCCTGAACATCCAGCCATTTCCTTACATCTTCTGAAATCTAGGCAGAGGTTCCCAAGCCTCAATTATTAACTTCTGTGTACCCACAGGCTCAACACCACATCAAAGCTGACAATCTTCCAAGGCTTGGGGCTTGCCCCACTGAAGCCATGGCTTGAGCTCTACCTTGGCTCCTTTTAGCCACAGCTGAGACAAAGGGGACCGAGTTCTGAGACTGCACAAAGCAGCAAGATGCTGGGCCTAGCCCACAAAACCATTTTTTCCTTCTAGGCCTCCCAGTCTGTAATGGGAAGGGCTTCAGCCAGGAAGACCTCTGACATGCCCTGGAGACATTTTCCCCATTTTCTTGGCAGTTGGTTTCTAATTACTTATGCAAGTTTCTGCCGCCAGCTTGAATTTCTCCTCAGAAAATGTTTTTTTTTCCTTTATACCATATCGTCAGGCTATGAATTTTCCAAACTTTTATGCTCTGCTTCCCTTTTCAACATAAGTTCCAATTCCAAACCACATCTTTGTAAATACATAAAATGGAATGCTTTTGACTGTACCCAAGCCACCTCTTGAATGCTTTGCTGCTTAGAAATTTCTTCCACCAGATGCTCTAAATCAGCTCTCTCATGTTAAAAGTTTCACAAATCTCTAGGGCAGGAGGAAAATGCCACCAGTCTTCACTAAAACAGAGCAGAGTCACCTTTTCTCCAGTTACCAACAAGTTCCTTATCTCCATCTGAGACCACCTCTGCCTCGACTTTATTGTTGATATCACTATCAGCATTTTGTTCAAAGCATTCAACAAGTCTCTAGAAGGTTTCAAACTTTCACACATCTTTCTGTTTTCTTCTGAGTCCTCTAAACTGTTCCAACCTCTGCCTGTTACCTAGTTCCAAAGTTGCTTCCACATTTTCTGATATCTTTACAGCAGTATGCCACTACCTAGTACCAATTTACTGTATTAGTCTATTCTTATGCTGTTAATAAAGACATACCCAAGGCTAGTTAATTTATAAAGGAAAGAGGTTTAATGGGCTCACAGTTTCACATAACAAGGGAGACCTCACAATTATGGCAGAAGGTGAATGAGGAGCAAAGTCACATCTTACACAGCAGCAGGTAAAATAGCTTGTGTAGGGAAACTCTCCTTTATAGAACAATTATATCTCATGAGACTTATTTACTGTCACAAAAACAACATGGGAAAGACCCACCCCTATGATTAAATTACCTCCTGCTGGATCCTTCCCACAACATGTGGAAATTATGGGAGCTACAATTCAAGATGAGATTTGGGTGAGGACACAGCCAAACCATATTAGTTAAACAGTTACATCTTTAACCCATCTTCAGTTGGTTTTTGCATATGGTAAAAAGAAGATATCTAGTTTCAGTCTTCTGCATATGGCTAGCCAGTTATTTAGTACCATTTATTGAATAGTGAGTTGTTTCCCCAATGTTTGTTCTTATTGACTTTGCTTAAATCAGATGACTGTAGGTGTAAAGCTTTATTTCCGCTTCTTTAACTGGTTCCATGGGTCTATGTGTCTGTTTTTGTACCATTACCATGCTGTTTCAGTTATTGTAGCCTTGTATTATAGTGTGAAGTTGTGTATTTTGATGCCTCTCTTTGTTTTTGTTCTTAGACCTGTTTTGACTTTTGGGCTATTTTTGGTTTCATAGGAATTTTAGAGTTTTTTTTCTAATTGCATTGAAAATGTTCATGGTAGTTTGATAGAAATAGCACTGAACCAGTAAATTACTGTGGGCAGTATGATCACTTTAACAATATTAATTCTTTCTATAATTGAGCATGAAATATATTTCTTTTTGTTGCTGTTGTTTCTAATTTTTTCAACAGCATTTTGTAATGTTTAGGGTAGAGATTTCTCACCTCCCTGGTTAGCTGTATTTCTGGGTATTTTATTTGTGGCTGTTGTAAATAGTAGTACATTCTTGATTTAGCTCTCACCTTGGATGTTGTTGGTATAAACAAATGGTACTGATATTTGTGTAACACCGAAAGTTCTTGCCTTAGCCATGCCAAAAATTTGGTGTGGCGGCAGCCCCCTGTGAGAGAGAGACGCGTATCCGACTAAGAGAAAAAAAAAAAGCCCTAGGCTTTATTGAGCAGAGTGACAGTACAAAGCTTCCACAGCGTGGAAGTGGTCCCTAGCGGGTAGCCAGTGTTCGATTTTTTTGTCACCTTTTAAACTCTTTAAGGTGGGAAATACATGTGGTGGGAAGATGTTACCAGAGTGAGAAACAAAGGCAATTAACATGTTTTAGGTCTTAAGGAAAACCGGAATTCTAACTTAAGTTTTATCTACTTTATAACCTTGCAGCCACATGGCAAAGGAGACAGAATCTCACAGGATTTTACAAATTGTGTTAACAAGGAATTGGATCTGGGAGCATAGATAAGGTCTGCTGGTCACAAAAAGAAACTGGCTTTTACCATTCCTTTTTGTTTCAGGGGAGGGGGAAGGGAGAGTGGGAGTGAGGACACAGGGAAGCTTACAGCAAAAGTTTTGCTGTTTATAGCTTTCTTGGGGGAAGAAAACACATGCACAAATTCTGATGTTAGGAATATTTTAAGCATATATCTTCAATATTATTCATCCAGTATGAGAGTAAGTCCTGATACAGGAAATGAGTGAGTTTCACAGCTTTCTGAGCCCCTACTCGACCCAGGAAGCCCAGCTGGAACCTCCTCAGTCCCCCCTCTAGACAGGACACACCAATTGCTGTTGGGAACTGGCAGCAGTCGTTCTGGCTACTTCCTGATGGTTAGGGGTGAAGAAGGGGCCCTGCAGTTGTGGTGTCCTCCAGAGGGGAACTTTTTAGGCTAGTGAGGGACCAGCAGGTGGATCCAGGGGTTCTCAGTAGAAGCCGTGAGTTGAGTTCATTTGAGGTTCCATTTGTAAGTCCATTTGCAGCTTGATGGCCTTGATCCTGGAGGAGACAAATTTGACAAGGAGGTTAAAAATGCAAGGCCCGAAAGCGAGTAATAGTAGGATGACTGTCACAGGGCTTAGAAAGGGGAGGAGCCAAGGTACACATTTGTTAAACATATTCCAGGGCCCTGAGTGTTAAAGCTCCTTTTTGTCTACTTTCTATTTGTTCTCTTATTTCTTTAACCTTTTCAGTAATGATTCCTGACTGGTTAACGAAATAGCAACATTCTTCTCCTAAGAAGAGGCAGGTTCCTCCTCTTTCAGTTGTTAATAAGTCTAGGGCTCTCTGATTTTGAAGGACTACCACAGCTAGACAATTAAGCTGGCTTTGTAGGGTCACTAGGGAGTCGGCAACTCATTCCATGTCATCATTTAATTCTCGTGATAATTTATAATAGAATTGGGTGGAGGAGGTTATGCCTCCAATTCCAGTCCCAAGCCTGCCTAGTATTCCTGCTCCTACTGTAAAAGGGACAATAAGGGCTCGGGTGTGGCGAGATTGGGGTATAAGGAGACTTTGTAACTCTTGTTCAGTATATATGGACATGGGAGGTGCTAGAAATGAGACATAGCATAGTTCTTTTGGAGTGCCATTTTGGCATCGATAGGCTGTGTTATCACAGATGAAAAAAATTTCCTGAAGGTAGATAGGTGAAACCTGAGGTCTTGCCCTAGTCTCCACTATTTGGTTTTTGTATTCCTAGGATTGGGGTGTTTCAAAGACTGCTACATTTTTTTACTAAACCTTGAGCTTTTAAATTTCTAACAATATCCTGTAATCCTTTGAGAACTTCAGGCCTTAAGTGATATTTCCTTTGATAAGGAAAAGTGGTGGTGTCTTTTAGCTTGATGTGGACTGGATGGATATTCTTTGCCCTTCCAAATTGTCCTTCTAAGGCCCAGAGCTCAAAGTTGATTTCTTCTTCAAGTAGGGGACAACAAATGGGTCACTTGTTCCCCATATTCATGTAGATAATGGCCCCAGCTTTGGCAAATATGTCTCTCCCTAATAAAGGTGTGGGACTTTCAGACATAACAGAAAAGGCATGTGAAAGAGCAAAGTCTCTCAATTGCAGCTGAGGAGGCGAGAGAAATACCTGGTTACAGGCTGTCCTAAGATTCCTCAGATAGTAACGGACTTTGAGAACAGTCATCTGGGTCAGGGGATTAAAATTGAGAAGGCCGCGCCAGTGCCCAGGAGGAAGTCCACTTCCTGGCCCTCAATGGTTAAACTTACCCGGGGCTCTGTGAGGGTGATGGCATGAGCTGGCACTTGCCCCAGGCACCCTCAGTCCTGTTGCTGAATAATCTGGTTGGGTGCTTCTGGTCCAGAGGACCTTCATCCTTTGGGGCAGTGCACCTTCCAGTGATTTCCTTGGCATATTGGACAGGGGTGAGGGGGCAGTTTGTTTTTTGTTGGACAATCTTTCTTAAAGTGTCCTTGCAAACCACACTGATAACAAGCCCTGCTAGGCAATTGGTCTGCTCCTCTCTTGGTTCCCTCTGAGCCACCAAAGTCTGCCTGTCTGAAGTCCATGACTAAGGCTGCAGCCTTTCTCTTATCTCGCTTTTCACTTTCGGCCTCTTCCTCTCGGTCCCTGTTATAGAGCACCGAGGTTGCCAGGTTTAATAATGTCTCTAAATTTGTTCTGGGCCTAAAGTAGACTTTTGCAGTTTTCTCCTAATGTCAGCAGCTGATTGGGTGATAAATTTATCCTTTAAAATAAGCTGGCCTTCTACGGAATCTGGACTTAAGGATGTGTGCTTTCTTAGGGCCTTCCTTAGTCTTTCTAGAAAAGCCGAGGTGTTTTCCTCCTTTCCCTGTGTAATTGTGGATAGCATTGAGTAGTTCGTAGCCTTTTTCCTAGTCTTCCTCAAGCCTTCTGAAATGCAAGTTTGCAAATGCCTGCAGCTCCAATCTCAATGATCTGAGTCAGTATCCCAATGAGGGTATACACTGGGGACTGCCTGTTGCCCTGTGGAGAATTTTTCCCTCTCCTCCAGGGTCATTCAATCATTTACATGGCTAAGGTACCACAGATCCCCAAATTGCCAGGCTACTGCTAAAGCCGCTTCTTTTTCAGTAGGACTTAAGGTCTGATCAAGAAGCAACATGGTATCTGTCCATGTTAGATCAAAGGACTGCATCAATCCTTGAAGGACATCTATATAGTTATCAGGACATCTGAGAATCTCCCTATATCTGCCTTTTTTTTGTTTTAAGTCTGAGAGTGAGAAGGGGGCATGCACGTGAATGGGCCCAAATTTTCCTCCTACTGCTTATAAGGGACATAGTTTCAGTGCCTGACTCATGGAATTTATCTTCTCTTGCTGGTGTGCCTTTAACACCTCAGTGGGGCCGGATGGAGGAGAGTCAGTGTGGGAGAAGAGTGGGGCTGAGGGAAGAGGCCCTGAGTATGGAGGCAATTGTGGGCCTCTGTCATTTGGGAAAAGCTTGCAGGCTTGGCACACGGCAATATTGTGATGAAGGGCAAAGAAACTCTGTACCTAAGGGAATTCACTCCATTTACCTTCCTGTTTACAGAAAACATCTAATTGTAGAAGGGTGTTATAATTAATACTTCCCTCAGGGGGCCAAGTTTCTCCATTTTGTAAGGAATACTGTGGCCAGGCAGTGGCACAGAAGACAATCAGCCACTTCTTTTTTAAGGTTTCAGGGTCGAATTTGTCCCAGTTATTCAGGATACATTTTAAGGGAGTGTCTGGTTTGGAAGGTGTGGTGCCCATCTGGAATTTTACACACCGGGATGTCCGCAATCCTGGTTAGTCCTGGGACTCATCTTCCCTTAGGCCGTCCCCCAAGGGTCAGGCCCAATTGTGCTCAAAGCTCATGGCCGCTTTTCCCGAGCCCTCCATCTACCGGATTTAACCATGCTTACACGTGGGATGGAAACTTCCCTTGCCCCTGCTGTGCGCCCATTGACCACTAAATGGGGCACAAAGACTGTTGGATTTATTGTCATTCTTCTGCCAATGCATCCTACCTGTTCCATGGCGGCAAGGCCTGGGTCTGGGGCACCACTGATGCCTGCATGCTAAGGCTCAATTTATGTGGGCCTGGCCATAAAACTGTCCTTCAAGGAGAAATCTCTGAATTAGCAACAGGAGGCTTAGTAAGCTTAAAGGGGGTGGTAGATGTCCTCTAGGCCAGGGCTGAGAGAACCGCTGCTGTACTCTAGCCTTCTGTCCCTACTTGCCATCAAAGGAGTAAGCCCCTCTCTTACGGCGGTGCCAGTATCCTGTGTCCCAACTGACTATATTTTCTTCCTTCCAATTCCAACTATTGAATAGTTCAAATAGCAACTCAGTGGCTCTAAGAGCTGTCCCCATGCACCACAGATTGTACTTGAGAGGCCCCAAGGAAGGGGAAAGTTTATCTGGGGAGCAATGGAGGAAATGCCCTTAGCTTGGAAAAAGAAGGCCTTGTAACAGAGATAGGAATTATCATTATATATCTAGCTATTTCTCACTTTATTTAGAAAATCCATTATCATAGAACTTGGTTGATGGATAAAGTAAGGCATTCACTTTTTTTTTTATTTTATAGACAGAAGCTGGGTTTCTGTCCATAATTTAAAAATGTCATCTGTTGTTTATATTGATATAATGGTTTGAAAACAGTACGAGTCAAGATTTGCAGTATTAAAGGAAACCTGAATTTTGAAATTTTATCTCCTTTTGTGGGAAGTAATTTTAAGAATCAGATATAGAGTTTAAAATTTAAATAAATTTCTGTCGGATCTAGGAAAGATTATTTTGATATATTTGTGTTTTTCTCTGTGAAATTTGTGATCATCAATTTAAATAAAAACCACAATACCATTTTCCCAACATTTCAATGAATTATTTGATTTCCTGTAAAGAAATAATTTGTACATCAATAAAAGTAATGCATTATGTAAATTTCAAAAATAGATGCATATAATTTTAATAGCTTTACTGAAGTACAATTGATATACAAAAAACACCTGTAAGTATTTTATACATATATATTTATATTATTTATATATATATAAATTGATGAGTTTGGACATGTACAAGCACCCATGATGCTATCATTATAACAGTGAAGGTAATTAACATATCCATCACCTACAAAACTTTCTTTGTCACTCTTTGTTTTTGATGGTAATAATGCTTAACATGAGATTGACCCTCTTAACACATTATTAAGTGTACAATACCATGTTGTTAACTAGGCATTATATTGCAGAGGAAATCTCTATGCTTATTCATAAGCATAAGTGAAACTTTATACCCACTGAACAACAGCTCCCCATTTCTCTCTCTCCCAAACCCCTGGAAAACACTATTTTATTATCTGCTTCAATTAATTTGCCTATTTTATTTAACTAATATAAGTGGAATCATAAAATATTTGTTCTTCTTGAACTTGCTTAATTCACTTAGCATAATAACCTCTAGGTTCATCCATGTTGTCGCAAATGGTATTTTTTGTCAAACCTTGGCAACTGAATTAACATGTCCATTGCTTCCGTGTACACAGAAATGATTCTAACTGAACTTATGAAAATAATTATATCGATATCAAATTAAAATGCTCATGAATAGTTTTTGAATTTTTGTAAAATCAGATATGGAGAAAAATCACAAATTTATCGTTATTTTAATGAATAAAAAATATTTAGGATCTTGAAATAATTAGCAATGTGAAACTAATTAGGAAAATTGAGATTTTCAGATTGTTCTAATGTGTTTTGATTATTATTAAAATAATGGTAATAAATCTTAGTTATATTTCTATACTTACTTTAAAATACATACATATATATATATATAGAGAGAGAGACATTGTGAGTAAGTTAGTGTATATGTCTATGTGGGTATATGTTTTCTTTAATTGATGTTCTAGCAGCAGTTATCCAGTGTTTGTCATTTCCTAATTAATATTACATCCCAGAAACAACTCCCAAAACTTTAAATTTGTACATTTTCTGTGTCTTCTTTCTAATAAATGCATGTATGTTTTGAACAATACTGTCTGAATTGTTTCATTTTAGGATACCACATGATAGTATGGTGAAGGGGTGTGAGGACAGGCAGGCAGAGATGGGAGAAACAGAGACACAGAGAGAGAAAGAAAGAAAGAGAGAGAGAGAACTTATTATAGTGAAGCCTTTCTTATCTTTGTATCATGAGGGGCTAGCTCACGACCTGGCATGAATGGAGCTCATAAAGTGTATATTAAAATAGATAGGGCACTTATGACATGGTTTAGGTCATTCATATTCTAAATTTAATGTAACAGGTTCATTCTAGTCTAAATATATATGTTAGGCTTTACAATATAGTAAAATATTGTTACTTTTATACCTATGATATAGGTTTAAATTTGAGAGCACCCACAATATTTATTAAAAATGCTCCTTAAATAAACTTAAAAATATACTACTACCTAAATGTAATGTCACTGATTTTATTATTGAGTCTCCATTTTTTTTCTTGTAAAAGGAACTTACAATGATAATACATAAGTAAAACTGTAATAATTATGCCTACTAGACACATAAAAGCTTGGAATTGAAGAATAATATTATAATACCCTTGGTTAGGTTATGATTTAAATATAGAATTATGGTATTCTAAATTCTCAAACATATATCAGCAATATTTCTTAGTGATGGTACTGATTTCATTAGAATTTTAAATGTGCATCATTTCTGTGAGCTGACACAGAGGAATCATGATTAAATAAATCAAAATAGTATTAATGCTCAATGACATGGGGTAGAGAGAAATATTTAATTTTTAAGTTAGAATTTAGGCATTCAAAACAAGAATCACAGGAATAACAAAAGGACATAACTCTGAACTATGCACACCAGATAAGCATAAAATTTATTTTGCAAATGTTTTTGCAGTTTAGTCCTTTGCATCAGTTTATATTGTGGGAAAGTAAGGGAGCAAGAACAGCTGAAATGATATAACACATAAAAATATCAGATAATTTTTATTATAAACAGATATAAGCTGAATTTGAAAACACCATTGATAAGAAATTAAAGGGGAATATATTTCCCATTTCTTCCTTTTGTATGTAAGTCCAAAGCCTAAAATTATGATTCTTTATAGAACTATCTCTCCGCTTTTCTGTCATTTGTCAAAAGAAGAATAAAATCAATATTTATTTTTAGGACTACATTACTGCATCATGAACCTAAACTTAATGCTGACTCTAGAAACCAAGTCAAACCATTAAGAAATGTAAACCGTGTGCAAATGAGATTAAATGCAATAAAATCACATCTGATATAAAAGGCACAGAGATACTACAAAGAGTAAGATACATCAGAAAGGGCTTAGGTGAAAATATAATAAATATTCCTTTTCTAAAATGTTATGGTAGCAATAGTTTACTACATAGGCTACAAAAAAAAATTGTCAGCATTTCCATACTTACCAAAATGAGTATGAAACCTCAGGCTCACTAAATCAGTATCTTTTTTAAACTATTACTATACTACAGTATCATTTCAACAGTGTTAAAGATTTAATCACAATTTAAATGTTAAGTATTAAAAATTAGGATAATACACCTTTACTATGACCTATACTATTCATACCATTCTGGAAATATAACATATAATACTAGCAGATCACAAAGTACATAGACCAATACCCTCTCAAAACCAAAAACAAACAAACAAACAAAAAATACAAACCAAAACATTCAGCCTCTGTATTTAAGGCATGTTTTTCATTAATACTGATGTGCTTCCAGGAATATACAAAGAAGAGGTGAGACATCGGTATTCCCATGAGAAACCAGAAACGAATATACAAATGAAACGTTGAGAAGCCCAGCCATCAACTCTCCATTGTAACATAAAGGGTTAGCAAAACAAAAAAAACTTGGCTGCCTACAGCCTGCTGAGTAACTCCTCAGCAGGAGGAGTTTTATTTATTATAGCACTGTCATACACACTTTCAGATATGCAGTTTTATTTTTATATTCTATTTCTGACAGTTTTATTTGCCTGCCACACCATGAAAGACTGCAGTTCTAAAGAAGCTGTTAGGAGAAAAGTATAGATATCTTCTGTGAGGGTTTCTTAGTTACTGAAAGTAGGAGAACCTTCACATTAAATAGAATCTTGGTATAATCAAGCAGAAGGCTTGGTGGAAGTATTAACATGGTTATCTCATGTCCATCAAGCTGGAGTTTTTCTAGAATAACTTTTAAATTGAGTGACTAAAATTTATGGGCCGGATAAGTACTTTTCCAGACTTTCCAGAGTCAAAGAAACACAGATTCAGCAGAAAAACAAAATAAAACAAAACATAAAAAAACAGAAGCTATTCACAGTTTTCCAGTTTTCATGACCAACTCTTCCTTTAATTTACGCTGGGCTTAAGATAAATTCAGCAAGCTCATAAGCCAAATTAATCCTAAGTGTGTTTCATGCTTCAATTTCTCAATCAATTGATGGTGACTGAGTCTGAACTTTGGACAGCCTACTTATCTCAATAGTCAAAGTGGAATATAGCTGACTTCATGGAAAAGATCATCAAATTAAGCAACATAGCACAAATTACATAAAAGCTTTCTAAAATAATTTTATAGAATAGGAATTTATGCACTTACAATTAAATACAGTGGAAAGGATTTCTAGTTGAGTGTAAGAAAGTTTGTCATAAGATCTTAATTTTTCTAATAAGATGTTTTTCATTATCTTCTTTAGATTTATTAGAATGTTCATTTGGACATCGTATTTCACTTTGTTTTCTTAATGTTGGGATAATAGAAAGCATATATGTTGAGAATGCATACTCTGCTATTGGTATTTTTTGGCAAAATGTATATATTATTTTGAAATATTAAATAGTGCTTATGAGCTGAATCATGGCTCATTACTCCAAATTCATTTGTTTGTGTTCTAACACCCAGTTCCTCAGAATAGGTCTACATTTGGAGACAGGGCCATTAAGGAAAACAATAATATAAAATGAGGACATATAGAGGATGTCTTATATGAACATAAGGACAAACACAGAGAAGAAAGTCCACGTAAAACCACTGAAGGAAGGCAACCATCTACAAACCAATCATTGAGGATTTAGAAGGAAACAACACTGTTAATCGTACCTTGATTACACTTGATTACACACTTCTAGCCTCCTGAATTTTGAGAAAATATGTTTCTTGTTTAAGCCATCTAGCCTGTGGTACTTTATTATGGCAGCCCTAGACATCTAATAGAGTGGTATATAGAAATACACTTGAAGTTTGAATGTTGATGTTATATATGAAATGAATTTTGAGAGCATCAGGTATGTATTAAAGTATGAAAGAAGGATTATGCACTGTTTGGAAGATGATACATACATAACTATATGCTTATCAAATTTGGTCATTTGAGAAAAAAAAACCTTATATGGTTCCTGGAACATACTGTTTATTTTCTGATTATTCCTTTGCACATTGAATAACTGTATCCAGATTAGCTTTTATTTTTCATAAATTTGAGCTAGTAACAACCATTCACTTCAAATTTATTAATACATTATCTTGCTCAATAATATAAAATATATTTTGAGCACTTGATAATATAAAGCTAAGTCTCTTTCTTTCGCTTTCTTTTCTTTCTTTCTGTTTTCTTTCTTTCTTTCTTTTCTTTCTTTCTTTCTTTCTTTCTTTCTTTCTTTCTTTCTTTCTTTCTTTTCTTTCTTCTTTTTTTTCCTTTACTTTTTACGCACAAGTTCCAGGATACATGTGCAGAACGTGCAGGTTTGTTACATAGGTATAAGTGTGCCATGGTGATTTGCTGCATCTATTGATCCATCCTCTAAGTTTCCTTCCCTCATGCTCCACCTCCCAATAGGCCCTGGTGTGTGTTGTTTCCCTCCCTGTGTCCATGTGTCCTCATTGTTCAACTCCCCCTTATGAGTGAGAGCACACAGTGTTTGGTTTTCTGTTCCTGTGTTAGTTTGCTGAGGATGATGGTTTCCAGCTTTATTCATGTCTCTGAAAAGGAGTTGATCTCATTCCATTTTTGGCTGTGCAGTATTTGGTGGTGTCTATGTACCACATTTTCTTTATCTCATCTGTCATTGATGGGCATTTACGTTAGCTCCATGACTTTGCTACTGTAAATAGTGCCACAATAAACATATGTCTGCATGTGTCTTCACAGCAAAATGATTTATATTCCTTTAGGTGTATACCCAGTAATAAGACTGCAGGGTCAAATGGTATTTCTGTTTCTAGATCCTTGAGAAACTGCCAGTATGGCATCTCAATAGATGCACAAAACAGGTCTCTGGTAAAATTTAACATCCCTTCATGTTAAAAACTCTCAGTAATCTAGGCATTGATGGGACATAACTCAAAATAATAAGAGCTATTTGTGACAAATGCATAGCCAATATCACATTGAATGGGCAAAAGCTGGAAGCATTCCCTGTGAAAAAAGGTACAAGACAAGGATGCCCTCTCTCTACACTCTTATTCAACATAGTATTGGAAGTTAGGACTAGTGCAGTCAGGCAAGAGAAAGAAATAAAGGGTATTCAAATAGGAAGATAGGAAGTCAAATTGTCCCTGTTTGTAGGTGACATAATTTTTCATTTAGAAAACCCCGTCATCTCAGCCCCCAAACTCCTTAAACTGATAAGCAAATTCAGCAAAGTCTCAGGATACAAAATCAATGTGCAAAAATCACAAGGATACCTTTACCCTAACAATAGACAAGCGGAGAGCCAAATCAAGAATCAACTCCCATTAACAATTGCTACAAAGAGAATAAAATACCTAGGAATATAGCTAACAAGGGATGTGAATAACTGCTTCAATGAGAACAACAACCCACTGTGCAAGGAAATGAGAGAGGATGAAAACAAATGGAAAACACTTTTCATCGTCACAGACAGGACAAATCAACATTGTGAAAATGGCCATACTGCCCAAAGTATTTTATAGATTCAATGCTATTCCCATCAAACTACCATTGACATTCTTCGTAGAATTAGAAAAAAGCTACTTTGAATTTCATATGTAATCAAAGAACACCCTGTATAGCCAAGACAATCCTAAGCAAAAAAACAAAATTGGAGACATCGTGCTACCTGACTTTGAACTGTAATAAAAGGCAACAGCAACCAAACAGCATGGTACTTGTACCAAAGCAGGTATATAGACCGATGGAACAGAAAAGACACCTCAAAAATAACACCACACATCTGCAACCATCTAATCTTAGACAAATCTGACAAAAACAAGCAATGGAGAAAGAATTCCCTATTTAATAAATGGTGATCAAAAAACTGGGTAACCACATGCAGAAAACTGAAACTGGACACCTTCCTCACACCTTATACAAAAATTAACCCAAGGAAGATTAAAGACTTAAATGTAAAACCCAAAACCATAAAAGTCATAGAAGAAAATCTAGGCAATACCATTCAGGACGTAGATATGGGCAAAGACTTCATCATGAAAACACAAGAAACAATTGCAACGAAAGCCAAAGTTGACAAATGGGATCCAATTAAACTAATGAGCTTCTGCACAGCAAAAGAAACTACCATCAGAGTGAACAGGCAACCTACAGAATGGGAGAAAAATTTTGCAATCTACCCAGCTGACAAAGGTCTATTATCTACAATTAAATTTATTTAATTTACAAGGAACTTAAATAAATTTACAAGAAAAAACAAAACCATTAAGTACTGGTCGAAGAATATAAAGAGCCACTTCTCAAAAGATGACATTTATGCAGCCAACAAACATACGGAAAAAAGCTCAACATCACTTATCATTAGAGAAATGCAAATCAAAGCCAAAATGAGATACCATCCCATGTCAGTCAGAATGATGATTATTAAAATGTCAAGAAACAATAAATGCTGGTGAGGCTATAGAGAAACAGGAATGCTTTAACACTGTTGGTGAAAACGTAAATTAGAGCTAGGTCTTTAATATTATGTTGATTAATTGATTGATTTCCAACACAAACCAAGTTCAAAGTAGATGAGTAATTAGAAAACAAAACATACTGAGTTAAAAAATTAATAAATAAAAAGAGTCTGGTTGGTAAAAACACTAATTTCAAGGGAGTTTTTTTGAAGTTTAGTGAAACTTAAGTTATTTAACATTCAAAAATAAATAAATAAAATAAAACTTTCAATTTTCTCTGTAACTGCTGAGTGATTGATTGTGTTAAAAAAGTTACCATACATTTTCCCATCTTAACAATTTTTAAGTTTGCAGCTGAGCAATGTTAAGTATATTTACATTTTTGTGCCACAGGTTTCTAGAAAATTTTCATCTTGGAAAACACATTGAACAACACCCCATTTTCCCTTTACTCCAGCCCCTGGTATCCACTATTCCACTTTTTCTTTCTATGGATTTTACTAGTTTTGATACCACATGTATGTGAAATTATTTATATGTGTATTTATCTTTTTTTGACTGGCTTATTCAACTTACTATAACATCCTCAAGCTTCATCAATGTTGTTACATATGATAAAATTTTCTTTTTTTAAAAGCTAAATAATCTTTCATTTCATGTATATACCATGTTTTCTTTATCCATTCATCCATCCGTGGACATTTGTGTTGCTTTCCTCTTTTGACTATTGTGAATAATGTTGCAAAATACATGGATGTGCAAATATGTCTTTGAGATCTTGCTTTTAATTATTTTGGATAAATGCCTAGAAGTAACATTGTTGGGTCATATGGTAATTTTATTTTAATTTTTTTGAGGAAACTTCATACTCTTAACTATAGGGCTGTCATCATTTTTCATTCCTACCAACAATGCACAGGAGTTCCTATTTATATATATTATCTTCAATACTTTTTGTTTTCTGGGCTCTGTGTGTGTGTGTGTGTGTGTGTGTCTGCGTGTGTGTGAATATATGTATTCAAAAATGTTTTGAGGTGGCTAATGGTTATGATGTCATAGCTCATTGTAGTTTTGATTTACATTTCTCAAATATTTAGTGATGTTAAGCATCTTTTCATATGCTTTTTGGCCATATGTCTACATTTTCTGAATAAACGTGTATTCAAGTCTTTGAATTATTTTAATTGGGTTTTTGCTATTAAACTATAGAGAATTGTCATATATGTATATAAAACACTTAGCAGATAAGTGATTTACCAATATTTTCTCTCTTGCAACCTATTTATTTCTATGACATCAATTGTAATGTCTTCTCTTTCATTTCTGATTTGTTATTTTTTTTTTCTTTTAGACTGGGTCTCTGCTCTGTCCCCAGGCTGGAGCGCAGCAGCAGCATCACCTTGGTCACTGAAACCCTCACTTCCGAAGTTCAAGCGATTCTCTCACGTCAGCCTCCTGAGTAGCTGGGACTACAGGTACATGCCACCACACCTGGCTAATTTCTGTAGTTTTAGTAGAAACAGGTTTTCACTATGTTGCCCAGACTGGTCTTCCACTCCTGTGCTCAAGCAGTCTGCCTGCCTTGGCATTCCAAACTGCTGGGATTACAGGATTAAGCCCCCAAGCTCAGGCTGATTTTAATTATACAACTATTCACTGTTTTTTTTAGTCGAGAAAATGATTTCTCAATTTTGTTGATCTTTTCAAAAAAAAGAAAGCAATAATTCAGTTTTGCTGATTTTTCTCTATTTCCTATTGCATTTATGTCTGTTGTAATCTTTATTACATTTTTCTTTCTGATAATTTTGGTCAGTTCTTTGATATGTAAAGTTAGATTCTTTTAGATATTTCTTCTTTTTAACATAGGCATTTATTACTATAAACTATCCTCATAGTACTGTTTTTGCTACTTTTGTAAGTTCAGTTTCCTTTTTTTCACTACTTTTTTTGTATCTTTTACAGCAAGCTTGTCCAACCTGCAGCCTGAGAGCTGCATGCAGCCCAGGATGGCTTTCAATGCAGCTCAGCACAAACTTGTAAACTTTCTTCAAACATTGTGATTTCTCTTGCGATTTTTTCCCAGCTCATCAGCTATGGCTAGTGTTAGTGTATTTTGTGTGTGGCCCAAGGTGATTCTTCTTTTCCTAATGTGGTCCAGAGAAGGTAAAAGATTGGACACTCTTGTCCTATAGGTATATTTTGTGGTTACCATGAGGATGGCATAAAACATATTCTAGTTATAACAGTCCATTTTAAACCGAACAAAAACTTTAATTATATATGAAAAATCTATTCCTTTTCATCTCCCATTCCTACTTTATGTTAGTAATATCACTAGTTATATATTTTATGTTGTGTCCCAATTAATCCAAATGTAATGTTACTTTTATGCTTTTCTCTTTTAAATTGCATATCAGAATTGGAAGTAACTTGTGCATCAACATTAAGAACTTACGGGACTTTATAATTAATTATATATTTATCTCTACCAGATAGATTTATATTTTAACATTCATTCGTTTTGCTACCTACCCTCCCTCATTTCAACATGAATGACTCCTTTTTGCTTTGCTTGTAGGACAGGTGTGGTAATATTTACCTTCTTCAAACTTTTTTTTAACCCAAGAAAATATTCTATTTTGCGTAATTTCTGAATGACAGGTTTGCCAAATGAATCTCTTATGTGGTTGGGTTTTTTTCTTGTTTTTCTTCAACACTTTGAATATATTATGTTGCTTAGCTTTGGTTTGAAAGGATATCTGCTGGTATCTTGTTGATAACATTATGTGAGTTCCCATTTATGTCATGATTTATTTTTCTTTTTCTGCTTCCAAGATTCTTTCTTTGTCTATGACTTTTGAAAGACTAATTATAATATTTATTGGTGTAAAATTTTTGAACTGATCTCAGTGTACAGTAGTTGTGTTTCAAAACAATTCTATGTCCGTGTTCTTCCTCAAATTTGGGAAATATTCTGCCTGCCATTATTTCTTTAAATAGACTTTTTGTCTCAATCTTTTCCTCTTCTCCCATGAGGACTCTCATAATGCATAACTGGTCAGGTTAACAATGTCCCATAAGTCTCAGGCTTTCTTCACTTTATTATCACATTCTTTTTGCTCCTCTCCCTTAAAAGTTTCAAGTCACCAATATTGTCAAATTCATGAATTATTTTTTCTAGCTGATCAAGTCATCTATTGAATTTCTCTTGTAAATTTTTCAATTTAATTATTGTATTATTTACCTCCAGAATTTCTATTTGGTTCTTTTCTATACTTTTTATGTCTTTGTTGATACTCTTATTTTATATATGCATTATTTTCCTGATTTTTAAAAACTTGTCTGTGTTTTTTTAGGTAATCGAGCATCTTTAATTATTTTTGAAATTTTTGATAGGTATTTAATATATTTTGACAGGTGATTAATAAATCTTTGTTTATTGAGGGTGGAATGAAAGCTTTATTTTGTTCCCTTAAATAGGTCATGCTTCTCAGTGTCTGCATGTTTTGCATTTCTTTGTTTAAATTCTGAGATTTAAAGAAACATCCACATCTCCCAGTCTTTATATACTGGCTTAGTGTAGTGGAAAACCTTCATCAATTACCCCAGCTAGAGATCCTGGGAGCTTTGCAAACCATTCCAAGAGTTGTATCCTCTCTGAGCTTTTGGATGTAATTGCCAAGTTAAATCGGGTTTTTTGTTTGTTTGTTTGTTTTCAGGATTTTGTAATATTTTACTTCACCTGTTGTCATTCTGTAGTAATAATGCAGCTGTTCTTGTACTGCCCTAAACAGCCACACTGCCTTTATTCCCAGGCATTCAAATGCTGGGGTTTCTATAAGTGATTTAAGTTCGGTGACAGGAATCAGATCCTTGGGAAGTCCCCTAAGGAGCCAGAACATTAGACCACATTTCTCGCTTCTTTCACTCCTATGGGAAAAGTTATGACTAAAGATTTTTTTCCTGATTGTGTAATGCTGTACGGTCTAGAGAAGGATCTATTGAGAGTATATGGTACAACATTTCCTAGATATTAAAATAAAATTCTTTTTGGCTTTGCTCTTTTCTGAGGTGCTGCAACCTTTTCACTGGTTTCTGAGATTATCACCATGGCAAATTGGTCTATATGATGTTGTTAAGTCTCTTTCTGCATGGGGAACAGGGACAGGGCATTCCTGCTCTGCCACCTTTAAAACATCAATTTTGCCACCACGCCATGTGCAAATTTTAAAGACTATGTGATAAAAATATGGCAATTTGCTTTTAGTTGTTAGGTCTAGAAGTGAGGCTCTAGGTAATTATTAAAAATTCCTTTGAGATTTTTCTTTGTTTGCAACAATTGATATAAAAAACCAAAGAGGATATTACAAGAAAATTTCTGAAATAAGATGAGATCAAATAGCATTGATATGGTGACTTTGTATCATTTATTTGACCCTTGTTGGACACTTAGAATGTGTTATTTAATTTATACACTTTAATATTTATAACACGCACATATAGGATTATAATTTAATTTACATCTCCTCACACTATGCTCAGCCTAAAGTGAACATGGTCCAAAGCTTTGTTAATAACTTAATGATCTGAAATTTAGAATGTCTATGCTGGGAGCTTCTTACGGGAATGAGAGAACAAACCTGGGCAGACTCCTGGTAAGAAAGTGGTGGTTAAGATAGAACATATTACAACTACAAGGCCAGTTGGATTCTGATTGCAACTGATATTAAAAGGCAATGCCAGATTGATGAAGGAGAGTCTTATGAGCAACAGCTCTTGAGAGGAAGGGAGTCCCACGTACAATGAGTGTCCAAGCTAAAAAGTCCCAGAGTGTCAGCAGGATCAACTCCAGAAATGGCTTCTCACCTGTCAGAGCATGTTAATCAATTACTGTATTTAATTACAGAGACTTAAAAGAGCTATAATCAGCTTTTCCTAGATTATAATAATATTTTAAAAGTCAAACGTATCAGTGTAAAAACTTAAAAAGTGTTAAAAACATAGTAAATATTTTTATTTACATTTAATTATGTACATACAGAAGAACAATACTTATATTTCTTTTTATATAGTCATTTTAAAACTGGAATTAATTTATATATATACCTTATCAACATGTGTAACAATTTCAACATTTTCAAAAATCCAGTTGAGCCAATTTATTTATTTAATAAATCAAGTCCTTAAATTAAAATATAAATAAGCATGTCACTAAGGTTATACAACAGTAAACAAAATAAAAAGTGTAACATATTTGCTTAATTTGTGTAAAGATTATTAAACTATATTTAGTTTAGTATACAGCTTTACATATCTAAATATTTAATACATACTATTATTTGTGAAGCAGGTATTCTAATACCTTAAATTTTTGCCATGTAAGCCATTACTTGATGAATTTGCAGTTCTCGAAGATTGAGACTGAAAAACCGTATACTGATCTTACTTTCAGAGCAAGCATCTCTTTATTTTTCTACATTAATTAGACTTTTGATTATAGAGATAAGAATTATAAGTATTCATCATTTTTAAAGAATAGACATTTAAATCTTCTTTATTAAGTGTACCATCAACTAAAATTTTATAAAATCAGCAATTAAAACCACATATTTCTAATGGTTACTTATCTCAAAATAATCTGGTTACCTTGAATATCTTATTGACATTTTCTCTATGTAAGAAATTATTAGTTTCTTTTATTATTTGAGGACTGTCTATTTATCATCAAGAGCACACAAAAAATGTTGGTTGAGTGATGGCAGAAATGTAGGCCATGACATCTAGATGAGGTATGTGGAAATATAGCAAACTATTCTGAGTGTAATGCTCTATTGTCATTTTTAGCAATTCATTGTCTGAGATCAGTAATGCTGGGTATGTAGAAGGGCTTATTTAAATTGAAAAATAAAAATCATTATGTTTCTCATAACAAGCTAAGGCATAGAATGCTTAACTGATTTGTGTGGTTTACTGAATTTCGTGAATTTTACATTTTTTACTTCTTTACATCCATGTGTTTGTGCAAACACCAGGAATCAGCATACTGAAGGTCACCCTATCACTTAAGGTTATAGAAGTGATGACATCATGGAAACCATGATATCAGAAATAGGAAAATGTAGATGTATTAATGTCCTTGTGTTAATAAGTGACAGAAGAGAGTAAGGACACCTAGGAAAATACAATGCAACAATAAGATATACTCACAACTTCATGATCGTGGAATTCTAGGCTACTTAGCTAAGATAAAATATCAGAATAGATAGTATGAAAATAGGAAGGGAACATGTTTTCACTAAAGTCTTTGTGGCTGGAATTAACAGGATTACCCCATCAGGTCTTCCCTAAATTTGGAAAGATCTGTTCCCTCTTTTCTATCTTTCTAGTTTTATTAAATTTTTGAGAGGAAAATAAACAACATCATGAGACCAAGAATATAGCAGTTGCCACCCAGGCACGTGGGAACCCAATCATGTCTATAGAGTAGTGCTGGAACCAGGTGAGGTCGTTGGCAGCTGATCGCAGGTGCTTGGCTCCTTTGTGGCACATGACAAACTCAATCCAGGAGACTGCTCTATCCAGGGTCTTTATGGGTTGATCATGGTGAATTCTTGATAATCTCATAGCATCCTCCTTGTAACTGGAAGGCAAAAACACACATAGAAATTAGAAAGTTGTAGTTTTGTTTTCATAAAAGACAGGTAGATAAACTGTAGTATATGTTATGCAAGCTAAAAATTTGTTGGGTAAAAGATTGATGCTGGTTGTGACGTGAACATTATTGGTTGCATAGCATTAAACAGATATAGTGGGGAGACTGAAAAAGAGTATATTCTTAACAAAATGGGGTAAAACAAAGAGGTGAATAAAAGTTTAGTAAGCCAGTTGTTAACTTAAACCTAATATTTCCATGAAGATTGACACACTATGAACTATAATATCCAGGACTATTCCAATACCAAGGTGATTAATGACTTAATATTGCGGAGGAAAATCCCTTAAAATGTCTACCAGGATTATATTTAACATTTCCTGGCATAATGTATAACATAATCAATGTTAGATCAGTCTTTACAATCAGTAGTACTTACGAGGAATTGTTAATGGCTGTTCTCAAACACTGAGTAAATCTTCGCTTGTGATAGTTTTGAAGTTAATTTCTACAGCTGCTCCTTTGGCCTTCCTGTGAGCTATGTTATCAAGCTGATCACCAAATATGGGAACTCCCACCATAGGGACGTCATGGTAAATAGCTTCATAGATCCCATTCATTCCACCATGAGTGATAAAAGCTTTGGTTTGGGGTGACCTTGTATGCAAATTGAATGAGAAATGGTGAGATATTTTATTATGAATTTTTAAAATAATTTCAGCACCAAAGATGGGAATTATGAGATAACTCACTGAAGCGTACAGCATTTTCTTTAGAAGGTGAGCACATGGAGCATTGCTAGTAAAGATCATTTCTATCTTCAGAAAAAGAGGCATTAATTCCTCCTGAATTTCCTGTCACTCTCATCTTAACAATAGAAAGTGTGAGTCTATCTATACAATTTTAGTCAATCCTTTAATTATATCTGCTTCAAAAGTATAAGTAAAATAAAGTTTTATAATTTTAAATATTTGCTGAATTTGCTCACTGTTTAACATTTATTCATTTTTCCTCATCTAGTTCATATTTTTACTTTCTCATAGGCCTACCAAGAAGGTCAGTCTGGGGTATCCAATCATACAGCTTAGTGCTGGTTCCTAATGTGGATGGTTTTTTTTCCTTTGTACCTCCATAACACCTATGGAAGAAACACATGTACTTCACAGATTGAACTACAGGACATTAGCATTCTAAGTATGTAGATATAGTTATAAATTATACACTCATTGTACTTCAGGTGATGGTTGAGACAGGGGTATGTAGACGTACTGTGTAAACACTAAAAGATATAGTAGGACATTTTACAAAGGTCTTTTCAGATAATGTGTACTTGTTGCCTATTAAGTATACAATTATTATTTTATTATCAATCAAAAATATCTGAAAATGAGAATATCAGTGAATAATTAAAAAGTAATTCAGCACTGGCTACTCAATTTTCTAATAAGAATTAAAAATTTTATAAGTACATGATCCCTATGTCATTTTAAACCATGGAACTATTCTACTTCTACCATCAAATTTACCATTCCCCGCAGATAAAATTTGCTTTCAATTTTGTGTGTGTTTTGGATAATCAGTTGTCTTTTCTTCTCTATTTTCTTTCTGACCTCTGCTTTCTTATATTTAACTGTTTTATTGAAGAAGTATAAGCTAGAGAATTACTTATGTTCCGTTGTTCAATGATAAATTTTCTTTGGGATTGTACCTGTTTTCAATAATTTTTAATTGTGGGAAACCTATAAAAAATGTCATACATTTGAAAAGAAATGATGGCACAGATTTTTCAAACTACTTAACAGATAATTTTGTAATTAAAATTACAAGATTTCACATTCCTAATTAGTGTACTTGCCTTTATTGAGTTTGATGTATTTTAGCTAAATAGAAAGTAAAATATCTTTTGGATAGTTTATATATAGCACTATCTAAAGTGTGAAATTCTGGAATTATAGTAGTAACAAAGTTAAAATCAGTTGAGTATTATAAATAATTACATTACTTAAATAATTAAGTTACTATAATATAATTGCAATTGACATTTAACTCTTAAAAACTCTAATTATTGAGAAAGATTACATTAAGCTGAGCTTTTATTTCTATGCAAAAGTACCATGAATACAGTTTTTATGCACTCAAATATGAGAAGGATATTCTTGAGATTGAGACTGATTCTTCTTTATCTTTTTTTTATCAGTTTTCTTTTTTCTGGTCCTTGGAAATAATAAATGTCAGAACTTATTTTGGAACAGTTGGCACATGCCTTTAGATTTCAAATTGTAAAATAAGATGTAGGGGCTTAATTTATTATTTCTATTTTATTATAAACAAACCACAATCAAGAGTGTTGTTTCCAGTAACAGCAAGGATCAGTAGGCAAAAGCTATACTTTCTCATTATGTGAATAGCTACTTATCAGGATTGGAGGTTTTACTGACCTTCTGTGGGATCTGGGCAAGGGCTGAAGCAATGATATTAACCTTTTCCTCTGTAACATTTTGAAACAGTGACCCCAGAGAAAGCACCACAATACCATCTTCCCATGAACTCTGGACAAAATTTTCCATTTCCTGAAGATAAAAATTTCTCTGCATTACAGAGGTGTAATATGAAAAATATTAAAATAAAGGTTATTTACACTTCTAAAATAAAGAGTTGAGAAATTATTAGTGTGTAGTTATATTCTGTCTCTATATTCTGACACATAGAACCATCTAGTCTCTTTTTAAGAAAGTCTATGTGTAAAACATATGGCTTAAATAAATAATCATTCATGACTAGAAAATGCACACAACCAAAACAGTATACGAAAAGTTTCAGTGATAAGAGTACATCTCTTTTCATGTCTGTGTCACGTAGACACAAAATCCTAAAAACAAAATAATTTCCTAACATGTAAAAATATTTTTGAGTAGTGACATCAGCAAGATGGTGGAACTGAAGACCTCTAGCATCAATCCATCTTAAAAGTACAACTAGCAACTATTCAAATATAAAAATACCACTCTGAATGCACCGGAGCTCAGGAGAAAGGTGAAAAATCTTATTGGTTCATGGAAATTAAAAAATCCATGACCAGAAAGAAGAAAGGTCATTTGTGCTGCATCAACCCATTCTCCAAACCAAAATAGCACCACTCACAGAAAACTTCCCTGTACCTGCAATTACCCAGGTGGAAGAAAATAATTGCAGGTGGACGCTCAGTCCCCATGTCAGGGTGTGAATCATTGTGAGAAATCTTCTTTTTTCCATCCCACAGGAGGTATTAGGAGTGTCAGAAGGACTGAACCACCTGGGTTGAATTGGAAGCAAAGAGCAGAAGCACTAATCACAGCAAATGGCAAACAGATCTTGGCAGACGCTTTGTGTTCCTATCAACAGGGAATTCACATTGATGGGGGGGCTAGCCAGCACTACAGTAGTACAGGAGGCACAATCCAGGGGAAGGCTAGAATCTTTGGTCAGATTTTACAAATAACCCAGGTGATCATACAGAGCCTTTCTCTGACCCAGAAACAACTATCAGGTAAGTAACTAAGTTCTAGTTATTTCTTAAGCCTTCCCCAACCCGGAAATTATTACGGCTTTGGGTTTAAGTTCTGGTGCAGCATTGTGTTTTCATGGTCATGATAAGTCTTCCCCAGACAGGAAAACAACAGCATGGAAGAGATTTAGCTCTAATGCACTATTTAGGTTCTGCTATCAAATATAAGCCATCCTCAGAACAGAAAGAATGCTCAGGGTAGTGATTCAGCTCTGGTATTAAGCAGTAATATTTTAACACCACTGCATAACACATTAAAAAGCTGAATCAAGTGGCCATCTTCTTAAATATGCAGGCATCAATGTAAACAGCAAGTATTGTTAAAAAAAAAAAAAAAAAACAGGGAAATATGACATCTCCAAAAGAAACCAATCAAGTTTCAATAATGCACAAAAAGATTCGAAGATGCTTAAATATCTGACAACAAATTCAAAATAAATCTCTTTGAAAAGTTCAGGAATCACATAAACCATAATCAAAAAACTAAAAGAAACTTGGAAAATAATGCAGACACAATATTAGACATTTCAGAAAGAAATCAAAATAATAAAAAAATGAAATCCTTGAAATGCAGGATAAAATTGTTAAACTGAAAAACTCATTAGAAAACTTTAACAGTAGACTTGATCAAACAGGAAAGAATCAGTAAGCTCAAAGAAAGAAAACATGTAATTACCCAATCAGAGGGATAAAAGTAAAAAGAAAGAATGGCGGCCACAGAAATTTTATGACACTATGAAGGGAACTACCTCCACATAATTTAAGTTTCTAGAGGATATGAGAAAAGAAAGGACTAGAAAACAAACTCAATATAATAACTCAATGTTTTCCAAATTTGGAGAAAGACAATAATATCTGGGAACAGTTAGCTTGGACAACACCAGACAAATTCAACGCAGAAAGTAATTCCCAAAGCACATTATAATCAAATTACCAAAAATCAAAGAACAAAAACAATACTGAAAGCAGCAGGAGAGATAGAAAAACAAAACAAAACAACAACAACAAAACATAACACATTCAATAGTGTTACCAAATGGTTTTCAGTGAATTTTCAGTGAAAACAAAAAAAAAGAAAGAAAGAAAAAAAAGCAAACTTGCAGGCAAGAAGAGAGTGGGATAATATAGCCAAATGCTGAAGTAATCAAAAATTTGAAAAACCTTTAATCCAAAAATACTGTACTCATCAAAGCACTTCTTCATATATGAGGAAGAGATAAAGACTTTTCAAGACAAATAAAACTAGGAGAATTCACCAACACGAAACCTGTTTAAGAAGAAATGCAAAGGGTATTTTTCACTCTAAAGGAAAAGGACACTAACATGTAACAAATAAAAATATAAAAAGTCACTGGTAAATGTAAATATATAGACAAATTCAGAATATTCTAGTGCTCTAATTGAAATGTGGTCTAATGTTCTGGCTCCTTAGAGACTTCCCAAGGGTCTGATTTCTGTCACTGAGCTTAAATCACCTATAGAAACCCCAGCATTTGAATGCCTGGGAATAAAGGCAGTGGGGCAGTTTAGGGCAGTACCAGAAGAGCTGCATTATTACTACAGAATGACAACAGGTGAAGTAAAATATTACAAAATCCTGAAAACAAACAAACAAACAAACAAAAACTGGATTTAACTTAGTAATTACATTCAAAAGCCTGGAGAGGCTACAGCTCTTGGAATGGTTCACAAAACTCCCAGAATCTCTAGGAGGGGTGATAGATGAAGGTATTTCCCTACACTAAGCCAGTACATAAAGACTGGGAGATGTGGGTGTTTCTTTAAATCTCAAAATTTAAACAAAGAAATGCAAAACATGCAGACATTGGAAAGCATGACCTGTTTAAAGGAACAAAGTAAACCTTTTTTCAATCCTGAATGAACAAAGATCTATCCATTACCTGTCAAAAAATTCAAAATATCTTAAATACCTATCAAAAATTTCAAAAATAATTAAAGATGCTCGATTAACTAAAAGAACATAGACAAGTTTTTAAAAATCAGGAAAATAATACATATATGAAATAAAAGTATCAACAAAGACACAAAAATTATAGAAAACAACCACATAGATATTCTGGAGGTAAATAATACAATAACTAAATTGAAAAATTTACTAGAGAAATTCAATAGATGACTTGTTCAGCTAGAAAAAAATAATTCATGAATTTGAAATATTGGCCATTTCAAGCTATTAAGGGAGAGGAGCAAGAAGAATCTCATAATAAAATGAAGAAAGCCGGAGGCTTATGGGACATTGTTAACCTGACCAGTTATGCATTATGAGAGCCCTCATGGGACAAGAGGAAAAGATTGAGATAAAAAGTCTATTTAAAGAAATAATGGCAGGCAGACAATTCCCAAATTTGAGGAAGAATATGGACATAGAATTGTTTTAAAATACAACTACCGTACACTGAGATCAATTCAAAAATTTTGCATCAATAAATATCATAATCAAACTTTCAAAAGTCACAAAGAAAGAATCTCGGAAGCAGAAGAAAAATGAATCATGACATAAAAGGGAACTCACATGGTATTATCAACAAGATACCAGCAGACATCTTTTTAAACCAAAAGTAAGTGATGTAACATATTCAAAGTGTTGAAAGAAAAATCAGAAAAGAAAAAAAAAACCTACCACACAAGACATTCATTTGGCAAACCTGTCATTCAGAAATAATGGAAAATTGAATATTTTCTCGGGTTTAAAAAAGGTTGAAGAAGGTAATTATTACCACACCTGTCCTACAGAAAAGCAAAAAGGAGTCTTTCAAGTTGAAATGAGGGAGACTAGGTAGCAAAATGAATGAATGTAAAAGTATAAATTTCTCTGGTAGAGATAAATATGTAATTAAATATAAAATCCCATAAGTTTTTAATGTTGCTTCACAAGTTTCTTTTAATTCTGATATGCAATTTAAAAGAGAAAAGCATAAAAGTAACATTACATTTATATTAATTGGGACACAACACAAAATATACAACTAGTGATATTGCTAACATAAAGTAGGAATGGGAGATGTAAAGGAATAGACTTTTCATGTATAATTAAAGGGTTTTTTGTTTAAAATGAACTGTTATTTTAAAATGTTTATTTTATTTAATATTTATTTATATTTTATTTTTATAATTTGTAATTATTTTATAATTATATAAAATTAATTTTATATTTTATTTTATTTATATTTTATTTATTTATTTTTAAATTTGTTTTATTATATAATGTTTATTATAAAATACTTCATGCAATCCTCCTGGTAACCACAAAATACACCTATAGAACAAGGGTGCCCAATCTTTTGCCTTCCCTGAACCACATTGGGAAAAGAAGAATTGCCCTTGGACACACATAAAATACACTAACACTAGCCATAGCTGATGAGCTGGGAAAAAATCGTAAGAGAAATCACAGTGTTTGAAGAAAGTTTACAAGTTTGTGCTGGGCCACATTCAAAGCCGTCCTGGGCTGCATGCACCTGTCAGGCTGCAGGTTGGACAAGCTTGCTGTAGAAGATACACAAAAAGAAGTGAAAAAAGGAACCTGAACTTACAAATGTAGCAAAAACAATACTATGAAAATAGTTTATAGTAATAAATGCCTATGTTAAAAAGAAGAAATATCTAAAGCAATCTAACTTTACATATCAAAGAACTGACCAAAATTATCAGAAAGAAAAAAGTAATAAAGATTACAGCAGAAATAAATACAATAGAAAATAGAGAAAAATCAGCAAAACTGAGTTATTGCTTTCTTTTTTTGAAAAGATCAACAAAATCAAGAAATTGTTTTCTTGATTAAAAAAAGCGAATAGTTGTATAATTAAAATCAGGCTGAGCATGGTGGCTTATGCCTGTAATCCCAGCACTTTGGAATGCTGAGGCAGGCTGACTGCTTGAGCCCAGGAGTGGGAGACCAGTCTGGGCAACATGGTGAAACCCTGTCTCTACTAAAACTACAAAAATTAGCCAGGTGTGGTGGCATGCACCTGTAGTCCCAGCTACTCAGGAGGCTGACATGAGAGAATCGCTTGAACTCAGGAAGTGAGGGTTTCAGTGAGCTGAGATGGTGCTGCTGCTGCACTGCAGCCTGGAGACACAACAAAGACCAAGCCAAAAACAAAAAGAAATAAGAAAGAGAAGACATTACAACTGATGCCATAGAAATAGGTTGCAAGAAAGAAAATATTGGTAAATAATTTATCAGCTAAGTGTTTTATATTCAAAATATATGACAATTCCCTATAATTTAATAGCAAAAATTCAATTAAAATAATTCAAAGACTTGAATACACATTTATTCAGAAAATATAGACATATGGCCAAAAAGCATATGAAAAGATGCTTAACATCACTAATTATTAGAGAAATGTAAACCTAAATTACAATGAACTATCACATCATAACCATTAGCCACCTCAAAATATTTTTGAATACATATATTCACACACACACACACCCCCCCCCCCACACACACACACAGCCCAGAAAACAAAAAGTATTGAAGATAATATATATAAATAGGAGCTCTTGTGCATTATTGTTAGGAATGAAAAATGGTGACACCCGTATAGTTAAGGTATGGAGGTTCCTCAAAAAAATAAAATAAAATAAAATTACCATATGACCCAACAATGTTACTTCTAGGTATTTATCCAAAATAATTAAAAGTAGGATCTCAAAGACATATTTGCACATCCATGTTCTTTGCAACATTATTCACAATAGTCAAGAGAGCAAAGCAACACAAATGTCCATGGATGGATGAATGGACAAAGAAAACATGGTATATAAATGAAATGAATGATTTTTTTAGCTTGTAAAAAAGGAAAATTCTATTCTATCGTATGTGACAACATTGATGAAGCTTGAGGATGTTATAACAAGTTGAATAAGCCAGTCAAAAAAAGATAAATACACATATAAGTGATTTCACTGACATGTGGTGTCAAAAGTAGTAAAACCCATAGAAAGAGAAAGTGGAATAGTGGATACCAGGGGCTGGAGTAAAGGGAAAATGGTATGTTGTTCAATGTGTTTTCGAAGATGAACATTTTCTAGAAACCTGTGGCACAAAAATGTAAATATACTTTAACATTGCTGAATTGCAAACTTAAAAATTGTTAAGATGGGAAATTGTATGGTAACTTTTTTAACACAACCAATCACTCAGAAGTTACAAATAAAATTGAAATTTTTAAAAGTTACATAAGTTTCACTAAACTTCAAAAAAAAGCTCCCTTAAAAGTAGTGTGTATACCATCTAGACTGCTTTATTATTTATTAATTTTTAACTCTCCATTTTTTACCCTCTCTCTAACTACTCATCTACTTTGAACTTGGTTTGTATTGGATATCAATTAATCAACATAATCTCAAAGACCTAGCTCTAATTTACATTCCCACCAACAGTGTAAAAGCATTCCTATTTCTCTACAGCCTCACCAGCATTTATTGTTTCTTGACATTTTAATAATCACCATTCTGACTGGCGTGAGATGGTATCTCATTGTGGTTTTGATTTGCATTTCTCTAATGATCAGTGTGTTGTGCTTCTCTCCAAGGAACATGCTTTCTCACATTCAGGAGGCTAGAAGTGTGTAATCAAAGTGTGATTAACAGAGTTGGTTTCTTCTAAAGCCATTATGATTGGTTTGTAGATGGTTGCCTTCCTTCAGTGTTTTTACATGGACTTCCTTCTCTGTGTTTGTCCTTATGTCCATATAAGATATTCTCTATATGCCCTCATTTTATATTAGTTTTTTCCATAATGGCCCTGTCTCCAAATGTAGTCCTATTCTGAGGTACTTGGGGTTAGAACACAAACAAATGAATTCTGAGTAATGAGCCATGACTCAGCCCATAAGCACTATTTAACATTTCAAAATAAATTATACATTTTGACAAAAAAAATACCAATAGTAGAGTATGCATTCTCAATATCTATGCTTTCTATTATCCCAACATTAAGATAAACAAAGTGAAAATAAATAAGATGTCCAAATGAACATTCCAATAAATCTAAAGAAGAGAATCCAAATCTTCTTATTAGAACAATTAAGATCTCATGGAAAACTTTCTTAGACTCAACCAGAAATCCTTTCCGTTGTATTTAATTTTAAGTGCATAAATTCCTATTATATAAAATTATTTTAGAAAGCTTTTATGTAATTTGTGCTATATTGCTTAATTTGATGATCTTTTCCATGAGGACAGCTATATTCCACTTTGACTATTGGAATAAGTAGGCTGTCCAAAGTCCAGACTCATTCACCATCAATTGACTGAGAAATTAAAGCATGAAACACATTTAGGATGAATCTGGCTTATGAGCTTGCTGTACTTATTTTAAACCAAGGGTAAATTAAAGGAAGAGTTGGTCATGAAAACTGTGAATGTCTTCTGTGTGTGTGTGTGTGTGTGTTTGGTTTTGTTTTTTTTTTCCTGCTGAATCTGTGTTTCTTTGACTCTGGAAAGTTTGGGAAAGTACTTGTCTGGCCCATGAATTTTAGTCACTCAATTTAAAAGTTATTCTAGAAAAACTCCAACTTGATGGATATGAGATAACCATGTTAGCACCTCCACCAAGCCTTCTGCTTGATCATGCTGATTCCTTTTAATGTGAAGGTTCTCCTACTTTCAGTAAACTAAGAAACCCTCACAGAAGATATCTTTGCTTTTCTCTACAAAGCTTCTTTAGAACTGCAGAGTCTTTCATGGTGTGGCAGGCAAATAAAAATAAGGAGTTACTCAGCAGGCTGTAGGCAGCCAAGTTTATTTGTTTTGCTGACCCTTTAGCTTACTATGGAGAATTGATGGCTGGGCTTCTCAACATTTCATTTATATATTCGTTTCTGGTTTCCCATGGGAATCCCAGATGTCTTACCTCTTCTTTGTATATTCCCGGCAGCACATCAGGATTGATGAAAAACATGCCTTAAATGCAGAGGCTAAATGTTTTGCTTTGTATTTTTTGTTTGTTTGTTCTTGGTTTTGAGAGGGTTTTGGTCTATCTAACTTGCGATCTGCTGGTATTATATGTTATATTTCCAGAACGGTATGAATAGTATAGGTCATAGTAAAGGATTATTATCCTTATCATTAATATTTAATATTTAAATTGTGATTAAATATTTAACATTGTTGAAATGATACTGTAGTACGGTAATAGATTTAAAAAGATACTGAAGGAGTGAGGCTGAGGTATCATACTCATTTCGGTAAGTATGGAAATACTGACAATATTTTTTGTAGATTAAGTAATAAACTATTACTACCACAACATTTTAGAAAAGGAATATTTATTATATTTTCACCTAAACCCTTTCTGATGTTTCTTACTCTTTGTAGTATCTCCGTGCCTTTTATATTGGATGTGATTTTATTGCATTTATTCTCATTTGCTCATGGTTTACATTTCTTGATGGTTTGACTTGGTTTCTAGAGTCAGAATTAAGTTTAGGTTCATGATGCAGTAATGTAGCCCTAAAAATAAATATTGATTTTATTCTTCTTTTGACAAATGACAGAAAAGCAGGAAGATATTTCTATAAAGAATCATAATTTTAGGCTTTGGATTATATATGAAAGGAACAAGTGGGAAATATATTCCTCTTTAATTTCTTATCAATTTTGTTTTCAAATTCAGCTTATATCTGTTTACAATAAAAATTATCTGATATTTTTATGTGTTATATCATTTCAGCTGTTCTTGCTCCCTTACTTTCCCACAATATAAACTGATGCAAAGGACTAAACTGCAAAAACATTTGCAAAATAAATTTTATGCTTATCTGGTGTGCATAGTTCAGAGTTATGTCCTTTTGTTATTCCTGTGATTCCTGTTTTGAATGCCTAAATTCTAACTTAAAAATCAAATATTTCTCTCTACCACATGTCATTGAACATTAATACTATTTTGATTTACTTAATCATGATTCCTCTATGTCAGCTCACATACATGATGTACATTTAAAGTTCTATTGAATTCAGTACCATAACTAAAAAATATTGATGATCTCTGTTTGAGAATTTAGAATACAGTAATTCTAAATTTAAATCATAACCTGACACAGATTATTGTAAAATTTTTCTTCAATTCAAAGCTTTTATGTGTCTAGTAGGTATAATTATTACAGTTTTACTTATGTATTATCATTGTAAGTTCTTTTTATAAGAAAAAAACAGAGACTCAATAAAATTGGTAATGTTACATTATATTCATGTAGAAATATATTTTTAAATTTATTTAAGGAGCATTTTTAAATAAATATTGTGCGTGCTCTCAAAATTAAACCTATATCATATGTATAAAAGTAACAATATTTTACTTTATTGTAAAGCCTAAGATATATATTTATGCTAGAACGAACCTCTTACATTAAATTTGGAATATGAATGACTTAACCCATGTCATAAGTGGCCTATTTATTTTAATATACACTTTATAAGCTCCATTCATGCCAGGTCCTGAGCTAGCCCCTCATGATACAAAGATAAATAAGGCTTCACTATAATAAGTTCTCTGTCTCTTTCTTTCTTTCTTTCTCTCTCTGTCTCTCCATTTCTCCCATCTCTGTCTGCCTGTCCTCACACTCCTTCACCACACTATCATGTGGTATACTAAAATGAAACAAATTCAGAGAGTATTGTTCCATATATACATTTCTTTCTTAGAAAGAAGAGAGAGAAAAGATACAAATTTAAAGCAGTTTTAGGATTTGTTTCTGGGATGCAATATTAATTAGTACATGACATACACTAGATAACTGCTGCTAGAGTATCCATTAAAGAAAACACAAACACCCCCACTACACATACACACTAATTTACTCACGATGGCTCTGTCTATATATATATATGTATATATAAACATGTATTTTAAAGTAAATATAGAAATATACGATATATTATGTTATGTCAATAATAATCAAAACAGTAGAACAATCTAAAAATCTCAATTTTCCTAATTAGTTTCCCATTGCTAATTATTTCAAAATCATAAATATTTTTCATTCATTAAAATAAAGACAAATTTGAGATTTTTCTCCATATCTGATCTTACAAGAATTCAAAAACTATTCATGAGCATTTTAATTTAATATCAATAAATTATTTTCACAAGTTCAGTTAGTATAATTTCTCTGTATATGGAAGCAGTAGAAATGTCAATTCAGTTGCCAAGGTTTGACAAAAGGTACCATTTGTGACAATGTGGATGAACCTAGAGGGTATTATGCTAAGTGAATTAAGCAAGTTCAAGAAGGACTAATATGGGGGGCAGTTCCAAGATGGCCCAATAGGAACAGCTCCAGTCTATGGCTCCCAGCATGAGCGGCACAGAAGATGGTTGATTTCTGCATTTCCAACTGAGGTACTGGGTTCATCTCACTGGGGCTTGTCAGACAGTGGGTGCAGGACAGTGAGTGCAACCAACCCATGGAGTGTGAGCCAAAGCAAGTCCAGGCATCTCCTCACCCAGGAAGCACAAGGGATCAGGGAATTCCCTTTCCTAGCCAAGGGAAGCTGTAACAGATGGCACCTGGAAAATCAGGTCACTCCCACACTAACACTGCGCTTTTCCAACAGTCTTAGCAAATGGAACACCAGGAGATTATATTCCATGCCTGGTTCGGAGGGTCGCATGCCCATGGAGCCTCACTCATTGCTAGCACAGCATTCTGAGATTGAACTGCAAGGCAGCTGTGAGGCTGGGGGAGGGGTGCCCGCCATTGCTGAGGCTTGAGTAGGTAAACAAAGCGGCCAGGAAGGTGGAACAAGGTGGAGCCTACCATAGCTCAGGAGGGCTGCCTGCCTCTGTAGACTCCACCTCTGGGGGGCAGGGCATAGCTGAACAAAAGGAAGCAGAAGCCTCTGCAGACTTAACTGTCCCTGTCTGACAGCTTTGAAGAGAGTAGTGGTCTCCCCATCAAAGAGTTTGAGATCTGAGAACAGACAGACTGCCTCCTCAAGTGGGTCCCTGACCCCTGAGTAGCCTAACTGGGAGGCACCCCCCCAGTAGGGGCAGACTGACACCTCACACGGCCAGGTACCCCTCTGAGACAAAGCTTCCACAGGAACGATCAGGCAGCAACATTTGCTGTTCAGCAATATTAGCCGTTCTGCAGCCTCTGATGCTGATACCCAGGCAAACAGGGTCTGGAGTGGACCTCCAGCAAACTCCAACAGACCTGAAGCTGAGGGTCCTGAACGTTAGAAGGAAAACTAACAAACAGAAAAGACATTCACACCAAAATCCCATCTGTACGTCACCATAAACAAAGACCAAAGGTAGATAAAACCACAAAGATGGGGAAAAAACAGAGCAGAAAAGTTGAAAATTATAAAAATCACAGTGCCTCTCCCCCTCCAAAGGAACACAGCTCCTCATCAGCAATGGAACAAAGCTGGATGGAGAATGACTTTGAAGAGTTGAGAGAAGAAGGCTTCAGATGATCAATCTTCTCCAAGCTAAAGGAGAAAGTTTGAACCTATCACAAAGAAGCTAAAAACCTTGAAAAAAGATTAGACAAAGGGCTAACTAGAATAACCAGTGTAGAGAAGTCCTTAAATGACCTGATGGAGCTGAAAACCATGGCAGGAGAACTATGTGACACATGCATAAGCTTCAGTAGCTGATTCGATCAACTGGAAGACAGGGTATCAGTGATTGAAGATCAAATGACTGAAATGAAGCGAGAAGAGAAGTTTAGAGAAAAAAGAGTAAAATGAAATGAACAAAGCCTCCAAGAAATATGGGACTATGTGAAAATACCAAATCTATGTCTGACTGGTGTACCTGAAAGTGATAGGGAGAATGGAACCAAGTTGGAAACCACTCTGCAGGATATTATCCAGGAGAACTTCCCCAACCTAGCAAGGCAGGCCAACATTCAAATTCACGAAATACAGAGAATGCCACAAAGATACTCCTCAAGAAGAGTAACTCAAATACACATAATTGTCAGATTCACCAAAGTTGAAATGAAGGAAAAAATATTAAGGGCAGCCAGAGAGAAAGGTCGGGTTACCCACAAAGGGAAGCCCATCAGACTAACAGTGGATCTCTCAGCAGAAACTCCATAAGCCGGAAGAGAGTGGGGGCCAATATTCAACATTCCTAAAGAAAAGAATTTTCAACCCAGAATGTCATATCCAGCCAAACTAAGCTTCATAAGTCAAGGAGAAGTAAAACACTTTGTAGACAAGCAAATGCTGAGAGATTTTGTGGCCACCAGTCCTGTCTTACAAGAGCTCCTGAAAGAAGCACTAAACATGGAAAGGAACAACTGGTACCAGCCAGTGCAAAAACATGACAAATTTTAAAGACCATCGATGCCAGAAAGAAACTGCATCAACTAACGAGCAAAATAACCAGCTAACATCATAACCACAGGATCAAATTCACACATAACAATATTAACCTTAAATGTCAATGGGCTAAATGCTCCAATTAGAAGATATTTTATCCAAATTGCTAGTTGGATAGTCAAGACCCATCAGTGTGCTGTATTTAGGAGACCCATATCATGTGCAGAAACACACATAGGCTCAAAATAAAGGAATGGAGAAAGATCTACTAAGCAAATGGAAAACAAAAAAAGGCAGATGTTGCAATCCTAGTCTCTGATAAAACAGACTTTAAACCAACAAAGATCAAAAGAGACAAAGAAGGCTGTCACATAATGGTAAAGGGATCAATTCAACAAGAAGATCTAACTATCCTAAATATATATGCACCCAATACAGGAGCACCCAGATTCATAAAGCAAGTCCTGAGTAACCTACAAAGAGACTTAGACTCCCACACATTAATAACTGGAGACTTTAACACCCCACTGTCAACATTAGACAGATCAACAAGACAGAAAGTTAAAAAGGATATCCAGGAATTGAACTTAGCTCTGCACCAAGCGGACCTAATAGACATCTACAGAACTCTCCACCCCATATCAACAGAATATACATTCTTCTCAGCACCACATTGCAGTTATTCCAAAATTGGCCACATAGTTGGAAGTAAAGCACTCCTCAGCAAATGTAAAAGAACAGAAATTATAACAAGCTATCTCTCAGACCACAAGGCAATCAAACTAGAACTCAGAATTAAGAAACTCACTCAAAACCACTCAACTACATGGAAACTGAACAACCTGCTCCTGAATGACTACTGGGTAAATAAGAAATGAAGGCAGAAATAAAGATGTTTGTTGAAACCAATGAGAACTATGAAACAACATAACAGAATCTCTGGGACACATTCAAAGCAGTGTGTAGAGGGAAATTTATAGCACTAAATGCCTACAAGAGAAAGCAGGAAAGATCTAAAATTGACACCCAAATATCACAATTAAAAGAACTAGGGAAGGAAGAGCAAACACATTCAAAAGCTAGCAGAGGGCAAGAAATAACTAATATCAGAGCAGAACTGAAGGAGATAGAGACACAAGAAAGCCTTCAAAAAATCAACGAATCCAGGAGCTGGTTTTTTGAAAAGATCAACAAAATTGGGAGACCACTAGCAAGACTAATAAAGAAGAAAAGAGGTAAGAATCAAATGGATGCAATAAAAAATGATAAATGGGATATCACCACTGTTCCCACAGAAATGCAAACTACCATCAGAGAATACTATAAACACCTCTATGCAAATAAACTAGAAAATCTGGAAGAAATGGATAAATTCCTGGACACATACACACTCTCAAGACTGAACCAGGGAGAAACTGAATCCCTGAATGGACAAATAACAGGCTCTGAAATTGAGGCAATAATTAATAGCCTACCAACCAAAAAAGGTCTAGGACCAGATGGATTCACAGCTGAATTCTACCAGAGGTACAAGAAGGAGCTGGTACCATTCCTTCTGAAACTATTCCAATCAATGGAAAAAGAGGGAATCCTCCCTAACTCATTTTATGAGGCCAGCATCATCCTGATACCAAAGCCGGGCAGAGACACAACAACAAAAAAGAATTTTAGACCAATATCCCTGAGGAACATTGATGGAAAAATCCTCAATAAAATACTGACAAACTGAATACAGCAGCACATCAAAAAGCTTATCCACCATGATCAAGTGGGCTTCATCCCTGGGATGCAAGGCTGGTTCAACATACACAAATCAATAAACATAATCCAGCATATGAACAGAAACAAAGACAAAAACCACATGATTATCTCAATAGATGCAGAAAAGGCCTTTGACAAAATTCAACAACCCTTCATGCTAAAAACTCTCAATAAATTAGGTATTGATGGGACGTATCTCAAAATAATAAGAGCTATTTATGACAAACCCACAGCCAATATCATACTGAATGGGCAAAAACTGGAAGAATTCCCTTTGAAAACTGGCACAAGACAGGGATGCCCTCTCTCACCACTCCTATTCAACATAGTGTTGTAAATTCTGGCCAGGGCAATGAAGCAGGAGAAAGAAATAAAGGGTATTCAATTAGGAAAAGAGGAAGTCAAATTGTCCCTGTTTGCAGATGACATGATTGTATATTTAGAAAACCCCAACATTTCAGTCCAAAATCTCCTTAAGGTGATAAGCAACATCAGCAAAGTCTCAGAATACAAAATCAATGTACAAAAATCAAAGGCATTCTTATACATCAATAACAGACAAACAGAGAGTCAAATCATGAGTGAACTCCCATTCACAATTGCTTCAAAGAGAATAAAATACCTAGGAATCCAACTTACAAGGGTTGTGAAGGACCTCTTCAAGGAGAACTACAAACCAATGCTCAACGAAATAAAAGAGGACACAAACAAGTGGAAGAATATTCCATGCTCATGGATAGGAAGAATCAATATTGTGAAAATGCCTTCACTGCCCAAGGTAATTTATAGATTAAATGCCATCCCCATCAAGCTACCAATGACTTTCTTCACAGAATTGGAAAAAACTACTTTAAAGTTCATGTGGAACCAAAAAAGAGCCCTCATAGCCAAGTCAATCCTAAGCCAATAGAACAAAGCTGGAGGCATCATGCTACCTGACTTCAAACTACACTACAAGGCTACAGTAACCAAAACAGCATGGTTGTGATACCAAAACAGAGATATAGACCAATGGAACAGAACAGAGCCCTCAGAAATAATACCACACATCTACAACCATCTGATCTTGGACAAACCTGACAAAAACAAGAAATGGAGAAAGGATTCCCTATTTAATAAACGGTGCTGGGAAAACTGGCTAGCCATATGTAGAAAGCTGAGACTGGATCCCTTCCTTACATGTTACACAAAAATTAATTCAAGATGGGTTAAAGACTTACATGTTAGACCTAAAACTATAAAAACCATAGAAGAAAACCTAGGCAATACCATTCAGGACATAGGCATGGGCAAGGACTTCATGTCTAAAAGACTAAAAGCAATGGCAACAAAAGCCAAAATTGACAAATGGGATCTCATTAAACTGAAGATCTTCTGCACAGCAAAAGAAACTACCATCAGAGTGAACAGGAAACCTACAGAATGGCAGAAGATTTTTACAATCTACTCATCTGACAAAGGGCTAATATCCAGAATCTACAGTGAACTCAAACAAATTTACAAGAAAAAAACAAACAAACCCATCAAAAAGTGGGCAAAGTATATGAACAGACACTTCTCAAAAGAAGACACCTATGCAGCCAACAGACACATGAAAAAGTGCTCACCACCACTGGCCATCAGAGAAATGCAAATCAAAACCACAATGAGATACCATCTCACACCATTTAGAATGGTGATCATTATAAAGTCAGGAAACAACAGGTGTGGGAGAGAATGTGGAGAAATAGGAACAGTTTCACACTCTTTGTAGGACCGTAAACTAGTTCAACCATTGTGGAAGACAGTGTGGTGTTTCCTCAAGGATCTAGAACTAGAAATACCATTTGACCCAGCCATCACATTACTGGGTATATGCCCAAAGGATTATAAATCATGCTACTATAAAGACACATGCACACTTATGTTTATTGTGGCACTATTCACAATAGCAAAGGCTTGGAACCAACCCAAATGTCCAACAATGATAGACTGGATTAAGAAAATGTGGCACATATACACCACGGAATACTATGCAGCAATAAAAAAGGATGAATTCATGTCCTTTGTAGGGACATGGATGAAGCTGGAAACCATCATTCTCAGCAAACTATCACAAGGGCAAAAAAACAAACAATGCATGTTCTCACTCATAGGTGGGAATTGAACAATGGGAACACATGGACACAGGAAGGGGAACATCACACACCGGGGTCTGTCGTGGGGTTGGGGGAAGGGGGAGGGATAGCATTAGGAGATATACCTAATGTAAAAGATGAGTTAATGAGTGCAGCACACCAACATGGCACATGTATACATATGTAACAAACCTGCACGTTGTGCACATGTACCCTAGAACTTAAAGTATAATAATAAAAAAAGGACAAATATTTTATGATTCCACTTATATTAGTTAAGTAAAATAGGCAAACTAATTGAAGCAGAAATAAAATAGTGATTTCCAGGGGTTTGGGAGAGAGAGAAATGGGGAGCTGTTGTTCAGTGGGTATAAAGTTTCACTTATGTTTATGAATAAGCATAGAAATTTGCTCTACAATATAATGCCTATAGTTAACAACACGGTATTGTACACTTAATAATGTGTTAAGAGGGTCAATCTCATGTTAAGCATTATTACTATCAAAAACAAAGAGTGACAAAGAGAGCTTTTGTAGGTGATGGATATGTTTATTACCTTCATTGTTGTAATGATAGCATCATAGGTGCATGTATATGTCAAAACTCATCAATTTATATATATATAAATAATATAAATATATAAGTAAAAATACTTGCAGGTTTTTTGTATATCAATTGTTCTTCCTTCAGTAAAGCTATTAAAATTATATGCATCTATTTTTGAAATTTATATGATGCATTTCTCTTATTGATGTACAAATTATTTCTTTACAGGAAATCAAAGAATTCATTGAAATCTCTGGAGAAAATGCTATTGTGGTTTTTATTGGAATTGGTGATCAAAAATTTCACAGAGAGAAACACAAATATAGCAAAATAATCTTTCCTAGATCCGACAGAACTTTAAATTTTAAACTCTATATCTGATTCTTAAAATTATTTCCCACAAAAGGAGGTAAAATTTCAAAATTCAGGTTTCATTAAACACTGCAAATCTTGACTTGCACTGTTTTCAGAAAGTTATGTCAATATAAATAACAGATGACATTTTGATATTATGGACCGAAACCCAGCTTCTGTCTATAACATAAGAAAAACAAGTGAATGCCTTACTTTATCCATCACCCAGGCTCTATAATAATGAATTTTCTAAATAAAGTGGGAAGTCTGTGAGCAGCATTAAAGGAAATCATGTTATCACTTCAATCATCTATTAGGGAGTTTAAAATTCTGGTAAAAGAGTGAGTTGACAAAGTCTGGCTTTCATTATATAATGATAGCTAGAGATATAATGACAACTCCTATCTCTGTTACTAGGCCTTCTTTTCCAAGCTAAGTTCAGTTTAAAATTTGGAAACAGCATATTTCTTTCGAGAGAGATGACATGGATCAAAATGAGTCCACTTACATTTTGACCGTAGAAGAAATGAACGACCAAAAGCCAATCCCCAAAATTGGAACAAAAGTCAGTCCAAACAAGTTGGACTATAATTCTCTGAACTTACTGTCTCCTGGATTGTGCATGCAGAACAGGGCATAATTAAGGTACTTTTGAATAATCCTATAAAAACGTTAACATTCTGAGGTGAAGAAGAAGTGGACAGATTTAATCTTGAATAAAACTGAGTAGATTCAGTTCTAACCTATAAAAGAAAGTATTTTTTCTATAAAGTCTTATAGTTGCTTTCTTAAAAGCAATATATAAGATCATTCTGTGCATTTTTAAAAAAATCATGTTTGCATATTAACAGTCTTTTGTGTTTTCATATAAATTTTAAGTTTTTTCAATTCTATAAGAAATACCATAGGAATTTAATAGAGATTGCAGTAAATCTATTAATCACTGTCAGGAGTACAGACATTTTAATAATATGAATTTTCATGTGGTCTAGCAAAGGTACTCCATCTGGAACAGGGGATGCCAGTGGAGCAACTACTTGGTGGAAATTGCAGGAGTCCACTACCAGACTCTAGGATCTGTTGGATTTTGCAGTGGTCAGACTTTTAATCAAAGATGTAATGGAGCCCATCATCCTGCATCCTTTAAACCTTTAAGGTCTTTAATTTTCACAATCCCCAGGCATGTAATGCAATATTATTTTCCATTTTCTTGGTCACCTGACATCTGTGGTAATGGAGGAATGAAGAAGTTGCATGCATATAGTGAATTGAATAGATGTCTTTGCCAAAAATGTGTGCAGTGAGTAACCTCCAGAATCTATTAAAGTGAATTTAATGGAGAAAAGATCTTTGCAGATGTAAGTAAAGTAAGAAAATCAAGACAAGTTTATTCTGGATTTACGATGTGCTTTAAATCCAATGACAGATATTCTTATAAGGAGAAAGGCAGGAGGATCCCTTGAGGCCAGGAGTTCAAGATCAGCCAAGTCAATATAGCAAGACACAGTTTCTTTTGAAAAGAATAAAGGCAGGATAAAACTAGTAAGAAAGAAAAGAAAAGATGATGCTGAGGAAACAGAAGTTGGAGAGAAGTCACAAGCCACGGGATTCCAAGAATTGTCGGTAACCAATAAAGGCCAAGAGACAGGCATTGGTTGTTTCCCTCCTAGAGCCTCCAGAACAAATGAACCCTGAGAACACAGATTTTGACCTTCTGGCTTAGAGAGATAAGAATAACAGAGAATAACTTCTGTTTTAAGAAGCCAGGAAACTAATGCAAAGAGAATCCACTTGGCTTTTTCCACTAAAATGACTTGTATCCAGACACCAATGATACAATTTCACGGTTTTCTAAAGACAAAGTGGATCTAAAAAATTATGCATTTTGGAGGCTGAGGAAATCATCAGTTATCCTAGGGATGCCACTCTCCATTTCAGGAAAAAAAAAAAAATTATGGAATCAGTAGCATGTAAGTTTCCTTGGTTTTACAGTTTACTGTTTTTTTTCCCCTGGAGCCACTGGTGTCTTCTTCAGTCAATAAATTTCAGGTCTGAAAACACACTTAGGTCCAGACCCTTGACAATTTACTGTGATTTCTAGTGAGGACAGCTGCCCTCAACTTTTTAGTATCCATTCTTGAACTCTTCTGGTATTATAGATTGAGAAATTCCCTTGCTCACCTATCTATTTTGCCCCTAGTGCTATCTTCTCTGTTACTATATACACAGCTTTCATAAATTAGGTCTTTCTGGATAACACCCCAGTCTTAGTGCTCTTGTTTATTTTGACCATCTGCCTTCTGAAGGTCTCTATTATTTCAATATCTGATCATAAATCATATCAGTGAGATTGGTTTGGTAAGTCCAAAAGGACCTAGCCCTCAGAGGGTAGACATATTGAACATTCATTATAACTTCAGCAAACATTCTATAGATTTCCAACATGGTATAGGATGTCTATGTTAATGTATCCACTGTCATAAGCCTTCTGATTCCCTCTTTCATTCACTGTCAAGGGAGTTCCAGCACACAAGCTTCATTTTGTAGTAGCCACAGTCTTTCCCAAGATTATGGAGATATCTTAGTAGTAGTCTGTTACCACTATCTCCTGAAGTTTGAGCAGAAGTATTAAATTGTTTCCTTTGAGAGTGCTTCAAAATAAAAAAGGAAAGTGATGTTGAATTTTTTGAAAGCCTTTGCTGCATCTATTGAAATGATTGTGGTGTATTTCTTTTTAGTCTTATGTATGTGGAGAATCACATTTATTTATTTGCATATGTTTAACCAATCTTGCATCCTAGGATTAATGCCTACTTGATTGTGGTGGTTAGGTTTTGATGTGCTGCTGAATTCTATTAGTTAGTACTTTGTTGAGGATTTTTGTGTCCATGTTCATGATGGATATTGGCATGATATTTTCTTATCTTCCTGTGTCTCTGCCAGGTTTTGGTATCAGAGCAATCTTGGCCTCATAGAATTAGTTAAGTAGGAGGCCCTCCTCTCCAATTTTTTGAAATAGCTTCAGTAGGATGGCTAGTATTTCTTTTTATATGTATAAAAGAATTTGGCTGTGAATCTCTCTGATTCAGGCCTTTTATGTTTGCTGGACTTTATATTACTGATTCAATTTTGGAACACATTTTGGGTCACTTCAGGATTTCTATTTCTACCTGGTACAACTTTGAGATGATGTAAGTGTCCAGAAATATATCTGCTTCTTCTAGGTTTTTAAGTTTGTGTGCATAGAGATATTCATAATGATCTTTGCAGGTAGTTTGTTTTTCCTGGGGTCAATGATGATCTTCTCTTTGTCATTTCTGATTGTGTTTATTTGGATCATCCCTTTTTTATTCTTTTTTAGTCTATCTAGTGATTTATCCATCTTATTTACTCTTTCAGATAACAAACTTTCAGTTTTGTTGATGTTTTTTAATGATTGTTTGATCTCAATTTCATTTTAAAAATCCCTGAACAAATTATGAGTTAAATAAAAATACTCAAAAATAGTGTGAGCCATCTGTGAAAACCCACAGTCAACATCATACTGAATGAGCAAAAGCTCAAAGGATTCCTCTTGAGAACTGGAAAAAGGCAGTGATGGCCACTCTAACTACTGCTATTCAGTATAGTATTGGAAGTCCTAGCCAGAGTAAAAGAGAAAAATAAAAGGCATCCAAATAGAAAGAGAGAAAGACAAACTATCTCTCTTCACAGAGTTATCATTTTATACAGTGAAAACCCTAAAGCCCCTGTCCAAAAGCTCCCACTTCTGAAAAACAACTTCAGCAAAGTTTTGGGAGACAAAATGTGTGTACAAATATCAGTAACATTTTTTTATACCAACAACCTCCAATCTGACAGCCAAATCAAGAATGCACTACCATTTACAACAGCCACAGATAAGATACCTAGAAATACAGCTAACCAGGGAAGTGAGAAATCTCTACCCAAACATTACAAAATGCTGTTGACAAAATTAGAAGCAATACCAACAAAAAGAAATATGTTTCATGCTCAATTATAGAAAAATTAATATTGTTAAAAAGACCATACTGCCCAAAATACTTTACTGATTCAGTGCTATTTCTATCAAACTACCATGAACATTTTCAATGAAATTAGAAAAAAAATTTTCTAAAATTCCTGTGAAACCAAAGTAGCCCAAAAGTTAAAACAGTTCTAAGAACAAACAACAAAACCAGAGGCTTACAATACCCAACTTCAAACTATAATACAAGGCTACAGTAACTGAAACAGCATGGTTCTGGTACAAAAATAGACACATAGACCAATGGAACCAGTTAAAGAACTCAGACATAAAGCAGTACACCTACAGTCATCTGATTTAAACAAAGTCAATAAGAACAAGCAATGGAGAAACAACTCACTATTCAACAAAAGGTGCTGAAATAACTGGCTGGCCATATGCAGAAGACTGAATCTAGATATCTTCTTTTTACCATACGCAAAAACCAACTGAAGATGGGTTAAAGATGTAAATGTTTAACTGATATGCTTTGGCTGTGTCCCCACCCAAATCTCATCTTGAATTGTAGCACCTATAATTTACATGTGTTGTGGGAGGGATCCAGTGGGAGGTAATTTAATCATAGTGGTGGGTCTTTTACATGTTGTTCTGGTGATAGTAAATAAGTCTCATGAGATCTAATTGTTCTATAAAGGGGAGTTTATAGAACCTCTCTTACCTGCTGCCATGTAAGATGTGGCTTTGCTCCTCATTCACCTTCCGCCATAATTGTGAGGTCTCCTTGGTTATGTGAAACTCTGAGCCCATTAAACCTCTTTCCTTTATAAATTAACTAGCCTTGGGTATGTCTTTATTAACAGCATAAGAATAGACTAATACAGTAAATTGATACTAGGTAGTGGGGTACTGCTGTAAAGATATCAGAAAATGTGGAAGCAACTTTGGAACTAGGTAACAGGCAGAGGTTGGAACAGTTTAGAGGACTCAGAAGAAAAAACAGAAATATGTGTGAAAGTTTGAAACTTTCTAGAGACTTGTTGAGTGCTTTCACCAAAATGCTGATAGTGATATGGACAATAAAGTCCAGGCGGAGGTGGTCTCAGATGGAAATAACGAACTTGTTGGTAACTGGGGCAAAGGTGACTGTGTTATGTTTTAGCAAAGATTGGTGGCACTTTCCTCCTGCCCTAGAGATTTGTGAAACTTTTAACATGAGAGAGATGATTTAGGGCATCTGGTGGAAGAAATTTCTAAGCAGCAAAGTATTCAAGAGGTGACTTGGGTACAGACAAAAGCATTCCGTTTTACATATTCACAAAGATAAGGTTTGGAATTGGAACTTATGTTGAAAAGGGAGGCAGAGCATAAAAGTTTGGAAAATTCATAGCTTGGTGATATGATATAAAAGGAAAACCCCATTTTCTGAGGAGAAATTCAAGTTGCAGAAACTTTCATAAGTAATTAGAAACCAATTGTCAATAACCAAGACAATGGAGAAGATGTCTCTATGGCATGTCAGAGGTGTTCCTGGCTGCAGCCTTTCCCATTACAGGCTAGGAGGCCTAGAAGGAAAAAATAGTTTTGTAGGCCAGGCCCAGCACCTTGCTGCTTTGTGCAGTCTCAGTACTCGGTCCCCTGTGTCCCAGCTGTGGCTAAAAGGGGCCAAGGTAGACCTCAAGCCATGGTTTCAGTGGGGCAACCCCCAAGCCTTGGCAGATTATTAGCTTTGATGTGGGATTGAGCCTGTGGGTACACAGAAATCAATAATTGAGGCTTGGGAACCTCTGTCTAGATTTCAGAAGATGTATGGAAATGCCTGGATGTTCAGGTAGAAGTTTGCAGTAGGGATGAGACCATCACAGAGAAACTCTGCTAGGGCAGTATGAAAGGAAAATGTGTGGTGTGAGCAACCCCCTGCAGCCCCCCACCCCAACACACACACAAACAGAGTCCCCACCAGAGCACTGCCTAGTGGAGCTGGGAGAAGATGGCCACCATCCTCCAGACCCTAGAATGATATATCCACAAACAGTTTGGACCACCCAACTGGAAAAGCCACAGACACTCAATGCCAGCCCATGAAAGCACCCAAGAGGAGGGCTGTACCCTGCAAAGCCACAGGGGTTGAGCTGCCCAAGGCCATGGGAGCCTACCTCTTACATCAGTGTGACCTGTATGTGAGACATGGAGTCAGAGAATATCATTTTGGAGGTGACTGCCCCTTGGATTTTACTGCCTTACCTGGATTTCGGACTTGCATGGGACCTGTAGCCCCTATGTTTCGGCCAGTTTCTGCCATTTAGGAGTGTTATTTACCCAATGCCTGTATCCTCATTGTATCTAGAAAGTAACTAACTTGCTTTTGATTTTTAAACTCATAGGCAGAAAATACTTGCCTTATGTCAGATGAGACTTTGGACTGTGGACTTTTGAGTTAATGCTCAAATCAACTAAGACTTTGGGGAACTGATGGGAGTGCATGATTTGTTTTGAAATGTGAGGACCTGATATTTGGAAGGGGCCAAGGGAAGAATGATATGACTTGGCTGTGTCCTCACCCAAATTTCATCTTGAATTGTAGCTCCCATAATTCCCAAATGTTGTGGGAAGAACTTGGTGAGTGGTAATTGAATCATGGTAGCACATCTTTCCCATGCTATTCTCATGACGGTGAATAAGTCTCTTGAGATCTTACAGTTTTATAAAGGAGAGTTTCCCTACACAGGCTCCCTTGCCTGCTTCCATGTAATACATGACTTTACTTCTCATTTGCCTTTCATCATGATTGTGAGGCCACCCCAGCCATGTGTAACTGTGAATCTATTAAACCTCTTTCCTTTATAAATTATCCAGTCTCAGGTATGTCTTTATTAACAGCATGACAACAGGCTAGTACAGTATCCTAAAAGTATAAAATCCTAGAATAAAATCAAGAGAATAGAACATAATTGAACTAAAGAGCTTCTGTGCAACAAAAGTAAGTATCAACAGAATAAACAGATGACTTACAGAATGGGAGAATATAATTGCAAGCTACTCATCTGATAAAGGTCTAATATCAAAAATCTGTAAGGAACTTAAACAAATTGACAAACCATACACAAGCAACTCCATTAAAAAAATGGGCAAGGGACATCAAGAGAGAATTCTCAAAAGAATATATACACAGGGATGTGTTCAAGATGGTCAACTAGATGCAGTCAGGATGTGCAACTGCCACCAGGGGAACACCAGGTTTTTTATCATATCATCATAATTTGAACAGATCTTTGGAGAGAAAATGCTGAATGTGGATGGAGAAAAGGAATAGTCACTGAGGCTGAAGCAGAAGAAGGCTGAGAACACTGAATGGGGTGCCTTAATACAGCTGATTCTCTGCCCTGAACAGTTTCTAGGGAAGACCTGAGTGAAAGGACTAGTAGATAGCTCCCTCTCACTGTAGACATCTGGAATCCTGGCTAGATGGGGCTCCATACCTTCAGGGACATGTGGACTGGCAGAGGGGTCTCCCAGAGATTACACAGAGATGAAGCTGCAGACAAAAAGCCAGGGACCTTTGTGCATAGGTCACCTCTGGTGGAGCCCAACCATAAGTGCCCACATACCATGCACATCTATTTCTAATAGGTTCTGGCCTTAGCTAACCAATGGGGAGAGAGGAGAACCTACTTTCAAATGGAACTGTGACACATATGTTCTGCAGGAATACCGGCCCACCAGAACCCTCAACCCCATGGCCCCTCTCTGGCTGCCCCATAGAAGCTTGTACACAGTACAGCCTCTGTTTGCCAGTTTGAGTGCTTTGCTCCATCTGAATGCATTCTGGCACTTTGGAAGCCCTTCAGGTTTTACACTGCACCCAAAATCCAACCCCAAGTGACCACAGCAGTGAGCTACAAACAGGGTCCCAGTGCCCCAGGGCTGTAGCCTGCAGCTTAGAAGTGCACTGCTGGTGGCTATGCTCATCACTTGAACAAGGAAGGAGACTACACTCTCTGCAGTCTTGGAGAGCTGGGGCACACAAATGCACGGGCTTGTGTAGGTTCCTCCACAGGGTTGTTTCAGTGAAGGTGTGGCCTGTTGTCCTACCAGACTTCTCCCCAAGTGAGCCCCAGTAGACCTGACTATATCCTCAAATATATTCTCCAAGTTGCTAATTCTCTCTACTTCTCTCTCAGGAAAGACAATGAGTCAGAGATTTGGTCTTTTTAGATAATTGTATTTTCTCAGAGGTTTTCTTTATTTTTCTTAATTTTTTTTTCTTTATTTTTGTATGACTGGTTGATTTGAAGAACCAGTCTTCAAGAAGGAGCAGGTCACCTACAGAGTTAATCCCATCAAGCTAGCAGCAGACCTCTCAAGGAAGTTTATAATCCAGAAGAGACTTGGGGCCTGTTTTCAGTGTCCTTAAAGAAAAGGAATTCCAACCAACAATTTTGTATCCTCCTGAACTAAACTTACTAATGGAAAGAGAAAAAAAAATTCTTCTCTGGCAAGCAAATGCCGACAGAATATATTTCTAGTAGACCAGCAGTGTAAGAAGTCTTTAAGGGCATGCTACTTATAGATTCAAAAGAATTACCCCTTCTACCACAAAAGCACACTTAAACACATAGTCCACAGGCACTATAAAGAAACTACGTAGTCATGTCTGTATAATAACCAGCTAAACACACCATGAAAGGATCAAAATCACAAATATTAATACTATCCTTGCAGCATATACAGAGACTCTCACTGAATGTACACAGGCTAAACGTACCACTTAAAAGACATAGAGTGTCTGATATGCCAGACACAAGAGTATGTTGTATTCAATAGACCCATCTTACCTGTAATTATACCATAGGTTCGAAATGAAAGGGTACAGTAAAAACTATCCTGCAAACAGAAAATGAAAAAGAGAAGGAGTTACTATTCTTATGTAAAACAGACTTTAAGTGAATAAAAATTTAAAAGGACAATGAATGGCTTTACCTAATAATAAAAGATACAATCCAACAAGCAGTTTTTATTGTCCAAAATATGTTCTCATCCAACATTGGTGCAGACAGATTTATAAAACAAGTACTTCTTGGCCTATGAAAAGACTTACCCAATCATACAGTAATAGTGGCAGGAGTTGACACCACATTGACAGCATTAGATAGATTATTGAGGCAAAAACCTAACAAAGAAACTCTGGACTTAAACTTGATGCTTGACCAATTGGACCTAAAGCTCTACAGAACACTCCACCCTACAACCACGTAATATACATTCCACTCATTTTTACATGGAACATATTGTAAGATCAACAACAAACTTTCTCATGAAGCAAGCCTGAATGACTTAAAATAATTGAAATCATACCAAGCACAAATCATAGGTGGGACATAAACTGTCCTGCAAGGAAGAGGACACTATATCATCTTCAAACAATGAAAAAATGCTATCCCTTAACAGAAAGGAATGGACTACTTTTGCAGATTCAGAGTTCAGGGGAGTGTAGATACTGAAGATTTTAACTACAATGAATTATTTCTCAAATGTCTTATAATTTCACTGTATCGAAACTGAGACCCTAAACCTGGTTAGTGATCAGACTAGGCTGGGAATTCAGCTAGAACTGAACTGGTCTTATTTTTAAAATTCAGTCCTGGACTTAAGATTCAGATTCATTTGGTGATGGGGACCAGGTGCTTCTGCATGAAGTGAGAGTCTCTGTATATGCTGCAGTTAGGGAATCAGGAGTGTAGGAGAGTCAGAGTAATGTGATTTTAAGTTCAGCTCCCTATAAACACACACATCTGCAATGAAGAGTCCAGATGTCCCAATATTCATAACGATATATGCTTTCAAGATAATAACAGTCATGTTTTGATATTTTCACACAGGAAAGTGTCAAGGATAGTTTTCTTGGAATAAATAGAATAATCAATTTTGTCCTGTTGTCTGACCACCCACGACTAGATACAGCTTAATTAATCTTTACAGATACAAGACTTCTATATAAGAAAAACTTAAAACAAAGGTGTTGCATTCAACTCCTTGCCTTCTGAGGATGCCCTACTGTGTAATGTCATAGCTTTTAATAAACTATCTTTTCTCACTGTACTCTGTGACTCACCTTGAATTCCTTCCTGTGTGGAATCCAAGAACCTTCACTTCATGTCTGTATCAAGACCCCTTTTTCCAGTAACACTTCCAAGGAGACATTTCTGGCTTTCACCATTTGCCTTAATTTGATGGTTATTAGTCCTCACTCTTCTATTATTTTCTCCCAAGCCTTAACTCTGTGGAAAAAAACATTTGCCTGTATTGTGATCATAATTTCTACTGTTCCCATATTGATAAATATGTGATATATCCTAATAACTAATGTTTTCCCCTCAAAAGATTTCCATCATAATTTACCATTACTGAATGTATGAAAAATTTAAATTGTCACATTCCAGGGGCTATTTGTGTTCTCTGTACCAATAGTGATAGGGTTCTCATTACACTTGGTAGTGAATAATCCAACTCTACAATCTCATTTTCTTGTCTGTTCTTTTTTTCTGACCTCTCTTGGTACATATTATCAAATGCTCAGTGCCTTGAAGAAGTAGATTCTAAGCTGAATATTTTTTGAGGGAGATAATTAGAGAGTTTTCCTGGAAATAACATCTGTGAAAAAGTAGGAAGCAGGATTGGACAGTGGAACAAATTAGGACATAATTCAGTGCAATGGTCTGAATGTCTGAATGCCCCCAAAATTCATAAGTTATAATTATAATAACCAAAATTACTGTATTAGCTGATAGAACCATTTAGGAGGTGTTTAGGTCATGAAGGCAGAGTCCTCATTAATGGAATTAATTCTTTTGAAAAATATGCTCACAATAACTCATTCATCTCTTTCCCCCATTAAGACATGGTGACGAGTTGCCATCTTGGAGGAATGCCCAATACCAGCATCTTGATGGTGAATCTTTCAGCCTCAAGAACTGTGACAAATAAATGTTTGTTGTCTGTAAGCTAGCCAATGTATGGTATTTTTCTATATAGCACCCTGAGCATGCTAAGACATGCAGTCTCAGCATAGCTTTTGTCTCACCCACTGGGAGCTCTGAAGCTGTTAGGCCTTCAGAGTTGGTCCAAACTGAAAAGGGGAGAATGGGCCTTTAGAGTCCTACATGTGACCAGGCATTGGATATGGGCTGTCTTGGAAAGGTCACTATATGCTAGATAGCTTTCAGCAGGGTTGTACTGAGAGAGAGAGCTTATAGGTGAGGTATGTCAGTTGTTCATCACTTCATCAGCTGGAAAGTAATTTCTATATTCCCAAAAGGGGAATCTGGGTGACACGTAATGCATGCACTCAACGACAATAAAAACATTGAACAATATTGACACTCTGCAGGCAATATTTTCTCAGAAACTGGGTTTGAATATCCTTTTAAGAAAGATTTACCTCATTGCAGGTTAACAGACCATTAATAGAATAAAAACATGTTTGTCTATTTTGTCACATGCATCTTTTCCTTCTTAATTCTACTTTGATGGAAATTTCTGGTGAGATTTTTTTCAAAATACAACTTGCCTGAATTACAAGGCAATCTGCAAAACAAGTTCAGGAGTAGGCACTTAGAAGATAAATACTTTCTAAAAGTGAGAAATATAAGGAATGTTGCAAATATTCAGGAAGGGATAAGATTTTGATTTAGGGAAAATATTTTCAAATAAAGCAAAGTAACTGAAATTGTACTTTGTCAGATGCATAACTGGGAAAAATATTCTCTCCTTCTATATGTTGTCTGTTCACTCTGATGATAGTTTATTTTGCTGTGCAGGAGACCTTTAATTAGATCCCATTTGTCCATTTTTCTTTTGTTGTAATTGCTTTTGGTGTTTTCATCATAAAATCTTTGCTTGTTCCTAAGACTTGAATGGTATTACCTAGATTTTCTTTTAGGGTTTTTAAAGTTTTTGTTGTTACATTTAATTCTTTAATCCACCTTGAGTTAGTTTTCATATAAAGTATTAGGAAGTGGTCCAGTTTTAATTTTCTGCATACAACTAGCCAGTTCTCCCAGAGCTATGTATTAAATAGTAAACCCTTTTCTGATTGTTTTTACAAGGTTTGTCAAAGATCAGATGGTTGTAGATGTGTGGTGTAATTTCTGAGGTCTCTGTTCTACTCCATTGGACTACCTGTCTGTTTTTGTACAAGTATTATGCTGTTTTGGTTACTATAGCTTTGTAGTATAGTTTGAAGTCAGGTAGCATGATACCTCCAGCTTTATTCTATTTGCTTAGGATTGTCTTGGCTCTACTGACTTTTTAGTTCCTTATACATTTTAAAATAGTTTTTTTTTTTTCTAATTCTGTAAAGCATGTCAATGGTAGTTCAATGAGAACAGCATTGAATCTATAAATTACTTTGGGCAGTGTGGCCATTTTTATGATATTGATTCTTCCTACCCATGATCAAGGAATGTTTTTCCATTTGTTGGTGTCCTCTCTGATTTCCTTGAGCAGTGGTTTGTAGTTCTTGAAGAAGTCCTTCACTTCCCTTGCTAGTAGAATTCTTAGATATTTTATTTTCATGGTAGCTATTGTGAATGGAAGTTTATTTACTATTTGGCTCTTTGCTTGCCTGTTGTTGGTGTACAGGAAAGCTACCAATTTTTGAACATTGATTTTGTATTCTGAGATTAATGAAGTTGCTTCTCAGTTTAAGAAGCTTTTGGACTGAAACAATGGGATTTCTAGATAAAGAATCATGTTATCTGCAAACAAAGATAATTTTACTTCCACTCTTCTGATTGAATAACTTTTATTTATTTCTCACAACTGATTGACCTGACCAAAACTTTCAATAAAATGTTGAATAGGAGTGGTGAGAGATGGCACTGTGGTTTTGGGCTGTTTTTCAAGGGAAATGCTTCCAGCTTTTGCCCATTCAGTATGATATTGGTTGTGTATTTATCATAAATGGCTCTTATTATTTTGAGGTATGTTCCTTTAATGCCTAGTTAATTTAGAGTTTTTAATGTGAAGAAATGCTGAATTTTATGAAAGGCCTTTTCTGCATCTATTGAGATAATCATGTGTTTTTTGTCTTTAGATCTGTTTATGTGATGAATAACATTTATTGATTTTTGTACATTGAACCAAACTTGTATTCTGAGGATGAAGTCATCTTGATTGTGATAGATAAACTTATTGATGTGTTGCTGGATTTGGTTTGTCAGTATTTTAGAGGATTTTTGCTTTGATATTCATCAGGGATATTGGCCTGAAGTTTTGTCGTTGTTGTTGTTGTTGATGTTGGAGTCCCTCCTTTACGATCATTTGGAATAGTTTCAGAAGAAATAGTATCTCTGTTAGAATTCAGCTGTAAGTCTATCTGATCCTGGGATTTTTGTTGTTGGTGGTGGTGGTAGGCTATTTATTACTGCCTCAATTTTTGAACTTATTATTGGTTTATTCAGGGATTTAATGTTTCCCTGGTTCAGACTTGGGAGGGTGTGTGCATCCAGGAATGTATCCATTTCTTCTAGATTTTCTAGTTTATGTGCTAAAGATTTTTAAAGTATTCTCTGATGGTTGTTTGTATATTTGTGGGGTCATTGGTGATATCCCCCTTATCATTTCTGACTGTGTCTATTTAATTCTTTTAAGTTTTCTTCTTTATTAGTGCAGATGCGGTCTATTTTGTTAACTTTTATTCAAAAAAAAAAAAAAATACAGCTCCTGAATCCCTTGAGTTTTTTGAAGGATTTTGTGTGTCTCTATCTCATTCAGTTCTGCTCTGATCTTGGTTATTTCTTGTCTTCTGCTAGCTTTGGGAAGTTTTCCTCTTGGTCCTCTAGTTCTTTTACTTGTGATGTTAGGTCATTGACTTGAGATATTTGTAGCTTTTTGATATGGGGCATTTAGTGCTCTAACTTTTCCTCTTACCACTGCTTAAGCTGCATCCGAGAGATTCTGGTATGTTGTCTCATTGTTCTCATTAGTTTCAGAGAACTTCCTAATTTCTGCCGTAATTTTATTATTTACCCAGGAGTCATTCAGGAGCATGTTGTACAAGTTCCACATAGTCTTGTGATTTTGATTGAGTTTCTTAATGTTGAGTTATAATTTATTTGCATTGTGGTCTGGGAGACTGTTTGTTATGATTTCAGTTCTTTTGCATTTGATGAGGAGTGTTTTATTTCCAATAATGTGATCAATTTTAGAGTAAGTGCCGTGCAGCCATGAGAAGAATGTATATTCTGTTGTTTTCAGTTGGAGAGTTCTCTAGATATCTATTAGGTCTACTTGATCCAGAGCTGAGTTCAGGTCCTGAAAATCTTTGTTAATTTTCTGTCTCAATGATCTGTCTAATATTGTCAGTGGAGTGTTAAAATCTTCCACTATTATTGTGTGGGAGTCTAAGTCATTTTGGAGGTCTCTAAGAACTGGCTTTATGAATCTGGATGCTTCTTTATTGGGTACACATATATTTAGAATAATTAGCTTTTTTGTTGAATTGAAAACTCATCATCATGTAATGTCTTTTTTTTAATATTTGTTGGTTTAAAATCTGTTTTGTCAGGAACAAAAATTGTAACTACTGCTTTTTTTCTGTTTTCCTCTGCTTGGTAAATTTTCCTCCATCCCTTTATTTTGAGCCTATGTGTGTCTTTTCATGTGAAATAGGTCTCTTGAAGACAACATACTGATGGAGCTTGACTCTTTATCCAGCTTGCCATTCTGTGTTTTTAATTGAGGCGTTAAGTCCATTTACATTTATGGTTAATATTGTGTCAATTTCATCCTGTCATCATGATGGCTATTTTGCAGACTTGTTTACATGGTTGTTTTATAGTGTTACTAGTCTGTGTACCTTGGTGTGTTTTTTGTAGTCACTGGTAACGGTATTTCCTTTCAATAGTTAGTAGTTCCCTCAGGAGTTCTTGAAAGGCAAGCTTGGTGGTGATGAATTTCCTCAGCATTTGCTTGTCTGAAAGGAATATGATTTCCCTTTCACTTATACAGCTTAGTGTGTCTGGTTATGAAATTCTGGGTTACAAATTCTCTTCTTTAAGAATGTTGAATATTGGTCCCAAATATCTTGTGGTTTGTAGGGTTTCCAATGACAGGTTGTTAGTCTGATGGGCTTTCCTTTGTAGGTGACCTGGCCTTTCTCTCTGGCTGCTCTTAACACTTTTCTTTCATTGTGACCTTGGAGAATCTGATGATTATGTGTCTTGAGGTTGATTTTCTCATGGAGCATCCTGCTGGGGTTCTCTGGATTTTCTGAATTCAAATGTTGCCCTGTATTGCTAAGTTGGGGACATTCTCCTGGATTATATCTCAAAGTATGCTTTCAAACTTGGTTCCACTATCCCTATCTCTTTCAGGTACCCCAATCAATCATAGGTATTTTTATATAGAGCCATAGTTCTCAGAGGTTTTGTTGATTCCTTTTCATTCTTTTCTCCTCTATTTTTGTCTGCCTGTCTTATTTCAGAAAAATAGTCTGCACACTCTGAGATTCGTTCCTCTGCTTGGTTTATTTGGCTATCAATACTTGTTATTGTGTCGTGAAGTTCTCATGTTGTGTTTCTCAGCTTCATCGGGTCATTTATGTTCCTCTTTAAATGAGCAATTCTGGGTTTGAGCTCCTGTAAATTTTTCTTGAGATGGAGTCTTGCTCTGTCACCAGGCTGGAGTGTAGTGGCATGATCTCAGCTCACTGCAATGTCCACCTCATGGGTTCAAGTGATTCCCCTGCTTCAGCCTTCTGAGTAGCTGAGACTACAGGTGTGCACCACCACACCTGGTTAATTTTTTGTGTTTTAGTAGAGACAGCCTTTCACCATGTTGGCCAGGATCATCTCAATCTCCTGACCTCAGGATCTGGCTGCCTCAGCCTCCCAAGGTGCTTGGATTGCAGGTGTTAGCCACTGTGTCCAGCCCTGTATTGTTTTATTATGATTCTCAGCTTCTTTGTCTTGTTTTATAACATGCTCCTTTAGCTCAGTGTAGTTTGTTATTACCAACCTTCTGAAGCTGACTTTTGTAAATTCAGCCATCTCAGACTTGGCTAAGTTAGGTGCCCTTGCTGGAGAGTTGTTTCAATCATTTCAAGAAGAGGCACTCTGGCTTTTTAAATTTTCAACGTTTTTGCATTGATTCTTTCTCAACTTTGTTGAGGTTGCTGACCTTTGAACGGGTTTTTTATGGGCGTTTTTTTTTTTTTTGTTCATGTTGTTGCTGTAGCTTTCTATTTGTTTGTTTTTCTTTTAACAGTCAAGCCCTCCTTCTATAGGGCTACTGCTGTTTGCTACGGTTCAATCCAGACTCTAATACCCTCTGTTACAGGCTGAAAGAATGAGGGTCCTGACCAACTCAGTATACCACTGGAGCAAACAGAAAACTGTTCTCATGAAAGCAGGATTTGGAAAACTGATGACTGTGTCTGCCCCCAGAAAGAGTGCTGAGGGCAGTCACACCCCAAGCACAGTGTTCCTTGTGATTACCTATAGAAGTATCTGAAGCCTGTTGTACAAAGAAAGCAATTAAGTGTACCTGTGATAAATCAAGCAGCTGACCAACCATTACCTCTCCCTCCCTCCTATTTCTACCTTATAAATACGAAGGGCTGTAGAAGCTTAGATCCCTTGTTCACTAGAAACAAGGAGCCCCCTGTCACCTTCTTTTAAAACAGATCTTTCTGTCTCTGTCTTCATTTCTCCATTCATCCCCCTTCATTCAATCCTGTAGCAACTGGCAGTGACAAGTGGTGCCCAGGACAGGGACATGAGCAAAGAAGGTCTGCTGGAGCAGAGAAAGTGAAACTGACCAGATGAGCAAGAAACCTTGGGACAAGTCTACTGGCAGCTAATATAAGGTTAGTGCCCTAAAGAGGTACTGGGAATGGGAAGTTTTCTGAATCAGGGTAACATGGGGCAGAATCTATCTATTCAGGAGCAACATTATGTGCAGTTGCTTAAAGTTTTACTTAAACAATCTGGTGCTCAGGTTAGTTCTCAAACATTAACTAAGATGCTGAAGAAGGTCACTGTACATAACCCATGGTTTCCACAGATGGGCACTCTCGATGTGGAAATTTGGAACAGAATAGGAGAAGGATTAAAACGAGCTCATCAAAAAGGTCTTAAAGTTGACCCTTCTGATTTCTCCACTTGGAGTTTGTTTCTTACTGTCTGTCTGCCATTATCTCCTTATTCTGCTGGACAGCAGGAGTCATGTTCTGAGTCTAAAAATTTAAAAGAATCTGTTGTCCCACCCATGCCTCTATGAATCAATGGCCCCTATCACAGGAGAAACTAACTCAACTCTATCAGCTAGTAAAAGAGCAATTGGATGCAGAACATATCGAAGAGTCAGTTAGTCCCTGGAATTCACCAGTATTTGCAATTCCAAAAGAGTCATTAATGCACAAATTAAACCAATGGGCGCATTACAGCAAGGTCTGGCATCCGCGGCAGCCATTTTAATGGACTGGCCTCTCTTAGTAATAGATCTTAAAGATTATTTCTGTACTATACCCTTCCACGAGAAGGATAAGCCTCGATTTGCCTTCTCTGTGCTTTCTATCCATCAAAGACAACCTGGTTCTCATTATCAATGGAAAGTTTTACCACAAAGCATGCTTAACAGTCCTGTGCTATGTCAGCATTTTGTAGGACAGGCATTAAAGGAGCCTCGGAATATGTTTCCTACTGCTTACATCGTTCATTATATGGAGGATATTCTTTTGGCCACTCCTACAGATCAAATTTTACATCAGTTATTCAGAGAAACAAAACAGGCTTTGATTAAATGGAATCTCAAAATAGCTCCAGAAAAGGTGCAAACAACCTCCCCACATCGGTACTTAAGCACTATTGTTACTGAAAGAAGTGTTCGACTTCAGAAAGTAACTCTCCGTAGGGACAGATTACAAACACTGAAAGATTTCCAACAATTGTTAGGGGATATTAATTGGCTGCGCCTGATGATAGGTATTGCTACTTATCGACTCAAACACCTTTATCAGACCCTCCAAGGAGATTCTTCATTAGACTCTCCTTGGCAACTTACTAAGGAGGCAGAAGCTGAATTACAGCTTGTAGAACAAATGCTTCAGTGAAGACATGCCTCCTGGCTACAGCCACAAAAGCCTTTGCTTCTGTTTATTCTTCCAACCCCCTACTCTCCAATAGGAATTTTGGGCCCATTTATAGACAAGTTTGTAATGGTAATAGAATGGCTTTTTCTATCCAATCAAACAGTAAAATCTTTACAAGTTTATCTTTCTTTAATTACTCAACTTATAACTATGGATAGGCATAGATCAAAAATGTTTACAGGATATGACCCAGACAAAATTATTGTTCCCTTGGATTTCCAACAACAGGCTGCAGCATGGGAAATGTTGACTGCTTGGCAAATTGCTCTTGTGGATTTTGTAGTAATAATAGACAACCACTATCCATCAGGCAAGTTTTGCAATTTTGTAAAGTTCACCCTTTTATCCTCCCTGTGATTACTTATCACAAGCCTATTCCAGGTGGCCAGACTTATTTCACTGATGGCTCTTCCAAAGGCTGAGCAGCTATTTATGGACCTAAGCATACTCAAACAATAAAAACCTCTGGAGTTTCAGCTCAACACTCAGAATTAATGGCAGTTATTGAGGTTTTACAGCTCACTGCTTCAACTCCTATTAACGTTGTCTGTGATTCAGCCTATGTTGTAAATGTAGCCAGTCACATTGAGACTGCCACTATTAAAAGCACCCTAGAACCAGAGCTGTTTAACTTGTTTCTAAGACTTCAGCAAGTTATTCATTCTTATGCTGCTCCTTTACATATTTCTCATATTCACTCTCACGCACAACTTCCTGGACCACTATCTGTAGGCAATGACAAAGCAGATAAATTGATTGACTCTGTGTTTCAGCAAGCTCAAGCCTTTCATACATTATTGCATCAAAACACCTCACCCTTACTTGTATGTTTCATCTGCCTCGTAGCCAGGCTCGAGCTATTGTGCAAGCCTGTCCCACTTGCCAGTATGTCCCTGGTGATATACCCATAAAAGGATGTAACCCACGAGGCTTAGCTCCAAATGAAATCTGGCAAATGGGTATTACACATATAGCAGCCTTTGGCAAGCTTAGCTGTGTTCATGTGACTGTAGACACTTACTCTCATATGTTACATGCTACGTGTCAAACAGAAAGAGCTGGCCATGTACAGCGGCATTGTTTATTGTCATTCGCCCATATGGGTGTTCCTAAACCAATAAAATCTGACAATGGACCTGCTTATGTTAGTCATGCTTTTCAAAATTTTTTATAGTTATGGGAAATTACTCATAAGACAGGAATTCCTTACAATCCCTGAGGACAAGGCATTATAGAGCTGGCACATCAAACATGCATTACATTTATTAATGTAATTGATGTAACTAACATACAGTGTATGTTGAAAAAAACAAAAAGGGGGAGTAGGAGACCAGCTACCACCTCAAATAAAATTACATTTAGCCTTATTTACTTTAAATTTTTTAGCTCCTGTTACAGATAATAAGACTCCGGCAGAATGACAGTGGCAAATGTTAAAGGGAAAAAAGTTTACCTAAAGGTATTATAGAAGTCCCCAGAAGAAGGGCAATGGAAAGGCCCAGTAGATTTACTAACGTGGGGATGAGGGTATGCTTATGTTTTTACAGGACATGGACAAACTGTGTGGGTTCCCCCACCATGTATGTGACCATGGAATGGGAGACTGGAGGGACCCATGGATCCCAACCATGGGCCCAGCTCCTCCAATATGAGCCATGAGCCAGTTGAATCTGAATGCAAAGACATGGGGACAGATCAAGAAAACCACACAAAAAGCTGAGAAACTGCTAGAGCATCAGGGTGAGGCAAAAACCCCTAACTCCAAGTTTATGGCCATGTCAGCTGTAATATCCTGTGCAGTATGTTTTCCCTGTGCAGAGGCAAAAACATATTGGGCATATGTTCTTAACCTCCCAGTAGTATGACCGGTACTCTGGACTGGCAATCCTCCTGAGTTATATCATGATCAAGGAGTATGGGCACCAGGACCCTTAACTCCCCCTGACACAGAGCAATTAGACTCTCAGGACAATGGTATCAATTATACTGCTCCATTGGAGGGACTTCCTTTATGCATCACCCAGGATACATCACTCAACTGCAGTTTCCTTGCAATTTAATCCCAGGCATGATTGAGTTACCATAGAAAATATATGTGCCACGCAACCATGTATACAAATGTAACAAACCTGCACATTGTGCACATGTACCCTAGAATTTAAAGTATAATTTAAAAAATTGTCTTTCCTGACACCTGGCTTTTCAAATTAGGAAAAAGCTGAAGTTTCAAACAAGTGGTAGAAAAATTCTGAAAATTAATCTTGCAGAATAGGTTATCTATGTGAATATATTAACTAAATTCAAAAGAGTTATAAAAGGTTTTTGCTTCTTTAACGTTTCTGAGTCATCATTTTGGCAAAATAAATGACTTATAGTAATTTGGAATTCTGTTTTACAATATCAAATGCTTTAAATATACTAAAAAGGCTTTCCAAAATCAAACTTTGGTTTCAAAATTGTCTTTCCTCACATGCACACGTATGTTTATTGCAACACTATTCACGATAGCAAAGACTTGGAACCACCCCAAATGTCCATCAATGATAGACTGGATTAAGAAAATGTGGCACATATACACCATGGAATACTATGCAGCCATAAAAAGGGATGAGTTCATGTCTTTTATAAGGACATGGATGAGGCTGGAAACCATCATTCTCAGCAAACTGTCGCAAGGACAAAAAACCAGACACCTCATGTTCTCACTCATAGGTGGGAATTGAACAATGAGAACACTTGGACACAGGAAGGGGAACATCACACACTGGGGCCTGTCATGGGGTGGGGGGAGGGGGGAAGGAAAGCATTAGGAGATATACCTAATGTAAATGATGAGTTAATGGGTGCAGCTCACCAACATGGCACATGTATACATATGTAACAAACCTGCACGTTGTGCAAATGTACCCTAGAACGTAAAGTATAATAGTAAAAAAAAGAAAATATTTGTGCCTATTGGGCCTCAGCTCTATTAATATTTCTAGTGCAGTTACTAATCACTCCTGGTCTCATCGCCCAAATTGTATTAATTATACAGAATGGGTTCCCTTTGATAATTCTAACTCCCCTCCTTGGACCCAGTGTCTTGGCTCCCTAGCTAGACAACAGTCCATGCTGATGGGAGACATTATTGACTGGGGTCCCCATGGTCACTTGGTTGGGAGAGATGAGCATCAGACCTCATGGCATGAACTTCACTGCCACTGGTGGCAAAACTTTAACATCTCTTTGCCACGTCACATTGGGATTCAATCCGAATCTGCTGCGCAAATTACTTGGCATGGCGCAGGCCTTAGCCCACCTTTGCCTCAATGGCATTCTCAAGGAAAGAGAGGTCCAATCCAGAATTCGATATGCAAAACAGCACTCCCATTTATTAATGGCAGCATTTGAGTTGGGACATTATTCAATAATAATAACAGTGCTAAATGCAGTTTTAATATGATCATGGTAGAAAATATTACCACTCAATTTATAATTTGTGCTTTAATTCTTACGTTTTCTTAGTAGCAAAAAAGGACCAACTCCAGGTGGATGATGCCCAGTCGACTTGTGATTCCTGTCAACTTTATCATTGCCTTAATCAAAGCACAATACAGACACATGATATATCCACCCTAATAATTCTAGGTTGCATTCCCAGATTATGGATTCCTGTAAATCTGTCTGAACCTTGGGTGGCCACCCCCATTTTACATCTTATAAAACTCTTTTTTACTCAGCTTACTCATCGTGCTCGTAGAGCCTTAGGCATGATAATTGTTGCTATAGTCTCCTTAGTTACATTGATAACCTCTGTTGTGATGTCCTCAGTAGCAATGCATCGCTCTATTCAAACAGCTCAATATGTAGAAAATTGGACACGCACAGCTGGCCAGGCATGGATGCTTCAAAATAAAATTAACGCTGAAATATGAACAGAGGTGGCAATGTTAAAGGCTACTGTTCTTTGGCTAGGAGAACAAATAACAAAGTTTGCAGTTGCATCAGCAATTGCATTGTCATTTTAATCATACTCATATTTGTGTGACCAATTTGGAATATAACCAAAGTGAATATTCCTGGAGCCTTGTAAAGGCCCATTTACAGGGAGCTTTCACATCCAATGTTACTTTTGATATTAATGATTTACAAAGTAAAATCCTTAACTTCGATAAGCAAACTCAAGTGTTTCAGCCCTGTTTAAAAGCTTGGGCAGAATTCCAACAAGGTTTAGAGAGCCTTAACCCTTGGACCTACCGCAAACAGCAACTCAATGTCTTTGTTGTTACTATTGGATTAATGTTATTATGTTTCTGTTTTTTGTTCATAGTCTTCAAAATCAGGTGGACCACCAAATGGCAATTGAGAGCTGCAGAACCTGCAATTACCTTTATTCAATTAATGAAAAAACAAAAAGAGGGAGATGTTACAGGCCAAAAGAATGAGGGTCGTGACCAACTCAGCATACCACTGGAGGCTATATGAGCAAACAGAAAACTGTTCTCATGAAAGCAGGATGTTGGAAAACTGATGACTATGTCTGCCCCCAGAAGGAGTGCTGAGGGCAATCACACCCCAAGCACAGTGTTCCTTGTGATTATCTGTAGGAATATCTGAAGCCTGTTGTACAAAGAAAGAAATTATGTGTACCTGTGATAAATCAAGCAGCTGACCAACCATTACCTCTTCCTCCCTGCTCTTTTCACCTAATAAATATGAAGGGCTGTAGAAGCTCAAAGCCTTTGTTCACTAGAAGCAAGGAGCCCCTGACACCTTCTTTTAAAACAGATCTTTTTGTCTTTGTCTTCATTTCTCCATTCATCCCCCTTCACCCAATCCCATAGCAACTGACAGCAACAGCCTCGGTCTCTCACACACCTGGAGGTATCACCAGTAGAGATACCTCCTTTGGCTGGGGGTAGGGACTCCCCTGGCTTGTGGCACTCTGGGGTGGGCTGTCATCCCACTCCGCTTTTTCTCACTCTCTGAGTTGTGCCAACTGCTAAGTCAGTCCCAATTTGAGAACCTTAATTCCTCAGTTGAAGTTGCAGAATTTATTCACTGTTTTCATTCTTCTCCATGAGAGCCATGGACCACTGCTGCTTCTAATCAGCCATCTTGGCCCACCCCCTCTATTTCACTCTTAAAAATACACAAAAATTTAAAAAAAGATCAACAAGGAAATAGAATACTAGAAGAACACTATAAATCTTCTAGCTCTAACACACAACTATAACACACTCCAAAAAGCAGCTACATATTTAATATTATCAAGTGCATATTAATATTTCCAAAACAAATCATCACTTGACCGGAAAAGCCTCAATAAGTTTAAGAGGATTGAAATAGTATGTGTTATTTTCTGAAAATACAAAGGAATAACCTTCAATGTCAGCAGTTTTAAAAAATTGAGAAATTCACAAATGATTACACATTAAACAACATAATTCAAAATAACAAAGATAAAATCAAAAGAAAACAGAACAAAGTTTAAGAATATTAAAAACAAATACACCAAAATTTATTAAAAAGCAATATTTAGAGGACAATTTATGACCTTAAAATGCCTACATTAATTAGACAAAAATTTTTAATTAATATGCAATTTTATACTTTAAGGAACTAGAAAAAATGAACAAACCCCCCAAAGCAGAAGAAAAGAAATAGTGATTATTGCTAAAATAAGCAAATGAAAGAATAAAAACAACAAAGGAAATAAAACCAAAATTTGGTACATTCAAAAGATTAACAAAATTAAATAAAACAAAGAGTATTTATGTAGACTTACCTCTCATAAAAGAGAAGACTCCCATTATTAAAATCAGATATGAAAGACTACACATTACTACACACTATACAGAAATACAAAATATTACAGTACATTGCTAGGAGCAAATGCATACCAACAAATCATATAACTCAATAAAATGAGCAAATCTCTCAAAAGACACTAACTATGATATGCAATTGACAGAAACTGAAAATAGAAATAGACTTAAAATAAAAAATAAAAATATTCAATAAAACCAGAATGATGTTAAATGTCATGAAACTGATAAAAGACAGCTATGAAAAGTCTAAAACTATTATTATGTGTATCAGTGAAATACTACCTAAGATAAAAAACAAGATGAAGAGATCTATTTATCATTTTAGGACAATATTCCATTGTATATTTAAGCTAAGGCAATTAGACAATGACAGAAAATAAGAAACATGCATATTGAAAAAGAAGTTAATACAATTACATATGTCAGTACATGATACAACTTTACATAGAGAATATCTTAATAAATCTAGTATAAAATATTAGATCAAAAACAAATAAATAACCTTGTCAGGATAAAAGATTGATATATAAAAATCAATATATTTACATAATTCTAATTATCCAATATAAAATAATACAATTGCACTGAAAATGCCATAAAATATATTGCACAATATAAATGCCACAAAAAATAATTGCACAACTATGATGGTTAATTTTATGTGTCAACTTGACTGGTTTAAGAGATTACCAAATAGCTAAAAAAAAAAAAAATTATTTCTGGATTTATCTGTGAGAGCATTTCATTTTTCCTCCTCTAAATTTTACTTTAGGTTCAGAAGGTTAAAGTGTCAACTTCTTCATGAGTAAATTTCATGTCACAGGGTTTTTGTGTAAAAATTATTTCATCACCAAGATAGTTAATACAGTACCTGGTAGGTAGTTTTTTGATTCTCATAGATCTCTCATTCTACACTTTCACATATTTCCCATTGCCTATTATTCCTTTCTCTTTGTCCATAGGTACTCAATGTTTAGTTCCCACTTACAACTGAGAATATGTGGTATTTGGTTTTCCTTTCTGGTGGTAATTTGCCTAGGGTAATGAATTCCAGCTGCATCTGTGTTGCTCAAGAGACATGATTTTGTTTTTTTTTCATTGCTGCATAGTATTCCATCATTTATATGTGTACCATATTTTCTTTATCCAGGCCACCATTGTTGGGCATATAGATTGATTCCATGTTTTTGCTATTATGAATAGTACTGTGATGCTGTTGATAAACGTAGGTGTGCATGTGTCTTTCTGGTAGAACAACTTACAGTCCTTTGGGTATATACCCAGTAATGCGATTGATGGGTAAAATGGTAATTCTATTTTAGGTTATTTGAAAAATCTTCAAACTGCTTTCTACAGTGGCTGAACTAATTTACATTCCCACGAACAGTGTATGAGCATCCTCTTTTCTCCCTAATCTTGCCAACACCTGTCATTTTGTGCTTTTTAATGATATTCATTCTGACTAGGGGGGATGGTATCTTATAGTGGTTTTTATGATTTTCTTTTCTCTGATGATTAGTAATGTTGAGTATTTTTTCATATGCTTGTTGGCCATGTGTACTTATTCTTGAGAAGTGTCTGTTCTCTTTTGGCCACTCTTTAGTGGGATTTTTCTTTTTTGCTTGTTAATTTGTTTAAGTTCCTTCTAGATTCTAAACATTAGTCCTTTGTTGGATGCATAGTATTGAAATGTTTTCTCCTATTCTGTAGGTTATCTGTTTATGTTATTGAATGTTTTTCTGTGCACAAGTTCTTTAGTTTAATTAGGTCTCACTTGTCAATTTTTTTTTTGTTACAATTTCCTTTTGGGGTAATTGTCATAAAACTTTGGCCAGGGCTTGTATCCAGGATGGTATTTCTGAGGTTTTCTTCTCATATTTATATAGTCTTAGATTTTACATTTAAGTATTTAATACACCTTGAGTTGATATCTGTATGTGGTGAAAGGAAGAGGTCAAATTTCAGTCTTCTGCATATGACTATACAATTATCACAGCATCATTTATTGAATAGAGGGTTCTTTCTTCATTGCTTGTTATTCCTGACTTCATTAAAAATCAGGTGGCAGTAGGTGTGTGGCTTTATTATTTGGTTCTCTATTCTGTTCCATTGCTCTATGTCTCTGTTTTTGTACTACTACCATGCTGTTTTAGTTACTACAGGCTTTTAATATCCTTTGAAATTAGGTAATTTGATGCCTCTGGCTTTCTTCTTTTAGTTTATGATTTATTTGGCTATTTTGGGGTTTGTATGAATTTTAGGATAGATATTTTTATGATTCTGTGACAAACGTTACAATACTTTAAAAAGAGATTAGTATTTAAATCAGTAGACTGACTAAAGATATCTCTCATGATTGTGGGCAGGTATCATCCAATCCGTTAAGAACCCAAATAGAGCAAAAGGCAGAAGAAGACAAATATTTCTCTTTTCTTTGGCTGGGACATTAATATTATTCTGCCTTCTTTATTTGAGGCTTCTGGATATTGGGCCATTGGACACTAGGGTTTGCACTAGTAAACCCCACTTGTAGCTCCTTAAGTTCTAAGGCCATCATCCTCAGACAAATAATTACACAACTATTTCTCCTAGTTCTAAGGCCTTCAGTCTCAGATTGAATTACAGCATCAGCTTTCCTAAATATAAAGTGTGTAAGTGTATATCATAATATTTCTCAGCCTAAGCAAATTCCTACAATAAAATCCTCCCTCATAGGTGTGTACTAATGTGTGTGTATTCATACATGGCTCTTTTTGTCTGGAGACACCTATTATGAAGATTAACTCATTTTTTTCTAAAATAAGGAAAAGACTAGACATTCATTCTTATTACTTCTATTCAACATTATATTGGAGATTCCAGCCAAAGCAAATAGGAAGTAACACAAAACAAAAATAATCCTTATTAGAAGGTAAGAAATAAGTACACTCTCTTTGTTGACAAAAGGCATGACCTTATGTAAAGAATATCTTAGACTTTCCTAGAAAATATTAGATCAACAACAAAATAAGCACATTTTTAGGACTAACGGTCAACCTTCAAATATTAATTGTATTGTTACATAATTGAACAATACAGAAGAAAATAACATGTTCAAAAATCCTACATAAAATATAATCAAAAATTATTTTAAAAAAACAGGAAAAACATTAAAAGAATTGCAAAACTTAGGCCAGGTGCAGTGGCTCATGCCTGTAGTCCCAGCACTTTGGGAGGCCGAGGCGGGCAGACCATGAGGTCAGAAGTTCGAGACCAGCCTGGCCAACATGGTGAAGCCCCAGCTCTACTAAAGATATAAAAAATTAGCCAGGCGTGGTGGCGTGAGCCTGTAATCCCAGCTACTTGGGAGGCTGAAGCAGGAGAATCACTTGAACCTGGGAGGTGGAGGTTGTAGTGAGCTGAGATGGCACCATTATACTCCAACCTGGGTGACAGAATGAGACTCCATCTCAAAAAAATAAAATAAATTGCGAAACTTAAAACTTAAATTGTAAAAGTTACTAAATATTGAGGAATAAAATTCTTAATGAATAAATAAAATCTCATATTCCTCAATTGAAAATCTTAATTAATAAACAAATTAACCAAAATCCATATTAAATTCCCAGCTGGGTTCTTTACAGAAATAAACATGCTCATTCTAAATTAATATAGATATACAGGAGACCAAAAAATAGCGAGATATATATATATATATACACACATACACATACGTGTGTGTGTGTATATATACTATATATATACACACTATATATATACACACTATATATATATACACACACACAATATATATATATATATATATATATATATATATATATGTATAATTTTTTTGAGACAGAGTCTTGCTCTGTGGCCAGGCTGGAGTGCAGTGGCACAATCTCAATAACCAGTAATATTTTGAAAAATAATTTAGTCCTTGCATTTCCGATTTTCAACCAACAACATATCATCAATAGTTATAAGAGTGTGACACAGGAACACAGATCACCATATAAATAAATGGAACAGATTTTAGAATCCAGAAATCCTTTTACACAGTGGTGACTTAATTTTTGAGAAAGACGTCAAACTATTGAATAGGAAAACAACAATATTTTCCACAAATACTTCTGGGAGACTGATTATCCAAAGGCCAAAAAAACAAGATACACTTTCTCTGACAACACATAAAGAACTAATTTAAAATACATCAACAACCCAAAGTTAACAAACAGAAGTACAAAACCCAGAATAGAAAAAGTAAATCTTTTCTATCTTCAATTTGGCAATGGTTTCTAGGACAAGGCAACAAAGTCACAAAAAACTAAGTTAAAATGGATAAACTGATATTCTTATAAATGAATATGTTTGTTCTTGAAAGGACACCATCAAAAAAGTGTACTGATGATAAGTAGAATTTAAAAAGTTCTAATTCATATATCTGATAAGAAACGTTTATTAAGAATATACGGAGCAAGAGACTTCTGGTTCCAAAATGGCAGAGTAGAGACAAGCAGCCTTTTTTTCTTCATGCAAAACAAAACAAAACAAACATATGGCACTGAGATCTACACCACAACAACCAAAAGCTTAATTAAGAGGATAACACATTTCCCAGTGTCATAAAAGTAGAAAAAGTCTGAGTAGACACTACGTAGGGGAATTATATGTCTATGTCTACATTAATAATGCCCCTAACTTGCAACTCTGCTCTGCACCAAAAACGCAGAATATCTATCTCCAATTCATGATTTACAATATGATTTGGATCTGTGTCCCCACCCAAATCTCATTTTCAGTTGTAATCACCAGTGTTGGAGATGGGTTTTCTGGGAGGTGATTGGATCATCAGGTGGATCTTTCATGAATGATTCAGCACTATCCCTTTGGTGCTGTTCTTGTAACAGCATTCTCAAGAGATCTGTTTGTTTAAAAGTGTGTAGCACCTCCTACAACTCCCTTCCTCTTGCTCTGGCCATATGAGGTGTTGACTGCCCTTTTGCCTTCCACTATGATTGCAAGCTTCCTGAGGCCTCCTGAGAGGTAGAAGCCACTATGCTTCCTGTATAGCATACAGAATGTGAGGCAATTAAGCCTCTTTACTTTATAAATTACTCAATGTCAAGTAATTTTTATATAAATGAGAGAAAGACAAACTGATATGGTCACTAAGCTTCCCCATCTTATCAAGTTCCCTGGTAGACCTGTCTTTCCTTAACCCAGTGGAAATGTTATGAGTGCATGAAGGGAGAAACATTCCTGAGGACAGGCAGAGACAAAAAAGAGAGGCAGGACTACCAACCTCTTAGACATGGAAACTCTTCTCCGTAACTCAGCCAAAAATTGACCTCAAATCAGAGTAGTTGCTTAGCAACAGCATGCTGTAGGATGTAAGTTCTTTAGGTATACTGGGAACAAGCCCTTAGGCAGTGTTCTCACACTTCCAGGATAATCCATTTGGAACCCCCATCACTTGGGACAGGCAGAGCTCTAATCATTCACATGAGCTGAGGTAAACCTGGGCTTAACATGTCACCTAGAACTAAAGTGAATGCAGTGACTTTTCGGTAAAGATTTTCTAAGCAAATATATTCCATTAAAAAAAGACAGAAAAAAAATGGAACAAATAATCCTTCAATGCAAAGGCATGCATATATTCACAAGAAACAACAGAGAACAGGGAACCAGGACCTCTCCAAAAGGACAATGCAAAAATCTAGTGATTGACACTAATAAGATAACCCAATTTCTGAGCTCTCTGACCCAGAATACAAAATAGCAGTTTTAAGAAAACTTAGTAATGTCTAAGTTAACACAGGAAGTTATTTCAGAAATTTATCCGAGAAATTTAACAAAAAGGTTAAAATAATACAAAGAAATCAATCAGAAATCTTGGAACTAAGAAATGCATTTGCTGAATTCAAAATCCATTAGAGGTCTTAAACCACAGAATGATCCAAGCCCAGAAAAGAATCTGTGAGCTCTAAGACTCGTTATTTTATTTTTAAAAAGTCAAGAGAGAATAAAAAAGCAAGTGCCACCTACAAAATATAGAAAATTACTTCAAAAGACCCAGTCTAAGAATTATTGGTGTTCAAGAGAGATGTGAGTAAGAGCAAGGGTAGAACGCTCATTCAAAAAAATAGTAACAAAAAACTTTTCAAAACTTGAGAAACATAAAATGTCCAGGTACAGAAAGGTCTTAGAACACAATGCAAACCCAAATAAGACTACCCCAATTAACAAAATAATCAAAGTCACAAAGGACAAAAAAAAATACATTAAAGAAAAAAGATTGAAATCAGCAAGTGAAAGCAAATAACATATAAAACAGCGCCAATATTTATGGAGATAGACTTCCCAAAAGAAACTATACAGACCAGGAAGGACTGGAATGATGTTTTCAAAGTGCTCAACACAAAAGGATGCCACCAAAAAATATTGAAACAAAAATAATTATCAATCAAATATAAATGAGAGATGAAGTATTTACCAGGCAAACAAAACATAGAATTGACCACTGAGCTAGTCAGAGGAGAAGGAGGTCCCCAGAGAATCTCCAACAAGCCTGTGCACTGGGAGGAATGTGCACTGGGGTGGAACCTCAGGAATTTTGCACTGTTTGCAACAGGGAGGAGCCCGGCAAATATCCCATGTGGAACCTGGGATTCAAGCTGCTAGTGGGAAGCACTCTGGCAGGGGTCTCCAGCCTTGTGGAAGATCCCTGTTTCCCCTTTTTTTTTCCTTTTCACCCAATAAAACCCTGCTTTACTCACCTGTTGAACCATCTGCCAGCCTAAATTTTCATGGCCCTGAGATGGACAAAGACACCATTGCGTTATTTAGTCCACCTATTTACACTGTAATGACATCTGCTTTTTACCATTAATCTTTAAGCCTCTTCCTATTTCTCAAAGATTAAAGTCACGTGAACTGAACGGTACCACAGTTTTTAACTTCTCTTTAAAAAATATTAGATGCAAGTGTTTGTCTTTTTCAGGCCAAAATCATTTAGAGCTCTTTCTGCAGACATTACACATAACACACACGCAGACAGGCAGGAGAAAACCCAGTTCCTGGGTGGGGTTTTATAAGAGCCAGGCCAAGGAAAACATGCAGATATCAAACCTGAAAAAGAGTCAGTCCCTAAGGCAGGATAAGCCCCTACTTTGTGCAACAAAATGCACAGTGCAGGTGAGTGTGGCTGTTTCCTGCCAATTAAGTGAAGCCCAAGCTCCCTGGTTCATGGATAAAAGCCTTGTTAGTATCCATGGCATAGATGAGGTCTAGGGACTCCCAGACTACTGAAAGCAGGGGAGATAGGGTGTATGTGGGTAAGTGGGTAAGAGTGAATGTTCTCACCCCCTAGGCCCCACTGGTTCATGGGTGCATGTTGCTTTGACACCTGTTTCAGCACATACCAAGGTTACCAGCACTCGGGGAAGCAAGGACGGAAGAAGAAAAGAGGATGCTCTTTCTCCCTCATGTACCCCAGGTATCTGCTAGAAAGAGAAGAGAACTAGGGACACCTGCCACCCTCTTCCTAGGTGAGTAGCCATTCACCTTCAGTCTGTACCCATTTTGAATGCATCATGACCCCCTGGGACTTCTTTAAAAGGTGCCTTCTTTTTCCTTTCTTCTCCTCTGTTCTCTCTTCACGGATAGGTAATTATGTCTCCGTATTCTGGGACATTCCCCTCAGATGCATCTTCCAAACTGGAAAGAGTTAACTTTCCAAACCTTAAGCTGGTTGGCTAAAGATTGGGCCCAGAAGAAGGGAACCCAGAAGACCAACATGCCAGCAAAAGGGTATTTTACCAGTCTGGCTTTTGGCCTTTCTCTCCCTGTGCAAAGTGATAAAAGGCCTCAGAATTTTTGAGCTATCCTTACTCCTCCCCTTGTTTCATTTTGATACATGTTTTCTAATAACCTAGTTTGTCTGTTCTTGCCTTCAGGGCATCAAACTCCAAACAATAATGCAAGCAGAGTCTCTGACAATGGCCCTTTCTGCTGGGGGAACTCTTAGATAGGCCTGTGAGTGAGCTCTGACCACCATTTCCCAAAAACAGCACCCCTTGTCAGCAGGAAGCAGTAAAGATTGATCTTCCTTATGCTCTTTCAAATAGCATTCAGATGTACTTCTTTACAAGGGGGAAAGAGACAGCCAGGTAGGAGGTGGTCCCCAGAGAATCTCCAAAGAGCTTGAACACTGAGAAAAATGTTCACTGGGGTGGAACCTCAGCAAGTTTGTGCCATTTGCAGTGGGGAAGAGCCAGGCCCCTCCTCTTTCTGTGTGGAAGCTGGGATTCAAGCTTTGAGCAGGAAGCACTCTAGCAGGGGGACTCTGGCCTTTCAGAGTCCTCGACATTCAAACCATCTGTGAGCCTAAATTTTTGTGGCCATGGGACAGACAAGGATCCCATCTTTAGCTGAACTAAGGAAAAGTCCTGAGACTCCACCACCAGACCCATCTTGCAAAAAATGCTAATGGGAGCTCTTCAGTCAGAAAGAGTAAAACACTATCATGCAAAAAGTAACTTTTCAAGGTATAAAAACAAGTGGTAAAATTGAGTACATGCAAAAACCCAGAATAAGCTAGTACTGAATTTGTGTTCTGCATTTCACCTATCCCAGAAAACATAACAACTATAGCAACCGGTTAAGAAACAGATGATATACAAATATGTAAATCAAGATAACTATGAGTCAAAATGGGTAGGTGATTGAGTTAAAGTATATACATTTTCTGTGACTTTTGCCCTTATTTATTTTATAATTTTATTTGCAATCTAAGTTGTGATCTCTTTAAAATAACATGCCATATCTCTAAAATGGTTTTCTGTAAGTCTACTGGTAACCACAGTTAAGAAATCTATCATTGATGTACTTAAAAAGCAGCAACTTGAAATATACTACCAGAGACAATCACCTAATTATGAAGAAAGACAGGAAGGAAGGAAGAGAGGAGTCTAAAAACAAACAGTAAACAATCAACAAAATGGCTCTAGTAAGCCTTACTTGTCAATAATAAAAATGGATGTAAATTGTCTCAGTTCTCAGTTAAAAGACATAGAATGGCTGAATAAAGAATCATGCTGCCTTAAAGAAACCCACTTCACTTATAAAGCCATACATAGACTGAAAGTGAAGGGATGGCAAAATATATTCCATGCAACTAGAAACCAGAAAAGTACAGGTGTAGTTATAAACAGATTACAAATCAGACGGGAAAAAAAAAACAAAAAACAAAGACAGTAACTACATGATAATGAAGGGGTCAGTTTAGCAAGATTTAGTCATTATACTTACCAAAACCTGAGCTCTCAAGCATGTAAAGCAAACATTAACAGACCTAAAGGCAAAACTAGCATGCAACACAGCAATAGTAGGAGACTTTAACACCCCATTCTCTGTAATGGAAAGATTATCCAGGAAGAAAATCAACACAGAAACATCAGAGTTAAAGTACACACTAGATATGAAGGGCCTAACTGACATATACAGAAAGTTTCACATAATTGCTGTAGAATAGACATTCTTTTTATTAGCACAAAAAATGTCTCCCTTAATTCTATGATAGGCTACCAAACAAGCCTGTACAAATTCAAAAACACAAGTATCATATGAAGTATATTTTCTGACCACAATGAAATAAAACAAAAAATAAATTAAAAGAAGAATCTGGAAAACAGACATGAACACATGGAAATTAAACATACTGCTAAATGACAAACATGTCAATGAAGTTATTAAGAAGAAAATTTAAAAATTTTGTGAGACAAATGAAAATGGAAGTACAGCATACCAACATCTATGGAAGATGGCCAAAAAAACTGTAAGAAGAAAGTTTCTTGTAACAAACATCTGTATCAAAAAAGTTGAAAGACTTCAAATAACCTAATCCTATACATCAAAGAACTAAAAAAGCAGGAACAAACCAAACCCAAAGCTAATAGAAAGAAAGAAATTATAAAGACCAGAACACAGTTAAATAAATTTGAGGCTAAAATAAACACAATACAAAAGATCTATGAAACAAAAAGTTGTTTTTTTGTGAAGATGATGGAGAAGAAAAGAGAAAATCAGTTAAGTAAACAATTAAGGCTGGTCCTCAAAAATGCTGCCTTCCTGAAAACTCACAACTACAGGAAAAATAGAGCAGCTTGGGGAAAAACTCAGACTGCAGAAGCTGCCTGCCTAAAAAAAAAATCACAGCTACAGTGCACCTGCACAGATAAGCCACAGATAAGCAGGCAAGGCATGCAATGTCCAGCATAGAAACCCTTTGCTCTTTGTATGATTAGTAAGCTCCCAGGAAAAAGTGTCCTCCCCTTTTCAGACATGTACACAGTGGGCTCCATGGGAATTTGCAAAGAGAGGAGGGGGGTGTACCTAAAACAAACCCATCATTATACAAACGCAAGAAACAGCACTTTGTGCTTTCCTGGAGACATATCCACAATGACAGAGAATAACTGGGAGATATGCAGGCGGTTTTATAGATAAGAAAAGTTACTCAGTTACAGAGATGAAACTATGCAGGCAGTTTTATAGATAAGAAAAGTTACTCAGTTACAGAGATGAAAGCAGTTCCTCATAAGAGCTTTTGAATACAACCGTAACACAGCAACCATCAGGGAACCCTCTCCACTGCCGAGAGCTTTGTTTTTTTGTTATTAAATTTTTGCTCCAACCTCACCCTTTGTAACCACGCTTCTTAATTTTTTTGGTCCTGAGATCACAAGCTCTGATAACACCTTAGACAACCAGACCAGTGACCCTGACTTGTTTCAAAGATCAATGATGTTAACAAACCTTTAGCTAAGTTAAGCAAGAAAAACATAGACAAGATGCAAATAAAAACCATCAGAAATGGAAAAAGAAGAGACATAAAAACTGAGACCAAAATAATACAAAACTATTAGAATTGTTATGATAAATTAATAGTAAACCTAGAAGAAATATATGAATTTCTGGACTCAAAACTTACTAAGATTGAACTATAAAGCGGTTGAAAACATCAAACAAATAATAATGGGCAAGGGATTGAAGCTGTTATTGAAGTAATAAAATGTCTTTCATCAAAATAAAAAGGTTCAGAAACTTATGATCCCACTTTTGAATTATACCCAACATGTAACAGCTTGATACCAATCTGACTCAACCTTTTCAAAAAAAAAAAAGAAAAGAAAAAGAGAAATAAAAAAAAAAGGGAATAATTCAAACTCATTCTATGAGGATAATGTTACTCTTACACAAAAACAAAGCATGGGCATAACAAAACAATAAAACTACAAGCCAGTATCACTGATGAGTATTGATATGGTTTGGCTCTGTGTCCCCACCCAAATATCATCTTGAATTGTACTCCCATAATTTCCATGTGTTGTGTGAGGGACCCTATGGGAGTTAATTTGAATCACGGGGACTGTTTCTTCCATACTGTTCTCATTATAGTGAATGAGTCTCATGAGATCTGATGGTTTTATCTGGGGTTTCCACTTTTGCATCTTCCACATTTTCTGTTGCTGCTACCATGTAAGAAGTGCCATTCACCTCCTGCTCTGATTCTGAGGCCTCCCCAGCCATGAGGAACTTTAAGTCTAATTAAGCCTCCTTTTCTTTCTTTTCTTTTTTTTTTTTTTTTGAGACAGAGTCTCGCTCTGTCCCCCAGGTTGGAGTGCAGTGGCGCGATCACGGCTCACTGCAAACTCTGCCCCCCGGGTTCATGGCATTCTCCTGCCTCAGCCTCCCGAGTAGCTGGGACTACAGGTGCCCACCAAGGCGTCTGGCTAATTTTTTGTATTTTGAGTAGAGATGGGGTTTCACCGTGTTAGCCAGGATGGTTTCAATCTCCTGACCTCATGATCTGCACGTCTTGGCCTCCCAAAGTGCTGGGATTACAGGTGTGAGTCACCACGCCTGGCCAAGCCTCTTTTTCTTCACAGTATCTGGTTTGTCTTTATCAACAGTGTGAAAACAGAAAAATAGAGTAAATTGGTACTAGTAGGGTGGGGCATTGCTGAAAAGATACCCAAAAATGTAGAAGCGACTTTGGAACTGGGTAATAGGCAAAGATTGGAACAGTTTGGAGGGCTCAGAAGAAGACAGAAAAATGAGAGAAAGTTTGGAATTTCATAGAGACTTGTTGAATGACTTTGACAAAAGTATTGGAAATGGTATGGACAATGAAATCCAGGCTCAGGTTGTCTTAGATAGAGATGAGGAACTTGTTAGGAACTAGAGCAGAGGTGATTCTTGTTATGTTTTAGTAAAGAGACGGGTGGCATTTTGCCCCGGGCTAGAGATTTGTGAAACTTTGAACTTGAGAGAGATGATTTAGGGTATCTGACAGAAGAAATTTCTAAGCAGCAAAGCATTCAAGAGGTGACTTGGGTGCTGTTAAATGCATTCCTTTTTGAAAGGAAAGCAGAGCATAAAAGTTTGGAAAATTTGCAGCCTAATAATGCAATAGAAAAGAAAATCTTATTTTCTGAGGAGAAATTCAAACTGGCTGCATGTATTTGCATTAGTAATGAAAAGCTGAATGTTAATCCTCAAGACAATGGGGAAAATGTCTTCCAGGAATGTCAGAGACCTTTGCAGCAGCCTCTCCCATCACAGACCCAGAGGTCTAGGAGAAAAAAATGGTTTCCTAGGCAGGGCTCAGGGTCCACATGCTGTGTGCAGTCTAGAGACTTGGTGCCTTTCATCTCAGCCACTCCAGCCGTGGCTGAAATGGGCCAATGTAGAACTCAGACCATGGCTTCAGAGGGTGGAAGCCTCAAACCTTGGCAGCTTCCACATGGTATGGAGCCTGCAGTACATGGATGTCAAAAATTGGGGTTTGGGAACCTCCACCTTGATTTTAGAAGATGTACGGAAACTCCTGAATGTCCAGGCAGAAGTTTGCTACAGGGGTGAGACCATCATGGAAAAACTCTGCTAAGGCAGTGTGAAAGGAAAATGTGTGCTGTGAGCCCCCACAGAGAGTCCCCACCAGGGCACTGCTTATTGGAGCAGCAAGAAGAAGGCCACCATCCTCCAGACCCCAGAATGATACATGCACAAACATCTTGGACCATGCAACTGGAAAAGCCATAGACACTCATTGCCAGCCCATGAAAGCAGCCAGGGTGGAGGCTGTACCCTGCAAGGCCACAGGGACTGAACTGCCCAAGACCATTGGAATCCTCCTCTTGCATCAGCATGACCTGGATATGAGACCTGGAGTCAAAGGATATCATTTTGGAACTTTAAATTTTTACTGCCCTGGTGGATTTTGGACTTGAATGGGTCCTGTAACCCCTTTATTTTGGCCAATTTCTCCCATTTGGAATGGCTATATTTACCCAATATCAGTAACCCCATTGTATCTAGGAAGTAACTAGCTTGCTTTTGATTTTACAGGCTCATATGTGGAAGGGACTTGTCTTGCCTCAGATAAGACTTTGAACTGTGGACTTTTGGGTTAATGCTGAAATGATTTAAGACTTTGAGGAATATTGGGGAAGGCATGATAGGTTTTGAAATGTGAGGACATGAGATTTGGAGGGGCCAGGGGTAGAATTATACGGTTTGGCTCTGTGTCCCCACCCAAATCTCGTCTTGAATTGTACTCCCAAAAGTTCCACATTTTTGTGGGAGGGACGTGGTGAGAGTTAATTTGAATCACGGGGCAGTTTCACCCATACCATTCCTGTGGTATTGAATAAGTCTCATGAGCTCTGATGATTTTATCAGAGATTTCCGCTCGTACGTCTTCATCATTTTCTCTTGCCGCCACTATGTAAGAAATGCCTTTCACCTTCCGTTATGATTCTGAGGCCTCCCCAGCCATGTGGAACTCTAAGTCCAATTAAACCGCTTTTTCTTCCCAGTCTCAGGTATGTCTTTATTAGCAGTGTCAAAATGGACTAATACAAGTGTAGATGCAAAAGTCCTCAAAAAATACAAGCAAACCAAACTAATAATACATTAAGAAGATAATTTTCTAGGGTAACACAGAATTCGTGCAAGGGAGGAGGGAAGGATGTTTCAATACATGCAAATCAGTAAACATGACCCACCGTATTAACAGATCCAAGAATTATAGGATTATTTCAGTACATGCTAAAAAAAGCCCATAAAAATCCAAATCCCTATATAATAAATTATAATGGTTTTAGATCACCAAACCATCAAAATGACTTTAGAGGAAACATTCTCCAAAATGATAAAGGCCATATATGATCCATGACTAAAATCATACTGAACAAGAAAAAAATTAAAGAATGTTTCCTAGGGACTGGAACAAGAGAAAGATGCCCACTGTCAGTCCTCTTATATAACATAATACCAGAAGATGTTGTTAGTGCAATTAGGAGCAAAAAATAATAATAATAAAATAAAGTGCATTCAAATTGGAAATAAATAAGTCAAGTTATTCTTCATTGCATTTGACATAGTATAATATCTAGAAAAACCCAAGGATTTCATTTAAAAATTGTTAGATCTGATAAATAAATCAGTAAAATTGTTCTCTGTAAAATCAGGAAAATCAAAATCATATCAAGTATCTTCTTAGACCATAGTGAAGTAAAACTGGAAATCAACTCCAAAAAGAACCCTCAAAGCTATATAAATACATGAAAACTAAGTAATTTGCTCTTCAATGATTTTTGGGTAAAAATCAAGATGGAAATTAATAAATTATTTAAAATGAATGATAATAGTGACAGAGTGATCAAAATTTCTGGGAAACAGCAAAAGTAGTGCTAAGACTAAGGTTCATAGCATTAAATGCCTACATCAAAAAGGCTGAAAGAGCACAAATTGACAATCTATATTGTCACAACTCAAGAAACACTAGAAACAAGAACAAACTAAACCCAAAGCCATCAGAAAGAAAGAAATAGGAAGGATCAGAGCAGAACTAAATGAAATTACAACAAAAAATACAAAAGGTAAGTGAAATGAAATAAAAAGCTGGTTTTTTGAAAAGATAAACAAAATTAATAGACCATTAGTGAGATTAACCAAGAAAATAAGAGAGAATATCCAAACAAGCTTAATTAGGAATGAAGCAGGAGGTATTACAACCAATACCAGAGAAATCCAAAAAATTATTCAAGGCTACTATGATCACTGTTACACACACAACTAAAAAATTTAGAGGAAATAGATAAATTCCTGGAAGCATAAAACCCTTCTAGATTAAATCAGGAAGAAGTAGAAACCCTGAACAGACCAGTAACAGTGGGATTGAATTAGAAATTAAAGAAATTACCACCAACAACAAAATATACAGGTCCAGAAGAATTCAGAGCTGAATTATACCACACACTCAGAGAATAATTAGTATCAATTATTCCCACTGAAATGATTCCCAAAAATAAAGAAAGAGGGAATTCTTCCTAAATCATTCTGTGAAGCCAGTATCTAGAAAATGATATAACAACAACAACAAAACTACAGACTAATAAATGACATAACAAAAAACAAAAAAATCTACAGACTAATATCCCTGATGAACAGAGATGCAAAAATTCTCAACAAAATACTAGCTAACTGACTCCAATAGCACCTCAAAAAGATAATACATCCTGGTCAAGTGAGTTTCATCCCAGGGATACAGGGATGTTTTAACATATGCAAGTCAATAAATGGAATACATCACATAAACAGATTTAAAAACAAAAGCCACATAATCATCTCAATGGATGCAGAAAAAGTATTTGATAATATGCAGCAATGCTTTATAATAAATACCTTCAACAAATTAGGCATAGAAGGGACTTACCTCAAAGTAATAAAAGCCATATAGGACAAACTCACAGCCAACATTATACTCAATGGGGAAATGCTGAAATTCCCTCTGAGAACTGGAACAAGACAAGGATGCCCACTTTTATCACTTCTATTCAATATAGAACTGGAAGTCCTAGTCAGAGCAATCAGGGGAAAAAAAAGAAATGAAAGACATCCAAGTTGAAAAAGATGAAGTCAAACTATCACTGTTCACTTATGATATGATTGTATACCTAGAAAACTCTAAAGATTTCTTCAAAAGACTCCTAGATTTGATAAACAAATTTAGTTACATCTCAGGTTACAAAATCAATATACACAAATCAGTAGCACAGTTATACAGCAATAACATCCAAGCTGAGAATCAAATTTAAAAATTCCATCACTTTTTTAACTGCAAAAAAATATAATACCTAAGAACATACTTAACCAGGAAGATAAAATGTCCGTACAAGGAGAACTATAAAACACTGTTGAGGCCAGGCACGGTGGCTCACACCTGTAATCCCAGAACATTGGGAGGCTGAGGCAAGTGGATCACGAGCTCAGGCGTTTGAGACCAGCCTGGTTAACATAGTGAAACTCTATCTCTACTAAAAAGAGTACAAAAAATTAGCTGAGCATGGAGGTGGGCACCTACAATCCCAGCTACTTGGGAGGCTGAGGCAGGAGAATCTTTTGAATCTGGGAGGCGGAGGTTGCAGTGATCCGAGATCACGCCACTGCACCTCAGCCTGGGCAATAAGAACAAAACTCCATCTCAAAAAAAAAGAAATGAAAAGTAGATCTACCATTCAATACAGCAATGCCATTACTGTGTATCTATCCCCCCACCAAAAAAAGAGTCATTATATGAAGAAAAAAAAAACATGCACACATATGTTTATTGCAATCCAATTAACAATTGTAAAGATATGGAACTAACCTAAGTCTACACTGACCAAAGAGTAGATAAATAAAATGAGGTGTATATATAAATCATTAAATACTACTCAGCCATGAGAAGGAACAAAATAATGTCTTTTGCGGCAACTTAAATGGAGCTGGAGGCCATTATTCCAAGTGAAATCACTCAGGAATGGAAAGCCAAACAACGTATGTTCTCGCTTGTAAGTGAGAGCTAAGCTGTGAGTACGGAAAGGTATATAAAGTAATATAATGGGCTTTAGAGACTCAGAAAGGAGAGGGTAGGAATGGGGTGTGGGATAAATACTACCTATTGGGTTCAACATGCACTACTTGGGTGATGGTTGCAATAAAATCTCAGAATTAACTAATATACAATTAATACATATAACCAAAAACCACTTGTACCCCGAAAGCTATTGAAATAAAAAATATTTTACAAAACATATATCTGCTAAAAGATACATAGAACACATATAAATAACTCTTAAAACTCGATAAATAATAAAACAAAGTAATTAAAATGTTGGATAAGACATGTCACCAAAGAAGATACAGATGGTCAGTAAATACATGAAAAGATGCTTATTATTATTAGTTATTAGGGAAAGGCAATCTAAAACCAGAATGAAGTACTATGCACATATTAGAAAGGCTGAAATTAAAGAGACAGGTCATATCAAATGTTGGCAAGAATATAAAGCAACCAGAACTCTCCATCGCTGCTGGTGGAAATAAAATGGTAAAATCAGTTTGGAAAACAGTTTGATAGTTTCCTAAAAAGTTAAACATCCACTTACCCTGTGATCTAGCCAATTTACTTCTAGGTATTTAGCCAAGAGAAATGAAAACACATATCCATTTAAAGATTTTACACAAATGTTCATCGTAATTTTATTTGCAATGACCTCAAATTGGAAACAATTTAAATGTCCATCAACAGAGAATGAATAAAAAAATTGTAGCATATCTATACAATGAGGTATTTCTCCGCACTATGAAGGAATGAACCATTGGTACATGAAGAGTAAATAAATCTCAAAATAAAAATAATGATGCTGAGTGAAAGATGCTAGTGAAACAAGTATACAGACTGTGGTTCCATTTATATGAAACTCTATAACATGCAAGCAAAGCTCTATTAACAGAAAACAGATGAATGGTTACCTGGCTATAGGAGACTGGGGAGAAGTATAAGACAATTACAAAGGAACATGATAAAACTGTTGCGGCAATTGATCTATTATTATCTTGATTGTAGTAATGGTTTCATGAATGTTTACATGTCAAAACTTATCAACTGTACACTTTAAATAGGTAGAATTTATAGTACATCAATTATACATTACTAAAGCTGTTTAAGAGAAAAAAAAACAAGGTAAGCAGATGTTAAAGTTGTACCTGAAGCTTTCAGTAGTCTCACCAATAATCTAGACTGGAGGGATCCCATGTGACTTTTAGATATATTAGTGGAACTGGAGATTGGGCAGCGAAGTGTGGGGTAGAGAAGAGCAAGGTCACTGGTGAGGGATTCACCCTCGGGCATGTGCCCACAGACCTAATTGAGAACAGGCACTCCTGTTTTTGAGCCTGAATGTTGCATTTTCCAAGACCTCTCTGGCTTACCACGCCCCCCATTCTGTGCCCACATAAACCTGAGACCTTAGCAGGCACACACACAAGCAGCTGAACATCAAGGCCAGACGACCAGCCGACAAGCAGACTAGCAACGGCAGAACGATGTGGCAGAGAAATAGAGAAGAGGAGGGACCTCTCTAGATGCTTAGGATAGTTCAGCGGAGAGGTGGGGTGGTGGGGAGCTGGCGGCGGTCAGAGCAGAGTCCTGCCTCTGGGCAGCCCGACTGCAGGGGAAGACCACCTTCCCAGTCTATCCCTCCTTCTGCTACCTATCCATCTCGCTGAGAGCCACCTGCACCACTCAATAAAACCTTGCATTCACTCTTGAGCCCCAGAGGTGAAGGTTGCAGTGAGCCAAGACGGCGCCACTGCACTCCAGCTTGGGCTACAGAGTGAGGCTCCGTCTCTAAAAAACAAAAACAAAACGAAAGAAAACAACAACAACAACAACAACAACAAAACCTTGCATTCAATCCTTCACGCTCACGTGTGATCCGATTCTTTTGGGACACTGGGCAAGAACTCAGGATACATAAGACTGTCACACTGGCCTTCTGCCCTTGAGATAAGGCAGAGGGTTTATTGGGCTAACTAACACACAAGCCGCCTGCAGATGGCAAAGCTGACAGAGCTTAGTAACACTGTGGTTGTAGGCACCCAGCCCTAGACGCTGCCATGGGGCTGAGAGTCCAAAACGCTCTGCCCTGGCCTCTGCACCTGCCTGGCCTCTGCACCTGCCCATCTGCCTTAGGGGTTTGAGCTGCCGGGTGACCAAACAGGTGAGCCACACCCCTGTCACACATCCTGCCAGGGGAATCAGAGAACTCTCCCATTTTATTAGCTTATGTATTATAAACATATGATATATTTTCTAAAAGCATTTCTGGATGCATATCTATATTTAGTCTGGTCTTGATTGAACTAATTTACACTCTTAGAGTGTACAAGTGTTTCCTTTCCTCCACGACTTCATCAACATCGGTAATTTTTTGACTTTTTAAGAACAGCCACTCTGGTGTGAGATGGTATCTCATTGTGGTTTTGATTTACATTTTTCTTTTTTTAATTAATTAACTTTTTTATTATACTTCAAGTTCTGGGACACATGTGAAGAACATGCCGGTTTGTTACGTAGGTATATACGTGCTGTGATGGTTTGCTGCACCCATCAACCCATCATCTACATCTAATGATCAGTTATGTTGAGCTTTTTTTCATGTGATTGTTGGTTGCATGTATGACTTCCTTTGAAAAGTGTCTGTTCATGACCTTTGCTCACTTTTTAATGTTTTTTTTCTTGAAAATGTGTTTTAGTTCCTTGTAGATGCTAGATATTAGACCTTTGTCAGATGCATAGTTTGCAAAAATTTTCTCCCATTCTTTAGTATGTTTGTTTACTCTGTTAATATTTTATTTTGCTATGCAGAAACTCTTAAGTTTACTTAGATACTGTTTGTCATTTTTATTTTCTTTTGTTGCAGTTGCTTTTGGTGTTTTTATCATGAAATCTTTACAAGTTCCTATGCACAAAATGGTATTGCCTAGGTTGTCTTCCACGGTTTTTATAGTGTTGAGTTTTACATTTAAGTCTTTAGTCCATCTTGAGTTAATTTTTGTATATTGTGTAAGGAAGGGGTCCAGTTTCAATCTTCTGCGTAGGGCTAGCCAGTTATCCCAACACCATTTATTAAATAGGGTGTCCTTTCCCCATTTTTTTTGTCAGCTTTGTTAAAGATCAGACAGTTGTAGGTATGCGACCTTATTTCTGAGTTCTCTATTCTGTCCCATTGATCCACGTATCTGTTTTTATACTAGTATCATGCTGTTTTGGTTACTGTGGCCCTGTAGCATAGTTTGAAATCAGGTAATATGATACCTCCAGCTTCATTCTTTTTGCTTACAATTGCCTTGGCTATTTGGGCTTTTTATTTTTGGTTCCATATGAATTTTAAAATACATTTTTCTAATTCTTTGAAAAATGTCATTGACAGTTTGATAAGAATAGCATGAAATCTACAAATTGCTTTGGGCAGTATAACCATTTTAATGATACTGATTCTTCCTACCCATGAGCATGGATTTTTTTTCCATTTGTTTGTATCATCTCTGATTTCTTGAGCAGTGGTTTGTAGTGATCCTTGTAAAGATATTTTACATCCCTGGTAAACTGTATTTCTAGACATTTTATTTTATTTTTTGTGGCAGTTGTGAATGGGATTGTGTTCCTGATTTGGCTCTTGACTTGGATTTTGTTGGTATATAGGACTGCTAGTGATTCTTGCACATTGATTTTGCATCCTGAAACTTTCCTGAAGTTGTTTATCCGGGCTATCGAACAGATAATGCTTTCTGTACTAACACTCCAGCTTCTATTCTACATTGTATGAACTTGGAATACCATAGTGGTTTCCTTTTTTTTTTTTTTCCTATGTACTTCAGGATGGACCATCATCCTGAAAAACTCTTTTTTTTTTATTCTTGAAGTTTTAGGGTACATGTACACAATGTGCAGGTTTGTTACATATGTATACATGTGTCATGTTAGTGTGCTGCACCCATTAACTCATCATTTAACATTAGGTATATCTCCTAATGCTATCCCTCCCCACTGCCCCCACCCCACAACAGGCCCCAGTGTGTGATGTTCCCCTTCCTGTGTCCATGTGTTCTCATTGTTCTATTCCCACCTATGAGTGAGAACATGCGGTGTTTGGTTTTTTTTCCTTGTGATAGCTTGCTGAGAATGATGGTTTCCAGCTTCATCCATGTCCCTACAAAGGACAGGAACTCATCATTTTTTATGGCTGCATAGTATTCCATGGTGTATATGTGACACATTTTCTTAATCCAATCTATCATTATTGGACATTTGGGTTGGTTCCAAGTCTTTGCTATTGTGAATAGTGCCACTATAAACAGACATGTGCATGTGTCTTTATAGCAGCATGTTTCAAAGTTCTTTGGGTATATACCCAGTAATGGGATGGCTGGGTCAAATGGTATTCCTAGTTCTAGAACCCTGAGGAATCACCACACTGACTTCCACAATGGTTGAACTAGTTTACAGTCCCACCAACAGTGTAAAAGTGTTCCTATTTCTCCACACCCTCTTCAGCACCTGTTGTTTCCTGAATTTTTAATGATTGCCATTCTAACTGGTGTGAGATGGTATCTCATTGTGGTTTTGATTTGCATTTCTCTGATGGCCAGTGATGATGAGCATTTTTTCATGTGTCTGTTGGCTGCATAAATGTCTTCTTTTGAGAAGTGTCTGTTCATATCCTTCGCCCACTTTTTGATGGGGTTGTTTTTTTCTTGTAAATTTGTTTGAGTTCATTGTAGATTCTGGATATTAGCCCTTTGTCAGATAAGTAGAATGCAAAAATTTTCTCCCATTCTGTAGGTTGCCTGTTCACTCCGACGGTAGTTTCTTTTGCTGTGCAGAAGCTCTTTAGTTTAATAAGATCCCATTTGTCAATTTTGGCTTTTGTTGCCATTGCTTTTGGTGTTTTAGACATGAAGTCCTTGCTGTGAATCCGTCTGATCCTGGACTTTTTTTGGTTGGTAAGCTATTAATTATTGCCTCAATTTCAGAGCCTCTTATTGGCCTATTAAGACATTCAACTTCTTCCTGGTTTAGTCTTGGGAGAGTGTTTGTGTCGAGGAATTTATCTATTTCTTCCAGATTTTCTAGTTTATTTGCATAGAGGTGTTTATAGTATTCTCTGATGGCAGTTTGTATTTCTGTGGGATCGGTGGTGATATCCCCTTTATCATTTTTTATTGTATCTATTTGATTCTTCTCCCTTTTCTTCTTTATTAGTCTTGCTAGCAGTCTCCTAATTTTGTTGATTCTTTCATAAAACCAGTTCCTGGATTCATTGATTTTTTGAAGGGTTTTTTGTGTCTCTATCTCCTTCAGCTCCATTCTGATCTTAGTTATTTTTGCCTTCTGCTAGCTTTTGAATGTGTTTGCTCTTGCTTCTCTAGTTCTTTTAATTATGATGTTAGGTTGTCAGTTTTAGATCTTTCCTGCTTTCTTTTGAGGGTATATAGTGCTACAAATTTCCCTCTACACACTGCTTTGAATGTGTCCCAGAGATTCTGGTATGTTGTGTCTTTGTTCTCATTGGTTTCAAAGAACATCTTTATTTCTGCCTTCACTTTGTTATGTACCCAGTAGTCATTCAGGAGCAGGTTGTTCAGTTTCCATATAGTTGAGCGGTTTTGAGTAAACAAAGTGGCTGGGAAGTTCGAACTGGGTGGAGCCCACCACAGCTCAAGGAGGCCTGCCTGCCTCTGTAGAGTCCACCTCTGGGGTCAGGGCATAGCCAAACAAAAGGCAATTGTGGGAGCCCCTCCCCCAGCCTCGCTGCCACCTTGCAGTTTGATCTCAGACTGCTTTGCTAGCAATGAGCGAGACTCCGTGGGTGTAGGACCTTCTGAGCCAGGTGTGGGATATAACCTCCTGGTGTGCCATTTGCTAAGACCATCGGAAAAGCACAGTATTAGGGTGGAAGTGACCAGATTTTCCAGGTGCCATCTGTCACCCTTTCCTTGGTTAGTAAAAGGAATTCCCTGACCCCTTGCACTTCCCAGATGAGGAGATGCCTCGCCCTGCTTTGGCTCATGCTCAGTGCACTGCACCCACTGTCCTGCACCCACTGTCCAACAATCCTCAGCGAGATACACCTGGTACCTCAGTTGGAAATGCAGAAATCATTCGTCTTCTGTGTCGCTCATGCTGGGAGCTGTAGACTGGAGCTATTCCTATTCGGCCATCTTGACTCCACCCTACCATAGTGGTTTTCATTTAGCATGTCCAATTAATGTTGGCTGAAGGGCAAATTTGCATACCTTCTGTTATACAATATTAGATTCAAGAAACATTTCCTAGTTAGATACAGTGTCCTTCAACCTTGACACATTCAGATAAAATAGATACTACTTCACATAAAGTATGTTCAAAAATACCAACTTTCCTATACATTTTCCTTTTCATTTCATTAACCTTTACTTAAGCTCCTTTAGGACTTTATCAGCAGGTTTTGTGTTACAATATTATCAATAGGCAGAACAAGTGTTTCCAGCCAGACATAAAGTCCATTTCATAAGACATTTAAGTTAAAAAGACACACTTTCTTTAAATTAAGCCTGTTTAAATATCACAAATTTCATAATTCTATTAATCTTTATATTTTTATGGTTTCTCAACCTAACTATAACCTCGGTCAAGGCTTCCCCAATGCATCTTGGTAGCATATCACATGGGGTCTTGTATTAAGGAGTCTCTGGAATTTCTGTTCCCTATCCCCTGACAGTCTTACACAAGGCTTTGGGTCAACAGCAGGGCCTTAAACCAATAAACCCTTTTTTTGTGTGTTAATTTTTATCTTGATTAATCTGCCTCAGCATTATCTGAAGAAATTATTAAGCAGCTTTCTAACTGTGATCTCTGCATTCCTGCTTTTTAAACTACTCCACACTGCGATAAATGAAACTGATTAGTTTGGGGCCCTTTTAGGTTGGATTAATTTCAAAAAGTCTCATTTGACCACCTTACCTCTCATAATGTTGTGTTGAGACCTTTTTTTAGCCATGTTAATTTTCATTTCATTCATCCCTTTTCTTAATAAATATCCAATAATTTTCACCCTGCTGGGAAGAGTTCCATGACTCTCTCCATTTCTTTTTCTCTCAGTCTCACTCCACCTATGTTTTTTCAGTTTACTTTATTTCTTAATAACTGTAAAATTTCCACCTTCAGTAAATTGAAAACTGTTAGAGCAGACAACAATATTTAAAATTTTTCATTTTTTAGTGCCTCAAATGTTGTTGTATCTTTGAGCACAGCATCATGGTAAAATTCGGATGAATAAAAGGCATAAACTTATCTGGAAAAGAAAATTCTTTCAAGTGAGGGCATATGAAGATTCTCACCAAAGTGAACTTACAGTTGGTACAGTGTGTCTGCAGCCCAACTGTACCAGAAGTGTCCAGTCTCCCTCTTACCAAGACTGAGCTAGCTTGAGTCAGTTGAGCCCAGGGGTATCCTTCAAACACTACCTCCCTCTATGTACACCCACCTATGCAGCACTGGAGTGGACAGTTATTTCGTGCTTCATCTATGGTGGATGTTAAATTTTACCAATCCAAATAATATAAAAATGAATCACTGATTTGATTGGCAAATGCTTAATTATAAATCTAATCAACCATCTCTTTTTGTTTGTGATTCATTCAGGTGTTTTGTTCATGTACTGCACTCATTTTTCTCTTGTGGTACCGTCTACTGGTTCTTCTTTGGGATACAGAAGATACAAAGGGCAAATTTATAATTTGTTCAAATTCTAGAATCCTGAGTCATGATGACAGTGGCTCAGAGTGATTGGCAAAGGAACAAGATCAATGAAGTTCAGATAAACTGGTAAAAAAAAAAAAATGAGGAACCCTAGGTCAGAGAAGGTAAGCTCTGGAGCTGGATTGCTCACAGTGAGAACCTGCAGGAGGCAAGAGACAGGATAGAATAAAATTAAATTTGAGAGAAACACATTGAATCAGTTCAAAATATTTCAGTGAAGCATAGAATGAGTGATTAAAACCAGGAAACCATAATGACAGAGCTTCAGAAGTAAAGCAGGCAATCAGGAGGGCTCTAACATGTGGTAATAGCAAATAACACTTTCATATTTTAATCAGCTTAATGGCAATTCCTACAGTATTAGGTGATTTCTGTTGGAAGCTCTATCAGTCAAGGTTCAGTCAGAAAAAGAGAAAGTTTACTAATTCACCTTATTGCAGGTTTTGTTCATTCTTTTATTCGTTCATTCGGTTCCATTTTATTTTGTGAACTCTATTACATTTTATACAATCAGTGACTGTATTTCTAATTTCCACAATTTCTAAATGTTCCTCTTTCTATTCATGCTTCTCACCCAATTCCATTTTTATGTTAAGTATTTTCTCATCTCTGAGAAAAAAAATTATTTTGATTTTTTCCTATATTTATAAACTTTGGGTGAAAATCTTACTATTGTGTAGAATTGGTTATTTCCTCATGTGGTTTTCATGAGTTAATCTTCAACAGCTGTTAATTTCTGCAAACTTTCATTTCCTGCATGTGTCTGCTGTCATCTAGAGAGATCAGTTTCATTATAATTTGTTTTAATTTTTTAGTTATTACAACTTACATTTTTTCAGAACAGAAATTCCCTGAACTCCGTAGGTAAATTTTGTTTTCCACTTTTAAGGCTTTTGCCACATTTTTTATCCTGCCAAAACCATCTTGTTATAGCTCCTATAAGAATCTATTCATATAATTTTCTCTAATGCTAACAACTGGTGTGTAAGTTTTCTCAGTTGTATACTTACCTGAGTATATTCTATGCCGTCTTCTCTTCATGGTATATGTGTTTGGAGCAGAAAAGGTAGTAAAGACTTGGGTCATGAATGGTAAGCACAGTCCACTCCACTGAATGAAATTCTTAAATGTGTATATTTGAAAGGTAATACATTCTCTTTAAGTTTATAATTATTTTAATTGTATCACATTATATAGATACATATGATATATATACTTCAGAATTTGTGGAGATTTCATCTGTGACATTGCCTTAGTTTAATTTTATAAAAGTTTTCATGTGCACTTCAAAAGAATATTTATACTCTATTTGAAGATGCAGGATTCAGTACGTTATTTTTGTTACTTTTGTTGCTAATACAATCAACTTTCATAGAATTTATTTTCTCTGTTCAATCTATCAGTTTCTGAGATATATTTCAATCTCCAAATACTTATTATTGTTAATTTTAAGTGAATTATTTCTATCCACATGAAATGATTCACTTATCACATTTGATACTTCGCATCTTAATTCTGCTTTGTTTGATTTTTGTAGCATTGCATCAATTTTCATTTATTTGCTATTGGGTATATGCCTCTTGTAAAATCTGTATATATTTTATAGTAATATGGGTAATTTTTATTAGGTGTTTCTCTTTTAAACAAAAATAAAAGCTAGATTGAAATATCTGAGAATCTCTACCATAATGGGTGAGTTTATTTAATTCTTTTTTAAATTGATATATAACTATTACATGACATTAAATGAAAATAACTTTTTACATTAAATTATTAGTTTGAGCTTATCTGTAAATATTTACTATTTAGATTTACCATGTTTTAGCTTACTACACTCTCCTTTTTCTGTATTTTATGGAAATGATAATTTATTTATTCTCTTAAGCTGTTAATGAAAAGTTATGCATAGATACATTTCCAAAATGTCTATGCGTAAATGGCCTAGAAGTAATAATATCCCAGATGCAATGAACATGCTAAGTACTTGAAATTTTGCTTCTAGACACTATACTCCAATAAAACGAACCATGCCTTCCTCAAGATATAAATGACATTACCCCTGAGGCAACAAAAGTACAGGATGTGCCTGAAATATCTAGGGGTGCCAGAAAGTAAATAAGTATACAACATGATGACAACATATCAGAAAAATATAGAAGGAAACTGAAGGAAGTCCCAATGAATCGAATCTGGACCAATTTGAGCAATGGAATAATGATAGCTGTGGATTGTAACCTTTGGAATAAACCAAATACTCATGAAATCATATTGACAGAAACCAGTATAAGGAAATAAAAGGGAAAAAATGTTCTTTCTTAGAGTAGAATTTCTCTTACTAATTGTTAAAGAAATTATAGACATAGAAATAATCATTAGACAAACTCCACAGTAATTTAATTCAGGCAAAAATTATCTTTGAATGGATGCTAAAATTAGAGGGAAAGGATGTAATGGAAACAGGATATTTACAGTCTCAAAGTCTCCTATCAAGATACTTCTAATTCCAAAATGAGAAATTATAATTTTACAGGGAATAAACCTGTAGACAGCATCTTAACCAAGAAATCAAAGTTAGTATCACCAGCATGACAAATCAACACTATCTGCTGCCCAAAAATGATGTAATGTGAAGACTACAACAACATGTCTGCAGTATTCTTTCAAAAAATGTGTGATAGCAACTTAATCATGAAGGAACATTAAACAAATGTAAAATAAGAATCATTCTACAAAACAACTGGTCAATAATTCATCTAGAAGTCAAAAATTAACAGAGACAAAAAATGAAGGGATAATTACAGACTAAAGGAAACTAAAGACATGAAAATGAAATGCACTAACCCTTACTGTATTACATAATACGTTCCTCTTTGCACTTTCCACACAAAAACTAGAGAGTTTTTCCTTAAAGAAATTGAAATAAATTCACCAGGGTAAAATGAGAAAACTAGAATTGATGTAACACATCAAAGTATAATCTTTTTTATGAAATTTTTGGTTCCCTTTAGGTAAGGTCTAGTAGTTGTACGCGTTCAGCATAAAAATCAAAGCCAACCAGATACTAAGTCCTTCACAGATACAAAGATATCCCAGTGAATCATTCTATGTCCTCATTCTTAAATATATAGATAGATGATAAATAGATAATAGATAGATAGATAGATAGATTAGATAGATAAATATATAGATAGATAGGCAGACAACATTTGAAAAAAGAAAATAAAATGACAGATTAAAGCCAAGATAAACAAACAAATACATGGAGATTTGTGCACACACACACACACATGAACCAGAATAATTAACCCAGAAACAGAAAACTAAATACTATGTGTTCTCACTTAAAAGTGGGAGCTAAGCTTGGGGCACACATAGACAAAAATGGGAACAATAGACAGTGGGGACTACTACAGAGGGAAGAGAAGGGCAGAAGGCCTGAAAAACTATTGGGTACTATGTAAAAATGTATACAATATGCATTCTATGCCATTACAATCATTTTATCAAAATATGTATAATTACAGTGTCAGCTATAATACAAGAATTGTCGGAAACTGAGAAACAAAATGATGAATAGAACTAGATCACAATTTTTATGCAGGATGAAAAGGAATATACAATAAGATTAAAATTATCTAAATAAACATCACAGTGAATTATATAAATAGAATAAAAACCATAATAAAAGCATACAAATTTAAATCAGGAATAGCTCTAGACAGAGAGTATGAGGGAAATTTAATTTTTTTAAGCTTTTCATACTCTAATATTTTGTACACTGATATATTATTTTCATGAAGATATCCCAGAATGAGATCACTGATGAGTGTATAAACAGACAATATGCTACCTCAATATTGGGTGGATGAAGAAGACTCTGGGCAGCGAGGCATTGAGAAAAAACATCAAACACAAGTTCCATTAAATGTGGCTACAGGTCTGAAAGAAAAATAATCTTGAAAACCCAAAGTCACTAAGTCAAAGGGAAGTCAAGCTGGAAACTGTATCAGCCAAACCTGCCTCCCATTTTATTCCTAAATAAAATAGCTACAAAGTTGGGTTTTTGTTGTTGTTGTTGTTGTTGTTGTTTTTAAGTTACATACCTCCCTTACAATCTTCCCAAGAGGAAATTCCTTGTGGGCCTCAAAATCTTTAACCTGAAACATTTCTGTTGAATTTCACCCTGGAAATGTAAATTGATAGCTTATCTTCACAGGTGAGGGACAAAAGAGGACAGAACTCAAAGCCATCCCTTCACCATTGTTTATGGAAAAAATGCAGATTTACTGAGTCAGACTAAGGCATAAGTGACTATTTCTCAACCCTTCTCTCATATGTATACTGTGTATTCAGCAAAAGGCTCATCTAAGACCCAAAAAAGAATGCAACCTTTTAACTCTTATCTATGACATGAAGGCATCACTTTGAATTGCCCCACCTTTCCTGACCAAACCAATGTACGTCATACGCATATTGATTGATGTCTCATGTCTGCTAAAATGTGTAAAACCAAGCTGTGCCCCAACCACCTTGAGCACGTGTCATTGAGACTTTCTGAGGCAGTGTCATGAGCATGTCCTTATCCTTGGCAAAATAAACTTTCTAAATTGAGAACTGTTTCAGATACTTTGTGTTCACACAGGTAACGAGTCACACAGAATACCTGGGAGCCCCAAGAACTACCTGGAATAGTAGTACAGTGACTCTCCAATTAAAACTAATGTCATAAGGCTCAAATTATATTTTTGAAAAATACTTGGCAAAATATGTTGTGCATACACAAACTTTAGGATTTCTTTTTTTAAACAAGTTTTTAAAAGAAAGTTTACCTCCCATGTTTAGGATCTGAAAGTATACCGGTTATGTCAGAATGGGTTCATCATTATTTTACAGAGAAAATAAATAAATAATAAATGGAAAACAAAAGAAACAACAACAACAAAAAGATGGGTATTCAATTTTGACATTATATACTGAAAACTTTTGGCGCTACATTTCTCTTTCTCTTTATTTTGTCTTGATAGGCGTATGCACTGAGCAATGTGGAATTACACTATGCATTTACATTTACAAATGAGAACATAAGGGAAACCACAATTCAGAGTAATTCTCAATAAATTTCAAGCAAACACATATTCAACAAGGGCTTTATATTGTGTGAATGAGCTACTCAAGATAGTGAAGAGATCTCCACTGGAAAAATGACTGGTAGATTCTTCCACTGAGGATTAAGTGCCCCTGTGAGACACAGAAAAGTGATGATGAGGGTCCCTCACAGGCAGTTATAGGTAGCACATCAGTTGTTTGTTTGGTTTGTTTGTTTTGTTTTGTTTTGTTTTGAGATGGAGTCTCGCTGGGTCGCCCAGGCTGGAGTGCAGCGGCACAATCTCGGCTCACTGCAACCTCCACCTCCCGGGTTCAAGCAATTCTCCTGCCGCAGCCTCCCGAGTATCTGGGATTACAGGTGTGTGCCACCACGCCCAGCTAATTTTTGTATTTTTAGTAGAGACAGAGTTTCACCATGTTGGCCAGGATGGTCCCAATCTCTTGACCTGGTGATCTGCCCATCTCGACCTCCCAAAGTGCTAGGATTACAGGTGTGAGCCACCATGCCTGGCCAGTAGCATATCATTTTATGCAGTGTGATTTCAGGAAAAAAAGTGTCTTAGTAATATTTAAACAATGACCTGAGAAATACAATCACTCAGTTATGTAACTATATACTGCATAATTCTGTATTATAAATGGGATTCTCAGGACTAGTTCACAGAAATTTCACACCACAGTATCAGACTCTTGAATCTCCATCATTATTAAACTTCAGCTTTTAAAGATTTTTTTTTAGGGAAAAAGACATAATCTGACAAGTTTTAAATGAGGTATAAAGAATTACAGAGCTAAAGAAATAGACATATAAAATTATTTCAATAGTAACTTTTCCTCACTGCTCATAGCCAGGTAATGGTTCCAATGACTCCCAACTAAAAATACTCTACAGAAAGAACAAACAAACAAACAAACAAAAAACCCTGCCTTAATAGACACAAGGAATTTAGTAGAACTACAACATATGGAATTAAACACAACAAATGCCACCTTCCAAGAACCCATATTAGTAATTACAGTATTGTAAATGAAGAGTCTGGGTATAATATTTTCTAGCATTGTCTCCTTCTTCTATAGTGTCATAGTTGTTTTTCATCTTTTCCTTTTACAGACACACATATTTACACAAATAGCCATAACAGATGCCATGTATATCATATTCCATAACTTCTTCCAAAGAAAGAGATTAGGTCAGTTAAAAAATAGCCATTACTCCAAAAATTTCTGATAATGCTTGATTTTCTCTTCTTAGATGTATGTACTAATCTTTTCTATAGTGTTTGCTATGCTGACACTCTTTTGTGATAGAACAAATTCTTCACAGAAAATGGAAGAGTTTGTGCAGAGCTCTGGAGAAAATGGTGTCGTGGCAGTCTTGCTTAAGTCTATGGTCAGTAACATCACAGAAGAAAGGGCCAACGTGATTGCATCAGCTCTTGCCCAGATTCCACGAAAGGTTAGATAAAATGTCTTAATGGTGGACAGCTACTGAATGAGTCTGTTAAACTCTGTAAAGAGTCCAATCACAGAAATTTTCTGCCAGAAAAACTAACTGATATGATAGCTCTAATTATCTCAGATATTGGTTCAAAAACAAAAATATATATGGAAGATACTAAAATAACGAGGGTGTGTTTGATTGATAAAAATTCTGACATTAATATTGTGATCAGAAAAAATATATTTAAGAGGTGCAGGTGAAGTTGTGGTATTATCATAGTATTGTAGGCATGTACATAGAAATCACCAAATTCTGCCCTGTCATTTGTCCCTTTTGCTTACAAGTTTCCTGAGAACATGGTATACACTATAGATATTATTTAAAATCACTTACATTTTAATCAGTTACTGCACTATTACAATAACAATAAGGTATTGAAAAAAGTCTGAAATGCATCATTCAATTTAGGCTTGCTAGGTAATCTGGTCTCCTGTACTTCCTGTACATTTTGGAATAGACCTATTTAGTAGGCAATTCAGAATGCATTCAGAGAAAAGATGTCCAGGCTGACAAACCGCTATTCTGGAGGTATCCACCTAGCCAAGTAGATTTAGAGAAGCAGAAGAACTTGCCTGCCCTGTTTACTGGGCCTTGCTAATGTCTTAAACAGGAAAATATGATAGAAAAGGAGGGAACAGAATCCTGCTTTTAGGGTAGACTCCGTGCATTATAAAATGTGGTCCCATAAAGCCTCTGCTCTAACCATCAGAAAAACACCTCCTCCCAACGGAGGAAGGAGAAGGGAATATAAGAAGGAGTCAAGCAGAAGGAAGCCAGACATGGAAAGAGGTTCAGATGCCCTCACTCCATGAAATATAGTAGGAACTTATTTTGTAGTATGCAGAATACACTTGAAGTCTTTGTGTATTTGTGAGTTACTTTTTAGTTTCCTCTCTGACATAGCCTTCTCCTAATGACCTATGCTAATTTTTTTCTGGAAACACAAAGTTACTTTAACACTCACATAGCAAATACAAGGAAAACACTTGTAAATTACACTCCAGTTTATAAGGATTGCTTGGGGAATCTAAAATCAGTATCTTATTTTGGTACTGTCTATGGGTATGGCTTGGCTAAAGCAGCCCATATTAATCTATGCTGTCGATGCTTTATAGCAGCATCTAAGTGTTAATGATCAGTTAAGCAAAATTTAGCAAAATATAATTTTACAATTTTTAGTGTGTATATTCTTATTCATAAATTGCCAATTGGCTCTTTTCGCCTACATTGGAAGAATTTCCAAAACTAGCAAAATGATAGTACTTTGAATTTGACTCAGAAATTGCCACTTGCACTTTGGGATGCCTAGGTGGGCAGATCACTTGAGGTCAGGAGTTCGAGACCAGCCCGGCCAACATGGTGAAACCCCGTCTCTACTAAAAAATATAAAAATTAGCTGGGCATGGCAGTGCATGCCTGTAATCCCAGCTACTTGGGAGGCTGAGGCAGAAAAATCGCTTGAACCCAGGAGGCGAGGGTTGCAGTGAGCTGAGATGGTGCCACTGCACTCCAGCCTGGGCAACAGAGCAAGACTCCATCTCAAAAAAAAAAAAAAAGAAAGAAAGAAAAGAAAAAAGAAAAGAAAAGAAAGAAATTGTCACTTGAAATTTTTCTTGGATGTAGTGCTGGGTAATGTGTAATCTACAAGAAGTTATATGTACTACCTATGTAGCACTGATTTATTTCTCACAGGTAGCTGATTTTATAGATTTTGTTTTTTATAAATCAAAGATGTCAAACACTAACAAAATAACTTACAGAAAAATATATATAAGTAACACTTCTCATTTCACTCAAGAAATAAACTAACATTAAATTTGGAAGATTACAGGTAGTATAAAATACATAAAATAAATGTATAGGTTGTCACTAATTTGTTACTGTATTTTACAGTAGAATTATAATGACTGTCTAATAATTTCTTAAATTTTTGAATTTTTTATTGATACTCTCAAGTGTCTAAGCTTCTCTGTTGAAAACATCATGATTTTCTAATATACCAAATTGATAATAAAAGACATGAAATGTGGATATTCAATAGTCTTTTAGTAGTACTCATTTCCTAAAATTGCTTGTTCTCGTTTTTTCATCTATTATATGGAAGGGGTTTAACTAGTTGATTGACAATTTCTTTAGAGTTCTAACATCTTATAGCTTTGGCATTCTACTCATGGAACAAGATATTTTCTTTACCCCAACAGGTTCTGTGGATGGAAAGAGACCAAATACTTTAGCATCCAATACTCAGCTGTACAAGTGGATATCCCAGAATGACCTTCTTGGTAATACTCTGCAGAACAAATACTGAATATATGACTAACAGCTAATTAGAAGGATAGTTCAACCTGAAAGAAACTTACGGAACATTTATTATCAAAAAACTCAAATATAAAGGCTAACTACTTTATATTTATTTTCCAGTCTTACCAGGAAAATAACTATATAGTTGGTATTTTATTATAGACACTCACATTCTTTATGTTCAGAATCAAATTATCTTTATTTCAGATATAATTACCTCTCACGGGGTTTCCCAATAACTTCCTGGATTGTCTCTCTGTCTCCTATTTGTACAGCTTTACACCTGTCCTTTTCCCTACTTCAGGGTTAATTTCAAAAGACACTAAAAAATAACAGTGCCTCTTTTATTACCAATAACTCTGCATTTTCTGAAAATAAATCCTCAATCTTTTTTTTTTTTTGAGATGAAGTCTCACTCTTGTCCCCAGGCTGGAGTGCATTGGCATGACCTTGGCTCACTGCAACCTTCACCTCCCAGGTTCAAGCGATTCTCCTGCCTCAGCTTCCCGAGTAGCTGGGATTACAGGCACCTGCCACCAAGCCTCTCTAATTTTTGTATTTTTAGTAGAGACCAGGTTTCACCATGTTGGCCAGGCTGGTCTCGAACTCCTGACCTCAGGTGATCCACCCACCTCTGCCTCTCAAAGTGCTGGGATTATAGGCATGAGCCTCCGCACCCGGCCTAAATCCTCAATCTTTATCATAAAGTGATAACACGTTTCCTGATGTAATGTGGCCTGCCTTTCTTCTATTCCAATACCACCACCACACTCCCTGTTGCCTTGCATACACCACATATCCCACTCAGACCGCAGTATGTATTTAAGGGAAAATGCTCTAACATACACAATATTATTGATTTTCTTTTCTCTTTTTTTTTGCACATTTTTTTCATTCAGAATGTGCTTTTTCATTTTGTCCACCTGGCAATATCAATTCATTTTTTGAGTCTGAAGTCACACACGCCCCCACCTCTTCATGTAGCCTTCACTTACCTCCAGAAGAATTAGGTGCTTCTTTCTCTGAAATCCGAAAGCAATTCTAATGGAGTTTGATGTGTATAATAATCTGTTATTTAGTAGACACTGCCCCTTTCAGAGCATTCTATTGTGCATTTCTCATTTTAGTCTTATGAATAATTTTGCTAAAATTTATCCAATCCTAGGTCATCCAAAAACTAAATCTTTTATGACTCATGGTGAAACCAGTGGCATCTATGAGGCAATCTACCATGGGATCCCTATGGTGGGCATTCCTTTGTTTGCAGATCAACCTGATAACATTGCTCACATGAAGGCCCTCAATGTGGACATCAGGACCATGTCAAGTACAGATTTGCTCAATGCACTGAAGACAGTCATTAATGACCCTGTGTGAGTATGACAATTTTTTTTACTATGTGGTATTTACAGATTCTTTTGACAACACTGAATACATGTCTTACCCCTTTTAGGAGACCAATTTTGAAAGAATTTAAATAATTTAACCAACTTGAAACCTGCTTTTATTTTTCACCAATTATTTTAGTTACATTTGATCCCATATATTTAATGGGTCACCAATTACTGTAACAACCTTCTACACACAAATATTTTTAAACATATATAGATAATTGTTTAAAATATAAGTTTTTTGAATGATGGATTATAATACAATGAAATAATGAACTTGGAGAAATAAAATAAAGTATTTCAATTCAATACATAAAATTTCTGAAAGTATAACTGTATTCATGCTCAATAATGTATTTTTAGTATTATCATTATTTTAAGATACAATTTGCATAGCATAATATTTACCTATTTAAAAGTGAGATCTAAAAGTAGTTAGTACATTTACATAGTTACAAAGCCATCACCATAATATAATTTTTGAACATTTTTATCACCCTAAAATAAACCTCAAAATGCATAAAATCACTGTTGATAAACCTCCAGTCCTAGGGAAATATCAACTTACTTTCTCAATAGATTATTCTCTCTGGATATTTCATGTAAATTAAATCATACAATTTACAGTGTTCTATAAATGATTTCTTTGACTTAGTACAATGTCTTTTATTAGTTTCACCCATATTGTTGAAAGTGTCAGAACATTTTTTCTTTTTATTGCTAATATTCTTTGATGAATGTACCATTTTGAATTTACCCATTTATCAGCTTTCAGACATTTCAGTTATTTCCAATTTTAGCTCTTATAAACACTGCTATACATATTTTTTGTGAAAAAAGTTGTTTTCACTAATTTTGAGAAGATACTAGGAGTGGAATTTCTGAGCCATATGGAAAGTTGATGTTTATGAAGAACTGCTAAACTGTTTTTCAAAGTACTTGCACCGTTTTTCGTTACTTCTAGCTGTACAGGAGGGTTCCAATTTCTTCATGCTCTTCCCTACACTTGTTATCTCCTATCTTTTTGTTACAGGGATCCCAGTGGATATAAAATGATCTTTCATTGTGGATTTAATTTGCATTTTCCTTGTGGCTAAAGACATAACCATCTTTTCATGCACTTACTGGCAAGTCATTCGTCTTCTTTTGAGAAAATTTTATTCCTATCTTTTGAACATTTCTAACATTTTTATCTTATTATTGATTCATAAGAATTATTTTTATATTATTGGTGGAATGCCTTGTCAGTCTATGATTTTTAAATATTTTCTCCCACTCTTTATAGGTTGATTCTTTTTTTTTACTTTATTGAAGATGTCCCTTGAAGCACAAAGTTTTAATATTGAGAAAATAAATCTGTAATAATTTTTCTGTGCTCCAAAAGAAATAATGTAGAAAATGCTGTGACTATTGATTACTATTGTCAATATATATAAGGAGGTACCATCTTAGAAAATATACTGAAAATACCTTACCAGGAAGATAATAAGACAGTGAATGATTAAAAATAGTTTAAAAGCAAACAGGAAAGAATTAGAAAAGAAACATACAGCAGATTGGAAAACAGAAAATAAAATACAGAATAAGATAGTAGATTTAAAAGTGAATCTACTAGAACTCATACTAAATTTAAACAGAGAAAAAAAAGTGACTTAAAAATAAACATTTGAAGAGCATAAATATAACCTATTGTATATATGTGTGTGTATACATATATATGTATTGTGTATATATATAGTAAGTTTGTGTATATGTGTGTATATATATATATATACACACACATTTTTATGTGTGGAGGTGTGGAGGTGAGTGTGAATGTATATTGAGAATATACGTTTATTAAGAGTATATGGAATAGTTAGTGAATTGAACTTCTGCTGGGCCAAAAATCAGGACTTAGCAAATGTGATAAGATTCAAAAGCATAAAAAGGAAATGCTCTAGCCATACTAGAAATAAATTCGAAATTATCCAAAAAATTATAACTTAAAAAACAACTCTAAATTTTGGAAATTAAATTTGTGTATTTAAAAAGCTAGTCAACAAAACATCATAATTCTACATGCATCTTTTTCTCAGCAACTCATCTCTCAAGTATATACCCATCAAAAATGTATTAATATGTATATCTAATGATATACACACATTTGCTTACCCCAGAATTAGTAATAGTGTTCAAAAATCTTAACAACCCAAATATCCATCAGTCATAAAAATAGGAGATAATCTGTGGTATTTGTCAATTGACTGAATCATATTACAGCAATGGAATTAGCCAATAACTTCTACCCAAAAAAAGACACAAATGAGTATATATTATATAATTCATTATGTAAACAAGCAATATTAATCTATTAGAAGTCAAGGTAGTTTTAACTTGAGGACAAAAGTAGTGACTAAAATGGCCCAAGAAGACAGAGTTTTTCTAGGCAGGTTGTGATGTCTTATATTATAATCTGCGTAGTAGGTAAGTTGGTGTTCACATCAGGATATTGTTCAAGGTAATGTTAAAATTTTGAGCTATTCACTGAATTTGTGTACATTTATGTATTTTATACTTAAAGTTTTATTTGAGAAGACATGTAACATATTTTTAAGTTCCAGGAGTTAAACAGCAAAATAAGCACAAAACAATAGAGGAAATCCTACAGGTACTACCATAGTGTGGCCACGAAAAGCCTCTTTAACAGGTATTATTTAAGGGGAAGCCTCAAAAAGATATAGAAGCAAGCCTCAAGTTGTTGCAAGGAGGAATATTCCAAGAGAGGGAGAGAGGGGATAAAGGGTGTAAAGGGGCTCAGGTGAGAACACATTGGGGAGCTCAAAGAACAATAGAAGGGCAATGCCTCTAGGAGAGAAGGTGGTTGGGGAAAGTGTTAGAAGAAGTTGCCCATGCCTGACCATGTAGGGTTCTGTAGAACAAAGACAGATTTAGATTTTATTCTTAATATAGTGAGAAGCCAGGTGAAAATCTTATCAGAGGAATGCCATAATCTGGCTTTTATTTCAAAAAATTATTCTGACTACTGAGAGGAAAATATGGTAGAACACAGAATAGTAGGGTAGAAAGAGAAAGACTAATTTAGAAATATTACACCAGCTGTGAAACAATTTTTCCTTAAAAATATCAAAATGGGTCGATAAAGGTAGTTCACACCTGTAGTCCCAGAAATTTGGAAGGCTAAAGCAAAAGGATCACTTGAGCCCAAGAGTTTGAAACCATCCTGGGCAAACTGGTAGGACTCCATCTCTACAAAAAAATATTTAAAAATTACTGGGCAAAGTGGTGCATGCCTGCAGTCCCAGCTACTCAGGAGGCAGAGGTGGGAGGATTGTTTAAGCCCACACTGTGGAGGCTGCTGTGACCCATAATCATGCCACTGCACTCCAATCTGGGCCGTAGAGAAAGACTCTTTCTCAAAAAAAAATAAAATAAAATATCAAGATGATCAATCTCAGATTGCATTTCCACTGTCTTACCTGTAGCACATAGAATGGCTCAAAATATTTCCTCTGCTACAAAGACATTAACTTTCTCATCAGACCTTCCATTTTTAATTTAAGACATATTTTTCTTTATAAAATTCCATTTTAAAAAATAAACTTTCTACATTTGTCCAAACCAAAACATTCGATTCCTATGACAATTCTATAATATTTACTTTGAAGCATTGATGTGACACTTTTCAAAGACCATCCATAGACTTAGGAAATAAATTTACTTTCAATGTTGGTATTTTTATGTTTATCCTTCAGCTACAAAGAGAATGCTATGAAGTTATCAATAATTCGCCATGATTTGCCAATTAAGCCCCTGGATCAAGCAGCCTTCTGGATTGAGTTTGTCATGCAGCACAAAGGAGCCAAGCACCTTCGGGTTGCAGCCCACGACCTCACCTGGTTCCAATACCACAACTTGCATGTGATTAGGTTCCTGCTGGCCTATGTGTCAACTGTGATCTTCATCATCACAAGATGTTGCCTGTTTTCTTTCTGAAAGTTTGCTAAAACAGGAAAGAAGGAGAAAAGGGATTAGTTACATAAAAGGCTTGAAGCTGGAATGACCAAAAGATAGAATTCCTTCAGTTAATTCCAGCATGAAGAGGTTGATACAGAGGATTTCCTTCCTCCTGTGACAAAACATATTTTTATAACTTACACTGTTAGGTCAAAATTTATTTTCCAGAGATTTAGTACCTATTTAAAAGTTAGAAATATTCTTAGTCAAATACTTAAAAACAAGGAAAAATAAAAAATAATGTAAAACCATATGGGTTTATGTGAAATACATTATTCTATTCACAAGTGGCACATGCACAAAAATTACTGAGCTGTGTTTCACACTTTATACATTGACCCAATATTAAGACATCCGTTCACAATATTAATACCATTTTTCAAATACTCAGAATTCTTTGGTTTCATTTTCAGCAGAATTTTGTTGTTTTTACTGTTGCAAAGAAACTACTCAATAATTAAATTGTGAAGAAAGTCTCACTCTTCCTTTTGATATTACAAGACCAGTAGTGTTGCTTGGCTTTTACTATGTTCAAGACTCAGCATTGCTTCTTTCCTAAAAGAAATGACAAATTTATCCCTAGATTTAAGGATAATAGAACACACAAAAATGAGCAAATGTGACATATCACCTTAACCCAATGATGCATAAAAATCACTTGATATATCAGTAAATGCAAAACAAAGCATTTGAAAAAAATCAATTGTTTATGAGTTTTTAAAAGAGAGCTCTAAACAAACTAGAAATAGAAATGATATCGGGGGAACAAGCCCCCAATATTTCAATGTAGGTCTTTTCTATTTTCCCTAATTGGTGACTGGTCTGAGAAATAAAGAGTAAGAGTAAAAAGAGAGAAATTTTACAGCTGGGCCTCCAGGGTTGACATCGCATATTGGTAGGACTGTGCAGACGACCCTGAGCTGCAAAACCAGCAAGTTTTTATTAGGGATTTTAAAAGAGGAGGGGGTGTATAAACAGGGAGTAGGTCACAAGGATCACATGCTTCAAAGGGCCATATAGATCACAAGGCAAAGGCAGAATTAGAATTACTGATGAGGCTCTATGTCCTGCTGTTCCCATATTGTTTTTATAAACATCTTAACAGGAAACAGGGTTTGAGAGCAGAGAACTAGTCTAGCTAGAATTTACCAGGCTGGAATTTCCCAATCCTAGTAAGCCTGAGGGTACTGCAGGAGACCAGGGCATATTTCAGTCCTTTTCTCAACCGCATAAGACAGACACTCCCAGAGTGGCCATTCATAGACCTCTCCCCAGGAATGCATTCCTTCCCCAGGGTTACTCCTTGCTGGGAAAAGAATTCAGCGGTATTTCTCCTCCTTGCACATCCATTTATAGGCTTTCTGCAAGAAGAAACATATGGCTTATTCTGCCCAACCCCTCAGGCAGTCAGACCTTATGGTTATCTTCCCTTGTTCCCTGAAAATTGCTGTTATTCTGTTGTTTTTCAGGGTACACTGATTTCATATTGTTCAAACATATATGTTTTACAAACAGATGTCATATTGTTCAAACACACATGTTCTACAACCAATTTGTACAATAGTGGTCCTGAGGTGACATACATTCTCAACTTATGAAGACAACAGGACTAAGAGATTAAAGTAAAGACAAGCGTAAGAAATTATAATAGTATTATTAGGGAAGTGATAAATGTCCATGAAATCTTCACAATTTATGTTCAGAGATTGCAGTAAAGACAGGCATAAGAAATTATAAAAGTATTAATTTTTGGAACAGATAAATGTCCATGAAATCTTCACAATTTATGATGTTCTGCCTCAGCTCCAGCCAGTCCCTCCATTCAGGGTCCCTGACTTCCTGCAACAAGAAATAGAAGGAAATTATCTTAACCTGATAAAGGCAATATATGAAAAGCTCATAGCTAACATCATACTCAATGATTAAAAAAAAACTGAAAACTTTTCATCTGTTTTCACAATAAGGAAAGGATGTTCACTCTTGCTGCTTCTATTATACACCATACTGGAAATCCTAGCCGGAACAATTAGGCAAGAAAAAGAAAAAAAGCAACAGGCTTCTGAATCAACAGTAAAATAACCTCTGTTTGCAGAGGACATGATATTATATGTGGAAAACCCTAAAGATGCCACCAAATATTATTAGAACAAGTGCATAAATTCAGTAAATTTGCAGCATATAAAATCAGCATACAAAAATCACTTACCTTTCTGTGTATTAACAAAGAACTATCAGAAAAGGAAATTAACAAAACACTCCAATTTGCAATGGCCTCAAAAAGGACAAAATACATAAGAATAAACTGTAACAAGTGGAAGAAAGACATGTATACTAAAAACTACAAAACACTGATGAATGAAATTAAAGATTATACTAATTTAGAAAGACATAGTATATTGACCGGAAGATTTAATGTTACAGAAACATCTATACAACCTAAAGTGATTAACATATTAAATGTAATCTCTATCGAAACACCAATGACTTATACAAAGACAAAAAAATCTTAAAATGTATAATGATCCAGGAAGAAGTAACTAGCCAAAACAATGTGGGAAAAGTAAAACACAGTTATAGGGCATCACATCTCCTTATTTCAAAATATATTAAAAGCTACAGTTATTAAAATAACATGATATTCACATAAAGACATAAATAGAGAGAGATTTAAGTAACAGAATAGAGAGCCCAGATGATAAAGTCACAAATATACAATGCACTTATATTCAATGAGTCTCAAATATACTCAATAAATGTCACTCTCTTCAAGAAACGGTACTGCATGAGAACACCAGATGTCCACATGCAAAAGAATAAAATTGGACCCTTAGTTTATGTCATATACAAAAATCAACACAAAACAAATGAAAGACTTAAACATAAGCCCTGAAACTATAAAACTCTCACAATAAAACACGGAAAAAGTTTTATGACATTGGGCTGGGCAATGGTCTATTGGGTATGACCTCAGAAGTACAGGTAACAAGGTCAAATATATGAAAGTAGAATTGTATCAAACTAAAAAGTTTCTGCAGGGCAAAGAAGTCAACAGAGTGAAAAGATAAAATGGGAATGGGAAACAGTTTCAAATCATATATCTCATGAGAGGTTAACACCTAAAATATATTAGGAACTGCAACAACTCAATAGCAAAAAGAGAAAAAAAGCCATGATTAATAAATAGGCAAATACTTGAAAAAGACATTTCTCTGAGGAAGTTGTACATATGGACAACAGCTGTATGAAAACTAATTAATGTAAATTCATCATCAGGAAAATCAAAACTGCAATGAGATATCACCTCATACCTCTTACCATGTCTTTATCAACATACAGACACAAACACACACATACATATATACACACACAATAAAAGTTGTTGGCTAGGAAATGGAGAAATTGAAACTTTCATACACTGTCAGTGTGAATATAAATTTTTACAGCCAAAATGAAAACAGTGTAGAGGTTGCTCAAAAAATTAAAAATAGAACTTCCATATGATCCACCCATCCTGCAATATGTAACAACATAGATGAACCTTCAGGAAATAATTTTAAGTGAAATAAGCCAGTCTCAATGGGACACATACTCTATGATTCTACTTGTGTAAGAAATTTGAAACAGTCAAACTCAAAGAAACGGAGAGTAGAATGGAGGTTACCAGTGGCTGGAGAATGGAGGAAATTGAGAGTTGCTTTTCAATGAGTATAAAGTTCCAGTAAAAATAAGATGAGCAGGTTTCAGAGCACTGCTGCACAACATTGTGGCCATAGTTAACAATAATGTATCATACACTTAAAATACTTTTAAAAGAGTAGATCTCATTTTATTTTCACTTATACAAGACATACTTCCAAGATATTGCAGATTTGGTCCCAGAACACTGAAGTAAAGTAAGTCAAACAAAATTTTCTGGTTTTCCATGGCATATAGATGTTATGTGTACACTATACTGTAGTCTCTTAAGTCTGCAATATAAATATGTTACAAATAATGTACACACTGTAATGAAAATACTTCATTGCTTTAAAAATCCTAACAATCATCTGAGCCTGCAGTGAGTTGTAATCATTTTGTAGGTGGAGGGTCTTGCATTGATGATGACAGCTGCTAACTAATCAGGGTGGTGGCTGCTGAAAGTTTGGGGAGCTGTGGCAATGTCTTTTAAAAAGACAAAAATAATGTTTGCTGCACCCATTGACCTTCCTTCTTTAAAAATTTCCAACTTTTATTTAAAGTTCAAGGTACATGTGCAGGATGTCCAGGTTTGTTACAAGGTAAACGTGTGCCATCGTGGTTTGCTGCACAGATCATCCCATTACCCAGGTATTAAGCCTAGAATCCATTAGCTATTCTTTCTGATCCTCTCCCTCCTCGCATCCCCTGACCTCCAAAAGTCCCCACTGTGTGTTTTTACCCCCCATGTATCCATATCTTCTCATTATTTAGCTATCACATATAAGTTAGGACATGTGGTATTTGGTTATCTGTTTCTGCATTATTTTGCTATGAATAACAGCCTCCAACTCCAACCATGTCCCTGCAAAGGATATGATCTCATTCTTTTTTAGGGATGCATAGTATTCCAAGGAGAATATGTACCACATTTTCTTTGTCCAGTCTGTCATTGATGGGCATTTAGGTTGAGTCCATGTCTTTGCTATTGTGAATATTGCCACAACGAACATATGCATGCATGTGTCTTTATAATAGAACAATTTATGTTACTTTGGGTATACACCTAGTAATGGGATTGCTGGGAAAAATTATATTTCTGCCTCTAGGTCTTTCAGGAATCACCACACTGTCTTTCACAATGGTTGAACAAATTTAAACTCTCACCAACAGTGTAAAAGTGTTCCTTTTTCTCCACAATCTCACCAGCATCTGTTGTTTTTGACTTATTAAAAATAGCCATTCTGACTGGCTTGAGTTAGCATCTCATTGTGATTTTGACTTGGATTTATCTGCAGCATGCAATGCAATTTGGTAGCATTTTACTCATGATAGAACTTCTTTTAAAGTTGGAATCAATCCACTTAAACCCTACTGCTGCTTTATCAAATAACCTTAAGTAATATTCTAAATACTTTGTTGTCATTTCAACAATGTTCACAGCATCTTCACCAGGAGTAGGTTCTATCTCACTATACCAAATTTTTTTGCTGATCCATAAGAAAGAACTCATCTATTCAAGTTTTATCATGAGATTATAGCAATTCAGTCACAACTTCAGGTTCTTCTTTTAATTCCAGTAATAGTTCCCTTACTATTTCTACCATATCTGTGGTTACTTCTTCCATTGAATTCTTGAAGCTCTCAACATTATCTATGATATTTGAAATCAAATTCTGCCAAATTCCTGTTAATGTTGATATGTTTACTTCATTTAATGACTCAAATGTTCTTAATATCATCTAGAAAGGTGAAACTTTTCCAGAAAGTGTTGAATTTACTTTGACAACGTCCAACAGAGAAATTGCTGTTAATGGCAGCAATAATCTTACGAAACTTATTCCTTAATTGACTTAAAAGTTGAAATTACTTTTTGATATATGTGTTACAGAATGAATGTTGTATTACCAGGCATAAAAACAACATTGATCTCCCTGTATATCTCCATAAGAGCTCTTGGGTGACCAGGTACATTGTCAATGAATGCTAATATTTCTAAAGGAATATTTCTTTCTGGTCAATAGATCTCAACAGTGGGATTAAAATATTTAGTAATTTATGCTGTAAAGAAATGTGTTATCAACCAAGCTTTGATATTCCATTAATAGAGCACAGAGAGAGTAGATTTAGAATAATTTATCTAAGGCCCTAGGATATTCCAAATGGTAAATAAACAGTGACTTCAACCGGGTGCGGTGGCTCATGCCTGTAATCCCACCACTTTGGGAGGCCGAGGTGGGTGGATCATGAAGTCAGGAGATCAAGACCACAGTGAAACCCCGTCTCTACTAAAAATACAAAAAATTAGCCAGGCGTGGTGGCGGTTGCCTGTAGTCTCAGCTACTCGGGAGGCTGAGGCAGGAGAATGGCATGAACCTGGGAGGTGGAGCTTGCACTGAACTGAGATGGTGCCACTGCACTCCAGCCTGGGTGACAGAGCAAGACTCCATCTAAAAAAAAAAAAAAAATTGGCTTCAACTTCAAGCCACCAGCTGCATTAGCCTCTAATGAAAGAGTCATCCTGTCCTTTGAAGCATTGAAGCTAGACATTGACTTCTCCTGTGAAGATATAAAAAAGCTAAATGTTATCTTCTTTCAAGAGAAAGATGCTCTGTACACAAGGAAAAATCTCCTGTTTAGTGTGGCCACTTTCAGTAACTATTTTGGCTACATCTTCTGGATAATCTTCTGTAGCTTCTTTTATTTTGCACTTTTATGTTATGGAGATGGTTTATTCCCTTAAACTTCGTGAACCAACCACTGCTAGATTCAAAGATTTCTTCTTCACCCCTGTCAGCATTGGAGAGAATTATGGCCTTGTTCTGGTTTAGGCTTTGTCTAAATTTGGGGACTATTGTCACTGGTTTGATCTTTTATCCAGCCAACAAGGCTGTTGCACTTTCATATCATTCATGTGTACATGTGTAGCACTTTTAATGTCTTTCCCAAATTTTTTTTTTATATTCACAACTTGGCTAACTATTTGGCATAAGAGGTACAGATCTGAGCCTGTATCAGCTTTCAACATGCCTTTCTTAATAAGTTTAATCATTTCCAGCTTTTGATATTGAGATGACAGAGCCTTCCTTTCCCTTGAACATTTAGAGGCCATTTGTAGGATTACTAATTTGCCTGATTTCAACATTGCTGTGCCTCGGGAAATAGAGAGGCCTAAGGAGAGAGAGAGAAATGGGGGAAAGGCTGGTTGGTAGAGCAGTCAGAAGACACCAGCACTTATCAGTTAAGTTTATCGTATTATCCCAATACAGTTTCTGGTGCCCGCAACACAATACTACAGTAAAATCAACAATCAGTTATCACAACTCATCATAATAAATATAATAATAATAAAAATGTTTGGAACTTTGTGAAATTTACCAAAATGTGCCACAGTGACAGAGTTAGCACATCCTGTTGGAAAGATGGCACTGGTAAACTTGCCCAATGCAGGGCAGCAATAAGCTTTCAATTTGTAAAAAAGACCATATCTGTAAAACAAAATAAAATGAGGAATGTTTTTGCATTTTTGCCTGTGTGTGTGTGTGCGTGTGTGTGTATCTATATGTTGTGGGACTTTTTCTTAGTTCAACTAAAAGCAAGGTTCTTGTCACATGGCCATGAAAAATTAGGCACACGGACTTTGAAGGTGAATAATGCAGAGTTTTGTTAGGTAAAAAGGAAGAAAAGGCAAAACAGAGGCTCTTAGTGAAGTGAGAGAGTGTGTTTTCCTGCCGGTGGGTTTGCCACCTCACAGACTGAATTCCAGGTTCCATCCAAGAAGAGGAGGGGCCGGGCTCCTCCTCACTGCAAATCATATGAACTTCTGTGGCTCCACCCCAGTGTGCACTCCTCCCAGTGCACAGGCTCTCTGGTGTTTCTCTGGGAACCCCTCCCACCTGGTTGTGTCAAATAAATAAATATAAGTTTATGAAAGATAACTCAATGCTGACAAGCTGAATATACACATGTACACTGAGTACATATGCTACATTTCTATTTAAATCATCTGTTAACAGTCAAAAGTTTAAATCTTCATAGAACATCACAATTGTAAAAAAGAAACAATTTAAACACATCTTTAGCATTAAAATATTGTGTTTTCTATAAAAAATTAAAGTGTCCAGGCATTGACCTAAAATTATAAAGCGTAATATTAGCAATATTTATTCAAGAAAATCTACTAAGTCCTGGTAAAAATAATGAGAGCCTATTAATTTCAACCATGAACTGCTCCCTCACCCACTCCCAACTTAATTTGACATAAATTCTACTACAGGAAGACACAGACAAGAAAATATATTAAACTGATTCAAAAAGAAACAGAACATCTGAATAGACCTATAACAAAAAGAGAGGCTGAATTGGTCCAAAATACAACCCACAAAGAATTGCCTAGGTCAAGATGCCTTTATTTTGAAATCTATAAGTCATTTAAAGCAGAAAAATTAACAATTCCTCAAAAATAATCCTTCAAATCACAGAAAAGAAAAATGCATTATCAACATATTTAACTAATTCCTTCTAGTAAAACCACACAAAGATATCACAAAAAATAAAAACTACAGATCGATAAATCTTATGATTATGAACTCAGAAATCCACAAAATTTGCTAGCAAAATGAATGTAAGAATATACAGAAGCAATTATATACCCTGAATAAGTAAAAGTTTTATTAAAAATGCAAAGTTGCTTTAACGTTAAAATCTCTATTAACATAATACAAAATGTAATTAGAACAGAAAAATAAAACTGCATGATCATCTCAATAAATGCAGAAAAATTAATTTAATAAAATTCAATATCCTTCATTATAACAGTACCCCGTAAAGTAGGGATAGAGGGAAACTTTCTCAAACTGGTAAGTGTTATCTGTAAAAAATGCACAGCTAACATCATACTTAATGGAGAAAGACTAAATCCACTCTTTATCTATATTGAATATTTTAATGGAGCTTCTAGTCAAGATAAAGGCAAGAAAATGAAAAAAATAAATCTACATTGAAAAGAAAGAAGTTAAACTTTTGGCATATGACATGACCTTACATCTAGAAAATCTTTAGGAATCTGCTAGAAAAAATATTGGAACAATAAACAAAGCAAATTTTCAGGATAAAAGATCAATAAACAAAAAAATTACTTTACATAATTGCAATGAAATATCCAAAATGAAATTAAGAAAACAATTGCACTTCAAATAACATCCAAAAGAATATAACTATTAGGAATCAATTTTAACAAAATAAGTGTAAAACTTGCATTATGGATACTGTAAAGCATAGAGGAAAGAAATTTAAAAGATGTAAATAAATGGAAAGACATCTCATGTTCACAGATTAAAACACAGTATTGTTGTAGTGTCCATACTCCACTCCCCAAATAGATATACAGATTTAATGCAATCCCTATCAAAATCCCAACTGGCTTCTTCCAGTAAATTGACAAACTAATTCTGAAATTCACAAAGATATTCAAGAAACCTAAAGATAGCCAAAAAAGTCTTAAAATAAAGAACAAAGTTGTACTTTGTGATGCCAAGGCAGGTAGATCACTTGAGCAAAGGAGTTTAAGACCAGCCTGGGCAACATAAGGAGACTCTTGTCTTTATAATACTAATAATAATATATTAGCCAGGAGAGGTGACACATGCCTGTGGTCCTAGCAACTCAGTAGGCTAAGGTGATAGGATTGCTTGAGCCTGGGAGTTCAAGGCTGCAGTGAGCCATGATCACACCACTCTACTTCAGCCTGGGAAACAGAGTAAGATCCTGTCTGAAAATAATAATAATAATAATAACAAAGTTGGAAGATTTACACTTTCTTCTTTCAAAGCCAACTACAAATCTATAATAATCAAATGAGCCTGGTATAGGCATACAAATAGACATATATACAAACAAAATAGATTTTAGAACCCAGAAACATACCCACATATTTATGGTTTTTTACAAAGATGCCAAAACAATTCAATGAAAAAATTGAACAGTCTTGAACAAATGCTTATTGAATAACGGATTGCCCACAAACAAAAGAATAAAGTTTGACTTCTGGTCTCAAGCCATTTACAAAACTACTAAAAGTAGGTCAAAGGCTTAAATTTAAGAGGTAGAATCATAAAATTCCAAAAAGAACACACAGAAGATAATCTTCATGGCTTTGAATTTGGCAGTGGTTTCTTACATATGACATCAAAAGCATAAGCAATCAAATATGAAAAATATATAAATAGGTCTTTATCAAATTTAGTACTTTTGTGCTTCAAAGGACAGCATCAAGAAAACAAAAGCCCACATAATCTTAGAATCTATTTTCAAATGATATAACTAATGAAGTACTTGTATCAGAAATACGACTTACAACTTAATAAGAAAAAGAAATTAATTAAAAATGGGCAATGGATGTGAATAGAAATTTCTCCAAAAAAGAAAAAAAATACAGTGGCTTATAAGCAAAGTCAAAATGTTCAACATCATTAGACACCAAGGAAATATAATCAACAATGAGATACTGAAGGGGGCCAGCCCCTCCACACCTGTGGGTGTTTCTTGTCAGGTGGGCCAAGAGACTGAGAAAAGAAAGAGACAGAGAGACAAAGTATAGAGAAAGAAAAGTGGGCCCTGGGGACCGGCACTTAGCATACAGAGGACCCACACTGGCACTGGTCTCTGAGTTCCCTCAGTATTTTTTGATCATTATCTCTACTATCTCGAGAGGGGGATGTGGCAGGACAATAGGGTTATAGTGGGGAGAGGGTCAGCAGGAAAACATGTGAACAAATGTCTCTGTGTCATAAACAAGGTTAAGAAAAGGTGCTGTGCTTTGATGTGCACATACATAAACATCTCGGTGCATTAAAGAGCAGTATTGTCACCAGCATGTCTTACCTCCAGCCCTAAGGTGGTTTTCTCCTATCTTAGTAAATGGAACATGCAATCGGGTTTTACAATGAGACATTCCATTGCCCAGGGATTAGCAGGAGACAGATGACTTCCTCTTATCTCAACTGCAAAGAGGCCTTCCTCTTTTACTAATCCTCCTCAGCACAGACCCTTTACGGGTGTTGGGCTGGGGGACGGTCAGGTCTTTCCCTTCCCACGAGGCCATATCTCAGGCTATCGCATGGGGAGAAACCTTTTACAATACCTGGCTTTCCTAAGCAGAGGTCCCTGTGGCCTTCCGCAGTGTATTGTGTGCCTGGGTACTTGAGATTAGAGAGTGGTGATGACTTCTAACAAACATATTGCCTTCAAGCACTTGTTTAACAAAGCACATACTGCATAGCCCTAAATCCATTAAACCTTGAGTCAACACAGCACGTGTCTCTGCCAGCACAGGGTTGGGGCTAGTGTTATCGATTAACTGCATCTCAAGGCAGAAGATTTTTTCTTAGTACAGAACAAAATGGAGTCTCTTATGTCTACTTCTTTCTACATAGACACAGTAACAGTCTGATCTCTCTTTCTTTTCCCCACAAGACACTACTTCAACCCACCAGCCTAGCTGTAATAAAAAGACACATAATCATTTGTTGAAAACGATGTGGAGACATTGTAACACTTACACATTGCTGATGGGAATGGAAAATGGTGCAACCACATTGGAAAACAGTCTAGCAATTTCTCAAAAGTTTACACGTACAGTTTAACCTTTTATAGCTAAACATGCAAGGAAACACAACACAGCAATTCTACTTCTAAGAATATGTATCTGACAGAAATGAAAACACAGTTACACTAAGCTTGTTCATAAGCATCATTATTCATACTAGCCAAAAATAGGGAAAAATTAATGTCCATCAACTGATAAATAAATCGATAAAATGTGTATGCTCATATATAAAATGTTTATTTTGCCATTAAAAAGGAATGAAGTCCTTACATATGCTACATCATAAATGAACCTTTAAAATGTTATGCTAAATGAAGGAAGCCAGTCACAAGAAACTATATATTGTACGATTATATTTATTTTAAAATTTCCAGAATAGGCAAATCTATAGATACAAATTTAATTAGCAATTGAGCAGGGCAGGAGAAATGCAGAAACTCAGGGTGAGGAAAAAATACTAAAGAGTACAGGGTTTATTTTGTGATACAAATAAAAGTGCTCTGAAACTGATTGTTGTCATGGATGTACAATTCTGTGAATATACCACAAATAATGGATTTTACAAAATAATCAGTAAATTGTATAGCATAGCAATTATATGTCAACTTTTACCAAAAAATTCCTTGAAGCACAATATCCAAGAAATGCTGATATACTCATATAATTATTTTCATCTTTAATTCCATCTCAAAGTGATTGCAGAACTAAAGGAACTTCTCACTGTGAATGTTCTTGACACTATTGTAAAATATATTACATAAAATAAGTGACTCATCCACACAAAATTATTGATACTACCTGGATAATAGCATTTACAAACATAAAAGGGACATTAAAGACTCAAGTAAAGAGCAAGTTGTTTGTCTCTTTGCCATGCACATACTTAGACTTTTAATATACTGTGTTTACATTAAACCATAAGAGTTAACTTCTTCTGAGGAAAAATTCAAGCTGGCTGCAGAAATTTGCATAAGTAATGAGGAGCCAAATGTTAATCACCAAGACAATGGGGGAAATGTCTTCAGAGCATGTCAGGCCTTCACGGCAGCCCCTTCCATCACAGGCCTGGTGGGCTAGAAAGAAAAAAATCGTCCCAGTATTCTGTGTAGCCTAGGGACTTCAAGAAGGAAAATGTGGAGTTGGAACTCCCACTGAGTTGCTTCTCAGACACTGCCTAAAGGAGCTGTGAGAAAAGGGCCACCATCCTCCAGACACCTGAGTGGTAGATCCACCAACAACTTGCACCATGCACCTGGAAAAGCTAAAGACACTCAATGCCAGCCCTTTAAAGCAGCTGGGAGGGAGGCTGCACCCTGCAAAGCCACAGGTGTGGAGCTGCCCAAGGCCATGGAAACCCACCTCTTGCATCAGTGTGACCTGGATGTGAGACATGAAGTCAAAAAAGATCATTTTGTAATTTTAAGGCTTAATGACTGCCCTGTTGGATTTCTGGCATGCATGGGGCCTGTAGCCCCTTCATTTTAGCCAATTTCTCCCATTTGAAATATCTGTATTTATCCAATGCTGGTACCCTCATTGTATCTGGGAATTAACTAACTTGCTTTTGATTCTACAGGTTCATAGGCAGAAGACACTTGTCTCATCTCAGATGAGACTTTGGGCTGTGGACCTCTGAGTTAATACTGAAATTAGTTAAGACTTTGGAGGACTGTCTGTAAGGCATGATTGGTTTTGAAATGTGGGGACATGAGATTTGGGAGGGGCCAGGGGCAGAATGACATGGCTTGACTGTGTCCCCACCCACATCTCATCTTGTATTCCCATGTGCTGTGAGAGGGTCCTAGTAAGAGGTAATTGAATCATGGAGGCAGGTCTTTCCTGTGCTGTTCTCATGATAGTGAATAAGTCTGACAATAGCTGATGGTTTTATAAGGGGTAGTTTCCCTGCACAAGTTCTCTCTCTTTGCCTGCTGCCATCCATGTAAGACGTGGCTTGCTCTTTGCATTCCACCATGATTGTGATGCCTTCCCAGCCACGTGGAACTGTGAGTCCTTCAAACTTCTTTTTATCCCATCTTGAGTATGTCTTTGTCAACAGTGTGAAAATTAACTAAAACAGAAGGTAAGTACGTATAAAGTCAGAGAAGTACTGTTTTTCAATAAAAGAAATGAGGAAATGAAAATATAAAATAATCTATCAATCTCACAAATATTATGGAAAGACTTACATTATAGCATCTGTTAGAACCCTGTGGTCATCACTAATACAGCACACTCCAGGAACTCATAAACCTATAAATTAATGTCATTAGGATTTCTTTCAGCAATCACACATCCATTTTACTTGACATATTTTTCATTTAAGAAAAGTCATTAGACACATCAAGAAACATCCTGCTGAATGCAGACATGTAGATTGAGGAGTTATGCATTTTTCTAGCACAACTATCTAGTTAGCATTGAGGGGATTGTTTTGAATTGTGTATCTCAGGTCCCTTATTTAGAAATTAAAATATTTTCCCACAGTACCATAATGTTTCCTTCACAATTGAACGATACAATTTCTCTATCAAAGACTCAAAAATCAATGCAGGTAATTTGAAGTTTCTAGTATCTTTATACTCCTTCACTAAAGGATTGAAAATCATTTGTCTTAAAGTCAAACATCTGTTGAAATGTGAACATCAAGTTACTTCTGTATAGTTTTTTTTTTAACTATGTCTCTTCACTAAGAACAATATGAGTGAAATCCATGTTAGGCAAAAGTCTCTATTTCAATAATTTCTGAAAAAATTTCAGCTGCTATTTGACAATATGTTTACTTAAAATCTAACATTATTAAGACCTTAGCATGAACCCAAAGCAGTAGTAGGTACAAGGATTTCAGCCATACTCACAAAATACTCAACAGTTCACTTGAAGAACAAAAGATCAAGGGACTAGCTTAATTTTTGAAAAAAATTGAGTACTTCTTAGAAAATTGTTTTTTATGAGTAGAGTAGAATCCATTGATCATGGACCTCAAAGACTTGTTTTAAGTGTATATCTATTACTATTGCTGCTTTATAGAGTAAACAAATGCATGTTTTATTCTCTAAGGTTTATTTTAATTATGGTTTACGATGGCGAATACACTGATGTGATAGAAGAATAAGTTTTCTCCCACAATTCTCTTAGCACTTGGTCTTTCTTGTAAATACATATGAGCAAAATAGATAATGCACAAAAACTAAATTATCCCCAGGTATAAATACATGTATATTGTTTTATCTAAGCATAGACAATTTATATATCTTTGGCTACATTATTCTAACTCCTTTCAGATAATTATCAGTTGTATTCTCATAACAATTATCTTGTGTCATATGCCTTTGTTTTCCTTTTTCCCATTATGAAAAAATACTACATTATCTGAGATAATGGAGAAAAGTGAAACAAAGCTTCTTCAAAACTACAGGAATTTTTAATTTCCTCACCCACACTTACAAAATGTTCACTTTGTTGGAAAACTTCACGGCAAACCTGCAAAATCCCTGCCAAAGGTAAAAAAAAAAAAAAAAAAAAAAAAAAAAAAACCTGTTTGTTTTGTTTTGTTTTGTTTTGTTTGTCTTAAATTTTTGGTGGGAATGATACTATATTCTTCTTTCAGTGTTTTTGCTTGAAGTGAAAGAAAGATGTTTAGTGGGTGGGGTAAACCAGATGCCAATTAAAGATTCCTATTTCTATATCATCACAATTATATGAATTTCATTATTACTACAGAAAAAAGAGTACTACTAGAGACTATCTGAACCTAGTAATGTTCAAATTAAAGCCTTCATTTTGCAACATATAAGAAAGTATTAGTTATTCAACCAAACAATACTTCTTATAAAGTGCTTCACACAAACCACTGCTTTGGATTTTAAGAAGACAAGAAAAGTAGACATAGTTTCTGTCCCCACATTCCTTAAACTCTATGTTGAAAGATAAAATATAAGCAAGTAATAAAATGTGTGAAAAGCATTATCTTCAGTACCACAATAACAAGGATATATCCAGTTGGGATAACAGAAAGTATACTGGAGACATGGATAATCAAGATGAGAACTGAAAGGTGTGAAGAAATAGGTGATGAATGAGGGGGAGAGGAAGACACAAAAGGAAAAGCAGGCAAAGTAGTAAAGACAGTTCTCAAGTCTTCAAGTTTAGTTTGCAGAAGAATACTAAGAAACAGATGATTCTGAAGAGGCAAGTTGGAGCCAAATAATTATTAGGATCTTGAAATATTTATTATGGCATTGGGAAGCTACTAAAAAGAGTTAACAAATGGAGAGATCTGATTATATTTCCTTCCTTTAAAAAGTTTCCAAGATATTCAATGAATTAGACTGCAGAGGGTCAGAATAAAAAGAATACACAATTTAGAATTTTTTTAATAAAATCAGGCAGCAAATGATAGAAAAATATACCAGCATGTTGATAGAGATATTTATGTGTACTTTTGCCAGCTTTATATTGTATTGTGGAAAAAAGTTAAAGCAGGTAAAACACTTAAAATGTGTCTGGCACTAAGTCAGTGATCCAGAAATATTAATATTGCAATTTTGGTTATTTTTGTTATTTCCAATAACATTAATTACCTATCATATGCCAGTCACCTGAGATATCATTCCTCATTTAATAGATACTGATTATCATCTAGCACATCAACATTACATTCTCTAGCAATGTTATAGATGACAGATATCCTGTGGACTTGTTTAAAAGCAGAAGCAGAAGTTTTTGCAAACAGATGAGCAAGGTGAAATGCTAATGATGTATTGTAAGGATTGGGGCTCTTCACCAGTATTCTAGCTTAAAATGTACACCATTCTTCAACATAAAAAGAAATTGTGCCCCCAAAATATTTGCAACAAAACCCAGTGTTTACTTGCTTTCACTCCAGCATTTAAACCATTCATCCCTGAGATTCCAGAGGTCTACATGTTACAGCAAAAAAAGGTCATTTTACCCTATAAGAACAGGTGTTTTTCCACCTTATGCCAAGCCTGCAGGACAACTCAGGAAAGCTCCCTGGGGCAACTTATGTCTCAACGTCATACCTGCATCTCAGAGAATCCAAGAAAAAAATGAAAAGTGCTTGCCTAATAAAAACCAAATAATTTCTACCACTTGTATCTGAAAAGTGCCCTTAGTTCATAATAACAATTATTTATTCTATAGAATATTCCTTATGAGAGAACACAAGAATCTCATGTGTTTTAAATTAATATCACACTTTTAAGATATATATAGATAGCAATTATTCTTTGCAACATTATTATACAGTCTCTTAGGGGATCATTTCTGTTTACCTTCTTATTAGCATCAACATACAACTAAAATCTTATTCAATGGCTAAAACATAATATCCATGTTGAATGCAAATTATATAAGGTCTACATGGTAACTTTCTCGTGAGATAAAAGTTGATGAAATACTAATAAAAATTCAAAGCAATCTAACTTTATATTTTAATAATTTTCCCATGTACATTAAGGGAAATTAATAGTGCCACCAGGAAACGGAAGAGTTGGTAGGGAAGTAGGACAAGTGAAAGAATGACTAATAGTACAATCATGATAATTGCTAATACTTACTGTTGTTACTAAATCCAAGTCAATAGTTTTTGAAACCTGTCCCCTAATTGTTTATTACATAAAATAATTGTATTACAAATTGCTTGTTTTTCCATTAAGTATATCTTTCAAATTTTTAAATTTTCAATTTTTAAAAATTTTTGTGGTTACCTAGTAAATGTATATATTTGTGGAGTACATGAGATACTTTGATACAGGGATGCAATTGGAAATAAGCATATTATGGAGAATGGAGTATCTATCCCCTCAAGCATTTTTACTTTGTCTTATGCACAATATAATTACACTATTTTAGTTATTTAAAAATGTACAGTGAAGTTATTATTGACTATAGTCACCCTGTTGTGTGATCAAATAGTATGTCTTATTCCTTTTTACGTACCTGTTAAAATCCCTGCTTACCCCCATGCCCCCAGTACCCTTCCCAGGCTCAAGTAATCAGCCTTCTACTTTCTATGTTCATTAGTTTAATTAAGTTTTAGATCCCACAAATAAGTGATAACATACCATGTTTGTCTTTCTGTGCCTGGCTTATTTCACTTAGCACAATGAGCTCCAGTTCCATCCATGTTGTTGAAAATGAATGGATCTCATTCTTTTTCATGGCTGAATGGTACTCCATTGTGTCTATGCAACACATGTTCTTCATTCATTTGTTGATGGACATTCACGCTAATTCTAAATCTTAGCTATTGTAAATAGTGCAACAAACATGGGAGTGCGGGTATCTCTTTGACATACTGATTTATTTCTTTTGGGTATATATCTAGCAATGAGATTGCTGGATCATATGGTAGCTCTATTTTTCATTTTTTTGAGGAACCGTCAACTGTTCTCCATAGTGGTCTTTACTAATTTTCACTCCCACCAAAATTGTATAGGGTTCCTTTTTCTTCACATCCCCATCAGCATTTATTTTTGTCTGTCTTTTGGGTATAAGCTACTTTAAATGGTGTGAGAAGATGTCTCATTTTAGTTGTGATTTGACTTTCTCTGATGATCAGTGATATTGAGCATCTTTTCACATGTCTGTTTGCCACTTTTCTGTTTACTTTTGAGAAACATCTCTATTCAAATTCTTTGTCCATTTTTTTATCTTTTCCTATAGAGGGTTTGAGCCCCTTATATATTCTGGTTATTAATTCCTTGTCAGATGGATAGTTTGTAAATATTTTTCCCATTCTGTGGACTGTCTCTTCACTTGTTGATTGTTTCCTTTGCTGAATAGAAGCTGATTAACTTGATGTGATCTCATTTGTTCATTTTTACTTTGCCTGTGATTATGGGGTATAACCCAAGAAATTTTGGCCCAGAAAAACATCCTGGAGATTTTCTTTAATGTTTTCTTGTAGTAGTTCATAATTTGAGGTCTGAGATATAAGCCTTTAAACCATTTTTATTTGATTTTTGTATATGGATAGAGCTAGGGATCTAGTTTCATTCTTCTGCATATAGATATTCTGTTTTCCCAGCACCATTTATTAAAGAGACTGTCTTTTTTTCTGTGTATGTTAATGGCAACTTTGATGAAAATGAGTTCACTGCAGGTGTGTAGATTGTTTTCTGGGTTCTCTATTCTGTTTCATTGATCTCTGTGTCTGTTTTTATGGCAGTAACATGCTGGTTTGGTTACTATAGGTGCGTAGTGTAATATGAAGTCAGATAATGTGACTCCAAGTTGGTTTCTTTTGCTTAGGATACCTTTGACTATTCTGGGTCTTTTCCGGTTTCATATACATTTTGAGATTTTTTTCTATTTCTGTGAAGAATGTAATTGGTATTTTCATGATTTTATTGCATCAGTAGATTGTTTTGCTTAATATAGAAATGTTAACAATATTTATTCATCTAATCAATGAACATGGAATATTTTTTCATTTCTTGGTACCCTCTAATTTCTTACATCAGTGTTTTCTTACATCAGTGTTAATTTCTTACATCAGTAGTTTTCATTATAGAGATCTTTCAGTCCTTTAATTCCTAGATGTTCAATTTTATTTGTGACTATTGTAAATGGGAATACTTTTTTGATTTCTTTTTCAGCTGCTCATTGTAGGCAAATAGAAATGTTATTGATTTTGTCTGTTAATTTCATGTTCTGCAACTTTATTGAATTGTTCATTGTAAAAATTTTTCACTAGAACATGCTTGGATCAAAATATCTCATGTACCCCGTAAGCATATCCACCAACTATGTACCCACAAAAATATAAAATACTTTAAAGCAATGAACAAATTTTTTTAAAAATATACTATTGAGAGCTTCAAGAACATAAGAGACAAAGCAGAGGAAATAATTTCCAACTATTACCATGTTTTTGAAATGACTCACATAGACAAGAAAGAAGAAAAAGAATAAAGTAATCCTACAGAATTTATGCAACATCACTAAGTAAAAAAGAAAAAAAATTAACATGATGAAAATTCTAGAATGAGAAGATAAACAGCATAGAAATTATATTCAATGAAATAATAGCAGAAAGCTTCTTAAGTTATTGACAAAAGATGAACATCTAGATCCAAGAAGCTGAAAGTTCCACCAAGTTACTTCAATCCAAAAAGGTCTTCACTGATGCACATATCGTCAAATTATCAAGTCAAATGCAAAGCAGGTGTTCTAAAAATGGCAGAAGAAAGCTGACACATCATCTATAAGGGAATCTCCATTCAGCTAATAGTGGATTTCTCAGCATTAACTTATAGGCCAGGAAAGAATAGGAAAATATATGCTAAGTGATAAAATTTGTTTTATAATCATGTCAATGAAGAATATTATATAAAGCAAACTTTGATCCTACAAAAAAAACAGAGACAGAGGAATAAAGTATTTCTCAAACAAGCAAAAACATAAAGAATTTATTACCATTAAACCAGCCTTAAAAGGAATATTTGAGGAAGTCTAACATCTGAAGGTGAAAAGATGATAATACACTTCATAAAAACACACAAAATTATATAACTCACTCATACAGCCAACAGACAAAGGTGAAAGAAAAAATAATCAAACTTTATCAGTATAGAAAACTATCAAACTGTCAAAATAAGTAATAGAGAAATTAAGGAATAAGGGAGATACAAAATAAACAGAAAAAAATAAAAGAATAAGCCTTTACCTATAAATAAATAAATACCTTGAAAATAAGTGGATTAAATTACACAACTGAAAACGTAGATTGATGGATTAAAAAACAAGACTCAACAATATTCAGCCTAAAAGATACTCATCTCACCAATAAAGTTACACATAGACTGCAATTGAAAAGATGAAATAGATATGCTATGCAAACAGAAACCCAAATCAAGCAGAAATAGCTACACTTACCTCAGCAAAACACAAACTTTAAGCCAAAATTTTGAGAGGAAAAGAGAGACTTAATATGATAATAAATGAATCAATTGTTCAAAAAGACAAAAATGTAAATATATATGCAACCAACCATGAACCGCTGAGATATATGAAGCAAATATTATTATACCTGAAAGGAGAGATAGACCTAAGTCCAATAATAGTTGAGGATGTCACCATCACCTTTTCAGCATTGGACAGATATTTAGACAATAAAGCAACATGAGATTTAAACTGTACCATAGACCAAATTGAAGTAGTTGATATTTACAGAACATTTTAACCAACAGCTGCAGAATGTAAGATTCTTTTTATAGCACATATAACATCCCCAGAATTAACCATATATGAGGACATTAAGCAAGTCTCAACAAATTTTAAAAAATAAAAATTTTACTAATTATTTTATCTGAACACAATGAAATAAATTATAAAATCAATGCCAAGACAAAACTAGAAAAATCCATGAAAATTTAACAACATATTCCTTATAACCAATAGATAAAAAAGAAACAATTTTGAAATTGCTTAAAACAAAGAAAGATCACATCATGCAATAGCAAAATCTGTGAGATTCAACAGAAGCACTATTAAGAGACAAGTTTAGAACAAGAAATGCCTACACAAGAAAAGGAGAAAGGTTTCATATAAAAAATGTAATGATCTATCTCAAATGACTAGAAAAGCAAGAACAAACCAAAACCAAAATTACTATAAGAAAAGAAATATTAATAATTAGCTAGGCCGAATAGGAACAGCTCCAGTCTACAGCTCTCAGCATGAGTGATGCAGAAGATGGGTGATTTCTGCATTTCCAACTGAGGTACCAGGTTCATCTCACTGGGGAGTGTCAGACAGTGGGTGCAGGACAGTGGGTACAGTGCACCGAGCATGAGCCAAAGCAGGGTGAGGCATTGCCTCACCCAGGAAGTGCAAGGGGTCAGGGAATTCCCTTTTCTAATCAAAGAAAGCGGTGACAGATGGCACCTGGAAAATCAGGTCACTCTTAATATAATACTGCGCTTTTCCAACAGTCTTAGTGAACGGCACACCAGGAGATTACATCCCATGCCTGGCTCAGAGGGTCCTATGCCCACAGAGCCCCACTCATACCTAGCACAGCAGTCTGAGATCAAACTGCAAGGTGGCAGCGAGGCTGGGGGAGGGGTGCCTGACATTGCTGAGGCTTGAGTAGGTAAACAAAGCAGCTGGGAAGCTCGAACTGGGTGGAGCCAACTGCAACTCAAGGATGCCTGCTTGCTTCTGTAGACTCCACCTCTGGGAACAAAGCATAGCCAAATAAAAGGAAGCAGAAACCTCTGCAGACTTAAGTGTCCCTGTCTGATGGCCTTGAAGAGAGTATTGGTTCTCCCAGCATGCAGCTGCAGATCTGAGAAAGGACAGACTGCCTCCTCCAGTGGGTCTCTGACAACTGAGTAGCCTAAATGGGAGGCACTCCCCTGTAGGGGCAGACTGACACCTCACATGGCCGGGTACTCCTCTGAGACAAAACTTCCAGAGGAACAATCAGACAGCAACATTTGCTGTTCACCAATATCCGCTGTTCTGCAGCATCCACTGCTGATACCAAGGCAAACAGGGTCTGGAGCGGACCTCCAGCAAACTCCAACATACCTGCAGCTGAGGGTCCTAACTGTTAGAAGGAAAACCAACAAACAGAAAGGACATCCACACCAAAACCCCATCTGTACATCACCATCATCAAAGACCAAAGGTAGATAAAACCACAAAGATAGGGAAAAAAAAAGAGTAGAAAAACTGGAAATTCTAAAAATCAGAGCACCTCTCCTCCTCCAAAGGAATGCAGCTCCTCACCAGAAATGGAACAAAGCTGGATGGAGAATGACTTTGATGAGTTGAGAGAAGAAGGCTTCAGATGATCAAACTACTCCAAGCTAAAGGAGGAAATTCAAACCCATGGCAAAGAAGTTAAAAACCTTGAAAAAAAATTAGACAAATGGCTAACTAGAGCAACCAGTGCAGAGAAGTCCTTAAAGGACTTGATGGAGCTGAAAACCACAGGATGAGACTACTTGATGAATACACAAGCATCAGTAGCCAATTCAATCAACTGGAAGAAAGGGTATCAGTGATGGAAGATCAAATGAATGAAATGAAATGAGAAGAGAAGTTTAGAGAAAAAATAATAAAAAGAAATGAACAAAGCCTCCAAGAAATATGGGACTCTGTGAAAAGACCAAATCTACATCTGATTGGTGAACCTGAAAGTGACGGGGAGAATGGAAGTAACTTGGAAAACACTCTGCAGGATATTATCCAGGAGAACTTCCCCAATCTAGCAATGCAGGCCAATATTCAAATTCGGGAAATACAGAGAACAACACAAAGATACTCATCGAGAAGAGCAACTCCAAGACACATAATTGTCAGATTCACCAATGTTGAAATGAAGGAAAAAATGTTAAGGGCAGCCAGAGAGAAAGGTCGGGTTACCCACAAAGGGAAGCCCATCAGACTAACAGCAGATCTCTCCACAGAAACTCTACAAGCCAGAAGAGAGTGGGGGCCAGTATTCAACATTCTTAAAGAAAAGAATTTTCAATCCAGAATTTCATATCCCGCCAAACTAAGCTTCATAAGTGAAGGAGAAATAAAATCCTTTACAGACAAGCAAATACTGAGAGATTTTGTCACCACCAGGCCTGCCCTAAAAGAGCTCCTGAAGGAAGCACTAAACATGGAAAGGAACAACTAGTAGCAGCCACTGCAAAAGATGCCAAATTGTAAAGACCGTCATGGCTAGGAAGAAACTGCATCAACTAATGAGCAAAATAACCAGCTAACATCATAATGACAGGATCAAATTCACACATAACAATATTAACTTTAAATGTAAATGGGCTAAATACTCCAATACATTTAAAAATAAATGTAAATGGGTTAAATACTCCACAGACTGGCAAATTGGATAAAGAGTCAAGACCCATCAGTGTGCTGTTTTCAGGAAACCCATCTGACGTGCAGAGACACACATAGGCTCAAAATAAAGGGATGGAGGAAGATCTACCGAGCAAATGGAAAACAAAAAAAGGCAGGGGTTGGAATCCTAGTGTCTGATAAAACAGACTTTAAAACAACAAAGATCAAAAGAGACAAAGAAGGCCATTACATAATGGTAAAGGGATCAATTCAACAAGAAGAGCTAACTATCCTAAATATATATGCACCCAATACAAGGGCACCCAGATTCATAAAGCAAGTCCTTAGAGACCTACAAAGAGACTTAGACTCCCACACAATAATAATAGGAGACTTTAACACCTGACTGTAAACATTAGACAGATCAACAAGGCAGAAAGTTAACAAGGATATCCAGGAACTGAACTCAGCTCTGCACCAAGGTGACCTGATAGACATTTACAGAACTCTCCACCCCAAATCAACAGAATATACATTCTTTTCAGCGCCACACCACATCTATTCCAAAATTGACTACATAGTTGGAAGTAAAGCTCTCCTCAGCAAATGTAAAAGAACAGAAATTATAACAAACTGTCTCTCAGACCACAGTGCAATCAAACTAGAACTCAGGATTAAGAAACTCACTCAAAACCACTCAACTACATGTAAACTGAACAACCTGCTCCTGAATGACTACTGGGTACATAACGAAATGAAGGCAGAAATAAAGATGTTCTTTGAAACCAACGAGAACAAAGACACAACATACCAGAATCTCTGGGACACATTCAAAGCAGTGTGTCGAGGGAAATTTATAGCACTACATCCCCACAAGAGGAAGCAGGAAAGATCTAAAATTGACACCCTAACATTACAATTAAAAGAGCTAGAGAAGCAAGAGCAAACACATTCAAAAGCTAGCAGACAGCAAGAAATAACTAAGATCAGAGTAGAACTGAAGGAAATAGAGACACAAAAACCTTTCAAAAAATCAATAAATCCAGGAACTGGTTTTTTGAAAGGATCAACAAAATTAATACATCGTTAGCAAGACTAATAAAGAAGAAAAGAGAGAAGAATCAAATAGATGCAATAAAAAATGATTAAGGGGATATCACCACCAATCCCAGAGAAATACAAACTACCATCACATAATACTGTAAACACCTCTATGCAAATAAACTAGAAAATCTGGAAGAAATGGATAAATTCCTCAACACATACACCCTCACAAGACTAAACCAGGAAGAAGTTGAATCTCTGAATAGACTGATAACAGGCTCTGAAATTGAGGCAATAATTAATAGCTTACCAACCAAAAAAAGTCCAGGACCAGATGGATTCACAGCCGAATTCTACCAGAGGCACAAGGAGGAGCTGGTACCGTTCTTTCTGAAACTATTCCAATCAATAGAAAAAGAGGAAATCCTCCCTAGCTCATTTTATGAGGCCAGCATCATCCCAATACTGAAGCCTCGCAGAGATACAGCAAAAAAAAAGAGAATTTAGACCAATATCCCTGATGAACATCAATGGAAAAATCCTCAGTAAAATACTGGCAAACTGAATCCAGCAGCACATCAAAAAGCTTATCCACCATGATCAAGTGGGCTTCATCCCTGGGATGCAAAGCTGGTTCTACATATGCAAATCAATAAACTTAATCCAGCATGTAAACAGAACCAATGACAAAAACCACATGATTATCTCAATAGATGCAGAAAAGGCCTTTGACAAAATTCAACGACGCTTCTTGCTAAAAACTCTCAATGAATTAGGTATTGATGGGATGTATCTCAAAATACTAAGAGCTATCTATGAGCAACCCAGAGCCAATATCATACTGAATGGGCAAAAACTGGAAGAATTCCCTTTGAAAATTGGCACAAGAAAGGGATGCCCTCTCTCACCACTCCTATTCAACATAGTGTTGGAAGTTCTGGCCGGGGCAATCAGGCAGGAGAAGGAAATAAAGGGTATTCAATTAGGAAAAGAGGAAGTCAAATTGTCCCTGTTTGCAGATGACATAATTGTATATCTAGAAAACCCCATCATCTCAGCCCAAAATCTCCTTAAGCTGATAGGCAACTTCACCAAAGTCTGAGGATACAAAATCAATGTGTAAAAATCACAAGCATTCTTATACACCAATAACAGACAAAAAGAGAGCCAAATCATGAATGAACTCCCATTCACAATTGCTTCAAAGAGAATAAAATACCTAGGAATCCAAATTACAAGGGATGTGAAGGACCTTTTCAAGGAGAACAACAAACCACTGCTCAATGAAATAAAAGAGGATACAAACAAATAGAAGAACATTCCATGCACATGGGAAGGAAGAATCAATATCATGAAAATGGCCATACTGCCCAAGGTAATTTATAGATTCAATGCCATCCCCATCAAGCTACCAATGACTTTCTTCACAGAATTGGAAAAAACTACTTTAAAGTTCATATAGAACCAAAAAAGAGCCCACATTGCCAAGTCAATCCTAAGCCAAAAGAACAAAGCTGGAGGCATCACACTACTTGACTTCAAACTATACTACAAGGCTACAGTAACCAAAACAGCATGGTACTGGTACCAAAACAGAGATATAGACCAAGGGAACAGAACAGAGCCCTCAGAAATAATGCCACATATCTACAACCATCTGAACTTTGACATACTTAACAAAAACCACAAATGGGGAAACGATTCCCTAATTAATAAATGGTGCTGGGAAAACTGGCTAGCCATATGTAGAAAGCTGAAAATGGATCCCTTCCTTACACCTTATACAAAAATTAATTCAAGATGGATTAAAGACTTACATGTTTGACCTAAAACCATAGAAACCCTAGAAGAAAACCTAGGCAATACTTTGAGGACATTAGGCATGGGCAAGGACTTCACGTCTAAAACACCAAAAGCAACGGCAACAAAAGCCAAAATTGGCAAATGGGATCTTATTAAACTAAAGAGCTTCTGAACAGCAACAGAAACTACCATCAGAGTGAACAGGCAACCTACAGAATGGGAGAACATTTTTGCAATCTACTCATCTGACAAAGGGCTAATATCCAGAATCTACAATGAACTCAAACAAATTTACAAGAAAAAAACAAACAACCGCATCAAAAACTGGGCAAAGGATATGAACAGACACTTCTCAAAAGAAGACATTTATGCAGCCAACAGACACATGAAAAAATGCTCATCATCACTGGCCATCAGAGAATTGCAAATCAAAACCACAATGAGATACCATCTCACACCAGTTAGAATGGCAATCATTAAAAGTCAGGAAACAACAGGTGCCAGGGAGGATGTGGAGAAATAGGAACACTTTTACACTGTTGGTGGGACTGTAAACTAGTTCAACCATTGTGGAAGTCAGTGTGGCGATTCCTCAGGGATCTAGAACTAGAAATACCACTTGACCCAGCCATCCCATTACTGGGTATATACCCAAAGGACTATAAATCATGCTGCTATAAAGACACATGCACATGTATGTTTATTGCTGCACTATTCACAATAGCAAAGACTTGGAACCAACCCAAATGTCCAACAATGATAGACTGGATTAAGAAAATGTGGCACATATACACCATGGAATACTATGCAGCCATAAAAAATGATGAGTTCATGTCCTTTGTAGGGACATGGATGAAGCTGGAAACCATCATTCTCAGCAAAGTATTGCAAGGACAAAAAACCAAACACCACATGTTCTCACTCATAGGTGGGAATTGAACAATGAGAACACATGGACACAGGAAGGGGAACATCACACACTGGGGACTGTTATGGGGTGGGGGGAGGGGGGAGGAATAGCATTAGGAGATATACCTAATGTTAAATGACGAGTTAATGGGTGCAGCACACCAACATGGCACATGTATGCATATGTAACTAACCTGCACGTTGTGCACATGTACCCTAAAACTTAAAGTATAATAAAAACAAAACAAAACAAAACAAAAACAAAAACAAAAACAAAAAAAGAGGGTGCTTTTGGTGTTGTGCAAAGTCTCATGAGGGCAAAAGGGAGATTTTTTTGTCCATGACTCGCAGGTTTCTAGAGCCGGCTTGATGAGTTAGGCTTTAAGGACAGAGTTAATTTTTTCAACTTTGCCTGAAGATTGAGGTGTGTAGGGTGTGTGGAGAACTTACTTATTCTTAAGGATGTAGAGATGCCTCGGGTAATGTGGCTGATGAAGGCAGGACTGTTATCGGACTGGATGGATGTTGGGAGTCTGAAACAGGGAACTGTATGCATGATGAGTTTGTGTGATGATATTTGCACCTTTTGAAGTTGTTGGGAACACTTCTCCCTAGCCAGAGAAAGTACAGACAAGGATTAGAAGATAGCAGAGACATTTATCATGCAGCATATGAGTGAAGTCTACTTGCCAATCTTCCCCAGGTAACTGGCCCTGGGCTTGGTGGGTATGAAAAGGCAGAGGCTGGAGGGATCCCTGGGGTTACATTGAGTGGCAGATAGAGCAGGACTGGATAATTTCTTGAACATGGCTGGAAAAGTGACGACAAGTGAGAATAGCGTGGAGAAGCTGCAAGAGGTTGTTAACCAACATGGAAAGAGTTGTGGAGGCTTTGGAGGTGAGGAAGGCTTTGAGAGTGAGGAATAACTAAGCACCCTTCCTTGACATAATATCGTCCTTGCTTTTGAAGGTTTTGGGCTTGGAAATCTTTTTCTTCTTAGAAGTAAAGAGGAGAGAACAAGGACAAGGACAGCAACTGGCCTCGAAAGGGTAGTAGGGCTACTTGTTTGGCTACCTGATCTGCTAGCACATTTCCAGCCAATTTAGGATTGTCTGGGGTTTGGTGGCCCCTGCAATGAATGATGGCAACTTTCTGTGGGAGCCTGGCAGCTTGAAGGAGCTTGCTGATGAGAGAGCCACTTATGACAGTATTGTTTGCAGTGAGGAAACCCCGTTCTTTCCAGATGGATGAGTGTGAGTGCACTACGTGGAACACATAAGGAGAATTTGAATATATTGATCTGTTTTCCGGATGCTAGAATGAGAGCTCGAGTGAGGGCAATGAGTTCAGCCTTTTGGGAGGTGGTGCCTAAGAGGAGCAGATTGACTTCAATAGTGTTGGGGGGTGACACTATAGCATAGCCAGCATGTCGGTGTCCTTGATGTAGGAAGGAGCTGCCATCTACAAACCGAGTAAAGGACGCATCTGGAAGGGATTTTTCTGTTAGGTTTGGAAAAGGTATAAGAAAGGTTTGAACAGTATTCACACATAAGAGTGTGAAGAAGAGTCTTGGGCGGTTGTAGCTTCGGGTAAGAGCATGGCCGGGTTTAGATGGGAGGTGGTTAGCATGGTGATGTGGGGAGTTTCTATGAATAGAGCATACAGCTGGAGGAGCCGTGGGGCAGAGAAAAGACTTAGTACACTGCGGTGAGCTAACATGTCTTTGATGTTATGGGTTGAATAAACTGTTAGGTTGGCATGAAGAGATAGTTTTAGGCTTTTAAGAGTGAGGACAGCAACTGCCACCAATGCTCAGGGGCAGGCAGGCCATCCGAGAACTGTGGCTTCAAGCTGTTTAGGGAGGTAGGCAACAACCTGGCCGGGTGGGTCCCTTAGACTGGGTTAGAACACCTAGTGCAACTCCACGCCATTCATCGGTATAGAGGGAGAAAGGTTTGGTGAAGTCTGGGAGAGTGAGGATGGGGGCTGAGATGAGAGACTTTTGGAGTAGATGGAAAGGTTGGGTAATAGGCTGTGCAGGTTTTAAAGGCTCATGGAGAGGGCCTTTAGCAGCTTGGTACAACGGTTTGGTAAGTAGAGCGAAGGAGGAAACCCAGAGCTTAAAATATCCTGCTAATCCTGGAAAAGAGAGAATTTCTTGCTTAGTTTGTGGAGGCGGGAGGGACTGAAGGAGGGAGTATGTGGTCTGTTGTGAGCCCTTGCATTCAGGGGTAAGAGCTAGGCCTAGATAGGTGACTGGGGGGTGCATATTTGGGCTTTCTTAGGGGAGACCTGATACCCCTGTTCTGCCAAGAGGTTTAAAAGGGAGATAGTATGTATGGGTGTTGCAGTCTCTTTGAGAGGGGCTACACAGGAGCAGATTATTAACATATTAAAGAAGAGAGGATGATTTTAGGGATAAAGTACAGAAGTTACTAGCAAGGGCCTGTCCAAAAAGGTGGGGGCTGTCTCTAAAACCTTGAGGTAGTACGCACCAGGTGAGCTGACCTGAAAGGTGGGTGTCGGGGTTTTCCCAGGTAAAGGCAAAGAGGTTTTGGGAATCAGGGTGTAAAGGAATTGTGAAAAAGCATCATTTAGGTTTAGAACAGAAAAGTGGGTGGTATTCGAGGGAAGTGAGGAAAGTAAAGTATATGGGTTAGAAACTACTGGACACACTGGGAGTACAGCTTGGTTAATGAGCCTGAGGTCCTGGACTAAGTGATAAGTTCCATCTGGCTTTTTAACAGGTAGAACTGATGTGTTAAAAGGAGAGTTTGTTGGGCAGAGTAGGTGACTGGTGAGGAGGAGAGAAATGATAGGCTTTAGGCCTATGAGAGCTGCTTGGGGGATGAGATACTGCTTCTGTGATAGGAACGGGGTGGGCTCTTTAAGGGTGATGTGGATGGGGGTGTGGTGCTCTGTGACCGAGGGTGTGGAAGTATCCCAAACAGTGGGGTTAACTACAGGTGGGGGATAAGGAAAAGTTGCATGTTTCAGGGTGGGAGGTCGGAGGAGTAGAAGAAGGTTAGAAGCCTGTTAGAAGCCTTGGAGGGGTCTGGGTTGATGTGTTGGGTACTATGGGGAATGTGGAAGTGGAGAGTAGTGTGGAGTTTTGAAAGAATATCTCTGCCTAGGAGCGGAGCTGGGCATGAAGGCAGGACTAAGAAAGAGTGACTGAAGGAAAAGGTGTTCAGGGAGCAGAAAAGTGGAGGGGGGTCTTGGGGTTTGGAGACTTGTCCATTGATTCCCACAACAGAGACTTGGGAGGACTGGGTGGGTCCTGAAAATTTAGGTAAAGCAGAGTAGGTTGCTCCAATATTAATTTTTAAAAAACATGCATGCCTACCTGCCACCATCAGGGTTACCCTTGGCTCAGATGAAGCAATGGTAGTTGCTGGGACATCTGTTCCAGGGCACTGTCAGTCTTTAGTGGCAAGGCCATTGAGATCCGAGTAGGAGGTTTTGGCCAGCTCGGAAAGGGATGGAGGCGATCCTTGCTGGAGCCGCTCACAGCCTGACTTTCACTGAGTCCTCCACAGAGGGGGCACAGCCTGGTGAGCACAGCTGGGTTTGGGCATGGCCTGGACCAGTAGCCTTCATTGCCACACTTGAAACAGGCGCCAGGTGGAGGTGTTTTGCTAGGAGGCTTCTGTATGGAGCTGTGGCCCTGTGGGCCTGCAGGGTAAAGGCAAGCATTGGAAACTGTTTTTTTCTTTTACTTTCCTCATCACAACTGTTAAAGACTTTGAAGGCTAAATTAAGAAGGTCCCACTGTGGGGTTTGAGGGCCGTCATCAACCTTCTGAAGCTTGCGCCAAATATCATGGTAGATTGGGTGAGGAACTGAAGGTTTGAAATAGTGGTTCCTTCTGGGCTGGCTGGGTCCAGGTTGGTAATTTTCTCATGGCTTCAGTTAAACAAGAGAGAAAAAGGGCTGGGTTTTTGTCAGGACCTTCGGTGATTTCTGAAAGTTTTTCATAGTTTACCACTTTATGGGCACCCTTTTTGAGTCCTGCAAGGAGACACATAATCATGAGGTCTTGATGGCTGTGTCCAGAGGCCCTGTCTTGATAATCCCAGTGGGGGTCCTGGTTGGGAACTGCCTCTGTGCCAGTAGGCTGGGCAGGAGCTTGATGATGAATTGTATTAGCATGCACCTGAGCTAGGGTCCAAGTACGGTGCTGGTCTTCTGGGGTGAGGGTGGAAGAGAAGATAAGTAGCTGTCATGCCAGGTTAGTTCATAAGACTGAGTAAGGTACTGAATCTCCCTAATATAAGAGGTAGGATCTTCTGGAAATGAACTGAGTCTTTTGTTAGTTTGAGAGAGATCAGTGAGGGAGAAGGGAACATGAACTCTAACAATACCTTCAGTTCCTGCTACTTCCCGAAGGGGGCATTCTAGCACTGGCGCTAAAGTACGGGTGGGGCATGGGCCAAAGATGGTGCCGGAGCTAGTATGGGCAGGAGAGAAGGAAGAAGCCAGAAGGGGTTCCTGCTGAGGGTTTGAAGAGGGAAGGGGGGTTGAGTTGATAGGCATTGGAGGATAGATACGGGTGTAAGGTGGCGGGATGGGTTTACAGGCTCCGTGAGAGGGCTGTAAGGAAGGAGAATGAGTACAGGCAATGCTAGAGTTTTCCTGAGGAGAGGATGGTATAGGAAAAGAAGTGGGTGATGCTGGCTGGGAAGATGGTGGCTGGGAAGATGGTGGCTGAGAAGACAATGAGGAAGCTTGGGGAGTTAATGAAGTTGGTTGAGATGGAGGGGTAGGGTCTGGGAGGGGTGGACAGCAGTCTGCTCCATCCAATGAGGAAAAAGAGGTAGGGTCGGGAGGATAAAGGCAATGAGGGCGGCGAGAATGAAGAAGGATTTGAACAGGTAAGCAAGAATTGCAGAGGTCGGGCTGTGATCTGAGTGCAAAAAGGCCTGGACACAAGGAATTTCTCCCCATTTTCCCAGTCATCTGCAATAACTGCTTAAGTCAGTTAAAACTGTAAAGCTGAGTGTTCCATTTGCGGGCCATTTGGACCCGTTATCTAATTCATACTGCGACCAGGCTTTATCGTATAAAAAAGACAAGGCACTTATGGCAGATATCTTGCCTGAGGCCTAAGGTTTGCAGATTTTTAATGAGGCAGGCTGGAGGGCTGTTTTTTGGAATTGAGGACCGGGAGTTTCCCATAATGAAGGGTAGCTCGAGAGAACAGGGAAAAAGGAGACCATCCTGGACAGCTGGAGGGAGACGATAAAAGGAGTTATCGTCTCCGCTGCCTTTTTGGTTCCTGGAACGGGATGAAATGGCTTAGAGGCATCCCCCTAAGACCAGATGACCAGCGAGTGCCTGGCGCACGCTGGCGCCTTCTTGGATCAGTGTTGGATTTTTGGACTGGAGAAACCAAGAGAGGCCATGTAGATTTTGCCCTGTTAACCGGGCTCCAAGGGAAACTTACCAGTAGGCGAGATCAGTGGCTGATGCGCATGCACAGAGAGGCGACTGGAGGCTGAGGAGCTTCCTCTGTCTAATTGCTGTGGCCTGCTCTCTGGGGTGGAGGGATAGGTCCACAAGCGACACAGACCTGAGCCCCTCCTAGGATTTGGCACCAGATGTAAGGTTCTTGAATCAGTTTGAACCCCAACAGCGCGCCAACAGACAACAGGAGGCGGTGTGGAGCAACATGCTGTTTTAATGAACGCCTGGTTGCAGGTGGGCTGAGGCCTAAAATGGCATCAGCCCCAAGTGAGGATGGGACAGGGGTTTTGTAGTCCTCTGTAAACAGTAAGTGTCCCAGTCTGTTGTGACTGCTATGTAGTACCTGGATGGCCTATTTCTTGATCTTCAGGGGTACATCTCTTCCAGCCAGGGTAAGTGTCTTCTGGCCGGCTCTCTTCCTGCTTCTGCTATCTTGCTGACACACGCTGCTGATGCAAGTGGTCTTGCATCTTGGGGCTGGGCCTGAGAAGGGAGGAGTTACTCATCCCTTCAAGCCTTCAGGTCCTGAGGAGAATCTTTGAACCCCCTGCATCACTGGCCACCCTCCTGATAGATCCCTGTGATGCCAGGCAGGAATGAGCCGCTTGGGTATCCAGAGAGCTCCCAGTGCCTTTCTGCTACTTCCTCTACCCCTGTATTTTGCTTGGCTTGGTTCTCTAATTTGACTCAGCTTCACATAAAGTCAGGAACTTCTCCTGCAAACAGAACTTCAGCTTCTCCAGTGGGGATGTGTATTCTGGAGAGGGGGATCACCCTTTCCCACTTCCATTGTTGGGGCACTCACAGTGTTTGGGATGTCTCCCAGGTCCTGCAGGAGCAGTACTCTTCCTGCAGAGGGTGTGTGGATCCTCTCAGAATTGCTGGTCTGTTCTTGCAGTTGATCTGCAGCTAAAATTCACAATGCAAGCCTCTGCATGCTGCTCTGTCTGGAGCTGCAATCTAGTCCTGCATCCCATCTGCCATGATCACTGGAAAACCCTCATTTATTTTTTAAAGGGTCCAGAAAATGCTAATCTATAGAGATAGAAATTAGATTAGTGGTTGCCTAGGGTAGGATGGATGCAAAATTTCAGAGTGGGGGGTTAGAGGCTATTGTATAGAATCTTTTGGAGATAATACTGATTATTGTAGTGGATGTAAAATTCTGTGAATATACTAGGAAACATTGAACTGTACACACTAATTGGTGAGTCATATGGTATATGAATTATGTGTCAACAAAGTTTTAGAAGACATTACTTGCACCACGATATTAAAAAATGCCGTTTGAGTTGTATAATTACTTCTTCTCTCTATGTCAAGGGCACCGAACAGGCAGGAGCCTCTCACTTGCCACTGTTCTTAACAGTATTATAAAATAATTACATAAGACAGGTTACTTACATATTCTAGGTCATAAAAATTATTGCTTGACTAGAGTAATTGTAAACATAAAAGAACACCAAACACACTAAAATAAATATGAGGTCATCAATCTTTTGTTGGTCTCCTTGGCATGCACCTATTCAGACTGTTAGTATTATGTATTTACTTCAAATTTTAGCAGTTATATTTTAACTTGATTGATTTTTCCTCAGATATAAGTATGAGAAATGACAGAAAGAAACAACAACTGGAAAAGAAGCATTGCATAAGACCAGGATGTCTCTGAAATGGACGTCAGTCTTTCTGCTGATACAGCTCAGTTGTTACTTTAGCTCTGGAAGCTGTGGAAAGGTGCTAGTGTGGCCCACAGAATACAGCCATTGGATAAATATGAAGACAATCCTGGAAGAGCTTGTTCAGAGGGGTCATGAGGTGACTGTGTTGACATCTTCGGCTTCTACTCTTGTCAATGCCAGTAAATCATCTGCTATTAAATTAGAAGTTTATCCTACATCTTTAACTAAAAATTATTTGGAAGATTCTCTTCTGAAAATTCTCGATAGATGGATATATGGTGTTTCAAAAAATACATTTTGGTCATATTTTTCACAATTACAAGAATTGTGTTGGGAATATTATGACTACAGTAACAAGCTCTGTAAAGATGCAGTTTTGAATAAGAAACTTATGATGAAACTACAAGAGTCAAAGTTTGATGTCATTCTGGCAGATGCCCTTAATCCCTGTGGTGAGCTACTGGCTGAACTATTTAACATACCCTTTCTGTACAGTCTTCGATTCTCTGTTGGCTACACATTTGAGAAGAATGGTGGAGGATTTCTGTTCCCTCCTTCCTATGTACCTGTTGTTATGTCAGAATTAAGTGATCAAATGATTTTCATGGAGAGGATAAAAAATATGATACATATGCTTTATTTTGACTTTTGGTTTCAAATTTATGATCTGAAGAAGTGGGACCAGTTTTATAGTGAAGTTCTAGGTAAGTCATGTGTCTAACTGGTGCTTATTAAGTTCTAACTTTTCTGTGCCTTTGAAGGTGAGCTTATATAAATATAATGTCAGAAGATAGTGTTTTTAAGGGAAATTATGAATTGCAAATGTAAGATGATCTATCAGTCTCAAAAATATTATAGAATGTTGACCTTATAGAATCAGTTAGAACCCTGGGGCCATCACTACTACAGGACACCCAGAGAGTCATAAACCTTCATTGTAAAGCACTAATGATTTCTTTAAACTATCACATATCATTTTGCTATACATTTTTTCATCTTTAAAAAAAGTCAATAGATACCTCAAGAAACATCTTCATGAAGGCAGACACATAAATTTAGTATTTACACATATTTCTAGAAAAATTATCAATGCAGGATTGAGGAATTTGTTTCTCTTTGAGTTCCTCAGTTTCCTCATTTAGAAATTAAATTTTGTTTTTCATGTAAGAAGGATTCCTTCACAGTTGAGTAATATAGTGGCTCTACTCCAGAAACAGAAGCCTAAAACTTGAGATTTCTAATGTTTATACATTCCTTCAATAACAGGTTGACAATTATTTCTTTCAAAAACTGAAATCTTGTTGAAAGTGAACATCTAAGTTTTAATCTATATTTTATTAAACTGCATCTCTCCATCAAAGAAAATAGGGGCCAAATTAAGGGAGAGCACATATCTCTATGTCAATAAATTCTGAAAATGTTTTAATTCTCATTTGTAAATATATTTATTTTAAAAATCTAATTATATTAAGATCTTAAGATGAACCAAGACAGTAGTAGGTGTAAAGATTTCAGTGTTGAGCTCAAAAAACTCATGGTTTACTTTGAGAACCAAGGATCAAGGGACTAGCTTAATAAACTGTAGACACTAGAGTACTTCCTGGAAAGCTGTTTTCATGGGTAAGGTAAGATGAATTAATTGTGGAACTGAAAGAGTTGTTTAAAGGTATATTTGTTACTATTGCAGCTTCAGAGGGAAGACAAATGTGTATTTAAGTTCATAGTGGCTACATTAGTCCATTCTCACACTGCTGTAAAGAAATACCTGAGACTGGGTAATTTATAAAGAAAAGAAGTTTAATAGACTCAGTTCTACATGACTGGGATGCCTCAAGAAACTTAGAATCATGGTGAAAGGCTAAGGGGAAGCAAGCTTGGATCTTCTCACTTAGTGGCAGGAGAGAGAAGTGCAAGCAGGGGAAATACTAGACACTTATAAAACTATCAGATCTCATGAGAGCTCACTCAATATCATGAGAACAGCATGGAGGAATCCACACCATGATCCAATCACCTGCCACTGGGTCCCTCCCTGGACACATGGGGATTATGGGGATTATAATTCAAGATGAGAGGAGATTTGGGTGGGGACAGTCAAACCATATTAGTGACTTATTTTAATAATTATTTATGATTGTGAATATACTGATGTTACATTAAAGATGTGATTTCTTCTTACAGATCTCTGAATACATTGCCTTCCTTATATATACATATGAGCAACATATGCAATAAATAAAATCTAAATTATGACTATATATAAATGTATTTATATATATTTTATCAATGCACAGACATTTTATATATGTTTGGGTATGTTATTCCAAGTCCTTTCAGGAAAATACCTGCATATTCAAATAACAATTCTCGTGTTAGCTACCTTTTGTTTTGTTTTGTTTTTTTCCATCAGGAAGACCCACTACATTATTTGAGACAATGGGGAAAGCTGAAATGTGGCTCATTCGAACCTATTGGGATTTTGAATTTCCTCGCCCATTCTTACCAAATGTTGATTTTGTTGGAGGACTTCACTGTAAACCAGCCAAACCCCTGCCTAAGGTAAATGTATTCTTGTTTCATTTGTTTGCTTGACATTTTCAGAAGGAATGGCTGGATATGTTTCTTTCAGAGTGTTTAACTCAGAGTGAGGGGAATATGGGAGGTCAAAAACAAGGACTTGCCATTAGAAAATCATATATTTCTGTAGTATCACAAGTATGTGAATGTTATTATCATTAAAGACCAAAGAGGTTTACTAGGGAGATTTTGAAAACAGGGTTGGTTAAAGTAAGGCCTTCATTGTGCCACCCAAAAGATAGTATGATTCATTTCTTCAAAAAATATTTGTAGAGTGATTAATACAAACCACAGGTAAGTGCTGGATTTTCAGAGAATAAAGGTAGCACAGTTTCTGCTCCCTCATGCCTTACATTGTACTTTGAAAGATAGAATAAAAACAAGTGAAAAAGAAAAGTCTAAAAAGTGTTATAAGGAAAGACCACAATGATAAAGAAATATGCAGAAGAGATCCCAAACTCATTGACAATTAAAGTGAGTACTCAATAATGTGCAGAGATAGGTGAAACGATGAGGGGTTGATAAACACCCAAAAAGAAAACCAGAGGCCAGGCAAGGTGGCTCACACCTATAATCCCTGCACTTTGGGAGGCAGAGAAGGCATGATTGCTTGGGCTCAGGAGTTTGAGACCAGCCTGGGAAACGTGGTAAAACCTCATCTCTAACAAAAATAAAAAATAAAATAATAGCCAGGCATGCTGGTGTGTGCCTGTAGTCTCATAGTCGTAGCTACTTAAGAGGCTGAGGCAGGAGGCTTGCTTGAGTCTGGGAGCAGAGGCTGCAGTGAGCTGAGACCACACCACTGAACTCTAGCCTGTGCGACAGAGCGAGACTCTGTCTCAAAAACAAACAAATAAACAAAAAAAAAAAAAGTAAAGGCTTGCATTAAGGCAGAAAAGTAGAAAAGCAATAAGGGCAGTTCCCAGGAACTCCAAATTTAATTTACAGGAAAAGGTTGAGTAAAAGTCAATGATGGGCCGGGCGTGGTGGCTTACACCTGTAATCCCAGCACTTTGGGAGGCCAAGGCAGGTGGATCACCTGAGGTCAGGAGTTGGAGACCAGAGTGGCCAGCATGGTGAAACCCCGTCTCTACTAAAAATACAAAAGTTAGCCAGGCATGTTGGCAGGTGACTGTAATAGCAGCTACTTGGGAAGCTGAGGCAGGAGAATCACTTGAACCCCGGAGGCAGAGGTTGCAGAGAGCCGAGATCACGCTATTGCACTCCAGCCTGGGCAACAGAGTGAGAATCTGTCTCAAAAAAAAAAAATATATATATATATATATATGTAATTTGATATACCCATAGGGACAATGGAGAGCTACTGAAAAGAGTGAAAAGAGTTAAGAAATGAAGAGATATGATCAGATTTCCTTTTAAAAAATCCCAATATTCCCAATGTATAATATTGCAAAAAGGCAAGTTTGTAAAATGTAAAGATCATTTAGGAACTTTTACATGAGTTTAAGCAATCATGACTACTTTTATAATAATAATCACAACTTCATATTGTGCTGTGTGGAAAAAAAGTAGTTACCACAGATAAAACACTTAAGTTGTCTCTGACACACAGCCAGTGATCCAAAAATATTGTTGATATTATGATTATTTCAGTCATTATTTTTAATACTTTAAATTAGCTAACATGTGCCAGCCATTTAAGATATCAGTCTTCATTTAATAGTGATTGATTTTCCAACACATCAAGATTATATTCTCTAGCAAAGTCCTAGAGAACAGATACTCTGTGTACTTGTTTAAATGTAAATGTTTAAGTTTGGGCAGTCAGTTGAACAAGCTGGAAAGCTAAAGTTGTATTGTAAAGGTGGAGGCTCTTCATTAATATTCTAGCTTAAAAGGTAATTCTGTGTACTCTTATCTTATTCTCAAAAAAAAATTCCTCACTCACATTAAAAGAAAGTGATAGTGCCAGTAGCAGGGGGAAGAGAGTAGCAGAATAAGGACAAGGGATAAATGACTAGTAGTACAATAGTGATTATTACTGATACTAGCATGATCTCGGCTCACTGAAACCTCCACCCCCCAGGTTCAAGCGATCTGATTCTCCTGCCTCAGCCTCCCGAGTAGCTGGGATTACAGGCACCTGCCAACACATCTGACTAATCTTTGTGTTTTTAGTAGAGACAGAGTTTCACCATGTTGGCCAGGCTGGTCTTGAACTCCTGACCTCAGGTGATCCACATGCCTCAGCCTCCCAAAGTGCTGGGATTACAAGTGTGAGCCTCCGTTGTTGTTAACTTGCAGAAGGTAGACTTGAATCCAAGTAAATAATTGTGAAACTGATTCTCTAATTCTTTTGTACACAAAATAATTGTTGCGACAAATTTGCTTGCTTTTCCATTATGTATTAGATTCTCAGATAATGTTTGTATATTTCAAAAGAATAAGACTCTTGCCAAAAAGTATCAAGTGTTTGAAAAATGCATATAGGCATTGCCTTTATAATATACTCACATGAAACTGTACAGAGAATAAATCATGATGGTAAGATTCAATATCGGTAGCAAATACTCATTAAAAAAACTCTGGAAATAATTCAAATATCTTACATTAAGAAATGGTTAAAAACTTACATAATGTGCATACCAAGCCATTACAATCCTTTTTTCAAAACAATGTTTAATTACACTGTCAGCCGTGGTACAGGTATAGTTGGAAACTAAGGAACAAAATGATGAGTAGAACAAGATCACAGTTTTTTTGTAGAATAAAAAGGCATATACAATGAGAATAAAATTTTCTAAATAAACATCACATATGTACATTGAGTTATATAAATAGAATTAAACCCATAATGAAATGGCACACATTTTAAATTGAGATAGAGATATGGGTAAATGATTTTCTTTTTCTAAATTTTCATACTTTTATAAAACTACTTACATTGATCTTCTATTACCATTACTTTCATAAAGACATCACAGAATGAGATCAGTGCTGATCTGTCTATAAATAGATGTTTTATTACTTCAATACTGGGTGGGTGAAGCAGACTTTTGGCAGTGAATGAGACAAAACATTGAACTCAAGTTACATTAAATGTGGCTACAGGCAACTGCAATTACACTGAGTTCCTGGATGCCTCATGAATTATCTCTAATAGCCATACACTGAATCTCCAATTAAAACTGATGTCAGGCCAGGCACAGTGGCTCATGCCTGTAATCCCAGCACATCGGGAGGCTGAGGCGGGTGGATCACAAGGTCAGGAGGTCAAGACCAGTCTGGCCAAGATGGTGAAACCTGTCTCTACTAAAAACAGAAAAATTAGCCAGGCGTGGTGGCAGGTGCCTGTAATCCCAGCTACTCAGGAGACTGAGGCAGGAGAATTGCTTTAACCTGGGAGGCAGAGGTTGCAATGAGCCAAGATTGCATCATTGCACTCCAGCCTGGGTGACAGAGAAAGACTCCATCTGGAAAAAAAAAAAAGATGTCATAAAGTTAAATTATATTTTTTAAAAATACTTACCAATATATGGTCTGAATTGACATATTTTAGAATTTCTTTTTTTATTTGTAAACAGTTTTATAAAGAAATTTCCCCCAATGATTAGGACCAGAAAGTATATTTGTTATGACAGAAGGGGTTGGTCATTATTTTACTGAGAAAAAGAGAATTTTGAACAAAAGGGACAACAGCAACAAAAAGATGAGTATACAATTTTGATATGATATCCAGGAAACTTATGGGTCTACATTTCTTTTCCTCTTTCTCTCTCTCTTTTTTTTTTTTTGGTGTGAGAATACATTGAGCGATGTGGCATTAGAGAATGGATTTAAGTTTAAAAACAGGGACACATCAGGAAACACAAGTCAGAATAATTCTCATTCATTTCAAAGCAAACACATATTCACCAGGAGCTTCATATAGTGTGAGGGAGCTACTCTAGGGGGTGAGCAGATCTCCACTGGAGAAAGTCCTGGTGACCTCTCCCACTGTGGTTCAAGTGCCCCCTGTGAGACACAGCAAAGTGATGATGAGGGTCCCCCACATTCAGTTATACATAGCACATCAAATTCACAGTGTGATTTCAGGACAAAAGGTGTCATAGTCATACCTAAGCAATGACCTGAGAAATAAGATCACTTAATTATGTAACTATATAGTATATAATACTGTATTATAAATGGAATTCTCAGAACTATTTCCCAGAAATTCCAAACCACAATACCAGACTGCTGAATGTCAGTGATTCTTATACTTCAGCTTTTAAGGTGTTTTTGGGGGGTGGGGGTGTCGGGGGCAGTGAGGGGTAGTGGGGTAAGACTAGGAAACCCTAACTTTAAGTGAAATATAAAGGGTTAGAGAGCTAGAAGCTAAATAAATGTAGATATAATATCATTCCAATTGTAACTAACTTTTCCTCAATGCTCATAGTCATGTAATGGCTCCAATGACTCCTAACTAAAAGAACTGAACAGAAAAAAATAAAATAAAATAAAACTACCCCAAATAAACACAAGAGATTTAGTAGAACCACAAAAAAAATTAGAATTGAAGCCAAGTAAAGCTACCTTCCAATAACCTATGTTAGTAATTATAATATTATAAATAAAGTGTCTGGGTGTAACATTTTCTAGCATTATCTCCTCCTACTGCAGTGTCATAGCTTTGTTTCATTTCCTCCTTACACACACATACATACATGCATATGCACACATATTTACACAAATTTGCATGAAAGATCCCACATATATTATATTACACATCTCCTTTCAAAGAAACTGAATGATTAGGTCAGTTTAAAAAAATTACTCCAATAGCTTCTGACTTTCTCATCTTAGATGTTTGTAACAATCCTGTCAATAGTGTTTTCTGTGCTGTTGCTCTTTTCTGATAGAACAAATTCTTTCTTCACAGGAAATGGAAGAGTTTGTGCAGAGCTCTGGAGAAAATGGTATTGTGGTGTTTTCTCTGGGGTCGATGATCAGTAACATGTCAGAAGAAAGTGCCAACATGATTGCATCAGCCCTTGCCCAGATCCCACAAAAGGTTAGATAAAGTGCCTTAACTGTGGATGGCTACTAAATGAATCTGTTAAACTCTTCAAGAGTCCATTACAGAAATGTTCTGCCTGAAAATTTAACTGCTATGATAGTTCTAATTATCTCAGACATCTGTTCAAAACAAAAACATATATGGAAGATCTTAAAATCATAAAGAGAGGAGTTTTGGTTGATAATAACGTTGGCATTAATATTGTGATCAGAAGGAAATATATTTAAGAGGTGCTAGTGAAGTTTGGTATTATCATGGTATCGTAGCATGTACATAGAAATCACTAAATTCTGCCCTGTCATTTGCTCCTTTTGGTTTACAGGATTTTAGAAGGTACTGTATACACTGTAGATATTATCAAAAAGCAGTTAAATTTTAATAAGTTACTGTACTATCACAATAACAATAAGCAGGTATCGAAAAAACTTTGAAATGCATCATGCAGCTTCGTCTTACCAAGCAATCTGGCTGTTTTTACTTCCCATGTATTGGAATAGGTCTATTTAGTGTTCTGTTCAGGGTGCCATTCAGAGAAAGAATGTCCTAGTCTGACTAGCCACTGCTCTGGAGGTACCCACCTAGCCAAGTAGATTTAGAGAAAAAAAAAAAAAACTTGTCTGCTCTGCTGACTTGGGTGCCGCTAATGTCTTAAGCAGAAAAATGTAATGGAAAGGATGGAGATAGAATCCTGCTTTTAGGGTAGACTATGTGCATTATTAAATGTGGCCCAACAAAGACTATGCTCTAAGAATCAGATTAGTGCCTTCTCCAGATTGAGGAAGGAGCAGAAAATATAAATAAACATGGTAGGAACTTATTTTCTAATCTATACAATCTTTGTGTATTTTCAATTTACGTTTTAGTTTCTTATCTGACATAGCCCTCTCTGAATGATCTATACAAGTTTTTGCTGAAAACACAGAGTTACTTTAACACTCCCATATCAAATACAAGGTCAACACTTGTAAATTCTACTCCAGTTTATAAAGATTGCTTGGGAATTCTAAAATCAGTACCTTAGTTTGGTACTAGACATGGTAATGACTGGCTATAGCTGACCATATATCAAGGCTGTCAATGCTAGGTAGTGCATCATCTAAGTGTGAAAGATCAGTTAAGCAAAATGCAGCAAAATACAATTTTCTACATTTTCAGCATCTGTATTGTTAATCATGAATTGTCAATGGGCTCCTTTTTCCTACATTGTTAGCATTTACAAAAGTAGCAATACTGATAATAGTCTGAATTTGTGTCAAACACTGCCACTTGAAATTTTTCCTGAAAGTAGCACTTGATAGTTAGCAAATGAAAAGAAATTACACATACTACATATGTAGCATTATTTCTCACCATATGTGCAGTTTAAATATTTAGTCTTTTGTAATCAATGATGTCAAATTCATAAAATAACTTATGACTAGTAGACAAGTGGATATAAGTAAACTCTTCTCATATCACTCAAAAATTAATAAATTTATATTAAATTTGGAAGGTTACAGCTAGTATAAAGTATATAAAATAAATATATAGGTTATTACTAATTTGCTACTTTTTTATTACTAGAATTAAGACTGCTTAACAATTCTTAAATATTTGAATATTTCATTGATAATCTTGTGAACCCCAAATATCTGATACAGGTCTCAGTACATTTAGAAAGTTTATTTTTGCCAACTTGAAGCAGGGAGGAGGCATTCCTTTGACTTTCTGATTAGCCTCTCCAAGGAGGCAATCAGATATGCATTTATCCCAGTGAGCAGAGGGGTGACTTTGAATAGAATGGGAGGCAGTGATTTGCTTAGTGACTTTGGGGCCCCCAGGCTTATTTTCCTTTTACATTTAAAAAAAATCTTTTGGAGAAAGCATTTTAGAAGAAAATGAGTCTCTGGTCTCAGGTTTTCATCTGATCTCTAATGGCAAGGAAGGTTTATTCCTAAGCAGGTCCTGAGTTATTAGGAAAGTTCATTTTTAGTAGGTTGTGAAGTCTCATGTCCTATGAAGACAAAATAAAGGGAGAAAGGGAGAAAAACAAAACCAAACAAAAGAAAAATCCTTGAAAATTAATATAGGCCCATTACTCTGAAGTCCATAAATCAGTAGGCAGGTATGAAAGTGGATTATGTATGTAAATTGGTTGCTGTTATTTTCTTCTGGAGTTTAAGTTGTCTAGCTTAATTTGTAGGGCTTCATGAAAGCATGACTTAGTTTACAGTGACTCCAAACTAGGAAAAATGGTGGAAAGGGAGGAAAAAAAACCTGAAGACACTATTTTGAAGACGTGTCGCCATGAAAAATTAGAATTCAGTCCAAACTGTAGACAGTAATAAAAGTTGAAAAACATTAGGCAAGACTAGAATCTAACAACAGGTATACTGTTATTTTTGAAACATAATTTTTCTGTCTTCAGTTTCCCAATTTTACTAAAGACAAACCATGGTACAACTGATTTGCTTTATTATACTTGGCCTGATTATTGTATACAGAGGAGGAAGAATAATTTTTTATTTACATAGGCTTTTAAAGTGGCTTTGATGGAACTTTGTCTTATAGAAAGAATCTCAGATAGGACTTTTTTAAAGCTGAGGAAAGCCATAGATTTCTACCATCAAATACCTACGAGTTGGGTGAATTCCTCTCCTCTTGGGGTTCCAAAATAAACTTGGGGCTCCTGGGCCTGTCAGAAAGTTACATTCTTTGCTTAACACAGTTCAGGAACCCTGTACAGGGACCTTATAGATGAAGGTATGAGGCCAGTTTTCCCAAGGGGTTTTATTGGCTCCATAAGTTAAGTTTGATTCCCTAAAGGAAAGCCCACCATACCAGTGGAAGCCTTGATAAAATAACCAGTTTCTCCAATTGTGTTTTGTTAAAAATGAAAATAGATTCTTATTGCACTTATGCAAATAACTGTATTGACAAAAGTAAAAAATACTCACAAATAGTTTCCAAATTCTGAAAAATCAGGTAGAGGGAAACAAATACGTTCTAAATTTTTTTCATAGGAGTATACTAAATTGTTAAAAGCTGTTAATAGCTCAAAAAAAAAAAGATTCCTTCACTCTGAAAAAAAAACAAAACAAAGGATCAGCAATGTTTTAAGCAAAGTCTAAAAGATTACTTTAGTTTTTTATTATTTCAGTCCATGTAGTTAATTCCTGTTCTGCTTGATACTCATGAACATTTTAGTTCTCCATGAGTCCTGAAAGTTTTTCTTCCATTCTAATGTCACAATCTCCAAAATTATCAAAAACTTTTTTTCAAGAGCACCTGTTAGAATTTTATGGCTGAGTATAAAATCGCCTTCTAAAGAGGACCAAAGTAAGACAACAATTGTCTGTGGAGGACAAAAAGTTTTAGGGCAGACTCAGTCAAAGACACAATGGACAAGGAAATTTGTTACCTCTGTGGCACACAATAACTTAACACATATAATTGTTACTGATAACGTACACACTAAGTCATATCAGAATTATAGGAGTTTCCCATAATTTTGGAACACATAACAATAACATACTTATATAAATACAGCTCAAAAAGACCAAACACCATTTCATATTTGACAATGTTTCCTGTATAATTTTTATACAAAATAAACCAAATTATGTCATTTTTGGATGTTAGGGAAACTAATAAATTAAAGGATTACTTAGGTCAGAAAAAATCATAATTTATAATTTGTTTGGAAAATTTCTCAAATATCAAAGGTTTAAAACACTTAATATCACAGGTAAGATAAATCATTCATTTGACTAATGTGGTAACTCAAGGATTTCAAAAAAAGGCAAAAATCTTCATTCTTTGAGAGAGGAGACTCAATTTGCCAAACAATAAGCCCTAATAAAATAGCATGAAGCCAAATAACTTTGTTTTTCAAAATTTTATGAACAATCTATAAAATTCTAATCTTGACCATAAGATATAACTTTCCTCAGCCTTTCATAACCTTTATAATCTTTATTAAGAAGTCAGTTTATGCTTCCAGAAAACCTTGTTAATCTGACACAGGGGCCCATATGTTGGTCTTGCATTAGTGTGTCTTTGACATTAATGATTAATTTGTAAATAAACTAACTTATCTCTCAGTATCAGTTCTTAAAATCTCACACACCCACCTCTTCTGTGATAGTCCCTGGACCTTGAGGAGCTGAATAGCTTTTAGAAAGCACTGTTAGCATTATGCCACAACAAACAGAACTTGAGGAAAAAAACTTATATGAGTTGAAAATGAGTTGAAGGATAGTGTTGCCATTTCACACCCTTTATGGTTTAGCTTTGAAATAAAAATGATAACAGTTTTTTCCCAAAACAAACCTTACTGCCTGTGGACTAGATTGCTTAAGGCCACAGGGTTAGAAGTTATGATAATCTTACTTAATTCAAGATGTGGCTATTTTCATTAAACCAATATCAATGTCTTATTTATTAAAAAATTACACAAGCAAAGATCATTCTGTTTTGGGCTTGGTTTACAGTTTTGTAACCCTTATGTCAAATTTTGACACCTTAAAGTATTTGGCAACAATAAGTATGAAATTGCTTGATTAATAAATGCAAACAAAAATATATGCTGGAAATTCTTAAGACATTTCTAATATTATCATACTTTAGCAATAATTGTAAAGTTATCTTATTTATAAAAGATTTTATTGAAGTTACATAAACTTGAAAAAGCATTTGACTAGTCTTTTTTTTCTGGCAAAGTATTTAATTCAAGCACTTTTATTTTCTTAAGCCAATTAATTAGAGCTCTTTTATATATTTTCAGTAATAAAACACTGTGTACAAAACACATAAATACATACACACATTAAGCATGCCAATAGAAGTACATCTTATAGATTTATGAAAACTACATTTTGCCATATTAGACTTCCAAATTCTTGATAACCTGTTTCAATAGGTAATCTGTATGAATACTTGATCACCATAGGCAGTTGTAAGCTAAATAGTCTTACATTTGCATATTAAAAGAAACCAAGTGAAAATTAAATAGCAAAATTTACATCATAAGGTACAGAGACAAAAAATTTGGTGTGCTGGAAGGAAAATAAAATGGATTCAATTGCCTATTAAACATAAAATTATAGAAATTATAATGGCCTTTTAAATATATGCAAACACATGTACACACACACAAAAGATTCTATGGCTTTTACTTCAGAACTTTAGCCATGAGATAAAAAAAATTGACCAGCTTGCAGACAAAAACCTGTTGAATCCATAGTGTGGTTTTTATCTTAATAGAAAAATAAAAGCAAATTTAAAGCAAGAAGAAAAGAATTTTTTTTAAAAAGAGAGAACTTAGGAACTCTATAGCTTGCAGGACAACCTAGGGTTCTTAATGTATATGTGCACAAAGACCGTATTACCTTCATTTTACATAAACTCTGCCAAGTAGAGGTGTCATAAAACCTACCAAGTGATATCAGGGGGTCATTCTTCTTGTTTTCTCATCATTCTTAGATTATTTGTTTCCCACTTTTTTTCCTAAAAGGAGGAACTGAGCTGTGGCCTAGGGTTTATGTGTGGTGAATCAATGTGTGCTGCTTGTGGGCAGTACTCCACAGTGTGTCACCACTGAGTTGTTTCCACCCTCTTACATGTCTCAGTTTCTCTCTCCAGAGGTGTATGACCTCTGAGAGGGCTCAAAATGCTGGGTGATCTGCCCTCATATGTGTTTCCTGGACTAGCCTTTTTTTAAAAGTTAATTTTTATTGGGGATTTCCCTGCAGGGCCACTCCATGTCACAGGGGGTCAACCCCAAGACACTCCCACAAGGCCCCCAGTTGCTTAGGGGTGCCTTTTGCCTGGGAGGAGCAGATGCCCTTTCACTTTGGAGCTGAGAAAACTCAGTCTCTCATTTTCCTATGTAAACCACAGTTCAGTTTCTCACACAAATCCACACAGACAAGCCAAATGAGATTAATTTGGGGAATAAAAACAATAGAGGAGACCCTTTACAACACATCTCCAAACTAGAATTAGGATTCTTAAACAACAACTTCCTAGGAGGAAAAAAATAGCAACAGTCAATACTACTTCCAGTAAACTGTACTCAGCCACCCCCTACTTTGTAACTCGTCTGCCATTACACATGCCAAGGTAAAATCCTCTCACAGTACAAGGTAATCTGTGGTAATCTCAAAGCCAAAGAGATCAGGTCATTCAACATAGGAAAACAGAGCTTTGGACTGAGAAAAAAATCTGCCCACAACTCTTGGAACTCCACAAAGAAAACAGACACCCCTAAAGGGGTGAGTGGTGCCTTTGTTCTGAATTCTTTAAAAGAGTTCAAGTCATTAGAAGCCTTCTCTAGATTTTTCATACTGCAAATGGCAAAAGGCAAAAGGAGGTATAGGGTGGAGGAAAAGTAAACAAAAGAACATTTGTTTTTTTAAAGACAGGAAGCAAACACAGAAACCAAGAGCATGGTTTTTAGGTTTTGTTTTGTTTTGTTTTGTTTTCTCTTTTGCGTCTGCAAAGAATTTTAGCCAAATTAGACAGGCTTTGTTACCCACAATTTGGAATTCTCACTCAGATTTGATCAAGTCAGGTAAAGTTCATCAAATCTGATGGGAGAAATACTGGAATGTACAAAAAAAAAAAAAAATCCCAGAAATGTGATCACTAAGCACTGTAATGGTAAGGAGAAATTAAGTCCAGCTAGTTGTTAAACATTAACCAAGACAAAACCGCAATTCAGCTGTTTACCTACGGATGGGTTTCAGGCCAAAACTGCCCTCTGCCATCCTAGAATCAGGAAAGAAACCTCAAATTCATCCTCCCTCCTGGGAGCGAGCTCAAACTCCATAGAGTTACCTGCCTTCCATTGTCATGGAAACAGGAAATCTTGCCTTTCTTGTAGGAAGCAAGTAAAACTCCAAAAAAAACAAAAAGGAGTTGTACAGCAAAATAAACTTCAGATCTTGTCTGAATTTTGGGGTATCAGAGATTCTCTGGAGGGGTTGCTCCCAGACCTCAGCCAATTGTCTTCTTTGTTTGAGCCATAAATTTAGCTCATGCTGGTACCAAGCACTGATAGGACATTTATCAAAGGTCAGGGAACCTCCACTCAGAATCTCTTCATGGTTACCAAAATATGAACCCTGAATATATGAGACAGTTCTCAGATAATTTAGAAAGTTTATTTTGCCAAGGTTGAAAATGTGCACCCATGACACAGCCTCAGGAGGTCCTGATGACATGTGTCCAAGGTGGTGGGGGGACAGTTTGGTTTTATACATTTTAGGGATACATGAGACATCAATCAACATATATAAGATGAACATTTGTTCGGTCCAGAAATGGGAGACAGCTAGAAACAAAGGCAGAGCAACTTGAAGCATGGAAGGGGCTTCCAGGTCATAGGTAGATGAGAGACAAATAGCTGAATTCCTTTGAGTTTCTGATTAGCCTCTCGAAATGAGGCAATTTGATATTCATTTATCTCAGTGAGTCAAGGGCTGACTTTGAATAGAATGGGAGGTAGGTTTGCCCTAAGCAGCTTAACTTTTCCCTTTAGCATAGAGTTTGGGTTGCCAAGATTTATTTTCCTTTCACAATCTCATGTGTCTAGCTATTATGTTAGAAATGTCATTATTTCTTTATATACAAAATTGATTATAAAAGTAACGACATTAAACGTGGGTATTCAACTTACCTCAAACTTTTAGTAGTTCTCATTACTTGACATCACTTCTTCTTATTTCTTCATCTTTTATATGGATTAACTAACTGATTATTAATCTCTTCAGAATTCTAACATGCTATGTTTTTAGAGTTCTATTCATTGAACAAGATATTTTCCTTGCCCTAACAGGTTCTATGGAGATTTGATGGCAAGAAGCCAAATACTTTAGGTTCCAATACTCGACTGTACAAGTGGTTACCCCAGAATGACCTTCTTGGTAAGATTCTGGAGAACAAACAGTGAATATATTAGTAACAGCAAATTGGAGTGATAATAGTTCAACATAAAACAAACATATTTAGCATTTATTATTGGAAAACTAAAAAACAAATCAAATTTAACTACTTTATATTTATTTTCCAGTCTTAGTATAAAAAGAATGCACTATAGTAGTTGGCATTTTATTACATACAGTCACATTCTTTATGGTCAGAATAAAAATCTCTTTGTTCAGGTGTAATTTCCTCTCACAGGTTTTAAATAACATCCTGGATTTTCTGTCTGTCTCCTATTTATGCAGCTTTACCTCTGTTCTTTCCCCTACTGCAGGGTTATTTCAACAGGCACTGAAAAATAGCGGACACTTTTCTATTACCAGTGACTCTACTTTTTATGGGAATAAATAACCAATCTTTATCATGATAAAATGATAACACATTTCATGATGATGCATAACCGGTCCTTCCTCAGCCCCACCTCCACCCTACTCCCTGCTGCCTTTTAAAAAAAATTAAATATTTTAAATATTTTAAGTATTTAAATATTTTTTAAATATGTAAATGTGACCTCATTATTTATAATACTTAAAAGACCACGTTCTTGTATACCCAATCTTATTCTTTTTTTTGCACATTTTAATTTTTTAATTAAGAATATGCTTTTTCATTTTGTTCACCTGGCAATTCTTCTGAAATTTGAAAACAATTTCAATGCAGTTTTGTGGGTATAATGTTACCTAGGGAACAGTTTTGCTTTAAGTTCCTTATATTGTGCATTTCTTATTCAATTCTCATACCTTGTAATTAATAATTTTGTTAAAATGCATCCACTTTTAGGTCATCCCAAAACCAAAGCTTTTATAACTCATGGTGGAACCAATGGCATCTATGAGGCGATCTACCATGGGATCCCTATGGTGGGCATTCCCTTGTTTGCGGATCAACATGATAACATTGCTCACATGAAAGCCAAGGGAGCAGCCCTCAGTGTGGACATCAGGACCATGTCAAGTAGAGATTTGCTCAATGCATTGAAGTCAGTCATTAATGACCCTGTGTGAGTATTACAGTTTTGTGACCAGGTGGTATTTATAAATTATTTTGTCAACAGTGAATATGAATTTTAACCCGTTTTTAAGAGACTAATTTTGAAGGGATTGAAGTGATTTAACCAATGTAAAATCTGTCCTTACTTTCCACCAGACAGTTTATTTCAAAGTTACATTTCAACCCCACAGATTTAATGGGTCACCAATGACTGCAATGAATTATAAAATCAAAAAAATTAAAGATATGTAGATAATTATTTTAAATATTTTTAATGATAGAATGCACAATGAAAAGAAAGAACATAACTAGAGAAATATGATATTTCAATTCAATACCTAAAATTTCTGAAAGTATGAATCTATTCTTTCTCAAAAATTTATTTTTATTATCATTATTTTAAGAAATGTGATAATGAATTATAATTTGCATAGCATAACATTCACTAAAATTTAAAATCTAAATATATTTAGTATGTTTACATAGTTACAAAGCCACAGCCCTAAAGAACATTTTAATGAATTCAAATTAAACTCATAATGTATGAAGTCACTCCCAATAAACCTCTAGTCCTAGAAAAATACCATCTTACTTTGTTTCTCAATAGATTATTCTCTTCACATATTTTATATAAATGAAATCATACAATTTATGGTGTTTCATAAATGACTTCTTTCACTTAGCATAATTAGTTTTAGTTTTATTTATGTTGTAGGATGTATCAGAACTCATTCATTTTTATTTCTATATAATATTCTTTGATATGTTTATACCAAAATTACCCATTTATCAGGTCATGGACATTTTAGGTCTTTCCAATTTTGGCATTTATGAACATTGTTATACATATTTTCCGTGTAAAAATATGTTTTTACTTCTTTTGAGGAGATGCTAGGAGTGGACTTGCTGAGACATATGGGAAATTGTTGTTTATGAAGAACTGCTAAACTGTTTTTCAAAGTATTTGCATCATTTTTCATTACCACCAGCTGGATAGGAGGGCTCTAATTTCTTCACACTCTTCCCAACACTTGTTATCACCTGTCTTTCTATTACAGCCATTCTAGTGTGTGTAAAGTGGTCTCTCATTATGGTTTTCATTTGCATTTCCTTATGGCTGAAGATGTTAACCCTCTTTTCATGTGCTTACTGGTCATTCACACATCTTCCTTAGATAAATTTCTATTTTAATCTTGTGAATATTTTGTCTTTTTCTATTTATCTTATGGATTCATAAGAATTATTTATATATTATAGATACAATCCCTTATCAAATATGTGATTTTCAAATATTTTCTTCCACTATGGACAGATAGATTTTTTTTTTTACTTTTTGGAAGATGCCTTTTGAAATACAAAGGTTTCAATGTTGATAAAATAAATATGTAATACTTAACTTTTCCATAATCCAAAGGAAATACTATGAAAAATGCTGTGCCTAGACCAGCTACCATCAATTCAGAGTCTATTACTCCTACCAATATTATTATGAGGTTAGGTGGTACCAGCTAAGGGAATACATTAAAAACACTTTACCAAAAAATTAGTAAGACAAGAAATGATTTAAGATACTTCAAAAAAAGTAAGAAAGTAAAGAAACATAAAACAGGTTAGAAAATTAAAATATATATATATATAGAATAAGATGCTGGATTTAAATGTGAACTAGAGAAAGAAATAAAGGGTATTCAAATAGGAAGGGAAGAAGTTAAATTGTCTCTGTTTGCAGATGACATAATTCTATAGTTAGAAAACCCCTTTGTCGCAGCTCCAAAATTCCTTAAGCTGATAAGCAACTTCAGCAAAGCCTCTGGATACAAAAATCAATATGCAAAAATCACAAGCATTACTATACACTGACAGTACATGATTTGACAGAGAGCCAAATCATGAATAAATTCCCATTCACAATTGCAACAAAGAGAATAAAATACCTAGGCATATGCCTAACAAGGGATGTGAAGGACCTCTTCAGGGAGGACTAGAAACCACTGCTGAAGGAATTAAGACAGGACACAAACAAATGGAAAAACATTCCATCCTCATGGATAAAAAGAATCAATATTGTAAAAATGGCCATGCTGCCCAAAGTATTTTATATATTCAAAGCTATTCCCATCAAACTACCATTGACATTCCTCACAGAATTAGAAAAAAACTACTTTAAATTTCATATGGAAACAAAAAAGAGCCCATATAACCAAGGCAATCCTAAGCAAAAAGAACAAAGCTGGAGGCATCATGCTACCTGACTTCAAACTGTACTACAAGGCTACATAACCAAAACAGAATGGTACTGGTACCAAACAGATATATAGACCAATGGAACAGAACATAGGCCTCAGAAATAACACTACACATCTACAACCCTCTGATTGTTAACAAACCTGACAAAAACAAGCAACTGGGGAAAGGATTCCTTATTTAAGAAATGTTTTGGAAAAACTGGCTAGCCATATGGAGAAAACTGCCACTGGATCCCTTCCTTACACCTTACAGTAACCAAACCAGCATAGTACTGGAACAAAGACAGACATATAGACCAGTGGAACAGAACAGAGGCCTCAGAAAAACACCACACATCTACAACCATCTGATCTTTGACAAACCATACAAAAACAAGCAATGGGGAAAGGATTCCCTATTAAATAAATGGTGCTGGAGAAACCGGCTAGCCATACGCAGAAAACGGAAACTAGTCCCCTGCCTTACACCTTATACAAAAATTAACTCAAGATGGATTAAAGACTTAAATGTAAAACCCAAAACCATAAAAACTCTAGGAGAAAACCTAGGCAATATCATTCAGGACATAGGCATGGGCAAAAATTTCATGACACAAACACCAAAAGCAATTGCAACAAAAGCCAAAATTGACAAATGGGGTCAAATCAAACTAAAGAGCTTCTGCACAGCAAAATAAACTATCGTCAGAGGGAACAGGCAACCTACAGAATGAGGGAAGATTTTTGCAATCTATCCCTCTGACAAAGGTCTAATATCCGGAATCTACAAGAAAGTTAAACAAATTTACAAAAAAAAAAAAAAAAACAACACCATCAAAAAGTGGGCAAAAGATATAAACAGACACTTCTTAAAAAAAGACATTTATGCAGCCAACACACTTATGAAAAAAGCTCAATATCACTGATCATTAGAGAAATGCAAATCAAAACCACAATGAGATACAATCTCATGCCAGTCAGAATGGCGATGATTAAAAAGTCAAAAAACAACAGATCCTGGTGAAGCTGGGGAGAAATAGGAAAGCTTTTTACATTTTTGACGGGAATGTAAGTTAGTTCAACCATCATGGAAAACAGTGTGGTGATTCCTCAAAGACCTAGAACCAGAAACACCATTTGACCTAGCAATCTCATTACTTCGTATATACCCAAAGGCATATAAATCATTCTACTATAAAGACACATGCACATGTATGTCTATTGCAGCGCTATCTACAATATCAAAGATATGGAACCAACCCAAATGCTCATCAGTGATAGACTGGATAAAGAAAATATGATACATGTACACTATGGAATACTATGCACCATAAAAAGGAATGAGATCATGTCTGTTGCAGGGACACGGATGAAATGCAAAGCCATTATCCGCAGCAACTAACACAGGAACAGAAAACCAAACACCACATGTTCTCACTTATAAGAGGGAGTTGAACAATGAGAATACATGGACTCAGGGAGGGGAACAACACACACCGGGGGATGGAAGGGGAGTGAGAGTATCAGGACAAATAGCTAATACATGAGGGGCTTAAAATCTAGATGACAGGTTGATCGGTGCTGCAAACCACCATGGCACGTATATACGTATGTAACAAACCTGCACATTCTGCACATGTATACTGGAACTTAAAGTAAAAATAAAACTTTTTAAAAAAATTTGAACTGACCAGGTGCAGTGACTCACGCCCGTAATCCCAGCACTTTGGGAGGCTGAGGAGGGCAGATCACGAGGTCAAGATATCGAGACCATACTCCTGGCCAACATAGTGAAACCCTGTCTCTACTAAAAATACAAAAATTATCTGGGCATGGTGGTGTGCACCTATAGTCCCAGCTACTCAGGAGGTTGAGGCAGGAGAATCACTTGAACCCGGGAGACGGAGGTTGCAGTGAGCCGAGATAGTGCCACTGAACTCCTGGTGACAGAGCGAGACTCCATCTCAAAAAAAAACAAAAAAGCAAAAAAACAAAAAAGTGAACCTACCAGTACTCACATTAAATTTAAGCAGACCAAAAAGAAAAGACAAAATAGTGATCTTTGAAATATTTTATTTAAGGAGATAAAACATTTGAAGTACACAATTAAATGTAATCTATGTGTTATATATGTGTGTGTGTATATATATTGCACATTTATCTGTATATATGTATCCATACATATATCTCTGGTTGTGTGTGTGTAGACAGAAAATAAACATTTTTAAAAGAGTTTATGGAGACCGGGTGTGGTGGCTCACACCTGTAATCCCGACACTTTGGGAAGCCAAAGTGGGAGGATCACATGAGGTCAGGAGTTAAGAGACCAGCCTGGCCAACATGGTGAAATCCTGTGTCCACTAATAATACAAAACTTAGCCAGATGTAGGGGATGAGCACCTGTAGTCCCAGATACTTGGGAGATTGAGGCATGAGAATCACTTGAACCCAGGAGATGCAAATTGCAGTCAGCCAAGATCACTCCATTGCACTCAAGCCTGGGTGACAGAGAGACTCTGTCTCAAAAAAAAAAAAAAAAAAAAAAAAAGATTATATGAAATAGTTACCTGAATTTACCATATGCTGGGCCATAAATAAACACTAAGTAAATTGTATCAGATTCAAATTCATAAAAATTATATGTTCTAGTCATACTAGAAATAAATTATAAATCATCCAAAAACGATAACTGAAAACAATCTGATTCTTTAAAATAAAAAATATTTTTTAAAAAATTCAGTCAACAAAAAATTCTAATTATAAATGTGCCTTTCTCTCATCAACTATTCTTCCAAGTATACATCCAACAAAAATGAATAAATATTTAAACCTAATAAAATATACAAATATCTTAATACCATAATTATTAGTAAGGTCAAAAAATGTTAACAACACAAATATCCATTAATCACAAAATGAAGAGATCATCTGTGGTCTTTGTCAATCAACTGAATACTCTCTACACCAATGCTATTAAACAACTGCTAACCAAAAACAGAAATGAATATGTATTATTTAATTCAATTATATAAACAATACTAATCTATGATATCAGAAATCAGGTTAATACTTACTTTGAGGATAAAAATAGTGACTAAAATGGCCCAGGAGGAGAGAGTTCTTCTATGCAGTTTGTGATAAATTGGTGTCTTCACTTTGGGATAATGTTTAAGATAATCTTAAAATTTTGAGGTAGTCACATAGTATATATACATTTATCCTATGTATTTCATACTTGAAGTTTTACTGTAGAAGATATACAACATATTTTAAAGTTCCAGAAATCAAATAGCAAAGTAAGCATGAAGCACTAGAGAAATCCTATGGGTGCCTATAGTGTGGCCAGGAAAAGACTCTCCAAGAGGTATCATACAAGGGGAAGCCTCAAAAAGAAATAGAAGCAAACCTCAAGTAGTTGCAAGAAAGAATGCTCAATGAGAGAGACACGGGGAACAAAAGGTGTAAAGGGGCTAAGGTGAGAACACCTTCAGGAGTTTAGAGAAAAACCGAAGGCCATTGTCTCTAGAAGAAAGTGTACAGGGGGAAAGGGCTAGGACAAGTAGGTGCCTGTGTAGAGTTCTCTAGACCAAAGACAGATTTGGAATTTATTCTTAATGTAACAAGAAACCAGATGGAAATCTTAACAGGTGAGTGTCATAATTTGATATTAATTTGGAAAATATTCTGGCTACTAGAAGGAAAATATGGTAGAAGACAAAAGATTAGAGTAGAAGCTGAGAAACTAGTTAGGAGGCATTTCACCAGTTGTGTCACAATTCTTCTTTAAATACGTCAAAATGGGCTGGGCACAGTGGTTCATGTCTGTAGGGCCAACACTTTGGGAGGCAGAGGCAGGAGAATGACTTGACTACAGGAGTTCCAGACCAGTATGGGCACTACAGCAACACCTCATATCTAAAAGTGTAAAAAATAAAAAAATATAGCCAGGCATGGTGGTGTGCAGTTGTAGTCCTAGCTTCTCATGAGACTGAGATGTAGGATTACTTGAGACCGAAAGAGAAAGGCTGAACTGAGCCATGATCATGTGACTGCACTCAGCCTGTGTAATGGAGCAAAAGCCTGTCTCAAAAAATAAAAAAAAATTAAAAAGATCAAAAAGATCATTCTCAAATTCCATTTCCACTATCTTACTTATAGCACTTAGAATGGCTCATAATATTTTCTGCTCCAGAAAACATTAACTTTCCCACCGAAAATTCCATTTTTCATTTTTAAAGGTATTTGTCAGTGATAAAACTCCAATTTAAAAACCAAACTTTCTGTAATGACATGAATTAAAACATTGAAATTTCATGCCAATTCAGTGACACTTACTTTCAATCATTTGTGTGACACTTTTCAAAGACCATCCATAGACTTGATATGCTTAAGCAATAAATTTACTTTTAATGTTGATATCTTTATATTTATCCTTCAGCTATAAAGAGAATGTCATGAAATTATCAAGAATTCATCATGACCAACCAATGAAGCCCCTGGATCGAGCAGTCTTCTGGATTGAGTTTGTCATGCGCCACAAAGGAGCCAAGCACCTTCGAGTCGCAGCTCACAACCTCACCTGGATCCAGTACCACTCTTTGGATGTGATAGCATTCCTGCTGGCCTGCGTGGCAACTGTGATATTTATCATCACAAAATTTTGCCTGTTTTGTTTCCGAAAGCTTGCCAAAAAAGGAAAGAAGAAGAAAAGAGATTAGTTATATCAAAAGCCTGAAGTGGAATGACTGAAAGATGGGACTCCTCCTTTATTTCAGCATGGAGGGTTTTAAATGGAGGATTTCCTTTTTCCTGTGACAAAACATCTTTTCACAACTTACCTTGTTAAGACAAAATTTATTTTCCAGGGATTTAATACGTACTTTAGCTGAATTATTCTATGTCAATGATTTTTAAGCTATGAAAAATACAATGGGGGGAAGGATAGCATTTGGAGATATACCTAATGTTAAATGACGAGTTACTGGATGCAGCACGCCAACATGGCACATGTATACATATGTAGCTAACCTGCACGTTGTGCACATGTACCCTAAAACTTAAAGTATAATTTAAAAAAAGCAAAAAAAAAAAATACAACTCTTTTTTTTAAACCAGGAAGGAAAATGTGAACATGGAAACAACTTCTAGTATTGGATCTGAAAATAAAGTGTCATCCAAGCCATAAAAAAAAAAGAAAAGAAAAATAAAAATAATATAAAACCTTATGGGCTTATATTGATATTTATTATTCTAATCCAAAAGTTACACACGAAAGTTACTGAGCTTCATTATGTTTCACACATTGTATTTGAACACAACAACATTAAGAACTCCACTCATAGTATCAACATTGTTTTGCAAATACTCAAAATATTTTGGCTTCATTTTGAGCAGAATTTTTGTTTTACTTTAGCCAATGAAATCTTCAAGAATTAGGAGGAGGAGCCAAGATGACCAAATAGGAACAGCTCCAGTCTACAGCTCCCAGCGTGAGTGACACAGAAGACGGGTGATTTCTGCATTTCCATCTGAGGTACCGGGTTCATCTCACTAAGGAGTGACAGACAGTGGGCACAGGACAGTGGGTGCAGCACACTGTGTGTAAGCTGAAGCAGGGCAAGGCATTGCCTCACTGAGGAAGTGCAAGGGGTCAGGGAGTTCCCTTTCCTAGTCAAAGAAAGGGGTGACAGATGGCACCTGGAAAATTGGGTCACTCCCACCTGAATACTGCACTTTTCCAATGGGCTTAAAAAACGGTGCACCAGGAGATTATATCCCGCACGTGGCTTGGAGGGTCCTACACCCACAGAGTCTCACTGATTGCTAGCACAGCACTCTGAGATCAAACTGCAAGATGGCAACAAGGCTGGGGGAGGGGCACTTGCCATTGCCCAGGCTTGCTTAGGTAAACAAAGCAGCCAGGAAGCTCGAACTGGGTGGAGCCCACCAGAGCTCAAGAAGGCCTACCTGCCTCTGAAGGCCCCACCTCTGGGGGCAGGACACAGACAAACAAAGAGACAGCAGTAACCTCTGCAGACTTAAATGTCCCTGTCTGACAGCTTTGAAGAGAGAAGTGGTTCTCCCAGCACGCAGCTGGAGATCTGAGAATGGGCAGACTGCCTCCTCAAGTGGGTCCCTGACCCCTGACCCCTGAGCAGCCTAACTGGGAGGCACCCCCCAGTAGGGGAGAACTGACACCTCACACGGCCGGGAACTCCTCTGAGACAAAACTTCCAGAGGAATGATCAGACAGCAGCATTCGCGGTTCACGAAAATCTGCTGTTCTGCAGCCACCACTGCTGATACCCAGGCAAACAGGGTCTGGAGTGGACCTCTAGCAAATTCCAACAGACCTGCAGCAGAGAGTCCTGTCTGTTAGAAGGAAAACTAACAAACAGAAAGGACATCCACACCAAAAACCCATCTGTACATCACCATCATCAAAGACCAAAAGTAGTTAAAACCACAAAGATGGGGGGAAAACAGAGCAGAAAAACTGGAAACTCTAAAAAGCAGAGCACCTCTTCTCCTCCAAAGGAACACAGTTCCTCACCAGCAATGGAACAAAGCTGGACGGAGAATGACTTTGATGAGTTGAGAGAAGAAGGCTTCAGACGATCAAACTACTCCAAGCTACAAGAGGAAATTCAAACCAAAGGCAAAGAAGTTGAAAACTTTGAAAAAAATTTAGACGAATGTGTAACTAGAATAACCAATACAGAGAAGTGCTTAAAGGAGCTGATGGAGCTGAAAGCCAAGGCTCGAGAACTACGTGAAGAATGCAGAAGCCTCAGGAGCCGATGTGATCAACTGGAAGAAAGGGTATCAGTGATGGAAGGTCAAATGAATGAAACGAAGTGAGAAGGGAAGTTTAGAGAAAAAAGTATAAAAGGAAATGAACAAAGCCTCCAAGAAATATGGGACTATGTGAAAAGACCAAATCTACGTCTGATTAGTGTACCTGAAAGTGACAGGGAGAATGGAACCAAGTTGGAAAACACTCTGCAGGATATTATCCAGGAGAACTTCCCCAACCTAGCAAGGCAGGCCAACATTCAGATTCAGGAAATACAGCGAATGCCACAAAGATACTCCTCGAGAAGAGCACCTCCAAGACACATAATTATCAGATTCACCAAAGTTGAAATGAAGGAAAAGATGTTAAGGGCAGCCAGAGAGAAAGGTCGGGTTACCCACAAAGAGAAGCCCATCAGACTAACAGCAGCTCTCTCAGCAGAAACTCTACAAGCCAGAAGAGAGTGGGGGCCAATATTCAACATTCTTAAAGAAAAGAATTTTCAACCCAGAATTTCATATCCAGCCAAACTAAGCTTCATAAGTGAAGGAGAAAAAAAATCCTTTACAGACAAGCAAATGCTCAGAGATTTTGTCATCACCAGGCCTGCCCTAAAAGAGCTCCTGAAGGAAGCACTAAACATGGAAAGGAACAACCGGTACCAGCCACTCCAAAATCATGCCAAAATGTAAAGCCCATCAAGACTAGGAAGAAACTGCATCAAATAATGAGCAAAGTAACCAGCTAATATCATAATGACAGGATCAAATTCACACATAACAATATTAACTTTAAATGTAAATGGACTAAATACTCCAATTAAAAGACACAGACTGGCAAATTGGATAAAGAGTCAAGACCCATCAGTGTTCTGTATTCAGAAAACCCATCTCACATGCAGAGACACACATAGGCTCAAAATAAAAGGATGGAGGAAGATCTGCCAAGCAAATGGAAAACAAAAAAAGGCAGGGGTTGCAATCCTAGTCTCTGATAAAACAGACTTTAAACCAACAAAGATCAAAAGAGACAAAGAAGGCCATTACATAATGGTAAAGGGATCAATTCAACAAGAAGAGCTAACTATCCTAAATATATATGCACCCAATACAAGAGCACCCAGATTCACAAAGCAAGTCCTTAGAGACCTACAAAGAGACTTAGACTCCCACACAATAATAATGGGAGACGTTAACACACCACTGTCAACATTAGACAGATCAACGAGACAGAAAGTTAACAAGGATATCCAGGAATTGAACTCAGCTCTGCACCAAGCGGACGTAATAGACATCTACAGAACTCTCCACCCCAAATCAACAGAATATACATTCTTTTCAGCACCACACCACACCTATTACAAAATTGACCACATACTTGGAAGTAAAGCTCTCCTCAGCAAATGTAAAAGAACAGAAATTATAATAAACAGTCTCTCAGACCACAGTGCAATCAAACTAGAACTCAGGATTAAGAAACTCACTCAAAACCACTCAACTACATGTAAACTAAACAACCTGCTCCTGAATGACTACTGGGTAAATAATGAAATGAAGGCAGAAATCAAGATGTTCTTTGAAACCAATGAGAACAAAGACACAACATACAAGAATCTCTGGGACACATTCAAAGCAGTGTGTAGAGGGAAATTTATAGCACTAAATGCCCACAAGAGAAAGCAGGAAAGATCTAAAATTGACACCCTAACACAACAACTAAAAGAACTAGAAAAGCAAGAGCAAACACATTCAAAAGCTAACAGAAGGCAAGAAATAACTACGATCAGAGCAGAACTGAACGAAATAGAGACACAAAAAGCCCTTCAAAAAATTAATGAATCCAGGAGCTGTTTTTTTGAAAAGATCAACAAAATTGATCGACGGCTAACAAGACTAATAAAGAAGAAAAGAGAGAAGAATCAAATAGATGAAATAAAAAATGAGAAAGAGGATATCACCACCAATCCCACAGAAATACAAACTACCATCAGAGAATACTATAAACATGTCTATGTAAATAATCTAGAAAATCTAGATGAAATGGATGAATTCCTCAACACATACACTCTCCCAAGATTAAACCAGGAAGAAGTTGAATCTCTTAATAGACCAATAACAGGATCTGAAATTGTGGCAATAATCAATAGCTTACCAACCAAAAAAAGTCCAGGACCAGATGGATTCACAGCTGAATTCTACCAGAGGTACAAAGAGGAGCTGGTACCATTCCTTCTGAAACTATTCCAAACAACAGAAAAAGAGGGAATTCTCCCTAACTCATTTTATGAGGCCAGCATCATGCTGATACCAAAGCCTGGCAGAGACACAACAAAAAAGAAAATTTCAGGCCAATATCCCTGATGGACATTGATCCAAAAATCTTCAATAAAATACTGGCAAACCGAATCTAACAACACATCAAAAATCTTATCCACCACAATCAAGTCAGCTTCATCCCCGTGATGCAAGCCTGGCTCAACATACAGAACTCAATGAACATAATCCATCACATAAAAAGAACCAATCACAAATACCACATGATTATCTCAATAGATGCAGAAAAGGCCTTCGATAAATTCAACACACCTTCATGCTAAAAACTCCCCATTCACTAGGTATTGATGGAACATATCTCAAAATAATAAGAGCAATTTATGACAAATCCATAGCCCATATCATACTGAATGCAAAAAAGCTGGAAGCATTCCCTTTCAAAACCGGCACAAGACAAGGATGCCCTCTCTCACTACTCCTTTTCAACATTGTATTGGAAGTTCTAGCCAGGGCAATCAGCAAGAGAAAGAAATAAAGGGTATGGAAATAGAAAGAGAGGACGTCAAGTTGTCTCTGTTTGCAAATGACATGATTCTATATTTGGAAAACCCCATCATCTCAGCCCAAAAATTTCATAAGCTGATAAGCAACTTCAGCAAAGTCTCCAAATACAAAATCAATGGGCAAAAATCACAAGTATTCCTATACACTGATAATAGACAAACTGAGAGCCAAATCATGATTGAACTTCCATTCACAAGCACTACAAAGAGAATAAAGTACCTAGGAATATGGCTAAAAAGAGACGTGAAGGATTTCTTCAAGGAGAACTATAAACCACTGCCCAAGGAAATAAGAGAGGACACAAACAAATGAAAAAATATTCCATACTCACAGCTAGGAAGAATCAATATCATGAAAATGGCCACGGTGCTTAACGTAATTTATAGATTCAATGCTATTCAAATCAAGCTACCATTGACTTTCTTCTCACAACTAGAAAAACTACTTTACATTTTATATGGAAGGAAAAAAGAGCTTGTATAGCCAAGGCAACCCCAAGCAAAACAAAACAAAACAAAACAAAAAAAAGCGGCTGGAGGCATCACTCTACCTGACTTCAAACTGTACTACAAAGCTACAGTAACAAAAACAGCATGGTACTGGTACCAAGACAGATATATAGACCAATGGAACAGAACAGAGGCTTCAGAAATAACACCACACATCTACAACAATCTGATCTTTGACAAAACTGACAAAAACAAGCAACGGGAAAACTGGGAAAACTTGCTAGCTATATGCAGAAAACAGAAACTGATCCCCTTTCTTACACCTTATACAAAAATTAACTCAAGATGGATTAAAGACTTACATGTAAAACCCAAAACCATAAGAACCCTAGAAGAAAACCTAGGCAATACCAAGACATAGGGATAGGCGAAGACTTCAGGACTAAAACACCAAAAGCAATTGCAGCAAAAGCCAAAATTGACAAATGAGATCTAATTAAACTAAAGAGCTTCTGCACAGCAAAATAAACTATCATCAGAGGGAACAGGCAACCTACAGAATGGAGGAATTTTTTGCAATCTATCCCTCTGACAAAGGTCTAATATCTAGAATCTACAAGGAACTTAAATATATAAGACAAAAACAACACCATCAAAAAGTGGGCAAAGGCTATAAACAGACTCTTCTCAAAAGAATACATTTACGTGGCCAACAAACATATGAAAAAAAGCTCATCATCACTGGTCATTAGAGAAATACAAATTAAATCCACAATGAGATACCTTCTCATGCCAATTAGAATGACAATCATTAAAAAGTCAAGAAACAACAGATGCTGGAGAGGATTTGGAGAAATAGGAACACTTTTACACTGTTGATGGCAGTGCAAATTAGTTCAACCATTGTGGAAGACATTTTGGCAATTGCTCAAGGATCTAGAAGCAGAAATACCATTTGACCCAGCAATCCCATTACTGGATATATACCCAAAGGATTAAAAATCATTGTAATATAAAGACACATGCACATGTATGTTTATTGCAGCCCTATTTACAATAGCAAAGACTTGGAAACAACCCAAATGCCTACCAATGATAGGCCGAATAAATAAAATGTGTACCTATACACCATGGAATACTATGCAGCCATAAAAAATGAGTTCATGTCCTTTGCAGGGATATGGATAGAAACCATCATTCTCAGCAAACTAACATAGGAACAGAAAACCAAACACTACATGTTCTCGCTCATTAGTGGGAGTTGAACAATGAGAACACATAGACACAGAGAGGGGAAAATCACATATCAGGGCCTGTCAGGGGGTCTGGGACAAGGGGACAGAAAGCATTAGGACAAATACCTAATGCATGCAGGGCTTAAAACCTAGATGATAGGTCGATGGGTGCAGCAAATCACAATGGCACATGAATACCTATGCCACAAACCTGCACGTTCTGTAAATGTATCACAGAACTTAAAGTAAAATAAATAAAAAATAAATAAAAATTTTAAAAATAAGAATAAATAAAAGTAACAGGTTAAGCAGCATCATTGTCTGGGGTAAATACTCAAAACTCATCATCTCACTCCAGGGAAACTGAAAACATGGACACACGAGAAGTGAGTTTAAGAATGGAGGTTTAATAGGGGAAAGAAAGAGAAAGGAGAATAGCTCTCATTTCTGCAGAAAGGTGCTCCCGAATGGATCTTCTAGTCCCATGGTGAAATGCACAGGGATTTATAGATGAGCTTGAGGAAACAGTGTCTGATTTATATAGGGCACAAAGGATTGGTGGAACCAGGTGTGCCATTTACATAGTGTAAGAAGAAGCTGTCTGCCCCACCTTAATTTTCAATAAGCAAATGGTTTCTCTACATGGCCAGTGCCATGTTGCTGCTTCTTTACTGCACATATGGTTGACAAAGAAAAGGAAAGAGGGGACCTCCACGTTGAATATCCATGTTGAATATACCTGGCTTCAAGGTATCCCATCCCTTTTCTTTCTTTTTTTTTTTTAATTATACTTTAAGTTCTGGGGTACATGTGCAGAATCTGCAGTTTTGTTACATGGGTATACATGTGAAACAGTGGTTTGCTGCACCCATCAACCCGTCACCTCCATTAGATATTTCTCCTAATCCTATCCCTCCCCTAGTCCACCACACCTCAACAGGCCCCAGTGTGTGATGTTCCCCTCCCTGTGTCCATGTGATCTCACTGTTCAACTCCCACTTATGAGTGAGAACAAGTGGTGTTTGGTGTTCTGTTCTTGTGTTAGTTTGCTGAAAATGATGGTTTCCAGCTTCATCCATGTCCCTGCAAAGGACATGAACTTACCTTTTTTATGGCTGTGTAGTATTCCATGGTGTATATGTGCCACATTTTCTTTATCCAGTCTAACATTGATGGATATTTGGGTTGGTTCCAAGTCTTTGCTACTGCGAATAGTGCTGCAATAAACATACGTGTGCATGTGTCTTTATAATAGAATGATTTAGAATCCTTTGGGCGTGTACCAAGTAATGGGATTGCTGGGTCAAATGGTATTTCTAGTTCTAGATCCTTGAGGAATTACTGGCACAGTTGCCAGCATTTACCTATGCAAGCTTTAGCTTGTTTATCTAGGTTTGAAGCTTGATTTTTCTGGCTGCTTTTTGTTAGCAAGGAAATGATTTGGGGGGCTGCTTTTTATTAAAACAAAACCTTACCAAGGACTTTCACCCTCACTATCTGCCTAAATAATTTCTTTCTAGCTCCTGTATCACAGGCATAACTTTATCAGAAACCTGAGAAAATTTACAGTATTTAATCATATGAAAAGTAATATACTGTGAAAATGAAACAAAAGAAAAAAGAAAGCTCTAATACATTTGATCAAATTAGGTTGCACCCCATATTTTTTCAGCTAATTTTTTTTTCTCTAGCCTTTGCTGTGTCAAGGAGCTTTGTGAAGTCGTCTTCTGATAGGACAGGTCTCTCATTTTCTGCACCAGACTTCTTTAACATCTCTTCATGGAACCCTCGAAGAAACTCAGCTAGCACTCACTCACATATGCATAACCTGGCAGTGTGAGCAATAGAAAGTGATGGTTAATGATCACGCTTTACATCCACACAACTTCCTACTGGGTCCGCATGAGCTTTAGTCCCAACAGTTATGGTGATGATTAGTTTGGTAACACATTCTTGTACTGACTTTTCTCCCTTCTTGTTTCACCCTTTCCTGTCCCCTACTCCTGTACCCTAAGAACATTTCTCAAATTAAGTTATTGCACACTAATTCTTATCTCAGGCTTTGCTTTCTGAGAAAAATAGACTATGGCAGCTTGGGCAAGTGGCACTAAAAAGCAGACCCTCAACAAGGGACTTTGGAATTTAATAATTCACTGATAACTGGCAAAAACAATCTCATTGCCAATAACACTTGAGAGGTGATAACTCCTGGTATTCAGTAAAATCACTTTGAACAAAATGGATACAATTCACACAGGGGAGAAAAGAACTGAGGTGAAAGACATGGGGAAAGTGAACCATTGCTTTACCAACAGTATAAAGATCATGGTAATTACATAGTTTATAAAGTGAAGACTTTTAGCAGTTTTAGAGAGTTTGTAAAAAGAAAAAAAGCAGGCTCAGTTTGAATAAATATCAAATCAAAATATACTATGTAAGTCAGATGTTCTTGGCAGTGTTTAAAGAAAATCGACTTCTGTAGCAGCAGCAGCTGACCACATTGAGAATTTCTTCGCAAAACAACAGTGATGCACAGGAGACGACACTGTCCGCCTCTACTACACTTTATGCCAAATTCAGGGCCTGAAGAGCAAAATAATGGGACTCAGAGACTTGGAGTTGGAGAACAACAAATTAGAGATAGAATGACTCCTACCTGACAAATACTACAAAATTTAACTATTTGGGAAAACCTTTGTTCACAAGCTAATTCTCTTTTCCCCATGAACTTTTCTAAAGTGTGAACTGGTTGCTTTCACGGTCATTTTTAAACTTTAATATTGGATAAAATGTCTGAATTGTAGGTTGTGATAATATAAAACCAGCACTTTAAGGGGACTTACTGATTTTGATTATCACAAATGTACATGTATATATGTGTTCACTTCTTCCAAAACAAGGCACAGAATTATTGAGCTGCCTTACAGATGTTTGTGAAACTGAATGTGTTTGTAGAAGACAGTTAAAAATGATAATTATTCTATATAACCCTATTTTATATAAGGATGTCTCATGTTTCTCTCTTTCCTCAGAAGCCTGTAACTCTATTCATCCCATAACACTAATATGAAAACATAAGTCATTTAGCATGACCAAAAATAGGATAATGATTTTTTAAAATGTAAGCATATTGCAACTAATCATAATCAGTAACAATTAAAAGACCACAAAAATTACCAAAAATTGGCAAATAATAAAATCTCAGGAATTCTCAAGGCCCTCTTAAAAGCTACACATCAAGGAAACACTTTATGATCAAAGTAGTATGGGTTAACACAAACCTATGTGTCTTTATTGGTAAGAAGACCATCATCCAAGTCTCACAATAACCACTCTATGACCTATGGCATGAATGTATTCTAAAAATAAATTAAAATTTTGATGCTAAGGGAATTATTGGAAGAGATTGCAGCAACATTTTTATAAAATGTATCTAGATAAATGAAACATTTTTAAGAAAAATTGAATGAATATAGTGTCATAGTAGATAATATTGCTAAATCATGCATACAAACCTAAAGTAATTTACATCAAGCTTATCCTGCAACACATAGATAAAGGACTGGTATCTCTTGTATAGTGAGAGCTATTATATATCACCAACCAAAAAGACAAACAGACCAATATGAAAATAGATGAAGGATATGAATTGACAATTCACAGAAGTAAAAATGGCCAATCACATCAAAAAGATGGCTACTTGTACTAGAAAGTTGGACATTATAATTTAGTAAGTCAATAACCTTAAGTCAATGAATTTATTTTAACTTTTATTTTAAGCTCAGGGGTACATGTGCAAGTTTGTTACATAGGTAAATATGTGTCAACACCCAGGTATTAAGCCTAGTACCCACTAATTATTTTTCCTGATCCTCTCCCCCCTCCCACCTTCTACCCTCCAAGAGGCCCCAGTGTGTGTTGTTCATGTGTTCCATGTGCTCTCATCACTTAGCTTCCTGTGTGGCCATGTGTTCTCATCATTTAGCTTCCACTTGTAAGTGAGAACATGCAGCATTTGGTTGTCTGTTCCAAGACCTAATGACAGAAATACCATTTGACCCAGCAATGCCATTGCTGGGTATATACCCAAAGGAATATAATCATTCTATTATAAAGACACATGCATGTATATGTTGATTGCAACACTATTCACAATAGCAAAGACATGAAATCAACCTAAATGTCCATCAATGGTAGACTGAATAAGGAAAGTGCAGTATGTATACACCATGGATTACTATGTAGCCATAAAAAGTCAACGAATTATTTTCCCACAGGAGATTGATCAAACATAAGAATCTGAGAAAAGAGTTTGTGAGAGAGTATAAAGTGAAACAACTCTTACAAAAAAAATTAAACATACAGTTTGACTCTGCAATTCTACATCTAGTCATCTGCCATCCAGATATACTTGCACCTGAGTGCATGTATGTACAGGATGTTCCCTCCATCACTTGCCTGGCTATCAGTCAATGAACATACATACCTACCACAAAAAGTAGAAGGTATGCAGCAATTACAGAGAACAGGCATATTACAGACAATATCATGGAATGCTCTCCACATCACATTGCTAAATGAAAAAAAGTTTCAGAAAAAAAAGTATGATATTCTTCTTTGAAATAAAATTAAGAATCTGTAAATCTGTATAAACATAGAGGATTCTACTTTTAATTTTGATTCTATATACTTCATTCACTAACCTTTCACAAATTTGTTTTTATATATTAATTATATAGTTTTAAAAATTAATTAGTGAAATAAACATTGATTTGAGATAGCATGTTCTTGGGTTTTAATATAATATTATCAATCCATTAGTGCCATTTAGAAAACTTAAATTGACCAGCAATCCGGTGCTCTCTATCTGATAAATTTACAGCCTGTTTTTGGACACCTACTTGATATTTTAAATATTTATTAATAAATATATTAGAATGTTAATTAAAATTTTTAATTATGGCTAAAATTTTAGCAAACAAATTTTTAAAATTTTAATGTCTTATGTCAACATTTTATGAATTCTACAGTAGTTTAGTGATTTCTTCTAATTTTTAAGGTTATATTCGCAGTAATTTTGAGATGTGATTACAAATGCATTGGCAATCCTCTCATCAAGTCATATACCCTTCCTGTGAAATTTAGCAAATTTTGTGGCTGTCTCAAAAAAGAGAATATAGTGGAAGTGAGGAGCTTAACTTCCAAAGCTCAAAAAAATTGTTAATACATTTTCTCTGTCTGTCCTTCTGTCCTTTTCTCTGTGTTTCTGTCATTCTTTTTTCCTTTTTCTCTGTCTCTCCACTCGCTTTGGAGCCCTGTGCTATATCCACAGTCCCCAGGAGAAATATACCATTTGGTGTAGAAATACATATGTATGCCTAATAAGTCACAATTGGCCCAGCACTGCAGTAGCTTGAGACTTTTAATACTAATCACCAGATATGTGAGTGATTAACCTTCAGATGATTAGCCCAAGCTACCTTAGGACAGTAACCAACTGAGAAATGCTGTGCCATAAACACCTAACTGAGCCTGGCCAACAACCTAGAATTAAAACAGATGATGATAAAATGTTGCTGTTCTAAGCACCTTCATTTCAGAGCAGTTGGTTAAGCAGTGATAGACAACCAGAAAAATATTTTTACATATTTGAGTTATACTCCTGTAATAATATTAAAATTAATATATACCTACAAAAAAAGTGAATCTATATTACATTTTGTAACTACCTGTAACCCAGAAAGAGTAGTCAGCATAGGATGGTGGGTAAGAGCTTGCACTCTGAATCCAGATAACCTATATCATCTTTGCAAAACCATTACAGAATCACTTATGGTTAAGCAAATTACTTATCAGGTCTATGCCTCACATTCTCCTTCAGTGAAATGTAGATGAAGCAATGTCACTACCTACTTAATAGCATTGCTGAGACTAAAAGAGTTGCTGTATGTAATTGCTGTATATAGCAAAATTCAATTTGCTATAACTATTATTATTATTAAATGGATAAGTACATTTCTGCAATGAATTTGGACTTAACATAGTCCAAATCTTTTAAAATTTTAAAATTTTAAAATTTTATGTTTCAAATATAAATGATTAAAATTTCAAATATAAATTTTTAAAATTTTATATTTCAAATATAAATGATTAAAATGACAGCACTTTCTATTTCAATAATGTATTAATTGAGCACCTAAGCAAGAGAAAGCTATAAAAGGCATCCAAATAGGAAAAGAATTGAAGGTATTGTTCTTTGGTGATGATATGATTCTATACCTAGAAAATCCTAAAGACTGCCTAAAGCCTGCTAGAACTGAAAAATGACTTCAGTAATGTTTCAAGATACAAAATCCATGTACAAAAATCAATACCATTTCTATACACCAATAAAAATTCAGGCTAAGAGTCAAATCAAGAACACAATCACATTTATACCACACACACAAACAAAATATACTTAAAAATACATCTAACCAAGGAGACAAAAGTTTTCTACAAGAACTACAAAGCACTGCTGAAATAAATCATAGATGACTCAAACAAATGGTAGAGCATTTTATGCTCAGGGTTGGAAGAATCAATATCATTAAAATAACCATCCTAACCAAAGCCATCCACACATTAAATGCTATTCCTATTAAAATGCCAATGTCATTATTCACAGAATTAGAAAAAAATATTCAAAAATTTCCATAAAACCAAAAATTAGCCCAAATAGCTGAAGAATGCCTCAGCAAAGAGAACAAAGCCAGAGGCATCACATTACCCAACTTCAAACTATGTTATAAGGCTGCAGACACCAAAACAGCATGGTTCTGTTACAAAAACAGACACATAAATCAATGAAACAGAATACAGAGCCCAGAAATACAGCAACAGACCTATAGTCATCTATCACTGAGTCAACAAAAATAAGCAATGGAGAAAAGGACTCCCTATTCAATAAATGATGGTGGGATAGCTTGCTAGCCATAAGAAAAAGAATGAAACTGGATCTCTACTTTTCACCAAGCAAAAATTAACCCAAGATGAATTAAATGTTTAAATATAAGACCTAAAGCTATAAGACTTATTGAAGAAAATCTAGGAAATACCATTCTAGACATCAGCCTTGGGAAAGAATTTATAACTAAGTCCTTAATAACAATTGCAACAAAACTCAAAATTCACAAGTGAGATGTAAACTGAAGAAATATTAGCAAACTACACATCTGTTAAAGGTCTAATATCTAGAATCTATAAGAAACTTGAATAATTCAACAAGCAAAAATCAAGTAACCCCGTGAAAAACCGGGCAAAAGATGTGAACAGGTACTTCTCAAAAGAAGACATACAAGGAACCAACAAACGTGACAAAAATGCTCAACATCACTAATCATCATAGAAATGCAAATCAAAACCACAATGAGACCATCTCACACTAGTCATAATGGCTATTACTAAAAAGTATAAATTAATAATAATACCACATGCTAGTGAGGATCCAGAGAAAAGGAAATGCTTATATACTGTTGGTGGATTGCAAATTAGTTGAATTACTGTGGAAAGCAGTTTAGAGATTTCTCAAAAAAAAGGTAAAACAGAAGCACCATTCCACATAACAAACAAACTCACCTATTCTAAATAAAATGGAAATACAAATTAATTTATTAACTCATTATTAACATAATTAAACATAAATCATCTGACTCACTAAAAATCTATACTATTTTATTAAAATTGCATTGAATATATACAATATATTGAATATATAGTAATACAGAAATATATAGAAATATATATTGAATATATAGAAAGGTTAAAGGAAAAAATGAACCTGCAGAGATCAGAATAGGTTCTATAAAGCCTCAGATGGTAAATATTTTTGGAATTTGCAAACCCTTTAGACTCTTGTTCCTACTCAACTCTTCCACTGTAGTACAAAAGCAGCCACAGACAATAAGGTAAACTCTGTAAAAGTAAACAAAATCAACAAACTGTTAGCTAGACTAAGTTGGAAAAAGTGAGAACAGACCCACTAAATAAAATCAGAAGTGAAAGAGGAGACAAAAAACTGAGATTACAGAAACACAAATTATTACAGAATATTATGAACAACTATATACCAACAAATTGGAAAACCTAGATGATATTAATAAATTCCTGGACACATACAACCAACCAAGATAGACCCATGAAGAAATAAAAAACCTGAACAAACTAATAACAAGTAACAAGATTGAAGCTGTAAGGAAAAAGTCTCCCATAAAAGAAAAGCCAGTGTCTGATGGCTTCCAGTGAAATATTATTTAGAAAAAAATAGTGGGGTAATAACTGGAAATGGTAGAGTAGAAAATATCAAAGCTCTATACTTCTATCAAATATTTAAAATAATTAATCCTCCAAAAAATAAAAGAGGAGAAAACATAACCACCATTCAGTAAGCCCTTATGCTAAAAACCACACAATGGCTTCAAGTCCTGTCTTTTATATACCTGCAAATATAAAATGTTAATTTATACTCTCAGGGTAAAAGTCAAGAGAACTCTGTTTTAGGACCTTGTGATTTTCCTTGTGAGTAAATTGGGAAGGAGGCCCTCTGGAGAGGTATGTGGCCTTCTATTTTTGCATTTATCTGTTTAGGAACAAAATGGGAGCCAGTTTTACATGGTTTGTTTCCCAAGATTAACTTTTCTCTTTGACATAGTGAGTTTAATGTCTCAAGATTTTTACTTTCCTTTCGCACTAGCAAAGAAAATTCAGGAACATACGAAAAGCTTAAATGCCATAAACAAATGAATTTTATTCCAGGAATGCAAAGTTATGTTAACATCTGAAAAAGCCAACTAGTATATCATATCATTAGAATAAAGGAAAAAACTGCATAATCACTTCAATAACTGCAGAAAAACTTATTTAATGAAATTCAATACTCTTCATCATAAGAACACTTAAACTAGAAGTAAAGGAGAACATCTTAAAACTGATCAATAGTATCTATAAAAAAATACACAGCTGCTACTCGGGAGGCTGAGGCAGGAAAATGGCGTGAACCCGGGAAGCGGAGCTTGCAGTGAGCCGAGATTGCGCCACTGCAGTCCGCAGTCCGGCCTGGGCGACAGAGCGAGACTCCGTCTCAAAAAAAAAAAAAAAAAAAAAAATACACAGCTAACATCACACTAAATTGACTCTTCTCACTTCCACTCAATATTGCAGTAGAAATTTCAGTCAACAAATAAGAAAGAAAATGAAATAAAAGGAATCCACATTAGAAAGAAAGAAGTTAAACTATCTCTATTGGCATATATAATGATCTTGTAATAGGAAATTTTTACAAATCCACTAAAAAATATTCAAGTAAACCAATAAAACAAGATTTTGGGATCCAAGATAAGAAAACAAAAAATCTACAAAATTGCAATGGAAATTTAAACTAAAATGAAGATTAAACAATCACCCTTATAATACCATGAAAAAATATAATTCTTAGTAATAAGTTTAACAAAAAATTGTACAACTCTCACTGTGAAATTATTACTAGTGGTGGTTACTGCAGCAAATTTTTGTGGTTCTGCAGCAACCTGAATTCTTGCCTCCTCAGAAGAAAGAATTTGATTGAGGGGCACAAGGCAAAAAAAGAGACCGGGACAAGTTTCAGAACAAAAGTGAAAATTTATTAAAAAGGTTTATAGCAGGAAAGAAAGGAAAGTACACTTGGGGTATATCCAAGTGGCCATTTTGAAGGTAAAGTGCAGTGTTTGACCTTTGACTTAGGGTTTTATATGTTGGCATACTTCCAGGATCCTGCTTCCATTTTCCTTGATTCTTTCCTTAGGGTGACCTGCTGGTATGTGTGATGGCCTGCTAGCACTTAGGAGATGAGTATGCACAGTATGTTTACTGGAGTCATATGAATGCTCCCCTGAGGCATTCTTCCCTTTTCTGGTGCCACCGGAATGTCTTACTCCACCATTTGGCCTCTTAATGTGCATGCGTGAGCCCACTCACCCAACTCCTGAGATCTTATCAGGAAGCTGCTGATTACCAGATTTGATTTTTTCTATTTATAGGAAAGCTGCCTTTCTCTGGCTGGCTGCAACCAATTATTATTTTAGCGAGACAGTGTGACAACTGCCTGACCATTAACTGATGGTCATCTGACTTTCCTGGTAGGGTGTGGGAGCCGTCTTCTGCCCTGTTTGTGTCTGACTAGCTAGCCACTGTAACAAAATCTACAAAACGCTGTGGAAATAAGAACATCTAAATAAATAGAAAGGCATCACATCTTCATTTATTGAAAGACCTAATATTGTGATAATTACCATACTCTACTCCCCAAATTCATATACCAAATCAATGCAATCCCTATCAAAATCCCAGATCACTTCTTTGCATAAACAGACAAGCTGATTCTGAAATTTATACATATTCAAGAGACATACTAATAGCCAAAAGAAGCTAGGTGTAGTGAAACACATCTGTAAATCCAGCTACTCAAGAGGCTGTGTTGGGAGGATTGCTTGAGCCCAGAAATTTGAATCTAGTCTGGGCAATATAGTAACACCTCTACCTCTTAAAGAAAAAAAGCAAGAAGAAAAAAATTTTTTAAAAAACTGAAACAATTTAAAATAAAAATGAGCTGGAAAACTTACATTTCCTGCTTTTAAAGACAAATACAAATATACAATAATCAAGAGAGTGTGATACAGGCCTACAGATAGACATGTAGATCAATGGAATGGATTTTAGAATATAGAAATACACCCATGCATTTAAAGTTTTTGACAAAAGTTTCAAAACTATTTAAGGGGGAAAGAATAGATTATTCAACAAATATAAGTGGGAATAATGATTATCCATATACAAAATAATTGAGTTGGGACCCTCTACCTCAAATCACTTACAAAAGCTAATTCAAAGGTGATCAAAAACTTAAATGTAAGCACTAGAACTATAAAACTCTAATAATAAATAACAGGTACTAATTTTTGTAACTTGGAAATGGTTTGTGAGATATAAAATCAAAAATAAAAGCAACCAAATTAAAATTGATTAGTTGGACTTCATCAAAATCAATACTTTTGTGCTTCAATGAACACCGTTAAGAAAGTAAAAGGACAGCCCAAAGAATAAAAAAAAAACAAGGAAATCATATATGTGATAAGGTTCTTATATCAGAAAGATATTAAAAACACAAGTCCATAAGAAGACAAATAATTCAACCAAAATTAGGCAAAACATGCTCAACATGATTTCATATCAAAGAAAGGTAAAGCATAACCAGATATCACTTCATTCACACTGGCTATAATCAAACGAAATATAATCCCAAGTGTTGGCAAGGTTGGGAAGAAATTAAAATTCTTATACATTGCTGGTGAGAATGGAAATTGAAGCATCCACTGTGAAAAACAATCTGGAAATTCCTATGGTAATTTAGAAATTATATGGTAACAGACAATTCCTATGGTAATTTAGAAATTATATGGTAACTACTACTTTGAATTGTAGCAGTTATACTTTCACTTGATTGATTTATCTTCAGATATAAGTAGGAGAAAAACAGAAAGAAACAGCGATTTGAAAAGAAGCATTGCATTGCACCAGGAGAACTATGAAATCGATGTCAAATATTCTCCTGATACAACTCAGTTGTCACTTTAGTTCTGGGAGTTGTGGAAAGGTGCTAGTGTGGCCCACAGAATACAGCCATTGGATGAATATAAAGACAATCCTGGATGAACTTGTTTGGAGAGGCCATAAGATGACTGTGCTGTCATCTTTGGCTTCCATTATTATTCACCCTAGTAAATCATCTGCTATTAGATTTGAGGTTTATCCAACATCTCTAATTAAAAATAATTTTGAGGGTCTTGTTGTGAAACTGATCAATAGATGGATATACGATCTTCAGAAAGATGCATTTTGGTCATATTTCTCACAAGCACAAGAACTCTTTTGGGAATCTACAGACTGTGTTAATAATCTCTGTAAAGATGTAGTTTTGAACAAGAAAATTACGACAAAACTACAAGAGTCAAAGTTTGATGTCGTTCTTGCAGATGCCCTTGGTGCCTGTGGTGAACTGCTAGCTGAGCATGTTAAAGGCATGTTAAATACATGTCCTTTGTTGACAGTCTCCTGGCTACACACTTGAGAAGTATAGTGGAGGACTTCTATTCCCCACTTCCCGCATACCTGCTGTTCTGTCTGAATTAAGTGGTAAAATGACATTCGTGGAGAGGATTAAAAATTTAATACATGTGCTTTATTTTGACTTTTGGTTTCAAATGTTTGATACGAGAAGTGGGAGAAGTTTTACAGTGAAGTTCTAGGTAAGTCATGTTTCTAATCAATGGTTAATAAGTTCTAACTTTCCTTTTGCCTTTGAAGGTGAGCGTATATAAATATAATGTAAGAAGATAGTGTTGTTTAAATGAAATGATGAATGGCAAATGTAAGATGATCTATCAATCTCACAAATATTATAGAAATGTTGATATTATAGGCTCAGCTAGAACCCTTTGGCCATCGCTCCTATAGGACACTACAGGAATTAAAAAAAAAAAACTACAAAGTAAAGCACTTATGATTTCTTTAAGCAACTATATAAGTATTTTACTATACTTTTTTCATCTTTAAAAAAGGCAATACATATATCAATAAACAACTTGATGAAGGCAGACATTTAGATGAGGAGCTACACATATTTCTAGCATAACTATTAATGCAGCATTGAGAAACTTGTTTCTCTTTGTGTACCTCAGTTTTCTTATTTAGGTATTAAAATATTTTTCTCTATAAACAGAAGGATTCCTTCACAGTTGAGAGGTATACTGGCTCTATTTCAGAAACAGAAACCTAAAATTTGAGGTTTCTAGTGTTTGTTCATAGTTCACTAACAACTTGGAAATTATTTGCTTTGTGAACTGAAACCTTGTTGAAAGTGAACATTCAAGCTTTTAATCTATATTTTATTGAACTACTTCTCTTTATTAGGGAAAATATGGGCCAAGTTAAGGGGGAGCACATATCTCTGTTTCAATAAATTCTGAATATATACTAGCTATCATTTTTAAATGTATGTATTTTACAACTAATATCATTAAAATCTTAACATGAACTAGAAGCAGTAGTATGTTCAAGGATTTCAGCCATACTCTCAGAAAACTCACAGTTCACTTGGAGAACCAAGGATCAAGGGACTGACTTGATAAATTGTGGAAACTAGATTTTGTGCTTTGTAGAAAGCTGTTTTTATAAGTATAGTAAGATGAATTAATCGTGGAGCTCAAAGAGCTGTTTAAATCTATATTGGTTACTACTGCAACTTTAGAGAGGAAACAAATGCATATTTAAGTCCATAGTGGCTTATTTCAATAACTATTTGTGATTGTGAATATACTTATGTTACATTAAATATGTAATTTCCTCTTAATTATCTGAACACTTTGCTTTCCTTATATATAAGTAACATGCAATATATGAAAATTGTTATGCTTATGTATAAAAAGATATGTATACATTTATTTTATTAATGTACATTATTTCAGACAATGGGGAAAGCTGAAGTGTGGCTCATTCAACTGTACTGGGATTTTGAATTTCTTCACCCACCCTTACCAAATGTCGATTTTGTGGGGGAACTCCACTGTAAACCAGCCAAAACCCTGCCTAAGGTAAATTTACTCCTGTTTGATTTGTTTGCTTTGCATTTCAGAAGGAATGGCCAGATATGTTTTTATTCAGAGTGTTTGACTCACAGTAAGAGAAAATATGGGAGGTCGAGTAAAGCGACCTACCATTAGAAACTCATATGTTTCTATATCATCACAACTGTGTAAACTTTAGTGTCATTAAATATCAAAGAGGGATACTAAAGAGACTCTGAAAACAGGGTTGATTCAATGAAAGCCTTCATTGTGCAAAGTAAAAAAAAAGTATAAGTCATTCCTTCAAAGAATGTTTATGAAGTGATCAGCATAAACCATGGATAAGTGCTCGATTTTCAGAGAAGAAATGTAGGCACTTTCTGCTCCCTCATGCCTTACGTTGTACTTTGAAAGATAGACTATAAGCAAGTAAAAAGGAAAAGTCTAAAAGTGTTATAAGGTCACAATGCTAAGCAAACATCTAGAAGAGATCTCAAAGTCATTGGTAAAGTGAGTCCTCAGTAATGTGCAGGAATAGGTGAAAAGAAGAGGGGGAGAGGAAAACAAAAAAAGAAAAGCAGGTAGTGAAGTAAAGGCAGTTCCTAAGATTTCTAATTAGTATGCAGGAAAAAGCTGAGTAAAGTAGCAGATGTTGCTAGAGAGGTAAGTGGAAGCAATATAATTATAAGGAGATCGAAGTGTCTATTAAGGGCAATGGGGAGCTACTGCACAGAGTTAAGAAATGGAGAGATGTGATCAGATTCCCTTTCTTTAAAAAGCTCTCAATGTTGTCAATGGATTACATCACAAAAAGGCCAGATTGTGAAAAGTGTAGATCATTTAGAAGATTTTGCATGAGTTTATGCAACAGATAATGGAAAAGTGGACTAGAATGTTGATAGAGATAATTATGCCTACTTCTATAATAATGGCAATTTCTTCCTATTGTGTTGTGTTGAAAATATACTTAATACAGATAAAACACTTATAATGTCTCTCGTACATAGTGATTCAAATAGTAGTAATATTGTAATGATTTTTTATTTTTGTTATTACTATTAATAGTATCCATTAGTTAACATATGCCAGCCACTCGAGATATAATTTTTCTATTAATAGGAACAGTTTTCCAACACATCAAGGTTCTCCAGCAAAGTCCTAGAGAACAGATCCCCTGTGGACTTGTTTAAATATAGATTTTTGGGCAGTCAGATGAACAAGATGAAATGCTAACGATGTAAGGGTTAAGGCTTTTCAAGGTACACTATTCATCAACGACATAAATGTGTGCCACCAGAATATTCTCAGCCAAAGCCAATGTTTACTTGCTTTCACTCTAGCATTTAAAACTTTCGTCAGTGAGATCACAGAGGTTTATATCTTAGAGCATAAAAGGGTCAGTTTACCCTTTTAATGTTTTCTGCCTTATGCCACGCCTATAGGACACCTCAGTAAAAATCTCTGGGAAACTTGGGACTCATCATCACAGCTGCCTGACAGAGAAGCACCAAAAAAAAAATGAACAATGCATGTATAATAAGATCCAAATAATGTCTACCACTTGCATCTGAAAACTACACTGAGATTTATCAAAGAATTATGCCAGGATATAGGATGATCTTCCTTATGAAGAAACAAAAGAACCTCATATATTTTACTTTAATGTTATTCTTTTGAGACATAAGTAGAAAGCAAGCATTCCTCACTACTTTATTATATAAGTCTTAAGAGATCTTTTTGTCTACCTTCTTATTAGCAACAACAGAAAACTGAAATCTTAGTCGAGTTAAATCCCAATGTTTATGCTGAATGAAAATTGCATAGGCTCTATGTGGTAATTTCCCAAAGGACAAAGGCAGAGGTAGGACCAATGAAAATTCTATGCACTCTAACCTTATTCTCAAAAAATTTCCCCTTTCGCAATAGAGGAAAGTGATGGTGCCATTAGAAGGGGGAAGAGAGTAGGTGGAGAAGGAAGACAAGGGCAAGAATGACTATTAGTACAATGGTGATAAATACTAATACTAGCTGTTGTTATTCATTTGCAGAAGGTAGGTTCCAATCCAAGTCAATAGTTGTGCAGCCTGTCCTCTAATTCCTTCTTACATAAAATAATTGTTGTCACAAATTTGCTTGCTTTTCCATTATGCATTAGATTCTCAGATAATGTTTGCATATTTTAAAAGAATCAGACACTTGGGGAAAAGTATTAAGTATTATAAAAATGCACATAGACATTGGCTTCATAATATACTCATATGAAACTATACAGAGAACAACTAAATCACGATGGTCAGATTCAATATTTGTGGCAGACATTCATAAAATAAACACTGGAGACAATTCAAATATTTTACATTGAGAAATGATTTAAAATGTATACAATGTGTGTACCATGCCATTACAATTGTTTTATCAAAAAATGTTAAATTACACTGTCAGCCATAGTACAGGTATTGTTGAATACTATGCAACATAATGATGAACAGAAAAATATCACAATTTTTGTGTCGGAAGAAAAGACATATGCAATGAGATAAAAAGATTTTATATAAACATAATATATGTACATTGAGTTATATAAATAGAATAAAACCATAATGAAAGCACACAGATTTTATAAATGAAATTTATTTTTTTCTAAATTTTCATAATTTCACAAAATTTCTTACATTGATTTTATATTATTCTGATAAAGATGTCACAGAATGAGATCAGTGATGAATCTATTAACAGCCATTTCATTACTTCAATATTGGGTGGATGAAGAAGACTCTAAGCAGTGAGCTTGTGAGACCAAACATTGAACATGTCATATTAAATGTGGCTACAGATAACTTCAATTATACAGAGTGCTCAGGTGTCCCATGAATCACCTGGAATAATAATGTAATGACTGCTATTAAAACTGATGTCTTAAGGTTAAAATTATGCTGTTGAAAAATACTTGTCAATAGATGATCTGCATGGACAAAGTCAGATTTTTACTTTTGTAAACAGTAGTTTTAAAAAGAATGTTTACCCCAATGATTAGGATCTGAAAGTATGTTTGCATTGGAAAGGGAACACCATTATTTTACAGAGAGAGAAAAAAATGCATTTTTTAAAAAAGGAATAGCAGCAAAATGATAAGCACATAATTTTGACATAATAGTCACAAAACTTTTGACTTTACGTTTCTTTATTAAGTTTTTTTTTTTTAACTTATAGTTTAGGTTCAGGGGTAAAAGTGCAGGCTTCTAATATAGCTGATCTCCTGTCACGGGAGTTTGCTGTGCAGACTACTTCATCACCCAGGTACAAAGCCTAGGACCCAATAGTTATTTTTTCTGATCCTATTCTTCTCCCCAACCCTCCACCCTCAAGTAGACCCCAGTGTCTGTTGTCTCTTTGCATCCATGTGTTCTCATCAGTTAGCTCCTCCTCATAAGTGAGTACATGCAGCATTTGGTTTTCTGTTCCTGTGTTAGTTTGCTAAGGATGATGGTCTCCAGCTCCATCCATGTGCCTGCAAAGTACATGATCTCAGTCTTTTTTATGGCTGCATAGTATTCCATGGTGTATATGTACCATATATTCTTTATCCAGTCTACCACTGATGGGCATTTAGGTGATTCCATATCTTTCCTATTGTGAACAGTGCTGCAATGAACATAAATGTACATGTGTCTTTATGGTAGAATGATACATATTCCTTTGGGCATATATCCAGTAATAGGACTGCTGGGTCAAATGGTAGTTCTGCTTTTAGCTTTTTGAGTAATCACCACACCTCTTTCCACAATGGTTGAACTAATTTATACTTCCACCAACAGTGTATAAATGTTCCCTTTGCTCTGCAACCTCACCAGTATCTGCTATTTTTTGACTAATTATAGCCACTCTTACTTGTGTGAAATAGTATCTCACTGTGGTTTTGATTTGCATTTATCTAATGATCAGTGGTATCTCACTGTGGTTACAATTTGCATTTCCCTAATGATCAGTGATATTGACCTTTTTGTTCATATGCTTGTTGGCTGCTTGTATATCTTCCTTTGTAACGTGTCTATAGTGATGAACCAAGATGGCTGAACAGGAACGGCTCTGGTCTGCAGCTCCCAGCATGATCAATGCAGAAGATGGGTGATTTCTGCATTTTCAACTGAGGTACCTGGTTCATCTCACTGGGACTGGTTGGACAGTGGGTGCAGCCCACGGAAGGCAGGCTGAAGCTGGGCGGGGCATCGCCTCACCCCGGAGGTGCAAGGGGTTGGGGGATTTCCCTTTCCTAGCCAGGGGAAGCCATGACAGACTCTACCAGGAAAATCAGGACACTCCCACCTTAATACTGCACTTTTCCAATGGTCTCAGCAAATGACACACCCAGGAGATTACATCCCATGCCTGGCTCAGTGGGTCCCATGCCCATGGAGCCTTGCTCACTGCTAGCACAGCAGTCCAAGATCCAACTGCAAGGAGGCAGACTGGCTGGGGGAGGGGCATTCGCCATTGCTGAGGCTTGAGTAGGTAAACAAAGCAGCCAGGACGCTTGAACTGGGTGGAGCCCACCACAGCTCAAGGAGGCCTGCCTACCTCTGTAGACTCCACCTTTGCTGGCAGGGCATAGCTGAACAAAAGGCAGCAGAAGCTTCTGCAGACTTAAACATCCCTGTCTGACAGCTCTGAAGAGAGCAGTGGTTCTCCCACCATGGTGTTTGAGCTCTGAAATGGACAGACTGCCTCCTCAAGTGGGTCTCTGGCCCCTGGGTAGCCTAACTGGGAGACACTTCTGAGTAGGGGCCAACTGACACCTCATGCAGCCAGGTGCCCCTCTGAGATGAAGCTTCCAGAGGAAGGATCAGGCAGCAATGTTTGCTGTTCTACAATACTTGCTGTTGATCTTTTCAAAAAACCAGCTCCTGGATTCATTGATTTTTTTGAAGGGTTTTTTTGTGTGTCTCTATCTCCTTCAGTTCTGTTCTAATCTTAGGTATTGCTTGCCTTCTGCTAGCTTTTGAATGTGTTTACTCTTGCTTCTCTAGTTCTTTTAATTGTGATGTTAGGGTGTTGATTTTAGATTTTTCTTGCTTTCTTTTGTGGGCATTTAGTACTATAAATTTCCTTCTACACACTGCTTTAAAGGTGTCCCAGAGATTATGGTATATTGTGTCTTTGTTCTCATTGGTGTCAAAGAACATCTTTACTTCTGCCTGCATTTTGTTATTTACACAGTAGTCATGCAGGAGCAGGTTGTTGAGTTTCCATGTAGTTGTGTGGTTTTGAGTGAGTTTCTTAATCCTGAGTTCTAATTTCAGTGTACTGTGGTCTGAGAGACAGTTTGTTGTTATTTCTGTTCTTTTACATTTGTTGTGGAGGGCTTTACTTCCAACTATGTGGTCAGTTTTGGAACAAGTGTGATGTGGTTCCAAGAAGAATGCATATTCTGTTGACTTTTGGGTGGAGAGTTCTGTAGATGTCTATTAGGTCTGCTCGTTGCAGAGCTGAGTTCAAGTCCTGGATATCCTTGTTAACCTTCTGTTTCATGGATGTGTCTAATATTGACAGTGGGGTGTTAAAGTCTCCCTTTACTATCGTGTGGGAGCCTAAGTCTCTTTGTAGGTCTCCAAGGACTTGCCTTATGAATCTGGGTGCTCCTGTATTCAGTGCATATATATTTAGAATAGTTATCTCTTCTTGTTGAATTGATCCCTTTATCATTATGTAATGGCTTTCTTTGTCTCCTGATCTTTGTTGATTTAAAGTCTGTTTTATCAGAGACTAGGATTACAACCCCTGCTTTTTTTTGTTTTCCGTTTGGTTGTTAGATCTTCCTCCAACCCTTTATTTGAGCCTATGTGTGTCTCTGCACGTGAGATGGGTCTCCTGAATATAGCACACTGATGGGTCTGGACTCTATTCAATTTGCCGGTCTTTGTCTTTTAACTGGGGCATTTAGCCAATTTACCTTTAAGGTTAATATTGTTATGTGTGAATTTGATCCTGTCATTGTGATGTTAGCTGGTTATTTTGCCTGTTAGTTGATGCAGTTTCTTCCTAACATCAATGGTCTTTACAATTTGGCATGTTTTTGCAGTGGCTAGTACCAGTTGTTCCTTTCCATATTTAGTGCTTCCTTCAGGAGCTCTTTTAAGGCAGTTCTGGTGGTGACAAGATCTCTCAGTATTTGCTTGTCTGTAAAGGATTTTATTTCTCCTTCACTTATGAAGCTTAGTTTGGCTGGATATGAAATTCTGGGTTGAAAATTCTTTTCTTTAAGAATGTTGAATATTGACCCCCACCCTCTTCTGGCTTGTAGAGTTTCTGCTGAGAGAGCTGCTGTTAGTCTGATGGGCTTCCCTTTGTGGGTAACCCGATCTTTCTCTCTGGCTGCCCTTAACATTTTTTCCTGCATTTCAACCTTGGTGAACCTGACAATTATGTGCCTTGGGTTTGCTCTTCTCGAGGATTATCTTTATGGTGTTCTCTGTACTTCTTGAATTTGAATGTTGGCCTGCCTTGCTAGGTTGGGGAAGTTCTCCTGGATAATAAACTGAAGAGTGTTTTCCAACTTGGTTCCATTCTCCCTATCACTTTCAGGTACACCAATCTAATGTATATTTGGCCTCTTCACACAATCCTGTATTTCTTGCAGGCTTTGTTCATTTCTTTTTCTTCTTTTTTCTCTTACCTTGTCTTCTCACAATTATTTCATAAATTTGATCTTCAGTCATTGATACCCTTTCTTCCACTTGATTGATTCAGCTATTGAACCTTGTGCATGCATCACGAAGTTCTCGTGCCATGGTTTTCAGCTCCATCAGGTCATTTAAGGTCTTCTCTACACTGTTTATTCTAACTATCCATTTGTCTAACCTTTTTTTCAAGGTTTTTAGCTTCCTTGCAATGGGTTTGAACATGCTCCTTTAGCTTAGAGAAGTTTGTTATTAACGACCTTCTGAAGCCTACTTCTATCAACTCGTCAAAGTCATTCTCTGTCCAGCTTTGTTCTGTTGCTGGTGAGGAGCTGTGATACTTTTGAGGAGAAGTAGCATTCTGATTTTTAGAATTTTCAGCTTTTCTGCTCTGGTTTTTCCCCATCTTTGTGGTTTTATCTACCTTTGGTCTTTGATGTTGGTGACCTACAGATGGGGTTTTGGTGTGGAGGTCCTCTTTGTTGATGTTGATGCTATTCCTTTCTGTTTGTTGGCTTTCCTTCTAACAGACAGGTCCCTCAGCTGCAGGTTTGTTGGAGTTTGCTGGAGGTCCACTCCAGACCCCGTTTGCCTGGGTATCACCAGTGGAGGCTGCAGAACAGCAAATATTGCAGAACGGCAAATATTGCTGCCCGATCCTTCGTCTAGAAGCTTCGTACCAGAGGCACACCCACCTACATGAGGTGTCTGTTGGCCCCTACTGGGAGATGTCTCTCAGTTAGGCTACACAGGGATCAGGGACCCACTTGAGAAGGCAGTCTGTCTGTTCTCAGAGCTCAAACTCCGTGCTGGGAGAACTACTGCTCTCTCCAGAGCTCTCAGACAGGGACGTTTAAGTCTGCAGAAGTTGTCTGCTGCCTTTTGTTCAGCTATGTCCTGTCCACAGAGGTGGAGTCTAGAGGCAGTAGGGCTTGCTGAACTTCCATGCACTCCACCCAGTTCAAGCTTCTCGGCTGCTTTGTTTACCTACTCAAGCCTCAGCAATGATGGATACCCCTCCTGCAGCCAGGCTGTTGCCTCACAATTTGATCTCAGACTGCTGTGCTAGCAGAGAGCAAGGCTCCATGGGCATGGGACCCCCCCAAGTCAGGCACGGGAGAGAATCTCCTTGTCTGCCAGTTGCTAAGACCCTGGGAAAAGTGCAATATTTGGGCAGGAGTGCCCCATTTTTCCAGGTACAGTCTGTCACAGCTTCCCTTGCTAGGAAAGGGAAACACCCTGACCCCTTACACTTCAGCTCACCCTCCGTGGGCTGCACCCACTGTCCATCCAGTCCCAAAGAGATTAACGAGGTACCTCCATTGGAAATGCAGAAATCACCTATCTTCTGCATCCATCATGCTGTGAGTTGCAGACCGGGGCTGTTCCTGTTCAGCCATCTTGGAATGGAGAGAAAAATATCTTATAAAAAGTTATTTTAAACCAATACAATTATCTTTGATTTGAAAGAGAAGCAAAAAAAACCCCTGTATACTTTAACTGTAATATTCCCTTGTATTTTAAGTTTTCGATGCCACAATTTACATTTTTTATATTTCCAATCTCTTAATAAATTTTTGTAGTTATTATTACTTTTTATTGTTTTGTCTTTTAGTATTTATACTGAAGATGTAAGTGGTTTACACACTACAATTACAGTATTAGAGTATTCTGAATTTGCCTTCCTACTTACATTTTCCAGTGAAGTTTCTGTCTTCAGATGATTTCTTGTTATGCAAAAACATCTTTTTCCTTCAGTTTGAATAACTCATTTTTGTATTTCTTGTAGGACATGTCTGGTGATGCTAGATTTACTCAGTCTGTCTGGAAAGTCTTTATCTCTACTTCATTTCTAAAGGATAGCATTTCTAATACTGGATGCAGTATTTTTGATTGGCAGGTTTTGTTTTGTTTTGTTTTGTTTTGTTTTGTTTTGTTTTGCCTTAGGTACTCTGAATGTATTGTCTGACACTATCATGGCTGACAAGGTTTCTCCAGAGAAGTCTGTTGCCAGATGTCTTGTAATTCCTTTACATGCATTTTACTTCTTTTATCTTGCTGCTTTCAGCAGCTTGTCTTTGACTTTTGAGAGTTTGATTATAATATATATTAGAGTAATCTTATTTATGTTGTATCTTATCGGTTAATTTTACCTAACTCTACCTGGATGTTTATATCTTCTCCAAGTTATGAAAGTTTTCCGCTATTATTTCTTTGAATAGCCTTCTGCTCTTTTGTCTCTTGTCTCTTTTGTCTTTCTTGAAAAGTAGAAGCAGTTCTTTGAATGTAGCAAGAGGGGTTTGAGTCGAGACTGCCCTTCCCACTCCCAGAATATGCTCTGGGAGCAGAGACTGGTGAGCCTGGATGGTGGCCCAGGCAAATGTGCTTCCCAATAGTTTTCTGCACGAGCAGGGAAGGTCCCTGACTGCAGAAAGGAAGGTTGGAGCTGGGGCTGGGCTCCCTAGGGACTTACTGCAGAAGGAGGATGGTGAGCCGACCTCATTAGCAGGTGGACAAGCAACCCCCAGCACTTTCCTATGTGGGTAGGATAGTTCTCCAACTGCAGCCAGAAGGGCTAGAGCTGAAACTAGGCTTCCTCATAATTTGTGTTTGAATGAAGATTGACAGGCCTGTCACACACTCAGATGAACAGGTAATTACTGGACTGAAAGACATGGGTAAATCTGCTTCTATGTCCTTGCCCAAGCAGTAATAATCTGGCACCACAACTGAAGGGGTTTCCCCTGAGTTACAGGATAACTGTCAATTCTGCTGCTGAGACCAATGTTGGTGGACAGATAAGCTTTTCTGCTAAGGCACTAGTGAGTATGATTCCTCCTGGACTCCTGGGAAGATAATTTTGATTACAGGCTCAAGGCCAAACAGGGCTGTAGACAAGCTTTTTGGGAAATGGGGCTGTTTCTGGCATTATAAGTGAGTCTAATACCTGAGTTCTGTTATGTATTCTCAAAATGCCCTTGCTAGGTCTTGGGCTACACAGGGGTTTCACAACATCCTACCTGAATACCAAAACTAAAGAGTCTTTTATCTGTGGTTGTGTGAAAAATTCTTATTGTTGCAAGGGGAGACATGAGTTGCTGGCTTTCTATCCCACTATCTTTCTGATGTCTTATCACATTTTTTTACCATCTCCATTTATGTTATTTGATCACTTAATTCTGACAGAACCACAGGTACATAGAAAGGAGTGAATAGAAGCTCCACACTGGGCTGGGCACAGGGGCTCATACCTGTAATCCCAGCACTTTGGGAGGCCAAGGTAGAGAGATCACCTGAGGTCAGGAGTTCAAGACCAGCCTGGCCAACATGGTGAAACCCCATCTTTAATAAAAATACAAAAAAATTAGCCAGGCGTGGTGGGGCACACCTGTAGTCCCAGCTACTCAGGAGGCTGAGGCACGAGAATTGCTTCCATCTGGAAGGCAGAGGTTGTGGTGAGCCAAGATTGTGCCACTGCACTCTAGCACTCCAGCCTGGGTGACAGTTAGACTCCATTAAAAAAAAAAAAAAGGCCAAAAAGGAAATACAAAGTATATACAATGTGTATTTTAATTATCCCCACCAGCAGATTTTACCAAGGACATCTGCAAGAATAATATTAAGGCTTGATTCTTAAACTTTTGACATAAGTTTCTTGATTAAAACTACATCTTGACAGAGCTTCTAAAACAACCCAAATATTTCCCTCAAATTTTTTGAATTCATAAAATGTTTCTAAAATCTATCTTTTGACAAATCATATGTTTATTAACTGACCGAGTATGAGAACAAAATCTTCCAAATGATCTTTCAATAAAGGTGGAGGTTTAATTACCAATTTAAAAACAAATCAATTGAGACTACATCAGCATGCTTTTGGTGTCTGGTGCCTGGCAGAGACCTAGAGAGTCCGTCAGGATCCTAGCTGTGCCGCGGCGGAACCTAAGGAGGTCTGGAGCAGCGGGCTCCAGACGGAGCCCGGGGCCAAAGGGTGCTCGTGGCCTCTGAGCTGAGTGAGGCTGAGGCCAGGAGACCCTGCCCAGAATAAGACAAAAGAGAATGAAAGAGGTAGATAATCTCGAAAGTATAAAAGAAGATGGGTTTGTGAAACAGTATCTGACAATCAATCTCTCAGTGATAATCAACAAATTGTGAATATTTTGTTGATAGCCTTTTTGAAGAAGCTCAGAAGGTTGGCTCCAACTGCTTGTCTCCCACTGAACAGAAAAAGCAGGTGGATGTAAATATGAAAGTATGGAAAATGAAATCACAGTCAGTGATGATTTCCCAACAGTGCAAGTCAGCAATTTTTGAACTCCATCAAAAAAAGGGGAATTACCTTCAGAATTACAGAGAAGTTTTTATAAAGAGGTGAATGTTTAAGTTGAAGACCAGATAAATGAAATATGTATGTCTACGCAGCCTGAGTTCCAGCCCTTTTCAAGACAGAGTCACAGACTAGGAAGTGCCACAGCAAAATTGTTTCTAAAGCAAAGAGTATTGAAATTAAAAATAAAAGTAATTTGTCTGCTGTTCTGCTGAACAACTTGGAACGTACTAATATACAGATCTGGTTAGCCAAGGATTGTCCAGAAATTTAACATTTCTCACAGGGTAAGCCATATAAAGTCTTCATTAAAAAAACCAGGGATCTCAAAGAAGTCTCCCCTTTTCCCTCCTGCAAATTCAACCAAGTAGTTGTTTCCCTGACAGCTTCTGTGCCAGATGAGGTCTTTGCTAGAGCAGACGAATATTTCTTCACGTACATGGCACAAAGGCATTGCTTTGGTGAATGGAAATGAGTGGAAAAACTCCCAGAAAAAAGGGAATATATATGCATGTATGCTGTGTATGTATATACTACTCTCTTTCTGTGTGTGTGTGTGTGTGTGTGTATACATTTATATATATATAAATGTATATATACACATATATAAATGTATATATATATGGAGATTAATTACATGAGCCTTTTTATTCCATGAGGAAAATACAAATATTCACAAAAGTTGGTACAACCTTAGGGACGCCTGCCCTGGCCCTGCCCTTAGCTGCATGCCACCATCACATTCTGCCCTCAGCCCCAACCTTCTGTCCCAGCACCCCCAGGCTCCCTGCTCTGGTTCAAGTCTTTTCTCCAAGGCAGGAATGAGTCCTTGATCCAATCATAGCATCAATTACAAGCAGTTGTCAAACACCCCATCCTTCACCATCTGCATCTCCTCCTCATGAATCTCTGGAGGCTGGGAGTCTCGTTTGCCATGGCAGGGCAGGGAGAAGCTGAAGGTGGGATGATGGTGGGTATGAGTGTGTGAGGGTGACGTGGAGACTCCTCCAGGCCCACACTCTGGGGCCTGCACTGGTGCTCAACTTACAGGCAATCCTTGCACTGCTGGTGGCAGCTCATACCACTGGCTTGGCAGTTGAGGCCCTGCTTATAGATGCCCAGGATCAGGGCTTCGCAGTGGCAGCAGGCTACTGCACTCTAGGAGTTGCCCTCCTGGAAACTGTGTACAAAACCCATGTAGACTCCCAGCAAGGAGCTGAAGCACAGGAAAAGGAAAGCATCTTTTCCCTACTGATGCAGCCTTCCTAGTTTTGGTCAAAGTCCCCAAAGGCGCTGAGGTAAGGGGAAGTTCCCATGGATGATCTGGAATTTTTCCTGTGAGATGTGGCCGTGTATATCCATGTGATATATAGATCACATTTTCTTTATTCACTCATCTGTCGATGGGCACTTAGGTTGATTCCATATCTTTGGAATTGTGAAGTTTGTTGCAATAAACATATGAGTGCAGATGTCTTTTTAATATAATGACTTCCTTTCCTTTGTGTAGGTAACTGGTAGTAAGATTACTGGATCAAATATTTTACCTACTTTTAGTTATTTGAGAAATCTCCATGCAGTTTTTCACAGAGGTTGTACTAGTTTATGTTCCCACCAACAGTGTTTAAATGTTCCCATTTCACCACATCTGCGCCAATATCTACTTTTTTTGACTTTTAAAATACAATCATTCTGATAAGAGTATACCATTAGTCAGGTGATATCTCATTGTGGTTTTAATTTGCATTTCCCTGATGGTTACTGATGTTCAGCTTTTTTCCATATTTGCTGACCATTTGTATATCTTCTTTTGAGAAATGTCTATTCATGTCATTTGCCCATTTTTTATAAGATTGTTTCTTCTTGCTGATTTGTTTGAGTTACTTGTTGATTCTGATTAGTAATCCTCTGTCAGATATAGAGTTTGTAAATATTTTCTCCCATTCTGTACGTTGTCTGTTTACTCTATTGATTATTTCTTTTGCTGTGCAGAAGCTTTTTAAAGTCCCATTTCTTTATTTTGGTTTTGTTGCTTTTCTTTTTGTGTCTTTAGTCATAAATTCTTTGTGTAGGTCAATGTCCAAAAGAGTATTTCTTATATTTTCTTCTGCATTTAAGTCTTTAATCCACCTTCAGTTAATTTTTGCATATGATGAGAGATAGTCATCCAGTTTCACGCTTCTGCATGTGGCTCTCCTTTTTTTCTATCACAATTTTTTGAATAGAGTGTCCTTTCCTTTGTGCATGTTTGTGTCTGCTTTGTTGAACAGTTGGTTTTAAGTATTTGGCTTTATTTCTGGGTTCTCTATTCTGTTCTGTTGGTCTATGTGTCTACTTTTATACCAGTACTTTGCTGTTTTGGTTACTACAGTTTTGTAGTATATGTTGAAGATAGGTAATGTTATGCCATCAGCTTTGTTCCTTTTGCTCAGGATTTCCTTTGTAATCTGGGTTCTTTTTTTGGTTCCATATAAACTTTAGAATTATATTTTATAATTATCTTATAAATGACATTGATAATTCAATAGAAATTGCATTGAATCTGTAGATTGCTTTGGGCAGTATGGTCATTTTCACAATATTTATTTTTCCAATCCATAAGCCTGCGATACTTTTCTATTTGTAAAACAACATCTGACAGAGCTTTTAAAATAAACAAAATATTTGCAAAATATTTTTTGATGAATGAAATAAATGTCTAAAATATATCTTTCCACCAATTATATTTATTAACTGAGACAATAATCCTTTAAGTTTTCTTTCAATAAAGATATAGAATTAAATTCCAAGGTAATAGCAAATGGTTTGCTGAGATCAAGAAAAATGGAAGCCGATGGTCTCACAATGATCTCATGATTCATCTGGATAAGTTCATCCAGTTTTGCCTCTAAATCGATCCAATGACTGTATTCCATAGCTACATCAGCACCTTTTCACGACTTCCAGAGTTGAGGAAAAAACTCAGCAGTAGCTATAGTAGAGCTGAAATTCATTTCATAGACATCCTGATTAAATGCGGTACTTCCTTTCAAATTTTATCCCTGTACCATTTATCTTGCTTATATTAAAGAAGAGATTGTCAAGAATTTAAAATATAACTACTACATATCAATGTAAGTACATTATTTGAATGGTCAGAGTATCTTCATGGCAAGTGGAAAAAGTGAAATCTAGATGACCTTGTGTTATATGATGTGTTTAATATCTCTTTTAACAATTACAAATGCTTTTCCCCATTTAAGTTCTGATTATCTTGCAAATACAAATCACCTATGTGATATAAGAAAGTTTAGAATCATGTTATGAACAGTGGATAGCAAGAGGTGCTTTGTGTCTGCAGTCTGCTTGGCGTAGGCCTAAAGTACTTACACAGCTGAATCAGACTTTCTTAGATATCATGGTCCAAGGGATGTTTGTTTATTTGTTTTGTAAAAGTTTTGTTGACATATATTTGACATATAATACAGTTTACTAATTTAAAGCCAAGACAATTCAGTGGCTCATTGTATTTTCACAGAATTTGTGTGACTATCGTGATGTTCAATTTTACATTATTTCATCATCCTTAACTAACCTCGTATCCTTAGCATCTCCTTATCCCTCAACCCTGGACAACCTCTAATCTACTTTCTGTCTCTATACATTTTCCAATTTTGAGGGCTTCATATAAATGGAATCACACAAGATGTGTTTTTTGTAACTGGTTTCTGTAGTTAGCATAATAATTTAAAGTTGGTAGAATACAGTTGTGACTCCAGGTAGTCCTGGACTTTTATTTATTGGAGGGCTTTTTGTTACTGATTTAATGTTGTTATTCAGTATTAGTCTGTGCAAGATTTATATTTTTTGTTGTTTTTATCTTAGTCTAATGTATATGTCAAGAAATGTATCCATTTCTTCCAGGTTTTCAAATTTGTTGTGTAGTTGCTGATTACAATCTTTAATGATGTGCTGTATTTCTGTATCAGTTGTGAAGTTTCCTGTTCTGTTTTTGATTTTATTAAATTGGATATTTTCTTGTTTTTCTTTATTAGTCTAGTCAATGCCTTGCTGATTTTGTCTTTTAAAAAAGTTAGCATTTTGTTTCATCTTTTTTAGTCTTAATTTCATTTTTTCTCTCTAATTTTTAGTATTTCTTTACTTACACTAATTTTGGTTTTGGTTTGTTCCTATTTTTAGAGTTCTTTGAGAGAGATCATTAGGTTGTTTATTTGAAACTTTTCTACTTCTTTCATGTAGGCATTTCTTGTTCTAAACTTGTCTCTTAATAGTGCTTCTGTTGAATCTCATACATTTTGCTATCGCATGATGTAATTTTTCTTGTTTTAAGTAATTTTAAAATTGTTTCTTTTTTTACCTATTGGTTATAAGGAATACGTTGTTAAATTTTCATGGATTTTTCTAGTTTTGTCTTGTCATTGATTTTATACTTTATTTCATTGTGTTCAGATAAAATAATTAGTAAAATTTTTATTTTTTAAAATTTGTTGAGACTTGCTTAATGTCCTCATATATGGTTAATTCTGGGGATGTTATATGTGCTATAAAAAGAATCTTATATTCTGCAGCTGTTGGATAAAATGTTCTGTAAATGTCAATTACTTCGATTTGGTCTATGGTACAGTATAAATCTCATGTGTTTCTATTGATTTTTTGTCTAAATATCTGTCCAATGCTGAAAAGGTGGTGGTGACATCCTCAAATATTATTGAACTTAGGTCCATCTCTCCTTTCAGGTATAATAATATTTGCTTCATATATCTCAATGGTTCATGGTTGTTTGCATATATATTTACATTTTTGTCTTTTTGAACAATTGATTCATTTATTATCATATTAAGTCTCTCTTTTCCTCTCCTTAAAGTTTTGGCTTAAAGTTTGTGTTTTGCTTATGTAAGTGAAGCTATTTCTGCTTGATTTGGGTTTCTGTTTGCATAGCATATCTATTTCATCTTTTCAATTGCAGTCTATGTGTAACTTTATAGGTGAGATGAGTTTCTTTTAGGCTGTATATAGTTGGGTCTTGTTTTTTAATCCATTAGTCTATGTTTTGAGTTGTATAATTTAATCCACCTATTTTCAAGGTATTTATTTATGTATTTATAGGTAAAGGCTTATTCTTTTATTTTTTCTGTTTATTTTGTATAACCCTTATTCCTTAATTTCTCTCTTATTACTTATTTTTGACAGTTTGGTAGTTTTCTATACTGATAAAGTTTGATTCTTTTTTCTTTCTCCTTTGTCTGTTGGCTCTATGAGTGAGTTATATAATTTTGTGTGTTTTCATGAAGTGGATTATCATCTTTTTACTTTCTTTTTTTAAATTATACTTTAAGTTTAAGACCTAATAGACATTTACAAAACTTTCAACCCCAAATCAACAGAATATACATTCTTCTCAGCACCACATCCCACTTATTCTAAAATTGACCACATAATTGGAAGTAAAGCACTCCTCAGCAAATGTAAAAGAACAGAAATCACAACAAACTGTCTCTCAGACCACAGTGCAATCAAATTAGAACTCAGAATTAAGAAACTCACTCAAAACTGCACAACTACATGGAAACTGAACAACCTGCTCCTGCATGACTACTGGGCAAATAAGGAAACGAAGGCAGAAATAAATATGTCTTTGAAGCCAATGAGAACAAAGACATAATGTACCAGAATCTCTAGGACACATTTAAAGCAGTGTGTAGAGGGAAATTTATGGCACTAAATGCCCACAAAAGAAAGCAGGAAATATCTAAAATTGACACCCTAACATCACAATTAAAAGAACTAGAGAAGCAAGAGCAAACAAATTCAAAAGCTAGCAGAAGGCAAGAAATAACTATGATCAGGGCAGAACTGAAAGAGATAGAGACAAAAAAAAACCTCCAAAAAATCAATGAATCCAGGAGCTGGCTTCTTGAAATGATCGACAAAATTGATAGACCACTAGCAAGAATAATAAAAAAGAAAAGAGAGAAGAATCAAATAGACTCAATAGAAAATGATAAAGGGGATACCTCCACTGATCCCACAGATATACAAACTACCAACAGAGAATACTATAAATACCTCTACGCAAATAAACTAGAAAATCTAGAAGAAATGGATAAATTCCTGGACACATACACCCTCCCAAGACTAAACCAGGAAGAAGTTGAATCTCTGCATAGACCAGAAACAGACTCTGAAATTGAGGCAATAATTAATAGGCTACCAATGAAAAAAAGTCCAGGACCAGATGGATTCACAGCTGAATTTCACCAGAGATACAAAGAGGAGCTGGTACCATTCCTTCTAAAACTATTCCAATCAATAGAAAAGGAGGGAATCCTCCCTAACTAATTTTATGAGGCCAACATCATCCTGATACCAAAGCCTGGCAGAGTCACAACAAAAAAACAGAGTTTTAGACCAATATCCCTGAAGAACATCAATGCGAACATCCTCAATAAAATACTGGCAAACCGAATCCAGCAGCACATCAAAAAGCTTATCCACCATGATTAAGTCAGCTGGGAGGCAAGGCTGGTCCAACATATGCAAATAAATAAATATAATCCATAACATAAACAGAACCAATGAAAAACCACTTGATTATCTCAATAAATGCAGAAAAGACCTTCAATGAAATTCAACAACTCTTCATGCTAAAACTCTCAATAAACGAGGTATTGATGGAACGTATCTCAAAATACTAAGAGCTATTTATGACAAACCCACAGCCAATATCATACTGAATGGGCAAAAACTGGAAGAATTCCCTCTGAAAACCAGCACAAGATAGGAATGCCCTCTCTCACCACTCCTATTCAGCATAGTGTTGGAAGTTCTGGCCAGGGTGATCAGGCAAGAGAAAGAAATAAAGAGTATTCAATTAGGAAAAGAGGAAGTCAAATTGTCTCTGTTTGCAGATGGCATGATTTTATATTTAGAAAAACCCATCTTTTCAGCCCAAAATCTCCTTAAGCTGATAAGCAACTTCAGCAAAGTTTCAGGATACAAAATGGACGTGCAAAAATCACAAGCATTTTTAAACATCAATAACAGACCAACAGAGAGCCAAATCATGAGTGAACTCCCATTCACAATTGCTGCTAAGAGAATAAAATACCTAGGAATCCAACTTACAAGGGATGTGAAGGACCTCTTCAAGGAGAACTACAAACCACTGCTCAATGAAATAAAAGAGGATACAAACAAATGGAAGAACATTCCATGCTCATGGATAGAAAGAATAAATATCATGAAAATGGCCATGCTGCCCAAGGTAATTTATAGATTTGATGGTATTCCCATCAAGCTACCAATGACTTTCTTCACAGAATTGGAAAAAAACTATTTTAAAATTCATATAGAACCAAAAAAGAGCCCACACAGCCAAGACAATCCTAAGCAAAAATAACAAAGCTGGAGGCATCTTGCTACCTGACTTCAAACTATACTATAAGGCTACAGTAACCAAAATAGCATAGTACTGATACCAAAGCAGAGATGTAGACCAATGGAACACAACAGAGACATCAGAAATAACACGACACATCTACAACCATCTGATTTTTGACAAACCTGACAAAAACAAGCAATGGGGAAAGGATTCCCTATTTAATAAATGGTGGTGCGAAAATTGGCTAGACATATGTAGAAAGCTGAAACTGGATCCCTTCCTTACACTTTTCACATAAATTAATTCAAGATGGATTAAAGACTTAAATGTTAGACCTAAAACCATAAAAACCCTTTAAGAAAACCTAGGCAATACCATTCAGGATGTAGGCATGAGCAAGGACTTCATGACTAAAACACAAAAAGCAATGGCAACAAAAGCCAAAATTGACAAATGGGATCAAATTAAACAAAAAGCTTTTGCGCATGACAAAAGAAACTACCATCAGAGTGAATAGGCAACCTACAGAATGGGAGAAAAATTTTGCAATCTACGCATCTGACATAGGGCTAATATCCAGAATCTACAAAGAACTCAAACAAATTTACAAGAAAAAAACAAGCAACCCCATCAAAAAGTGGGTGAAGGATACGAACAGACAATTCTCAAAAGAAGACATCTATGCAGCCAACAGATACACGAAAAAATGATCATCATCACTGGTCATCAGAGAAATGCAAACCAAAACCACAATAAGATACCATCTCACACCAGTTAGAACGGCAATCATTAAAAAGACAAGAAACAACAGATGCTGGAGAGGGTGTGGAAAAATAGGAACGCTTTTACACTGTTGGTGGGAGTGTAAATTAGTTCAACCTTTGTGGAGCACTGTGTGGCGATTCCTCAAGGATCTAGAACTAGAAATACCATTTGACCCAGCGATCCCTTTACTGGGTACATATCCAAAGGATTTTAAATCATGCTACTATAAAGACACATGCACACGTATGTTTACTGCAGCACTATTCACAATAGCAAAGACTTGGAACCAACCCAAATGTCCATCAATGATAGACTGGATTAAGAAAATGTGGCACATATACAGCATGGAATATTATGCAGCCATAAAAAATGATGAGTTCATATCCTTTGCAGGGACATGGATGAAGCTGGAAACCATCATTCTCAGCAAACTGTCACAAGGACAGAAAACCAAACAATGCATGTTCTCACTCATAGGTGGGAATTGAACAATGAGATCACTTGGACACAGGGCAGAGGACCACACACTGGGGCCTGTTGGGGGTGGGTGGCTGGAGGAGGGATATAACATTAGGAGAAATTCCTAATGTAAGTGATGAGTTGATGGGGGCAGCAAGCCAACATGGCCCATGTACACCTATGTATCAAACCTGTATGTTGTGCACATGTACCCTAGAACTTAAAGTATAATAAAAAAGAAGGTGTTTTCATGTAAGCCTTATGATAAGCACAGAACACCTATAATAAATACCCTAAAAATAAAAAGGAAGAAATAAAAACATACAACAAGATAATCCCTTAATTCCAAGGAAGCCAATAAATGATGAAGACAGAAAAAAGGATTTACAGACCAGATACAGCAGCAGCTCACACCTATAATCTTGGCATTCTAGGAGGCTAAGGTGAGAGAAGGACTTAAGCCTAGGAGTTCAACACCAGCCAGGGCATTATAGTGAGACCCTATACCTACAAATAAAGCTTTTTAAAAATGTCAGGCATGGCCATGTATGCCTGTAGTCCCAGCTACTTGGGGGACTGAAGTTGGTGAATCATCTGAGCCTGGGAGTTTGAGGCTGAGGCTGCAGTAAACTGTAATTGTATGCTCTTCAGCCTGGCCAACAGAGTGAGACCATTCCAAAAAAAAAAAAAAAAAAAAAAAAAAACCCTTTTTTTAAAAAGGATTTACATAAGAACTAGAAAAAAAGAATCAATATGGCAGTAGTTTGTTCATTCACCCTGTAAGTGCCATCTACAAGCCTAGCAGATCTTTGTCAGTCAGTTGTGAGCTATTTATAGAGCACTGTGGAATTAGGCAACTCCTCACACAGTTTCAGAATCAGTCCTAGGAGGAAAGGGGTTCTGAGCTTAAGAATATCTCCTTCAGGCATTCATGACGCAGTTTGATTCTATATAGACAATTTCCATTGTAGTACAAAACTCTTCTGGGTACTGCTATATGACTGGAGTGTTTCATTTACATTATGCAAGACATCATGGGTATTTCATGTTTCAAGGTTATTTGATGAACTGTTATGGATAGCTTCAATTAATGTACTACAGCAAGGTAGTAAATGCCACTCAAGTGGAAATTCTCCTTTCCCAAATCCCAGTATTTATCACTGGGAGATACTCACAGCATATTACTATAAGTTATGCTTGATATAGGGCTATCGAACAGAGAATTTTTTTCTATCAGCACTCCAGCTTCTATTCTACACTGTATGAACTTGGATGGAATATCTTACTGGCTTCTATTTAGAATGCCCAATTCATAATGATTTAAAGACAAATTTGGATGCCTTCCATTGTATAATACTAGATGTGGGAAACATTTCCCAGTTAGATACAATGTCCATTCTAATAATACTGTCAGATAAAAGAGATGTAACTACTTCACATAAAGCTTGTGGATATATACCAACTTTTCTATAACCTTTTATCTTCATTTCATTAACCTTTACTTAGGCTCTATTAGGACTTAATGTGTTTTGTGTCTGTACAAGGTGATTGAGCCAAGAGACGCTTGCCTTTTTGCAAACTTTTATCTTGATTAATATCTCAATATTATCTGAGGAAAGCGTTAATAAATTTTCACATTGTGATTTCTGCATTTGTGCTTTGTAAACTACTCCAAACTGTGATAAATGGAGCAGATTGGCTTGGAAGTCTGAGGGTTCGGGAACTTTCTAGGGGTTCCATTAATTCTCCCAACTTCTGATGATATTGTATTAAAACCTTTATTTTAAGCACATTAATTTTCATTATAATCATCCTATTTTGTAATAACCATCTAAGGATTTCCTACTGCTTAAAAATCTCCACCTTCAACAAATTGAAAAGTGGTATAGCAGACAACAATATTATAAATTTCTCATTTGTTACTGTGTTAGTCTGTTCTCGTGCTGCCAATAAAGACATATCCAATACAGAGTAATTTATAAAGGAAAGAGGTTTAACAGACTCACAGTTCCACATGGCTGGGGAAGCCTCACAATCATGGCAGAAGGCAAGAAGGAGCAAATTCACATATCACAAGGTGGCAGGCAAGAGAACATTGAGACCCAAATGAAAGGGGTTTCCTTTATAAAATCATCAGATCAGGCCAGGTGTGGTGGCTCACACCTGTAATCCTAGTACTTTGGGAGACAAAGGTGTGCGGATTGCCTGAGTTCAGGAGTTTGAGACCAGCCCAGGCAATATGGTAAAACCCCATCTCTACTAAAAAAAAAATACAAAAAATTAGCTGGATGTACCAGCATGTGCCTGTAGTCCCAGCTGTTCAGGAAGCTGGGGCAGGAGAATGGCTTGAACCCAGGAGGTGGAAGTTGCAGCAAACCGAGATCGTGCCATTGCCCTCCAGCTTGGGAGACAGAGTGAGACTCCGTCTCAAAAAAAAAAAAAAAAAAAAAAATCAGATCTATTGAGACTCATTCACTACCACAAGAATAGTATGGAAAAAATTGCCCCCATGATTCAATTATCTCCCACCAGGTCCCTCCCACAACACATGAAATTATGGGAGCTACAATTCAAGGTGAGATTTGGGTGGAGACAAACCATATCATTCCGCCCTCAGCCTCTCCAAATCTCATGCCCTCACATTTCAAAACAAAGCATACCTTTCCAACAGTCCCCCAAAGCCTTAATTCATTTCAGCATTAATTCAAAAGTCCACAGTCCAAAGTCTCAGCTGACACAAGGCAAGTTCCTTCCACCTATGAGCCTGTAAAATCAAAAACAAGTTAGTTTCTTCCTCAATACATGGGAGTACAGGCATTGGGTAAATTCAGCCATTCCACATGGGAGAACTTGACAAAAACAAAGGGGCTACATGCCTCATGTGAATCTAAAATCCAGAGGGGCAGTCAAATATTAAAACTCCAAAATTATCTCCTTTGACTTAATGTCTTACATCCAGGTCACGCTAATGCAAGTAGTGGGTTCCCATGGTCTTGGGCAGCTTCACACTTGTGACTTTGCAGGGTAGGGCCTCCCTCCCTGCTACTTTACAGGCTGGCATTGAGTGTCTTCAGCTTTTCTAGGCACATAGTGAAAGCTATCAGTGAATCTACCATTCTGGGGTCTGGAGGATGGTGGCCCTCTTCTCACAGCTCTACTAGGTGGTGCCCCAGTGGCGACACTGGGTTGGGACTTCAACCCCACATTTCCCTTCTGACTACCCTAGCAGAGTTTCTGCATGAGGGTCCCGCCCATGCAGGAAACTTCTGCCTGGACATCTAGGTATTTCCATACATCCTCTGAAATCTAAGCACAGGTTCCCAAAACTCAGTTCTTGACTTCTGTACACCTGCAAGCTCAACACCCCAGAAAAGCTACCAAGGCTTGGGGCTTGCACCCTCTGAAGCAATGGCCTGAGCTATACCTTGGCCCCTTTTAGCCATGGCTGGAGCTGAAACAGCTTGGATGAAGGACATCATGTCCTGAAGCTGCCCAGAGCATGGGGGGCCCTAGGCCTGGCCTGTGAAACCATTTTCCTTCCTAGGACTCCAGGCCTGTGATGGGAGGGTCTGCCGTGAAGTTCTCTGATATGCCCCAGAAACATTTTCCCAATTTTCTTGATGATTAGAATTTGGCTTCTCATTACTTACATAAATTTCTGCAGACAACTTGAATTTCTGCCCAGAAAATGGGGTTTTCTTTTCTACTGCAAATTTTCCCAATTTGTGTGACCCACCTGTCAAGATATATCCATAGGTGTGAAGGGGTGGCCAGCACCTCAACACCTGTGGTTATATCTCATCAGGTGGGATGAGAGACTGAGAAAAGAAATCAGACACAAAGACAAAGTATAGAGAAAGAAAAGTGGGCCCAGTGGACTGGCGCTCAGCATACCAAGGACCTGCACTGGCACCAGTCTCTGAGTTCCCTCAGTTTTTATTGATTATTATTTTCATTATCTCAGCAAGAGGAATACAGTAGGAGAGCAGGGTGATAATAAGGAGAAGATCAACAGAAAAACATGTGAGCAAAAGAATCTATGTCACAATTAAGTTCAAGGGGAGGTACTATGCCTGGATGTGCACGTAGGCCAGATTTACATTTCTCTCCACCCAAACATCTCAGTGGAGTAAAGAATAACAAGGCAGCATTGCTGCCAACATGTCTCACCTCCCACCAAAGGGTGGTTTTTCTCCTATCTCAGAACTGAACAAATGTACAATCGGGTTTTATACCAAGACATTCAGTTCCCAGGGGCAGGCAGGAGACAGTGGCCTTCCTCTATCTCAATTGCAAGAGGCGTTCCTCTTTTACTAATCCACCTCAGCACAGACCCTTCATGGGTGTCGGGCTGGGGGACAGTCAGGTCTCTCATCCCATGAGGCCATATTTCAGACTATCACATGGGGAGAAACCTTGGAAAATACATGGCTTTCCACGGCAGAAGTCCCTGCGCTTTCTGCAGTGCATTGTGCCCCTGGCTTATCAAGACTAGAGAATGGCGATGACTTTTACCAAGCATACTGCTTGTAAACATTTTGTTAACAAGGCACATCCTGCACAGCCCTAGATCCCTTAAACCTTGATTCCACACAACACATGTTTTTGTGAGCTCGAAGTTGGGGCAAAGTGGCTGGGCAAAGTTACAAATTACCAGCATCTCAGCAAAGCAATTGTTCAAGGTACAGGTCAAAATGGAATTTCTTATGCCTTCCCTTTCTACATAGACACAGTAACAGTCTGATCTCTCTTTCTTTTCCCTACATATCCCCTTTTTCTTTTTGACAAAACCACCATCGTCATCATGGCCCATTCTCACTGGTCGCTGTCTCTCTGGAACTGCTGGATACACCTGTAGACTAACAACAGAGAGAACAGACCCACAAGGATTAATACAAAATTTGCAATAGTGGAACTTCCAATGGTTTTAACCCAAGTGACGGGGTTAAGATTTGTGAGGCTATCAGCAGCTTTCACCATTTCCTCAGTTTCTGGCACCAGATTTAACTGGGATTTTGATGCCTCAAAAATTTGTTCTTTTAATTTTGAAATATCTAAGGTAATATTATCTTCTCTTCCTTGTAGATGGTGTCTAACCGTGTCCCAGTGATATTCAGATTCATTACAGGCTCGAGGTTTAATACAAAAATCTGACATATTCCAGTCACAAGTCAATCTCCCATCCAAATGACAGTTTGTCTAAGATCATTAACTTGGTTTGCCAATTTTTTTATCTATTTGGGTCTGAGAATTCCACAATTTTGAAGAATTCTTTTGCCAATTATTGACATATTCTGCAGTTTGAAGACAGGAGTGTAAAGCAATTACAGCAGCCACAGCAGTAGCTGCGACTGCAATAAGGCCCATAATCATTGCAATCAAAGTAAAAATGAATCGTTTGGATCTAGTTAGAACTCCTTTTAATACTTCTGTTAACATATGGACAGATGGGGAAGCCTCCCACGTTCAGTCCATGGACACAGGAATCCACACGCCCTCTCTTGCCCTCACTAGCAGAATACGGTGCTGCCAATCAAAAGTTGAATCAATGCAAGTAAACAATCTGTAATTTTCACAGGTTATAGTTTAGGAATCTGGTTTAATAACTATGTTACCTACAACTAGCATATAAGGGGGTTTTCCACAACTTTGCAAAGGAATTTAAGTTAATAGTATAATATGGCTTATGATTTCTTGTTCCCATAACTTGATTTCCAGATCAAATTCTAATGTGGTGTGAGGCCACAGTAAGCTTCCATAATTCTGGATGTTCGGGACCAGTAACAGGAGTAACTAACTGTGGTCGAGGTGATGAAATTCCCTTTTCACCCCATTTCCATGGATAGGGTGATTCTAACCTTCTATAAACCTGGTCTAGCCTTTCAGTTAAATCACTATCATAGGCCAGATTAGTGGGCCAGACAGATGGGGCCTGTGAACATGAGTGAGTCTGGCCTGTACAATCATAATATAATTGGCCTCAAGGGGCCCAGTCTATAATAGTTCCAAATTTATTGTTTTGTAATACCATCGCAGTATCAGCCACACATTCTTCCTGAACTAAGACTTCTGGGTCTTTTGATTCTTTGCGAATTTCCTTGGGGCAAGGTTTTCCCTGAGGCCTAAATTTTAATGATCTTTAATAAGAAGAGTGCTATAAATTATTTATTTGTGACCCAAGTGACATTCCACTTACCATGTGATAAGTAAATTTACTGGTGGCACTGACAGTAGGTACTTCTACCAATCAATTTTGGGTTGTAGGCATTAAGAATCCTGGTGCCTTCCCCAGGCAAATAGGAAAATGATACCCAATGGAAATGTTTATCATCATTCCTTCTTCCTCAGGTTGGGCAGGGCCACGGTCATCTGTGGGGCCTGGCACTCATGCACTATTATTAGCATATACTTCAATAGGATTATCTATCCAAACGACTGCCCGAATTAAGGGCGGGAAAGGCACATAGGCCCAGTAAGTGTAATTAGCTGCAGCTGCTCCTGCAGACATAGGGAGACTTACCACCGTTGATACAATCATTAAAGCTGCAAGCAGCATATTCTCTGGAGTTTGTGTTACCCTTGTGTTCTTCAGGCTTTTTTCAGCTAACTGTGTCAGCTTTTTTAGTTGGGCCCAGGTCGGTGGCTCCGCTTTCTTGGTGGATGGCAACTTCCTCTGTTCTTCTGATATCACCATTTTATTCACCTGGCGAGTAGATGATGCTCGATTGCAGGTTTTCTGTCTCTGTGGAGGCACTTTTTTTGCATCTCCGATGGGTTCATTGTAGAATTTTAAATGCCTTGTGGGTATCCAAACAGGAAGCTGATTTTCTCCTGGTGAAACACAAGCAAAACCTCTCCCTCATGTTATCATCTTACCTATTTCCCATGTCTTATTTTTCATGTCTTTCCACCAATTCAGTTTTCCCTCATGTGGTCTGTTCTTTTTACCAGTAAAATGTTGTTCTGCAGAAGTAGTGGTCTGATTTCTATAAATGTTTAAAAAATTTAAAGTATAGTGTGCTAGATAGATTAAGTTGCATCTGGGAAGTGTTACACTTCTACTCTCTTTTTCCTTTTTTTTATTTAACCAATTGAGCTTTGAGTGTTCTATTAGTTCTTTCAATTATGGCCTGCCCTTGGGAATCATAAGGGATTCCTGTTTTATGTGTAATTTTCCACTGATTTAAGAAGTTTTGAAATGCTTTACTACAGTATCTTGGCCCATTATCCGTTTTAATTTTTTCTGATACTCCCATGAGAGCAAAACAAGATAATAAATGTCTTTTAACATGGGAAGTACTTTCTCCTTTCTGGCAGGTTTCCCATACAACATGTGAATAAGTATCAACTGTCACATGGACAAATGACAATTTTCCAAATGAGGTACATATGTGACATCCATTTGCCATAAAGCATTAGGACTTAGACTTCTGGGATTAAGTCCTTCCTCCTGAGTGGGCAGGTGTAGGACTTGACACTGAATGCAATGTTGTACAATATTTTTTGCCTGTTTCCATGTGATATCAAATTTATTTTTTAGTCCTGATGCATTTACATGAGTCAAAGCATGAAGTTCTTGTGCTTTTATGAATGCAGATGATACTAGCGAGTCAGCTTGTTCATTTGCTTTAAAGGCCCTGGTAAATTAGTATGTGCTCTAATATGAGTAATATAAAATGGGAAATTTCTTTTTCTTACAGTTTGTTGTAATAAATTAAACAGCTGGTTTAAGTGATCATCCATGCTATATTTGATTAGGGCTGTCTCAACATCCTTTTTAGCTTGTACTACATATGCAGAATCTGAAACAATGTTAATAGGCTGATTAAAATCTTGTAACACTGAAATAACAGCAACCAACTCTGCTCTTTGAGCTGAGTGACATTGAGTTTCAATGACTCATTCTTTTGGCCTGTGTAAGCCACTTTTCCATTGCTGGAACCATCAGTAAACACCGTCAGAGCATTTTCTAAAAGTTTATGTCTGGTAATTTTAGGTAAAATCCAAGTAGTCAATTTTTAAAAATGGAAGATTTTTGTTTTTGGGTAGTGATTATCAATAATTCCCACAAAATCGGTAAGACCAATCTGTCATGCACCAGAATTGACAACGGCTTGTCTAACCTGTTCCTTGTTTAAAGGAACAATGATTTCATCTGGGTCACTTCCACACGATTTTACTATTCATAGTCTTGCCTGACCAATTAATGCAGCCATTTCATCTAAATACAATGTAAAAGTCTTAATTATACTGTGAGGAAGGAATGACCACCGCACAAGGTCTGTATTTTGAAAAATAATGCCCGTTGGAGACTGTACAGTACACAAAGTATAGAGAAAGAAAAGTGGGCCCAGGGGACCAGCACTCAGCATACCAAGGACTTGCACTGGCACCAGTCTCTGAGTTCCCTCAGTTTTTGTTGATTATTATTTTCATTATCTCAGCAAGAGGAATGTGTCGGACAGCAGGGTGATAATAAGGAGAATGTCAGCAAAAAGCATGTGAGCAAAAGAATCTATGTCATAATTAAGTTCAAGGGGAGGTACTATGCCTGGATGTGCACGTAGCCAGATTTATGTTTCTCTCTGCCCAAACATCTCAGTGGAGTAAAGAATAACAAGGCAGCATTGCTGCCAAAATGTCTCACCTACTGCCATAGGGCAGTTTTTCTCCTATGTCAGAATTGAACAACTGTACAATTGGGTTTTATACCGACATATTCAGTTCCCAGGGGCAGGCAGGAGACAGTGGCCTTCCTCTATCTCAACTGCGAGAGGCTTTCCTCTTTTACTAACCCACCTCAGCACAGACCCTTCACGGGTGTCGGGCTGGGGGACAGTCAGGTCTTTCTCATCCCAGGAGGTTATATTTCAGACTATCACATGGGGAGAAACCTTGGACAATACCTGGCTTTCAAGGGCAGAGTACCCTGCAGCTTTCCACAGTGCATTGTGCCCCTGGTTTATTGAGACTAGAGAATGGCGATGACTTTTACCAAGCATACTGCTTGTAAACATTTTGTTAATAAGGCACGTCCTGCACAGCCCTAGATCCATTAAACCTTGATTCCATACAACACATGCTTTTGTGAGCTCAAAGTTGGGGCAAAGTGGCTGAGGTAAAGTGGCTGAGGCAAAGTGGCTGGGGCAAAGTTACAAATTACCGGCATCTCAGCAAAGTAATTGTTCAAGGTACAGGTCAAAATGGAATTTCTTATGTCTTCCCTTTCTACATAGACACAATAACAGTCTGATCTCTCTTTCTTTTCCCTACAATCTGTGATGGGAGGGTCTACCGTGAAGTTCTCTGATAAGCCCCAGAAACACTTTCCCCATTTTCTTGATGATTAGCATTTGGCTCCTCATTACTTATGTAAATTTCTGCAGCCAACTTGAATTTCTCCCCAGAAAATGGGGTTTTCTTTTCTACTGCATTTTCAGACTGCAAATTTTCCCAACTTTTATACTCTGTCACCTCTTGAATATTTTGCTGCTTAGAAGTTTCTTCCACCAGATACCTCATATCATCTCTCTCAAGTTCAAAGTTCCACATATCTCTAGGCCAGGGGCTAGATGCCACCAGTCTCTTTGCATAGCGCAATTGACCTTTACTCCATTTCCCAACACATTCCTCAACTCCATCTGAGTCCACCTCAACCTGGATTTTATCATTCATATCATTATCACACTTTGGTCAAAGCCGTTCAACAAGTCTTAAGGAAGTTCCAAACTTTTCCACATCTTCCTGTCATCTCAGCCCACCAAACTGTTCCAACCTCTGCCTGTTACCCAGTTCCAAAGTTGCTTCCACATTTTCTGGTATCTTTATAGCAGTGCCCTATGGCCTAGTACCAATTTACTGTATTGGTCTTTCTCATGCTGCTAATAAAGATATGCTCAAGACTGAGTAATTCAAAAAGGAACGAAGTTTAATGACTCACAGTTCCACATGGCTGGGGAGACCTCACAATCATGGTGGAAAGGAAGGAGGAGCAAAGTCACATCTGATATGATGGCAGGCAAGTGAGTATTGAGACCCAAGCAAGAGATGTTGCCCTTTATACAACCATCAGATCTCAAAAGACTCATTCACAACTATGAGAAAAGTATGGAGGAAATTGATATGGCAGCAGGCAAGTGAGTATTGCGGCCCAAGCAAGAGATGTTGCCCTTTATACAACCATCAGATCTCAAAAGACTCATTCACAACTATGAGAAAAGTATGGAGGAAACTGATATGGCAGCAGGCAAGTGAGTATTGCGACCCAAGCAAGAGGTGTTGCCCTTTATACAACCATCAGATCTCATAAGACTTATTCACTACTATGAGAAAAGTATGGAGGAAACTGCTCCTATGATTCAGTTATCTCCTACCAGGTCCCTCCCACAACACATGGAATTATAAAAGCTACAAATCAAGATGAGATTTGGGTGGGAACACAGCCAAATCATATCAGTTAGTATCTATAGGTTGTTAAAATCTTGTGCATTGCCTCATAGTAAAATTCAGATGAAGAAAAAGCAAAATCTTACGCAAATGAAGCTCTTCAACACAGGAGCAGATACAGTTCATAACAAGGTGAGATTAGAGTTGTTTCATTGTGTCTGCAGCCTCACTACTGGTCACTTCTCTGATCTCTAAAGGTATGATCAGAATTTACATATTAGCAGGTTGAATTTTTGATTTCAGTAATAGCTACCTTAGTTTTAAGTAGAGAGAGTTTGTTGAGCCCGTGTGTATCTTTCTACTATTGCCACTCTATACAGCACTGGAGTGGCCAGGTAGTTGGTTCTTCCCCTATGGTGATATTAATTTTTACCAATCCAAAGTATATAAAAATCTATCATTGATTTAATTAGCAAATACTAAATTTTTAATCTAATTGCCTATTTTTGTTTATGATTCAGTCAGGTTTTTCTTTTTTTTTTTTTACACTTTCCTACTCTTGTCCTTTCATTTTTTTATTTATTAATTATTATACTTTAAGTTTTAGGGTACATGTGCACAATATGCAGGTTGGTTACATATGTATACATGTGCCATGCTGGTGCGCTGCACCCACTAACTAACTCGTCATCTAGCATTAGGTATATCTCCCAATGCTATCCCTCCCCCCTCCCTCCACCCCACAACAGTCCCCAGAGTGTGATGTTCCCCTTCCTGTGTCCATGTGATCTCATCGTTCAATTCCCACCTATGAGTGAGAATATGTGGTGTTTGGTTTTTTGTTCTTGCGATAGTTTACTGAGAATGATGATTTCCAATTTCATCCATGTCCCTACAAAGGACATGAACTCATCCTTTTTTATGGCTGCATAGTATTCCATGGTGTATATGTGCCACATTTTCTTAATCCAGTCTATCATTGTTGGACATTTGGGTTGGTTCCAAGTCTTTGCTATTGTGAATAATGCCACAATAAACATACGTGTGCATGTGTCTTTATAGCAGCATGATTTATAGTCCTTTGGGTATATATCCAGTAATGGGATGGCTGGGTCAAATGGTATTTCTAGTTCTAGATCCCTGAGGAATCGCCACACTGACTTCCACAATGGTTGAACTAGTTTACAGTCCCACCAACAGTGTAAAAGTGTTCCTATTTCTCCACATCCTATTTAATAAATGGTGCTGGGAAAACTGGCTAGCCATATGTAGAAAGCTGAAACTGGATCCCTTCCTTACACATTATACAAAAATCAATTCAAGATGGATTAAAGACTTAAACGTTAGACCTAAAACCATAAAAACCCTAGAAGAAAACCTAGGCATTACCATTCAGGACATAGGCATGGGCAAGGACTTCATGTCTAAAACACCAAAAGCAATGGCAACAAAAGCCAAAATTGACAAATGGGATCTAATTAAACTAAAGAGCTTCTGCACAGCAAAAGAAACTACCATCAGAGTGAACTGGCCACCCACAAAATGGGAGAAAATTTTCACAACCTACTCATCTGACAAAGGGCTCATATCCAGAATCTACAATGAACTCAAACAAATTTACAAGAAAAAAACAAACAACCCCATCAAAAAGTGGGCAAAGGGCATGAACAGACACTTCTCAAAAGAAGACATTTATGCAGCCAAAAAACACATGAAAAAATGCTCACCATCACTGGCCATCAGAGAAATTCAAATCAAAACCACAATGAGATATCATCTCACACCAGTTAGAATGACAATCATCAAAAAGTCAGGAAACATCAGGTTTTTCATTCATGTACTGCACACATTTTTTTCTTCTGGTATTGTCTACAGAGTCTTCCTTGACACAGATAAATTATAAAGGGTAAATTTGTAATTTGTGAAAAAATTTTAGGTCATGATGACAGTGGCTCAGAGTAATTGGCAGAGAAACAAGATCAATGAAGCTCAGATAAACTGGTAAAAATTTAATGAGAAATCCTAGGTCTATGAGAAGGTTGTCTTTGGAGCTGGATTGGTAAAGTAAAATGAGGACATGCAGGTTGCAAGAGTCAAGATAGAATGAAACCAAAATTGAGATAAAATCAAAATTGAGATAAACACATGAAATATTTCACAAATACTTCAGTGAAACATAGCATGAATGATTAAGACCAGTAAAACAATTAGAAATAAGAGAGTTTTGGGAATAAAGCAGGCAATCGGGAGAGCACTAATTCAGCTTTTTTTTCTTTTTTAACAAATAACACTTTTATATTTTAATCAGCTTAGTGGCAATTCCTAGAGTATTAGGTGATTCCTATTGGGGCTCTATGAGTCAAGATTCAGGGAGAAAAATAGAAAGATTCACTAGTTCTTTCTACTGCTGTTATTGTTTGTTCTTTTGTTCATTCATTCAGTTCCATTTTATTTCATGTTATCAATTACATTTTAGTGTAACCAGTGAGTTTATTTCTAATTTCTAGAATTGATGTGTTTCTTTTTATGTTTATGGTTCTCGTCATTTTCCATACATATATTATATGAACTATTTTTCATCTCTGGACATTTGAACTATGTTTATTATAAAACATCATTTTGATTTATTTTCTATATCTATAATCCTTTGGTGCAAATGTTACTATTATACATAGTATATAGTTGTATACTATTGTAAACTATTGTATATTGTATATAGTTGTATACTATTGTATATTGTATATAGTTGGTTATTTCTTCATTTGGTTTTCATTAGTTAATCTTCAACAGGTATTGATTTCTGCAAACATTCTTCATATTCTGCATTGTGAGAACATCAGAATAATTTATTGATTGCCTCTGCTGTAACCTAGGCAGATCACTTTCATTACAATTTGGCTTTTCTTGTCATTTTTTTTACAATTTATTGTTACAATTAATTTTTATAGCAGAAATTCCCTGAACTCTGTAGATACATTTTTTTCCTAGTTTTAAGGTCTTTGTCTCATTTTGATTCCTTCCAAAACCACTTCTTTTTATAGCTCCTACAAGCATCTATCCATGGAACTTCCCCTAATGCTACCAAGTAGTGGTTGTATACTTGATTGTGTATGTTGTTCTGTGTCATCTTTTCTTTACTATGTGGACATATTTGGAGCAATTGTCTAAAAGACACTCTAATGAGACTCCTTCAGGATGCTTGCTGTAGTTCCTATGCCTAGTAAGGAGCTCTGCAGAGAAATTTTTAGTTAACCTAATTCTAGTGAATGCCTAGTTACTTTTCCCTTTTTAAATTTCAACTTTCTGCAAAGAGGGTATAAGTAAAGATAGCAAGATATTATGAGAGTGTCTCCTATTAATTTTTCTTCCCTTATCATGGGAGACAAGTAAAAGCAATCAATCATCTGCCTTGTGATCTCTGAAGAAAACCAGAGTTTGCAGCTGAGTTCATAAATCTCTTCCTGAAAATGGAGTAGGACATTCAGGCATTATAAGAAAAGCATGCGAAAAAACAAGAGTCCCTGAAGAGCAGCTTGGAGGATAGGGAAAATGGAGTCTATGAGCTCGTCCGTTTATCCCCATGACCACAGAGTCTTGGGATGATAATGGCCCATTATGATGAGTCAAAACAGAGTAAGAAGCACCCATGTCCAAAAGGAAATTAATATTGTTACCTGTCACATCAATGATTACCCGAAGCTCCTCTGGAGATATGGCTAATTGTCCAATGGGAGCTGTGACAGAAGCTCTAGGGCCCTGTCACTCTTGAACTGCCATCATTTGTTCAGGGGCCAAAGACTCACTTTGGAGTGCTGGGTGTTCCCTCTTTCAATAGCCAATTTTATGACAGTGAGCACATTGATTTACACCCAAGGTGCAGTGCTTAGAACCCCAGCTTGTGGCTTTCTGCCTTCCAGCTTCCTTTGCCATGGCTAAGAAGTGTAAGGATGATCTCACGTGGTTGGTAAGCTTAATGCTGCAGCTAAAAACTGTGCCTTTTAGGAGGCTCTCTTAAGTTTTTCACTTCCTCTGCCATGTATCTGTTATTAAGAACCATAAATGCCATACTGAAAAGTTGATTCATAGATGTCTGCAGACCCAGGCTGCTTTTTGTAGTTTCTGACAGACATCAGTGGCAGACTGGGTTATAAAATACAGCCCCAGTAAGGTTTGTCCTTCCATTGAAATGGGATCAATTTTAGTATATTTTCTAATTGCCTCAACCAAATTTCCCTGAAATAATGCTGGATTCTCATCTTTACCTTGAGTAATTTCTTTCACCTTATAATAATTAAGAGACTTTTTCACACATCTCTCCTCTCTTTTAATAACCAAGTAATCATATGATCTCTCTTCTGTAAGCCCTCCTATTTCTTTGATAGTTCAATCCTAGATCTTAATCAGGCACTGAAATACCCCTTGTTCTATAGATATCATTAGGATTGCAGGCTAGTACTTTGTCTGAATGTATTCTAGCTAATCCCAAAATTCATTGTTTTTCTTCCACTGTACAACATGTGGATAACAAAATATGAAAATCCTACCAGGTCAAATTATAAGTCAGCATTAGCTTCTCAAATTTATCTATACATTTTCCTGGGTCTTCAGAGAAATAACCTTTACATAAGACCAAAAAAAAAACATGGGGAAAGGGACCTTATAGTGCGCTCTTCCCCATTTGCCACTTCTCTAAGCCAACAAAGATTTTCCTTTGGAGACTGAGAAGAGGCTCCACTCTGGGTAGTACTAGCAAGGCTGGCCTCCTCAGGGAGTGACAGTTACAGAATAGGACTGGGCCTCTCAGAATGAGGTAGGTATAAAATTAGACTAGACGGGTAAGGAGAAGGGAATGAAAGTGTCTAAACAGGACTACTAGAAGGGCTAGAAGAGACAGAGGGAGATGCACCTGAAGCATTAGAGCTGACACAGGGAGGTACTGTTCCACCCAAAGGCACCCATTGGACTCAGGGGACTTGCATTAAAGGGTCATCTAGTATATCTAATTCCTTTTCTTTCCTTCCTTTCATTAAACATGCACACGCTTGCTGTAAAGTTTCATCCTGACTAAGCAATAAAAATGCTTGAACATATGGTATTTTACCTCATTTTCTCTCCCACTTGCAAAACAAATCAAGTTGATGTATAATATTAAAGGCTGTGGTTCCATTAGGTGGCCATTTATCTTGATATTCCAAATCATAATGAGGCCAAACAGTATTACATAAAAATGTCAATTTATTTTTCTTAAGCTCACCTAATTGAAATTTGTTCCAATGCTCTACTAGACATCCTAGTGGAGAACTCAGAACTCTTCAGGATCAAAGCTGTATTACACAGGAGCAGAGCAGGTGAAGGTAGAGATCCTTGTGAACAAGGTAGTGCTGCCACAGGGCAAGCTTCACTAAAAAGGATAAAGGAGCTTTCAGAGCTAAACAAGCAAGGGAAAATGATTCAGTAGTTGACTTAATTCTGGCATTCTTGTTAGTCGCATAATATAAATGAGCTGAGTCACCTGAACTAGAGAATCTACAATAGAGGGCCTGACCAAAGAAATGTCACACTAAGTAAGGGAAATGATATGCATCCAGAGAGGAATGTCCAGGTTAAGGATAGTAATGGTAAGTAGGGTAAAACTTACATGATCATGCTGTTCATAATCAAGAAATAAAGGTCAGTTGATTAGTGAGGGGATGAAAAAGAATTTCCAAAAAGAAATCTCCAGTTCTCCTTCTGGGAGCTGTTCACCCATGGGAGATTGGCATAATTGCTACTGGGCTAAATCGTGCACACTGGACCAAAACTTGTAAGTACCAAATTTCAATTAATCTTTTGAGAGATGAGACAATAAATAATTCATTCGAATGGGCTAGATATAGGGAAAGTAAATCTTGCAGAGCCATTCATCTCTAATGTCTTTTAGCAACATGCCGAAGCACACAAGTAAAGGGCCACTAATCCAAAGACAAATGAGGAACGTGAAAGTTAAAAATCTCAGGACCATCAAGCAAGGTCTCTGCAAAGAAACAGTAAGTATAGTCAGCAGTCAGAAAATTGGCAGACAGCAGACAGTCTTTAGTGAATGACAGAGAGCACAGGGAGGGCTAATTGAAAGGGAGTAGTAATTAACATTTTGTAGCATTGAACCCATTTCTTGTTGTGAAGGGCTTCTAACCCCCTTAGCTTTCGGAAAGGCCTCTAAACCTCTTATCTGTCAGAAGGGCCTCTAACTGTCCTAAGTTGGGCCTCTAAACCGATTTTGAACAGTGTCTCTGTTCGAGTATAAAAATATGTTCCACCACTTACCCAAATCAGCCAATTGGTGTTGCATAGTCTATTTCCTTTGGGTTGGAATCTCACCTCATTTAGGTCCCAGCAGAGTCACCAGAGGAAAATATTACTGGAAAAGTGGTCTTGTCCCAGACGTTAAGGGTGGGTTTGTGGATCTCATGTGGGAAAGAATGCAAGGTGAGTCGCAGAGTACAGTAAAATTAACAGTTTGTTAGAGACTACTCTATTACAGAATAGGGCATCCTCAGAAAGCAAGAAGAGAAATACCCCTACCTTAAACTTAGTGCTTGCTTATATAGGTTGTTAAGAATACTGTACTTTATTACAAAGGTTTGTGATCAGCTTGTGACAGGCTATTAATATTGTTATTTTCCTATGTATTATTGATTTCAGCAAGATTTTACAAGTGGGCTAGTTTTTTAAAGGAAAACTAATTCTTAAATTAAGAAGTTTTTGTTTTCAAACTATTGGGACATTTTCATAAGTTCTGGGTCTTTATTTAGTTAATTATCATCATTAACTCATTCCCTCAACCATGAGTATCTTGTAACCAAGAGTGCTCAATCCCCTGGGAATGTAACCTGGCAGGTTTGACCTTGTCTGACTTATTCAAGGTGGAATCACTCTGGTTAGAATGCCTCTGACAGTTTGTGTGACTCAGTTCCCAAGCTAAACTTTTTTCCCTTTGGCATAGTGACTTTAGGATCTTGATTCTTTATTTTTCTTTCACACTAGCAAACAGAACCCTAGCATGTGCAAAAAGCTTTGGACATACAGAAGGGAATTTTATGCCAGAAATGCAAACTAACTTTAACCAGAAGGGAATTTTATGCCAGAAATGCAAACTAACTTTAACATCTCAAAAAACTGGTGAATATGTAATATCATTAGAATAAGGACAATAACTGCATAATCATTTTAATAAAGGCAGAAAAAATCATGTGATTAATGCAATACCTTTCAGAAACATCCTTAAACTGACAAATAGTATCTATAAATAAAACACACACTGACACCGCACTTAATGGAGAAAGACTAAATTGGCTTTTCTCACTTCCATTCAACACTGTATTAGAGGTTCTAGATAAGATAAATTGGTTTAAAAAATGAAAGAATAAAAGACTCCATACTAGAAATAAACAAGTTAAGCTATCTTTATTGGCTTTTGTCATAATGTTATAATAGTAAACATTTACAAATCCGCTAGAAAAATATTAGAGCAGTAAACCAATAAAGCAAGGTTTTAGGATATAGGATCAATAAAAAAAAAGTTATTTCTCCCTAATTGCAATAAAAATTTAGGCTAAAATAACGATTAAAACAATCACAATTAAAATAGCACAAAAATACAGTTCGTGAATAATTTTTTTCTCTTTTTTTTTTTTTTTTTTTTGAGATGGAGTCTCACTCTGTAGCCCAGGCTGGAGTGCAGTGGCATGATCTCGGCTCACTGCAACCTTCACCTCCTGGGTTCAAGCAATTCTCCTGCCTTGGCCTCCTGAGTAGCTGGGGTTACAGGCATGCACCACCACACCTGGCTAATTTTTGTATTTTTAGTAGAGACGGGGTTTCACCATGTAGGTCGGGCTGATCTCGAACCCCTGACCTTGTGATCTGCCCACCTAGGCCTCCCAAAGTGCTGGGATTACAGGTGTGAGTCACCACGCCTGGCCATCAATAAATTTAACAAAAGGAGAGTAAAACTTGCCCTGTGAAATCTACAAAACATTATGGAAATAAATTAAATGATATCTAAATAAATGAAAAGGCATCTTATACTCATGTATTGAAACACCTAATATTGTGACAATGCCCATACTCTGCTCCCCAAATTGTTATGCAGATTCAATTCAATCCCTATTAAAATCCCAGATAACTTCTTGCATAAATTGACTAGCTGATTCTAAAATGTATGTAGATATGTAGGAGACAGTAATAACTGAAACAATTTAGATGTAGTGGCATGCACCTGTAGCCCCAGCTACTCAGGTGGCTGAAATTCATTGATTGCTGGAGCCCAGGACTTCTAGTTCAGCCTGGGAAATGTAGTGAGACCCCTGCCTTAAAAAAAAAAAAAAAAAAAAAAAAAAGCTAGAAGAAAAAAAAATAGCTGAAACAATTTAAAATAAAAAACAAAGTTGGAAGGCTTACACTTTCTGCTTTTAAAGACAAATACCAATATACAATAATCAAGAGAGTGTGATACAGACATAAGGTAGGCATACAAATCAGTGTAATAGATTTTGGAATCTAGGAATATACTCACGCATTTATGGTTTTTGACCAAAGTGCCCAATTTAATGAGTCAAAGAATAGATTATTCAACAAATGTAATTGAGAAAACTGATTATCCATATACGAAATAATAGAGGTTGGCCCCCTACCTCAAACCACTTACAAAAATTAACTCAAAATAAGTTAAAAGCTAAATGTAAGCAATAGAACTGTAAAACTCTAATAATGAAACATGGTTGCTAATGTCCATGATTTTGCATTTGGGGATAGTTTAGTAGATATGACACTAAAAATAAAAGTGACCCAATTCAAGTTGATTCATAGGATTTCATCAAAATTAATATTTTTGTGTTTCAATGGACATCATTAAGAAAGTAAAAAGACAACCAAAAAAATAAGATAATATACTTGGATATCATATATGTGACAAGGGACTTATGTCAAAAATTTATTAAATGCATAAGTCCATAAAAGGAGGACAAATAATCAAAATGGGCAAAGTATCAAAATAGAAATTTTTCTAAGAAAATATATAATGGGAAATTAGCACATAAGAATGCTCAATATTGTTAGATATGAAGGAAATATAAATCATAATGAGATATCACTTCACTCACACTGGCTGTAATCAAAAAACATAGGATAACAACCATTGACAAGGTTATGGAGACATTAAAGCCATCATGCATTGGTGGTGAGAATGGAAAATAATTCTGCCACTGTGAAAAACAGTTAGCAATTCCTCAAAAGGTTACATATACATTTACCATGTAATCCAGTAATTCCACTTCTAGATATACACCCAAGAGAAATAAAAATATGTCCACAGAAAACTTGTACATAAATGTTAATCAATATTATTCATAATCATCAAAAATGGAAAAAATCTATGTCTACCAACTGATAAATGAACAAATAAAATGAGTATATATGCACTTTGGAGTACTATTTGACAATAGAAAGAAATGAAGTCCTTATATACACTCTTCCATGGGTGAACCTTTAATACATTATGCTAAGCACAAGAAGCCACTCACTAAAGACCATACATTGTATGATTTCATTTTTTAAATTTTTTTTATTTTTCCATAGGTTTTTGGCGTGCAGGCGGTATTTGGTTACATAAGTTCTTTAGTGGTGATTTGTGAAATCCTGGTGCACCCATCACCCAAGCAGTACATACTGTACCACATATGTTGTCGTTTATCCCTTGCTTCCTCACACTCTTCTGCTCAAGTCCCTAAAATCCATTGTAACATTCTTATGCCTTTGTGTCCTCATAGCTTAGCTCCCACATTATCATTGAGAACAGATGATGTTTGGTTTTCCACTCCTGAGTTACTTCACTTAAAATAATAATCTCCAATCTCATTCAGATCATTGCAAATGCTACTAATTCATTAATTTTTATGGCTGAGTAATATTCCATCATATGGATATACCAGTTTCTTTATCCACTCATTGACTGATGGACATTTGGGTTGGTTCCATAATTTTGTAGTTGTGAATTGTGCTACTATAAACATGCATGTGCAAGTATCTTTTTTGAATAATGACTTCTTTTCCTCTGGGTAAATACCCAGAAGTGGGATTGCCAGATCAAATGGTAGTTCTTTTAGTTCTTTAAGGAATCGTCACACTGTTTTCCATAGTGGCTGTACTAGTTTACACTCTCACCAGCAGTGTAGAAGTGTTCCCTGATCACTGCATCCATGCCAACATCTACTGTATTTTGATTTTTTTACTATGGCCATTCTTGAAGGAGTAAGGTAGTATTGCATTGTGGTTTTGATTTGCATGTGCCTGATCATTAGCGATGTCGAGCACTTTTTTCATATGTTTCTTGGTCATTTGTATACTTATTTTGAGAATTGTCTATTCATGTCCTTAGCCCACTTTTTATTGGGGTTTTTTTTTTCTTACTGATTTGTTTGAATTCGTTGTAGATCCTGGATATTAGTACTTTGTCAGATGTATAGATTGAGAAGATTTTCTCCCACTCTGTGGGTTGTCTGTTTACTCTGCTGCCTGCTCCTTTTGCTGTGCAAAAGTTAGTTTAATTAGATCCCAGCTATTTAGCTTTGGTTTTACTGCTTTTCTTTTGGGTTTTTGGTCATGAAATCCTTGCCTAAGCCAACGTCTAGAAGGGTTTTCCCAATGTTACCTTCTAGAGTTACAGTTTCAGGTCTTAGGTTTAAGTCTTTAATCCATTTTGAGGTGATTGTTGTATAAGGTGAGAGATAAGGATCCAGTTTCATTCTCCTACATGTGGCTAGCCAATTATCCCAGTACCATTTGTTGAAAAGGGTGTCCTTTCCCCACTTTATGTTTCCGTTTACTTCATCAAAGATCAGTTGGCTGTAAGTATTTGTGTTGTTTTGGGGTTCTCTATTCTGTTCCATTCATCTATGTGCCTGTTTTTATACCAGTACCACTCTGTTTTGGTGACTATGGCCCTAGAGTACAGTTTGAAATCAAGTAGTGTGATGGCTCCAGATTTGTTCTTTTTGCTTAGTCTTGCTTTGGCTGTGTGGGCCCTTTTTTGGTTCCATATGAATTTTAGAATTGTTTATTCTAACTCTGTGAAGAATGATCGTGGTATTTTGATGGAGATTGCATTGAATTTGTAGATTGCTTTTGGCAGTATGATCATTTTCACAATATTGATTCTACCCATCCATGAGCATGGGATGTTTTTCCATCTGTTTGTGTCATCTATGATTTCTTTCAGCAGTGATTTGTAGTTTTCCTTGTAGACAGGTCTTTTGACTCCTTTGTTAGGTATATTCCTAAGTATTTTACTCTACTTTACTTTTTTGCAGCTATTGTAAAAGGGGTTGAGTTCTTGATTTGATTCTCTGCTTGGTTGCCTTTGGTGTATAGAAGATCTACTCATTTGTGTACATTAATCTTGCATCTGGACACTTTGTGGAATTCCTTTACCAGTTCTAGGTGCTTTCTGGAGGAGTCCTTAGGATTTTCAAGGTAAACAATGATATTGTTAGCAAACAGGGACAGTTTGACTTCTTCTTTACTGATTTGGATGTCCTTTATTTCTTTCTCTTTTCTGATTGCTCTGGCTAGGATTTCTAGTACTATGTTGAAGAGGAGTGGTGAGAGTGGGCATCCTTGTCTTCTTCCCTTTCTCAGAGGGAACGCTTTCAACTTTTTCCCATTCAGTATTACGTTGGCTGTGGGTTTGTCATAGATGGCTTTTATTATATTAAGGTATTCCCCTGTATGTCAGTTTTGCTGAGAGTTTTAATCATAAAATGATGCTGGATTTTGTCAAACACTTTTTCTGCATCTATTGAGATGATCATGTGATGTTTGTTTTTAATTCTGTTTATGTGATGTATCACATATATTGACTTGTGTATGTTAAACCATCCCTGCATCCCTGGTGTAAAACTCACGTTATCACGGTGGATTATCTTTTTGATATGTTGTTGGATTCGGTTAGCTAGTATCATGTTAAGGATTTTAGCATCTATGTTCATTAAGGATATAGGTCTGTAGTTTCCTTTTTTGGTTGTGTCCTTTTTTGGTTTTGGTTTTAGGGAGATGCTGGCTTCATAGAATGAATTAGGGAGGGTTCCTCTTTTCTCTGTCTTGTGGAATAATGTCAAAAGGATTGGTGCCAATTCTTCTTTGAATGTCTGGTAGAATTCTGCTGTGAATCTGTCTGGTCCTGGACTTTTTGTTGTTGGTAATTTTTAAATTACCATTTCAACCTTGCTGCTTCTTATTGGTATGTTCAGTGTATTTAATTCTTCCTGATTCAAGTTAGGAGGCTTGTATTTTTCCAGAAATTTATCCATCTCTTCTAAGTTTCTAGTTTATGTGCATAAAGGTGTTCATAGCAGCCTTGAATGATCTTTTGGGTCCTGTGTGATTTATGTTTTAAAGATATTCTGTTTTGATGTGTTTCCAGAATTTGTTTCAAGATTTAGAGTTCCTTTAACAGTTCTTGTAGTGGTAGCTTGGTAATGGCGAATTCTGTCAGCATTTGTTTGTCTGAAAACGGCTATCTTCCCTTCATATATGATGCTTAGTTTCACTGGATACAAAATTCTTGGCTGATAATTGTTTGTTTGAAGAGGCTGAAGATAGGGCCCTAATCCTTTCTAGCTTATAGGGTTTCTGCTGAGAAATCTGCTGTTAATCAAATAGGTTGTCCTTTGTAGGTTACCTGGTGCTTCTCTCTCACAACTCTTAAGATTCTTTCCTTCATCTTTTTTTTTTTTTTATTTTGAGATGGAGTTTCACTCTTGTTGCCCAGGTTAGAGTGCAATGGCATGATCTCACCACAACCTCTACCTCTTGGGTTCAAGTGATTCTCCTGCCTCAGCCTCCCGAGTAGCTGGGATTAGAGGCATGTGCCACCGCACCCAGCAAAGTTTTGTATTTTTAGTAGAGACAGGGTTTCTCCATGTTGGTCAGGCTGGTCTCGAACTCCTGACTTCAGGTTGTCCACCCACCTCCGACCACCTGATCAGGTCTGGGATTACAGGCGTGAGCCAATATGCCCAGCTTCTTTCCTTCATCTTAACTTTGAATAACCTGATGAAAATGTGCCTAGGTGAAGATCTTTTTGTGATGAATTTCCCAGGTGTTCTTTGTGCTTCTTGTATAGGTCTCTAGCAAGACTGGGGAAGTTTTCCTCAATTATTCTCCCAAATATGTTTCCAAACTTTTCGAATTGTCTTCTTCCTCAGGAATACCGATTACTGTTAGATTTGGTTATTTAACGTAATCTTAGACTTCTTGGAGACTTTGTTCATATTTTCTTTTTCTTTTTTCTTTTTCTTTATTGGAACAAGTTAATTGAAGACCTTGTCTTTGAACTCTGAATTTCTTTCATCTATCTGTTCTATTATATTGCTGAGACTTTCCTGAGCATTTTGCATTTCTAAAAGTGTGTCCAAAGTTTCCTGAATTTTTTATTGTTTTGTCTTTCAGCTATCTATTTCATTGAATATTTCTCTCCTCACTTCTTGTATTATGTTTTGGATTTCCTTGCATTGGGCTTTGCCTTTCTCTGTTCCCTCCCTGATTAGCTTCATAACTAACCTCCTGAATTCTTTTTCAGGTAAATCAGGGACTTCTTGGTTTAGGTCTGTTACTGGTGAACTAGTGTGATTTTTGGGGGGGGTATTAACGAGCTTTGTTTTATCATATTCCCAGGTTGGTTTTCTGGTTCCTTCTCATTTGTGTAGGCTCTGTCAGAGGGAAGGTCTAGGGCTGAAGACTGTTGTTCAGATTTTTTTGTCCTATGGGGTGTTCCCTTGTTGTGGTACTCTCCCCTTTTTTTGTGGATGTGGCTTCCTGTGAGCCAAATTACAGTGATTGTTGTCTCTCTTCTGGGTCTAGCCACCCAGCAAGTCTATCCAGCTCCAGGCTGGTACTGGGGGTTGTCTGCAGAGTCCTGTGATATGAAATATCTATGGATCTCTCAGCTGTGGATACCAGTGCCTGTTCAGGTGGAGGGTGCAAAGGACTCTGTGGGGGTCCTTAGCTTTGGTGGCTTAATGCTCTATTTTCTGCTGATTGGCCTTCTGCCAGGAGGTGGTACTTTCCAGAAAGCATCAGCTGTAGTATTGTGGAGAGGGACTGGTGGTGGTCACGGCCCTACAACTCCCAAGATTGTAGGTCCTCTGTCTTCTGCTACCAGGGGGGTAGGGAAGGACCACCAGGTGGGCCAGGTCCAGGCGTGTTTGAGCTCAGACCTTCCTTGGGAGGGCCTTGCTTTGGCTACTGCTGGGGATGGAGGTGAGATTCTCAGGTCACTGGAGTTGTGTACCTAGGTGGATTTTGGCTGCCTCTGCTGAGTCATGAGGTCGTCAGGGAAGTGTGGGAAAGCCAGCAGTCTCAGTTCTAACCCACCTCCCATGCACACTGAAGGGCCACTCCCACTTCCACCGTGGCCCCTGCAATAGTCCCGAGTCTTTTTCAAGGAGGAGGGAGAGTTGGACTTGAATATTTGCCTGAGATTTTCCACCTCCCAGCTGCAAAGAAAAGGGCTTTAGTTCTTCCCCTGCCTGTGAAGTCTGCAAGCTAGATTCATGCCCTCCCCCAATTTCTGGCCATGAGGCTTCTTGCCTGTTCAAATTGTTACAAAGTTCAGCTAGAGAAGTCCCTCTTACTGTGGAGTTTTACCCCTGTAATGTTCTTGTATCGGTTCAAACCCTGAGAGCATGCCAACAGAAACCACGAGGTGGTGTGGAGCAACATGCTGTTTTAATGAGCACCTGGGTGCAGGTGGGCTAGGGCCTAAAGGGGCGTCAGCCCCAAGTGAGGATGGGACAGGGGTTTTGTAGTCCTCTGTAAACAGTAAGTGTCCCAGTCTGATGTGACTGCTATGTAGTACCCAGACGGTCTCTTTCTTGATCTTCAGGGGTATGTGTCTTCCAGCCAGGGTAGGTGTCTTCCAGTTGGCTCTCTTCCTGCTTCTGCTATCTTTCTGATGCAAGCTGTTGACACAAATGGCTTTGCATCTTGGAACTGGGCCTGAGAGGAGGAGTTACTCATCCCTTCAAGCTTTCAGGCCCCAGGGAGAATCTTCCTGTTTATTTGGTTATAGAATAAAGGGAAAAGGGGTGACTTTCTCAGTAACTACTTCAGGCATGACACAGGGATTGGAGTGGGCACCTTGGAAAAAAAAAACTTAATTTTTGGGGTATTCTTGAGAGACAGGTTGGTATCCACCATGTCGCTGTAGCAGGAGCACCATCTGTATTGTCTGGAAACATGTCTGTGCCTGCAAGTCAGTTATGTTGAGAGGACCAGGAGGTGTCGACAGGGAGAGGCATGGCTCATTTGCTGCTTCACAAATGAAAGACCATGTCTGGATTAAGGAGGGGTGGTAATTTCTGAGTGGCTCAGAGTCTGGTAAGGGTGGAGGCCCCAAGACAAAATTTTGGTCATACATGATTTCAAAGGGACTATAAAAAGAGTGTGCTTTTGGTGTTGTGCAAAGTCTTATGAGGGCGAAAGGGAGATTTTTTTTGTCCACGACTGTTGGGTTTCTACAGCCAGCTTGGTGAGTTGGGCTTTAAAGACAGAGTTAATTTTTCTAACTTCGCCTGAAGATTGAGGCCTGTAGGGTGTGTGGAGAGCTTACTTTATTCTTAAGGATGTAGAGATGCCTCGGGTAATTTGGCTGATGAAGGCAGGACTGTTATCAGACTGGATGGATGTTGGGAGTCCAAAACGGGGAATTGCAGGTATGCATGATGAGTTTGTGCGATGACAGTTGCACCTTCTGAAGTTGTTGGGAATTCTTCTACCTACCCAGAGAAAGTACAGACAAGGACTAGAAGACTTGTCTTATGACAGGAGTATTGTTTGCAGTTAGGAAACCCCGTTCTTTCCAGATGGATGAGTGTGAGTGCACTACGTGGAGCGCATAATGAGAATTTGAATAAATTGATCTGTTTTCCGGATGCTAGAGTGAGAGCTGGAGTGAGGGCATTGAATTCAGCTTTTTGGGAGGTGGTGCCTAAGAGGAGCGGATTGGCTTCAATAGTGTTGGGGGGTGACACTATAGCATAGCCCCCATGTCAGTGTCCTTGATGTAGGAAGGAGCTGCCATGTACAAACCAAATAAAGGAGGCATCTGGAAGGGATTGGTCTGTTAGGTATGGAAAAGGTATAAGAAAGGTTTGAACAGTATTCACACAGAAGAGTGTAGAGTCTTGGGCAGTTGTAGCTTCAGGTAAGAGCATGGACAGGTTTAGATGGGAGGTGGTTAGCATGGTGATGTGGGGAGTTTCTATGAATAGAGCATACAGCTGGAGGAGCCGTGGGGCAGAGAAAAGACTTAGTACACTGCGGTGAGCTAACATGTCTTTGATGTTATGGGTTGAATAAACTGTTAGGTTGGCATGAAGAGATAGTATTAGGCTTTTAAGAGTGAGGAGAGCAGCTGCCACCAATGCTCAGGGGCAGGCAGGCCATCCAAGAACTGTGGTCTCAAGCTCTTTAGGGAGGTAGGCAACAACCTGGCCGGGTGGGCCCCTTAGACTGGGTTAGAACACCTAGTGCAACTCCACGCCATTCATCAGTATAAAGGGAGAAAGGTTTGGTGAAGTCTGGGAGAGTGAGGATGGGGGCTGAGATGAGAGACTTTTGGAGTAGATGGAAAGGTTGGGTAATAGGCTGTGCAGGTTTTAAAGGCTCATAGAGAGGGACTTTAACAGCTTCGTATAATTTTTTGGCAAGTAAAGCGAAGGAGGAAACCCAGAGCCTAAAATATCCCGCTAATCCTGGAAAAGAGAGAATTTCTTGCTTAGTTTGTGGAGGCGGGAGGGACTGAAGGAGGGAATATGTGGTCTGTTGTGAGCCCTTGCGTTCAGGAGTGAGAGCTAGGCCTAGATAGGTGACTGGGGGGTGCATATTTGGGCTTTCTTAGGGGAGACCTGATACCCCTGTTCTGCCAAGAGGTTTAAAAGAGAGATAGTATGTATGGGTGTTGCAGTCTCTTTGAGAGGGGCTACACAGGAGCAGATTATTAACATATTAAAGAAGAGAGGATGATTTTAGGGATAAAGTACAGAAGTTACTAGCAAGGGCCTGTCCAAAAAGGTGGGGGCTGTCTCTAAAACCTTGAGGTAGTACACACGAGGTGAGCTGACCTGAAAGGTGGGTGTCGGGGTTCTCCCAGGTAAAGGCAAAGAGATTTTGGGAATCAGGGTGTAAAGGAATTGTGAAAAAGCATCATTTAGGTTTAGAACAGAAAAATGGGTGGTATTCGAGGGAAGTGAGGAAAGTAAAGTATATGGGTTAGAAACTACTGGACACACTGGGAGTACAGCTTGGTTAATGAGCCTGAGGTCCTGGACTAAGTGATAAGTTCCATCTGGCTTTTTAACAGGTAGAACTGATGTGTTAAAAGGAGAGTTTGTTGGGCAGAGTAGGTGACTGGTGAGGAGGAGAGAAATGATAGGCTTTAGGCCTATGAGAGCTGCTTGGGGGATGAGATACTGCTTCTGTGATAGGAACGGGGTGGGCTCTTTAAGGGTGATGTGGATGGGGGTGTGGTGCTCTGTGACCGAGGGTGTGGAAGTATCCCAAACAGTGGGGTTAACTACAGGTGCGGGATAAGGAAAAGTTGCATGCTTCAGGGTGGGAGGTCGGAGGAGTAGAAGAAAGTTAGAAGCCTGTTAGAAGCCTTGGAGGGGTCTGGGTTGATGTGTTGGGTACTATGGGGAATGTGGAAGTGGAGAGTAGTGTGGAGTTTTGAAAGAATATCTCTGCCTAGGAGCAGAGCTGGGCATGAAGGCAGGACTAAGAAAGAGTGACTGAAGGAAAAGGTGTGCAGGGAGCAGAAAAGTGGAGGGGGGTCTTGGGGTTTGGAGACTTGTCCATTGATTCCCACAACAGAGACTTGGGAGGACTGGGTGGGTCCTGAAAATTTAGGTAAAGCAGAGTAGGTTGCCCCAATATTAATTAAAAAAAAAATACTGGCCTATCTGCCAACATCAAGGTTATCCTTGGCTCAGATGAAGCAATGGTAGTTGCTGGGGCATCTGTTCCAGGGCACTGTCAGTCTTCAGCGGCAAGGCTGATGAGATCCTAGTAGGAGGTTTTGGCCGGCTGGGGCAGGGATGGGGGCGGTCCTTGCTGGGGCACCTCACAGTCTGACTTCCAGTGGGGTCCTCCGCAGAGAGGGCACAGCCTGGTGGGCTTACCTGGGTTTGGGCATTGCCTGGACCAGTGGCCTTCATTGCCACACTTGAAACAGGTGCCAGGGGGAGGTGGATTGCTAGGAGGCATCTGTGTGGAGCTGCAGCCTGTGGGCCTGCAGGGCCCGTGATGGTGGAGGCAAGCATTTGAAACTCTGTCTTTTTTTTTTTTCTTTTACTTTCCTCGTTATAACTGTTAAAGACTTTGAAGACTAAATTAAGAAGGTGTCATTGTGGGGTTTCAGGGCCATTGTCAAGCTTCTGAATCTTGCACCAAATATCAGGGGTAGATTGGATGAGGAACCAAAGGTTTAAAATAGTGATTCCTTCTGGGTTGGCTGGGTCTAGGTTGGTATATTTTCTCATGGCTTCAGTTAAACAAGAGAGAAAAAAGGCTGGGTTTCTGTCAGGACCTTGGGTGATTTCTGAAAGGTTTTTATAGTTTACCACTTTATGGGCACCCTTTTTGAGTCCTGCAAGGAGATACACAATCATGTGGTCTTGATGGCAGTGTCCAGAGGCCCTGTCTTGATAATCCTGGTGGGGCTCCTGGTTGGGGACTGCCTCCGTGCCAGTAGGCTGGGCAGGAGCTTGATGATGAATTGTATTAGCATGCTCCTGAACCAGGGTCCAAATATGGTCCCTGTCTTCTGGGGTGAGGGTGGAAGAGAGGATAAGTAGAAGGTGAGGGTGGAAGACAGGATAAGTAGAGGTCATACCAGGTTAGTGCATAAGACTGGGTAAGGTACTGAAACTCCCTAATATAAGAGGTAGGGTCTTCTGGAAATGAACTGAGTCTTGTTAGTTTGAGAGATCAGTGAAGGAGAAGGGAACATGAACTCTAACAATACCTTCAGTTCCTGCTACTTCCTGAAGGGGGCATTCTAGCACCCGCACTGAAGTATGGGTGCAGCGTGGGCCAAAGATGGTGCCCAAGCTGGTATGGACAGGAGAGAAGAAAGAAGCCAGAAGGGGTTCCTGCTGAGGGTTTGAAGGGGGAAGGCGGGTTGAGTTGACAGGCAGTGGAGGATACATAGGGGTGTAAGGTGGCTTGATGGGTTTACAGGCTTCAGGAGAGGGCAGTGAGGAAGGAGACTGAGTACAGGCAATGCTAGAGTTTTCCTGAGGAGAGGACGGTGTAGAAAAAGAAGTGGGTACTTTTGGAGGTGATGCCGGCTGGGAAGATGGTGGCTGGGAAGATGGTGACTGCGAAGACAATGAGAAAGCTTGGGGAGTTATAGAAGATGGTTGAGACGTGGGGGTAGGGGCTGGGAGGGGTGGACAGCAGTCTGCTGGATCCAACAAGGAAAAAGAGGTAGGGTCAGGAGGAGAAAGGTTATGAGGGCGGTGAGAATGAAGGATTTGAACAGGTAAGCAAGAATTGCAGAAGTCAGGTTGTGATCTGAGTGCAAAAAGGCCTGGAACAAGGAATTTCTCCCCATTTTTCCAGTCATCGGCAATAATTGCTTTAACCAGTTAAAATTGTAAAGTCAAGTGTTTCATTTGCTGGCCATTTGGACCCGTTATCTAATTCATACTGCGGCCAGGTTTTATTGTATAAAAAAGACAAGGCGCTTAGGGTGGGTATCTTGCCTGAGGCCTAAGGTTTGCAGATTTTTTATGAGGCAGTCTGGAGGGCTGTTTTTTGGAATGGAGGATGGGGAGTTTTCCATATCAAAGGGTAGGCTCTGGAGAACAGGGAAAAAGAAGACTGTCCTGGACAGCTGGAGGAAGACAATAAAAGGAGCTATTATCACCTCTGCCTTTTTGGTTCCTGGAACGGAATCAAATGGCTTAGAGGCGTCCCCCTAAGACCAGATGATCAGGGAGTGCCTGGCACATACTGGAGCCTTCTTGGATCAGTGTTGGATTTTGGGACAGGAGAAACCAAGAGAGGTCATGCAGATTTTCCCCTGTTAACTGGGCTCCCAGGGAAGCCTAACAGTAGGCGAGATCAGTGACCAATGTGCATGTGAAGGAAGAGAAAGACCTTCTCATATTATTTTATATTGTTTTTCACTCAGTACATGTTTAAGAAAAAACAACAAGGAAGTAAAACCAAAGACAGGCAGCCCAAACGCCAGGACTGAAACTATGCCTGGGCCTGCCTGGCCTAAACTTAGTAGTTAAAACTCAACTCATAACTTAGAAACCAATGTTATTCATAGATTCCAGACATGTATAGAAGAACATTGTGAAACTCCCTGCCCTGTTCTGTTTCTCTCTGACCACCAGTGCATGCAGCCCCTGTCACATACCCACTGCTTGCTCAAATCAATCACGACCCTTTCATGTGAAATCTTTAGTGTAGTGAGCCCTTAAAAAGGACAGAAATTGTGCACTCGGGGAGCTCAGATTTTAAGGCAGTATCTTGCCAATGTTCCCAGCTGAATAAAGCCCTTCCTTCTACAACTCGATGTCTGAGAGGTTTTGTCTGTGGCTCGTCCTGCTACATTTCTTGGCTCCCTGACCCAGAAGCAAGGTGACTGACGGAAGGCTGAGGCAGCCCCTTAGGTGGCTTAAGCCTGCCCTGTGGAGCATCCCTGTGGGGTACTCCGGGCAGCCTGAGTGATGAGATCCAAAGAGCGCTCCTGGGTAGGAAATTGCCCCAGTGGAACACCTCACCAGATCAACACGTAGCAGGCCCCCGTGGAGGATTAACACAGTGGCTGAACACCGGGAAGGAACTGGCACTTGGAGTCTGGACATCTGGAACTTGGTAAGACTAGTCTTTTGAACTTGTCCCACTCCACCTGAGTAGAAGCATGGCCTGGTCACCCACGGTGTGCCTGTGTTGGCACCTTTGTTCTGGTTTTGACTTGGCTAGACTTGGTAGGACTAGTCTTTTGAACTTGCCCCACTCCACCTGAATGGAAGTGTAGCATAGCCTGATCACCCACGGTGTGCCTGTATTGGCACTTTTGATCTGGTTTTGACTTGACTTGAATTGCTGGATACTTTGGTTTTGGTTTTTGACCTGGCTTGGATTTCTGGATACTCTGATTTTGGTTTTGATTTTGGTTTGGTGTAAACTGAAATGTTTGTGTGTGCCCTTTTACCCGTTCTTTGTTTTGTGGTGTGTGTGTGCTGTGAGCATGGTGTTTTGTCTCAAAAAAACATAGATCAGGCACAAAGTAAGCCCACTGCACTGGGAACTATGATAATGAATTTCAAGAAAGGATTTAATAGAGACTATGGAGTCACTATGACTCCAGGAAAACTTAGAACTTTGTGTGAAATAGATTGGCCAGCATTAGAGGTAGGTTAGCCATCAGAAGGAAGCCTAGATAGGTCTTTTTAGTTTCTAAGGTATGGCACAAGGTAACCTGTAAGCCAAGGCACCCAGACCAGGTTCTGTACATAGACAGTTACAGCTGGTTTTAGACCCCTTCCCCCCACCCCCCCTCACAATAGTTAAGAGAACAGCAGCATAAGCAGCTGGCAGAGGCAAGGAAAGACCAGCAGAGAAAAAAAAAAAAAAGGCCATCTATACCAATTCTAAGTAAATTTAGACTAAACAAGGTCTTATTAATAGCAAAGGATAATTGAAATTTCAAACTTACAAGGTTTTCAACAAAAGCGAAGTTTGCTAAAAGTTGACAGTGTAACACATATTATGGTAACTTCTAATCTTGTGGCCTTAGACAGTCTAGTCCAAAGACATAAAGAAAGTTCACTTTTTAAAAAAAAGGAATGGTTATCTTCAAAAAAAAAAGGGGGGGGAGGAGGTAAAATTTATGTAAAAAGAGTGTTATATGGTAAATTCTTGTCCTGAAATAAATTAACTTGTTGTTTAAAGAGAAGAAAAAAATGTTTGTAATAAGTCAGAAAGTTGAGACATGTTGAAAAATTGTTGGCGAAAGTCGTGAAAAAAAGTTATAAAAAATTTTATGCAAAAAATGTTGCATAATTTAAAAGTAATAAGGCCTCCTGAGTGCTATTGAAGAAACAGTTTATGTGCAGGTGTATAAAAAAGTAAAATATAACTTTAATGAGAAGATTATAAGGAGGCATAAGAATGTGGATTTTTACCTACATTAAAAAGTCAAAAAAGAATTATTGTTTGAAAAGTTCAAGCAAGTTTTAAAATGTTAATTTAAAGAAAATTCTGTGTGTAAACTTATTAGCTAAAGTTAAAAAAGTATTATCCAGTTTTTCTGTGAACTAGACATGAAAGTAAAAATGCAACAGGTTTTTTCCTTAAAGCATCAACCTGCTCTTTAACAAAAATTGTAAAAGGTTAAACAGAGTCTATAAAATCTTACCTTATGGTCAACTATGAAAAATTGGATAAATATGTCTACAAGGTTTTATTAAAATTAAGTTTAATATTAATAACACACTAATATAAAAGTAAAATTTAGCTTATCTGGTATAAAAATCATACAAGAAACATTAAATATAAAATGATGTTTAGCTTTCTTTGGTCTAAAAACTAATAAAAATTAGTGCTAATGGAAATATTCATTTTACTAGAGGATCATAAAAGTTAAAGACTTAAAACAAACTTTAGCAATTAAGACAGTATATCAAGCTACAAATGCCTGGTTGAAATGGATCAAATATTCCAACTACACAATAAACAAAAGCAATTGTTATGCTTGTGCACATGGCAGGCCAGAGGCCCTAATTGTCCCCTTCCCACTACGGTGGTCCTCCAGTTCACCAGGTGTGGGCCTGATGGTAGCTCTTTTCCAGGATTCTACAGCCTGGAGTAATAAGTCATGCCAAGCTCTCTCTGCTATATCCTGAAGTCCCTGCCAGTCAGCCCCCAAGGGCCATCCAGCTTCTGTCTCTCAACACTAAGTTCACTTCCTGTCTCTCACGGCAGGGAGGAAACTTAGCATTCCTTGGAGACCTAAAAGGATGCAGTGAGCTTAAGAATTTTCAAGAGCTTATCAATCAATCAGCCCTTGTTCATCCCTGAGCAGATGTGTGGTAGTATTGTGGTGGACCTTTACTAGGCACTCTGCCAAATAACTAGAGTGGCATTTGTGCCTTAGTCCATTGGGCTATCCCTTTCACCCTGGCATTTCATCAACCAGAGGAAGGAAAAAATAATAATAACACATCGTAAAGTGAGAGGAGCCCCTTATAAGTCTTTCAACTCTCACATCTATTTAGATGCAATCGAAGCCCTGCAAGGAATACCAGATCAATTTAAAGCTTGAAATCAAATAGTTACAAGATTTAAGTCAATATTTTAGTAGATAACAGTCAATAAAAATGTAGATTAGATAAACTACATCTATTACAACCAACAGCAAAGAGCTTTTCATGAGTTAAAAAAAAAAAAAAAACTCATGTCGGCCCCAGCCCTGAGGCTACCTGACCTGACAAAACTCTTCACACTCTATGTGTCAGAAAGAGAAAAAAATGGCAGTTGGAGTTTTAACCCAGACTGGAGGTTCCTGGCCAAGGCCAATGGCCTGTCTCTCAAAACAACTAGACGGGGTTTCCAAAGGCTGGCCCCCATGTCCAAGGGCCCTGGCAGCAACAGCCCTGTTAACACAAGAAGCAAATAAGCTAACTCTTAGGAAAAACCTAAACATAAAGTCTCCCCATGCTGTGGTAATTTTAATAAATACCAAAGGACATCATTAGCTAATAAATGATAGACTAACTAGATACCAAAGCTTGCATTGTGAAAATCCCCACATAACCATTGAAGTTTGCAACACCCTAAGCTCACTATCTTACTCCTATTATCAGAGAGCCCAGTTAAACATAACTGTACATCAGTAGACTGGGAGCTGTACGTGGATGGGAGCAGCTTCACCAATCCCTGCAAAATGACTCTGAAGAAGACAACAAACACTGCTCCAGTCACACCCAGAAGCTGACTGGTCCACGCATGGCTGAAGCATGAGGAGACTCATCGCAGGACTCATTTTCCTCAGAATTTGGACTTGTACAGGAAGGACTTCAACTGACCTTCCTCAGACTAAGAACTGTTTCCAGTATATACATCAAGTCACTGAGGTGGAACAAAAGATTGCTACAGTCCTATTACTTTATAGTTATTATAAAAGAGCTAATTACTTTATGGTTATTATAAAAGAGCTAATTGCCTTCCATGATCACGCCCTCATAATCGTCTTTCTTATCAGCTTCCTGGTTCTATATGCCCTCTTTCTAACACTCACAACAAAACTGACTAACACTAATATCACGGACGCCCGAGGACTCTAAAAAAATTAAATAGCAACAAAAACAACAACAAATTGTTTGTATAATGCTATTCTATCCAAGGTATGTAGCCCAGGAAATAACCAACCTGATGTGTGTTATGAACAATTTTAAGCCTCCCATGATCACAGTTTTTAAAATAAAATTAAGGACTGCTCCTTTTCTATGTGACACAAGTAAGGTAATAGGTAGAACCGAAAAAAACAGAGCTCCTCAAAATGTAACCTTAAAATTTGACACTTGTGCCGCTATTAATAGTAAGCAGCATGAAACAGGATGTGATTCTCTAAATTAAAAAAGAAAGTTACACAGTAAAAAAAATAAGTATATCTGTCAAAAATCATATTTATGTGAGATGTGTCAATACTGGTCTCGTGTCATTCAGACTACTTAAAAGGAAAATAAAAAAGATCGTGTTTGACTCCAAAAAGGAAAACTCAGCCCCTCTTGCATGAATAGGAGCTACAACCTTTTAGAATTGATAATCACAAACCCCTCAGACCCAAAGTAAAATAAAAGAAAAATATATATCATTAGACATGGATAAAAAGGGACTAGATCCTAATGTAAGCATCCTAATAAAAGGAGAGGTTCAAAAACGCTCTCCAGAACCAGTGTTTCAGACTTTCTATGATGAACTAAATGTGCCAGTACCTGAGATTCCAGGAAAAACTAAAAATTTCTTTTTGCAATTAGCCTAACACGTAGCCCAGTCTCTACAAGTCACCTCATATTATGTTTGTGGAGGAACCATAACAGTAGATCAATGGCCATAGGAAGCCCAAGAATTAGTTCCTACAGACCCATTTCCTGATGAATTCCCAGCCCAAAAGAATCACCCTGATCATCTCTAGGTTCTAAAAGTCTCAATTATTAGACAGTATTGCATAGCTAAAGAAGGAAAAGGATTCACTCATCCTGTAAGGCAGCTTAGCTGTCTTAGACAAAAGCTCTATAATAGTACCACAAAAACAGTCACATGGTGGAGTTCCAATTACACAGAAAGAAATCCATTCAGTAAATTTCCAAAGTTGCAGACTGTTTGGGCCCACCCAGAATTCCACTGGGACTGGACGGCCCCCACCGGATTATACTGGATATATGTGGACACAAAGCTTATGCTAAGCTGCCTGATCAGTAGACAGGTAGCTGTGTAATTCGCACCATTAAGCCTTCTTTCTTCTTACTGCCCATAAAAACATGAACTTCTAGGCTTCCCAGTCTATGCTTCCTGGGAACAAAAAAATGAAGCATAGCCATAGGAAAAGATGATAAATAGCCCCCTGAAAAAAATCATACAATACTATGGACCCGCCACTTAGGCACAAGATGGCTCATGAGGATATTGGACCCCCATCTACATGCTCAACCGAATCATATGGTTACAAGCTGTTTTAGAAATTTTTACTAATAAAACCGGTCAAGCCTTGACCGTTCTTGCCCGGCAAGAGACTCAGATGAGAAATGCAATCTATCAAAATAGACTAGCTCTTGACTACTTGCTAGCAGCTGAAGGAGGAGTTTGTGAAAAATTTAACCTTACTAATTACTGTCTACACATAGATAATCAGGCAAGTTATTAAAGACATAGTTAAAAATATGACAAAACTGGCACATGTACCTGTGCAAGTGTAGCACGGATTCAACCCTGAAGCCATGTTTAGAAAGTGGTTCCCAGCACTAGAAAAATTTAAAACTCTTATAATAGGAGTTACAATAATTATAAAAACCTGCTTACTGCTCCCTTGTTTGCTACCTGTACTTCTTCAAATGATAAAAAGCTTCATCGCTACCTTAGTTCAACAAAATGCTTCAGCACAACTGTACTATATGAATCACTATCAGTCTATTCCACAAAAAGACATAAGTAAAAAAATGAGTGAGAACTCCCACTAATAAAAAGTGAGAGTCTCAAAAGGGGGGAATGAAGGAAGAGAAGGACCCTCTCAGATTATTTTATATTGTTTTATGCTCAGTACCTGTTTTAAGAAAAAACAACAAAGAAGTAAAACCAAAGACAGGCAGCCTGGCTCCAGGCCTGAAACCAGGCCTGGGCCTGCCTGACCTAAACCCAGTAGTTAAAAATCAACTCATAACTTAGAAACCGATGTTATTCAGAGATTCCAGACATTGTACAGAAGAACACTGTAAAACCCCCTGCCCTGTTCTGTTTCTCTCTGACCAGCAGTGCATGCAGCACCTGTCACATACCCACTGCTTGCTTAAATCAATCACGACCATTTCATGTGAAATCTTTAGTGTTGTGAGCCCTTAAAAAGGACAAAAATTGCGCACTTGAGGAGCTTGGATTTTAAGGCAGTAGCTTGCCGATGCTCCCAGCTGAATAAAGCCCTTCCTTCTACAACTTGGTGTCTGAGAAGTTTTGTCTGTGGCTCATCCTGCTACACATGCACAGAGAGGCAACTGGAGGCTGAGGAGTTTCCTTTGTCTGGTTGCTGTGGCTTGCTCTCTGGGGTGGAGGGGTAGGTCCACAAGGGACACAGACCTGAGCCCCACCCAGGTTTTGGCACCAGATATAAGGTTCTTGAATTGGTTTGATCCCTGAGAGCATGCCAACAGACAACACGAGGCAGTGCGGAGCAGCGTGCTGTTTTAATGAGTGCCTGGGTGCAGGTGGGCTGAGGCCTAAAATGGCATCAGCCCCAAGTGAGGATGGGACAGTGGTTTTATAGTTCTCTGTAAAGAGTAAGTGTCCCAATCTAACGTGACTGCTATGTAGTATCTGGATGGCCTCTTGATCTTCAAGGGTTCATGTCTCCAGCCAGGGTAGGTGTCTTCTGGCCGGCTCTCTTCCTGCTTCTGCTATCTTGCTGACACACGCTGCTGATGCAAGCAGCCTTGCATCTTGGGACTGGGCCTGAGAAGGGAGGAGTTACTCATCCCTTCAAGCTTTCAGGCCCCAGAAGAATCTTTGAACCCCCTGCTCCGCTGGCCACCCTCCTAAAGGATCACTGTGGTGCCAGGCAGGAATGAGCTGCTTGGGTATCCAGAGAGCTCCCAGTACCTTTCTGCTACTTCCTCTACCCCTATATTTTGCTTGGCTTGGTTCTCTAATTTGACTCAGCTTCACATAAAGTCAGGAACTTCTCCTGCAAACAGAACTTCAGCTTCTCCAGTGGGGATGTGTATTCTGGAGAGGGGGATCACCCTTTCCCACTTCCATTGTTGGGGCACTCACAGTGTTTGGGATGTCTCCCAGGTCCTGCAGGAGCAGTACGCTTCCTGCAGAGGGTGTGTGGATCCTCTCAGAATTGCTGGTCTGTCCTTGCAGTTGACCTGCAGCTAAAATTCACAATGCAAGCCTCTGCATGCTGCTCTGTCTGGAGCTGCAATCTAGTCCTGCATCCCATCTGCCATGATCACTGGAAAACCCTCATTTATTTTTTAAAGGGTCCAGAAAATGCTAATCTATAGAGATAGAAATTAGATTAGTGGTTGCCTAGGGTAGGATGGATGCAAAATTTCAGAGTGGGGGGTTAGAGGCTATTGTATAGAATCTTTTGGAGATAATACTGATTATTGTAGTGAAAGTAAAATTCTGTGAATATACTAGGAAACATTGAACTGTACACACTAATTGGTGAGTCATATGGTATATGAATTATGTGTCAACAAAGTTTTAGAAGACATTACTTGCACCACGATATTAAAAAATGGCGTTTGAGTTGTATAATTACTTCTTCTCTCTATGTCAAGGGCACCGAACAGGCAGGAGCCTCTCACCTGCCACTGTTCTTAACAGTATTATAAAATAATTACATAAGACAGGTTACTTACGTATTCTAGGTCATAAAAATTATTGCTTGACTAGAGTAATTGTAAATATAAAAGAACACCAAACACACTAAAATAAATATGAGGTCAACTCAAATTTTAGCAGTTATATTTTAACTTGATTGATTTTTCCTCAGATATAAGTATGAGAAATGACAGAAAGAAACAACAACTGGAAAAGAAGCACTGCATAAGACCAGGATGTCTCTGAAATGGATGTCAGTCTTTCTGCTGATGCAGCTCAGTTGTTACTTTAGCTCTGGGAGTTGTGGAAAGGTGCTGGTGTGGCCCACAGAATACAGCCATTGGATAAATATGAAGACAATCCTGGAAGAGCTTGTTCAGAGGGGTCATGAGGTGATTGTGTTGACATCTTCGGCTTCTATTCTTGTCAATGCCAGTAAATCATCTGCTATTAAATTAGAAGTTTATCCTACATCTTTAACTAAAAATGATTTGGAAGATTTTTTTATGAAAATGTTCGATAGATGGACATATAGTATTTCAAAAAATACATTTTGGTCATATTTTTCACAACTACAAGAATTGTGTTGGGAATATTCTGACTATAATATAAAGCTCTGTGAAGATGCAGTTTTGAACAAGAAACTTATGAGAAAACTACAAGAGTCAAAATTTGATGTCCTTCTGGCAGATGCCGTTAATCCCTGTGGTGAGCTGCTGGCTGAGCTACTTAACATACCCTTTCTGTACAGTCTCCGCTTCTCTGTTGGCTACACAGTTGAGAAGAATGGTGGAGGATTTCTGTTCCCTCCTTCCTATGTACCTGTTGTTATGTCAGAATTAAGTGATCAAATGATTTTCATGGAGAGGATAAAAAATATGATATATATGCTTTATTTTGACTTTTGGTTTCAAGCATATGATCTGAAGAAGTGGGACCAGTTTTATAGTGAAGTTCTAGGTAAGTCGTGTGTCCAATTGGTGTTTATTAAGTTCTAATTTTCCTGTGCCTTTGAAGGTGGGCTTATATAAATATAATGTCAGAAGATAGTGTTTTTATGGGAAATTATGAATTGCAAATGTAAGATGATCTATGAGTCTCAAAAATATAGAATGTTGACCTTATAGAATCAGTTAGAACCCTGGTGCCATCACTGCTATAGGACACCAAGAGAGTCATAAACCTTCAATGTAAAACACTTATGATTTCTTTAAGCCATCACATATCATTTTGCTATACATTTTTTCATCTTTAAAAAAGTCAATAGATACTTCAAGAAACATCTTCATGAAGGCAGACATACAAATTTTATATTTACACATATTTCTAAAAATATTATCAATGCAGGATTGAGGAACTTGTACCTGAGTACCTCAGTTTCCTCATTTAGAAATTAAATTTTGTTTTTCATATAAGAAGGATTCCTTCACAGTTGAGAAATATAGTGGCTCTACTCCAGAAACAGAAGCCTAAAACTTGAGATTTCTAATATTTATACATTCCTTCAATAACAACTTCACAATTATTTCCTTCAAAAACTGAAATCTTGTTGAAAGTGAACATCTAAGTTTTAATCTATATTTTATTAAACTGCATCTCTCCATCAAAGAAAATAGGGGCCAAAATAAGGAAGAGCACATATCTCTATGTCAATAAATTCTGAAAAATTTTTAATTCTCATTTGTAAATATATTTATTTTAAAAATCTAATTATATTAAGATCTTAAGATGAACCAAGACAGTAGTAGGTGTAAAGATTTCAGTGTTGAGCTCAAAAAACTCATGGTTTACTTTGAGAACCAAGGATCAAGGGACTAGCTTAATAAACTGTAGACACTAGAGTACTTCCTGGAAAGCTGTTTTCATGGGTAAGGTAAGATGAATTAATTGTGGAACTGAAAGAGTTGTTTAAAGGTATATTTGTTACTATTGCAGCTTCAGAGGGAAGACAAATGTGTATTTAAGTTCATAGTGGCTACATTAGTCCATTCTCACACTGCTGTAAAGAAATACCTGAGACTGGGCAATTTATAAAGAAAAGAAGTTTAATAGACTCAGTTCTACATGACTGGGATGCCTCAAGAAACTTAGAATCATGGTGAAAGGCTAAGGGGAAGCAAGCTTGGATCTTCTCACTTAGTGGCAGGAGAGAGAAGTGCAAGCAGGGGAAATACCAGACACTTATAAAACTATCAGATCTCATGAGAGCTCACTCAATATCATGAGAACAGCATGGAGGAATCCACACCATGATCCAATCACCTGCCACTGGGTCCCTCCCTCGACACATGGGGATTATGGGGATTATAATTCAAGATGAGAGGAGATTTGGGTGGGGACAGTCAAACCATATTAGTGACTTATTTTAATAATTATTTATGATTGTGAATATACTGATGTTACATTAAAGATGTGATTTCTTCTTACAGCTCTCTGAACACTTTGCCTTCCTTATATATACATATGAGCAACATATGCAATACATAAAAATTAAATGATGACTATATAAATGTATTTAATATAATGTATTTACATTATATTAAATTATTTTATTAAATAATTTAAATATTAAATTAAAACTATTAAATATTAAATATTAAATTAAATATTAAATATTGTTTAATTTTATTAACTTTATTAATGTTTTATTAATAAAATAAAATTAATAAAATTTTATTAATATTAAATATTAAACTTTATTAAATATTAAAAATTAAAAATTAAATACTATTAAATTAAAATATATTAACATATATTAAATACATTAATTTAATATAATGTATTTAATATTATTTAATATACATTAATTTAATATAATGTATTTAATATAATGTATTATATTATATAAATGTATTTATATATATTATCAATGTGCAGACATTTTATATATTTTTAGGTATGTTATTCCAAGTCCTTTCAGGAAAATACCTGCATATTCAATATTAAAATAACAATTCTCGTGTTAGCTACCTTTTGTTTTGTTTTGTTTTTTTCCATCAGGAAGACCCACTACATTATTTGAGACAATGGGGAAAGCTGAAATGTGGCTCATTCGAACCTATTGGGATTTTGAATTTCCTCGCCCATTCTTACCAAATGTTGATTTTGTTGGAGGACTTCACTGTAAACCAGCCAAACCCTTGCCTAAGGTGAACATATTCTTGTTTCATTTGTTTGCTTGACATTTTCAGAAGGAATGGCTGGATATGTTTCTTTCAGAGTGTTTAACTCAGAGTGAGGGGAATATGGGAGGTCAAAAAAAAGGACTTGCCATTAGAAAATCATATATTTCTATACTATCACAAGTATGTGAATGTTATTATCATTAAAGACCAAAGAGGTTTACTAGGGAGATTTTGAAAACAGGGTTGGTTAAAGTAAGGCCTTCATTGTGCAACCCACAAGATAGTATGGTTCATTTCTTCAAAAAATATTTGTAGAGTGATTAATGCAAACCACAGGTAAGTGCTGGATTTTCAGAGAATAAAGGTAGCACAGTTTCTGCGCCCTCATGCCTAACATTGTACTTTGAAAGATAGAATAAAAACAAGTGAAAAAGAAAAGTCTAAAAAGTGTTATAAGGAAAGACCACAATGATAAAGAAATATGCAGAAGAGATCCCAAACTCATTGACAATTAAAGTGAGTACTCAATAATGTGCAGAGATAGGTGAAACGATGAGGGGATGAGAAAGACCCAAAAAGAAAACCAGAGGCCAGGCAAGGTGGCTCACACCTATAATCCCTGAATTTTGGGAGGCAGAGAAGGGACGATTGCTTGGGCTCAGGAGTTTGAGACCAGCCTGGGCAACATGGTAAAACCTCATCTCTAACAAAAATAAAAATAATAGCCAGGCATGCTGGTGTGTGCCTGTAGTCTCATAGTCCCAGCTACTTAAGAGGCTGAGGCAGGAGGCTTGCTTGAGTCTGGGGGCAGAGGCTGCAGTGAGCTGAGACCACACCACTGAACTCTAGCCTGTGCGACGGAGTGAGACTCTGTCTCAAAAACAAACAAATAAACAAACAAAAAAGTAAAGTCTTGCATTAAGGCAGAAAAGTAGAAAAGCAGTAAGGGCAGTTCCCAGGACTCCAAATTTAGTTTACAGGAAAAGGTTGAGTAAAAGTCAATGATGGGCCGGGCGTGGTGGCTTACACCTGTAATCCCAGCACTTTGGGAGGCCGAGGCAGGCGGATCGCCTGAGGTCAGGAGTTTGAGACCAGACTGGCCAGCATGGTGAAACCCCGTCTCTACTAAAAATACAAAAATTAGTCAGGCATGTTGGCAGGCACCTCTAATAGCAGCTACTCGGGAAGCTGAGGCAGGAGAATCGCTTGAACGCGGGAGGCAGAGGTTGCAGAGAGCCGAGATCATGCTATTGCACAACAGCCTGGGCAACAGAGTGAGACTCTGTCTCAAAAAAAAAAAATATATATATATATATATATATGAAATTTGATATACCCATTAAGGACAATGGAGAGCTACTGAAAAGAGTTAAGAAATGAAGAGATATGATCAGATTTCCTTTCAAAAAAAATCCCAATGTTCTCAATGTGTAATATTACAGAAAGGCAACTTTGTACAATGTAAAGAATATTTAGGAACTTTTACATGAGTTTAGGCAATCATGACTACTTTTACAATAATAATCACAACTTCATATTGTGTTGTGTGGAAAAAAGTAGTTACCACAGATAAAACACTTAAGTTGTCTCTGACACATAGCCAGTGATCCAAAAATATTGTTGATATTATGATTATTATTTTAGTCATTATTTCTAATATTTTAAATTAGCTAACATGTGCCAGCCATTTAAGATATCAGTCTTCATTTAATAATGATTGATTTTCCTAGCAAAATCCTAGAGAACAGATACTCTGTGTGCTTGTTTAAATATAAATGTTTAAGTTTGGGCAGTCAGTTGAACACGCTGGAAAGCTAAAGTTGTATTGCAAAGGTGGAGGCACTTCATTAATATTTTAGCTTAAAAGGTAATTCTGTGTACTCTTATCTTATTCTCAAAAAAAAATCCTCACTCACATCAAAAGAAAGTGATAGTGCCATTAGCAGGGGGAAGAGAATAGGAGAATAAGGAGGACAAGGAATAAATGACTAGTAGTACAATAGTGATTATTACTAATACTACCATGATCTCAGCTCACTGCAACCTCCACCCTCTAGGTTCAAGTGATTCTGATTCTCCTGCCTCAGACTCCCAAGTAGCTGGGATTACAGGCACCCACCAACACATCCGGATAATTTTTGTATTTTTAGTAGAGACAGAGTTTCGCCATGTTGGCCAGGCTGGTCTCGAACTCCTGACCTCAGGTGATCCACTTGCCTCAACCTTCCAAAGTGCTGGGATTACAAGTGTGAGCCTCCGTGCCCGGCACTGGCTGTTGTTGTTAACCTGCAAAAGGTAGACTTGAATCTAAGTAAATAATTGTGAAACCGATTCTCTAATTCTTTTGTACACAAAATAATTGTTGCCACAAATTTGCTTGCTTTTCCATTATGTATTAGATTCTCAGATAATGTTTGTATATTTCAAAAGAATAAGACTCTTGCCAAAAAGTATCAAGTGTTTGAAAACTGCATATAGTTATTGCCTTTGTAATATATTCACATGAAACTGTACAGAGAATAAATCATGATGGTAAGATTCAATATTAGTAGCAAATATTCGTTAAAAAACTCTGGAAATAATTCAAATATCTTACATTAAGAAATGGTTAAAAACTTATACAATGCGCATACCAAGCCATTACAATCCATTTTTTCAAAACAATGTTTAATTACACTGTCAGCTGTAGTACAGGTATAGTTGGAAACTAAGGAACAGAATGATGAGTAGAACAAGATCACAATTTTTTTGTAGGATAAAAAGGCATATACAATGAGAAAAAATTTTCTAAATAAACATCACATATGTACATTGAGTTATATAAATAGAATTAAAACCATAATGAAATGGTACACATTTTAAATTGAGATAGAGATATGGGAAAAATGATTTTTTTCCTAAATTTTCATACTTTTACAAGACTACTTACATTGATCTTCTATTACCATTGCTTTCATAAAGACGTCACAGAATGAGATCAGTGCTGATCTGTCTATAAACAGACGATTTTTTACTTCAATACTTGGTGGATGAAGAAGACTTTTGTCAGTGAATGAGACAAAACATTAAACCGAAGTTACATTAAATGTGGCTACAGGCAACTGCAATTACACTGAGTTCCTGGATGCCTCATGAATTAACTCTAATAGCCATACACTGAATCTCCAATTAAAACTGATATCAGACCGGGCACAGTGGCTCAAGCCTGTAATCCCACCACTTTGGGAGGCCGAGGCAGGTGGATCATGAGGTCAGGAGGTCAAGACCAGTCTGGCCAAGATGGTGAAACCTGTCTCTACTAAAAACAGAAAAATTAGCCAGGCGTGGTGGCAGGTGCCTGTAATCCCAGCTACTCAGGAGGCTGAGGCAGGAGAATTGCTTGAACCTGGGAGGCAGAGGTCGCAATGAGCCAAGATTGCATCATTGCACTCCAGCCTAGGTGACAGAGCAAGACTCCATCTCAAAAATAAATAAATAAATAAAATAAAATAAAAATAAAAGATGTCATAAAGTTCAATTATATTTTTGAAAAATACCAATATATGGTCTGAATTGACATATTTTAGAATTTCCTTTTTTATTCGTAAACAGTTTTATAAAGAAATTTCCCCCAATGATTAGGACCAGAAAGTATATTTGTTATGATAGAAGGGGTTGGTCATTATTTTACTGAGAAAAAAAGAATTTAGAACAAAAGGGACAATAGCAACAAAAAGATGAGTATACAATTTTGATATGATATCCGGGAAACTTATGAGTCTACATTTCTTTTCCTCTTTCTCTCTTTCTTTTTCTTTTTTTTTTTTTTTGGTGTGAGAATACATTGACTGATGTGGCATTAGAGAATGGATTTAAGTTTAAAAACAGGAACACATCAGGAAACACAAGTCAGAATAATTCTCATTCATTTCGAAGCAAACACATATTTACCAGGAGCTTCATATAGTGTGAGGGAGCTACTCTAGGGGGTGAGCAGATCTCCACTGGAGAAAGGCTTGGTGACCTCTCCCACTGTGGTTCAAGTGCCCCCTGTGAGACACAGCAAAGTGAGGATGAGGGTCCCTCATGGTAAGTTATAAATAGCACATCAATTTCACAGTGTGATTTCAGGACAAAAGGTATCATAGTCATACCTAAACAATGATCTGAGAAATAAGATCACTTAATTATGTAACTAAATAGTATATAATACTGTATTATAAATGGAATTCTCAGAACTATTTCCCGGAAATTCCAAGCCCCAACACCAGACTGATGAACGTCAATGATTCTTATACTTCAGCTTTTAAGGTGTTTTTTGGGGGTGGGGGTGTCGGGGGAAGTGAGGGGTAGTGGGGTAAGACTAGGAAACTCTAAGTGAAATATAAAGGGTTAGAGAGCTAAAGAAGCTAAATAAATGTAGATATAAAATCATTCTAATTGTAACTAACTTTTCCTCATTGCTCATAGTCATGTAATGGCTCCAATGACTCCTAACTAAAAGAACTGAACAGAAAAAAATAAAATAAAATGACCCCAAATAAACACAAGAGATTTAGTAGAACTACAAAAAAAAATAGAATTAAAGCCAAGTAAAGCTACCTTCCAATAACCTATGTTAGTAATTATAATATTATAAATAAAGTGTCTGGGTGTAATATTTTCTAGCATTATCTCCTCCTACTGCAGTGTCATAGCTTTGTTTCATTTCTTCCTTACACACACATACATACATGCATATGCACACATATTTACACAAATTTGCATGAAAGATCCCACATATATTATATTACACATCTCCTTTCAAAGAAACTGAATGATTAGGTCAGTTTAAAAAAATTACTCCAATAGCTCCTGACTTTCTCATCTTAGATGTTTGTAACAATCCTGTCAACAGTGTTTTCTGTGCTGTTGCTCTTTTCTGATAGAACAAATTCTTTCTTCACAGGAAATGGAAGAGTTTGTGCAGAGCTCTGGAGAAAATGGTATTGTGGTGTTTTCTCTGGGGTCGATGATCAGTAACATGTCAGAAGAAAGTGCCAACATGATTGCATCAGCCCTTGCCCAGATCCCACAAAAGGTTAGATAAAGTGCCTTAACTGTGGATGGCTACTAAATGAATCTGTTAAACTCTTCAAGAGTCCATTACAGAAATGTTCTGCCTGAAAATTTAACTGCTATGATAGTTCTAATTATCTCAGACATCTGTTCAAAGCAAAAACATATATGGAAGATCTTAAAATCATAAAGAGAGGAGTTTTGGTTGATAATAACGTTGGCATTAATATTGTGATCAGAAGGAAATATATTTAAGAGGTGCTAGTGAAGTTTGGTATTATCATGGTATCGTAGCATGTACATAGAAATCACTAAATTCTGCCCTGTCATTTGCTCCTTTTGGTTTACAGGATTTTAGAAGGTACTGTATACACTGTAGATATTATCAAAAAGCGGTAAAATTTTAATAAGTTACTGTACTATCACAATAACAATAAGCAGGTATTGAAAAAACTTTGAAATGCATCATGCAGCTTCGTCTTACCAAGCAATCTGGCTGTTTTTACTTCCCATGCATTGGAATAGGTCTATTTAGCGTTCTGTTCAGGGTGCCATTCAGAGAAAGAATGTCCTAGTCTGACTAGCCACTGCTCTGGAGGTACCCACCTAGCCAAGTAGATTTAGAGAAAAAGAAAAACTTGTCTGCTCTGCTGGCTTGGGTGCCGCTAATGTCTTAAGCAGAAAAATGTAATGGAAAGGATGGAGATAGAATCCTGCTTTTAGGGTAGACTATGTGCATTATTAAATGTGGCCCAACAAAGACTATGCTCTAAGAATCAGATTAGTGCCTTCTCCACATTGAGGAAGGAGCAGGAACTATAAATAAACATGGTAGGAACTTATTTTCTAATCTATAGAATATACCTACAATCTTTGTGTATTTTCAATTTACGTTTTACTTTCTTATCTGCATAGCCCTCTCTGAATGATCTATGCAAGTTTTTGCTGAAAACACAGAGTTACTTTAACACTCCCATATCAAATACAAGGACAACACTTGTAAATTCTACTCCAGTTTATAAAGATTGCTTGGGAAATCTAAAATCAGTACCTTAGTTTGGTACTAGACATGGTAATGACTGGCTATAGCTGACCATATATCAAGGCTGTCAATGCTAGGTAGTGCATCATCTAAGTGTGAAAGATCAGTTAAGCAAAAAGTAGCAAAATACAATTTTCTACATTCTCAGCATCTGTATTGTTAATCATGAATTGTCAATGGGCTCCTTTTTCCTACATTGTTAGCATTTACAAAAGTAGCAATACTGATAATAGTCTGAATTTACTACATATGTAGCATTATTTCTCACCATATGTGCAGTTTAAGTATTTAGTCTTTTGTAATCAATGATGTCAAATTCATAAAATAACTTATGACTAGTAGACAAGTGGATATAAGTAAACTCTTCCCATATCACTCAAAAATTAATAAATTTATATTAAATTTGGAAGGTTACAGCTAGTATAAAGTATATAAAATAAATATATAGGTTATTACTAATTTGCTACTTTTTTATTACTAGAATTAAGACTGCCTAACAATTCTTATATATTTGAATATTTCATTGATAATCTTGTGAACCCCAAATATCTGATACAGGTCTCAGTACATTTAGAAAGTTTATTTTGCCAACTTGAAGCAGGGAAGAGGCATTCCTTTGAGCTTCTGATTAGGCTCTCCAAAGGAGGCAATCAGATATGCATTTATCTCAGTGAGCAGAGGGGTGTCTTTGAATAGAATGGGAGGCAGTGATTTGCTTAGTGACTTTGGGGCCCCCAGGTTTATTTTCATTTTACATTTTAAAAAAATCTTTTGGAGAAAGCATTTTAGAAGAAAATGAGTCTCTGGTCTCAGGTTTTCATCTGATCTCTAATGGCAAGGAAGGTTTATTCCTAAGCAGGTCCTGAGTTATTAGGAAAGTTCATTTTTAGCAGGTTCTGAAGTCTCATGTACTGTGAAGACAAAATAAAGGGAGGAAGTGAGAAAAACAAAAACAAAAGAACAATCCTTTAAAATTAATATAGGCCACATTACTCTGAAGTCCATAAATCAGTAGGCAGGTATGAAAGTGGATTATGTATGTAAATTGGTTGCTGTTATTTTCTTCTGGAGTTTAAGTTGTCTAGCTTAATTTGTAGGGCTTTATGAAAGCATAGCTTAGTTTACAGTGACTCCAAATTAGGAAAAATTGTGGAAGGGGAGGAAAAAAAACCTGAAGACACTATTTTGAAGACGTGTAGCCATGAAAAATTAGAATTCAGTCCAAACTGTAGACAGTAATAAAAATTGAAAAACATTAGGCAAGACTAGAATCTAACAACAGGTATACTGTTATTTTTGAAACATAATTTTTCTGTCTTCAGTTTCCCAATTTTACTAAAGACAAACCATGGTACAACTGATTTGCTTTATTATACTTGGCCTGATTATTGTATACAGAGGAGGAAGAATAATTTTTTATTTACATAGGCTTTTAAAGTGGCTTTGATGGAACTTTGTCTTATAGAAAGAATCTCAGATAGGACTTTTTTAAAGCTGAGGCAAGCCATAGATTTGTACCATCAAATACCTATGAGTTGGGTGAATTCCTCTCCTCTTGGGGTTCCAAAATAAACTTGGGGCTCCTGGGCCTGTCAGAAAGTTACATTCTTTGCTTAACACAGTTCAGGAACCCTGTACAGGGACCTTATAGATGAAGGTATGAGGCCAGTTTTCCCAAGGGGTTTTATTGGCTCCATAAGTTAAGTTTGATTCCCTAAAGGAAAGCCCACCATTCCAGTGGAAGCCTTGATAAAATAACCAGTTTCTCCAATTGTGTTTTGTTAAAAATGAAAATAGATTCTTATTGCACTTATGCAAATAACTGTATTGACAAAAGTAAAAAATACTCACAAATAGTTTCCAAATTCTGAAAAATCAGGTAGAGGGAAACAAATATGTTCTAAATTTTTTTCATAGGAGTATACTAAATTGTTAAAAGCTGTTAATAGCTCAAAAAAAGAAAGATTCCTTCACTCTAAAAAAAAAAACAAAACAAAACAAAGGATCAGCAATGTTTTAAGCAAAGTCAAAAAGATTACTTTAGTTTTCTATTATTTCAGTCCATGTAGTTAATTCCTGTTCTGCTTGATATTCATGAACATTTTAGTTCTCCATGAGTCCTGAAAGTTTTTCTTCCATTCTAATGTCACAATCTCCAAAATTATCAAAAACTTTTTTTCAAGAGCACCTGTTAGAATTTCATGGCTGAGTATAAAATCGCCTTCTAAAGAGGACCAAAGTCAGACAACAATTGTCTGTGGATGACAAAAAGTTTTAGGGCAGCCTCAGTCAAAGACACAATGGACAAGGAAATTTGTTACCTCTGTGGCACACAATAACTTAACATAACAAATATAATTATTACTGATAATGTACACACTAAGTCATATCAGAATTATAGGAGTTTCCCATAATTTTGGAACACATGCCAATAACATATTTATATAAATACAGCTCAAAAAGACCAAACACCATTTCATGTTTGACAATGTTCCCTGTATAATTTTTATACCAAATAAGCCAAATTATGTCATTTTTGGACTTTAGGGAAACTAATAAATTAAAGGATTACTTAGGTCAGAAAAAAACATAATTTTGGAAAATTTGTCAAATATCAAAGGATTAAAAAGCTTGATATCACAGGTAAAATAAAGCATTCATTTGACTAAAGTAGTAACTCAAGGATTTCAAAAAAAGGCAAAAATCTTCATTCTTTGAGAGAGGAGACTCAATTTGCCAAACAATAAGCCCTAATAAAACAGCATGAAGCCAAATAAGTTTGTTTTTCAAAATTGTATGAACAATCTATAAAATTCTAATCTTGACCATAAGATATAACTTTCCTCAGCCTTTCATAACGTTTATAATCTTTATTAAGAAGTCAGTTTATGCTTCAAGAAAACCTTGTTAATCTGACACAGGGGCCCATATGTTGGTCTTGCATTAGTGTGTCTTTGACATTAATGATTAATTTATGCATAAACGGAACTTATTTTATCTCTTAGTATCAGTTCTTTCAATCTCACACACCCACCTCTTCTGTGATAGTCCCTGGACCTTGAGGAGTTGAATAGCTTTTAGAAAACACTGTTAGCATTATGCCACAACAAACAGAACTTGAGGAAAAAACTTACATGAGTTGAAAATGAGTTGAAGGAGAGTGTTACTATTTCACACCCTTTAAAAGGGGAGAGAAAACCAAAAACAGTGAGATGCAAGAAAAGTTAAACTTTGGGTTAAAAAAAAAAAACTCATAATATTTTAAGAGTAAATCAATCCCTTAAGAAAATGTTATTGTTCTAACCAATTATTTAGTGCATAAGTGCTTTTTTTACATCAAGCCCAATCTGTAGAAACACCATTATAATTTCCCTTTAATTATAGACAACTTGATCATATAAAAGTTTTTTTAATCTTCTTATTGTGACTTACACAGATCATTCATGATATGTTTGGACTTTCTGGTTTGTCCTGAACATCCTTCTTTCTTACACAACTGATCATTTTATTCTAGGACTAAATTTACCACACAAGATTCTTTCTCATATAAAATTATTTCTCTTCAAGCTTTTTACAAAAAAAAAAAAAAAAAACTTTTTATTTTTATAACTTTCTTTACATCTCCCTTACTTCCTGGTTCCTTTTACCTTGTTTTATACATAACCTTTAAATAAGCTTTGAATTAGACAACACTTCTTCACCTTTTTAAAAAAGATGCACTTTTTTTTGGAAAGAATGTTTTCCTACAAATTTTTTTTTAAAAATACCCAAACAATGAAATATCTATTATTTAATTTAATATAACCTTAGATTCTAAATTATGAGTTTGTCTATAAGTATTTATCCCATTACATTTACCTAATTATTTAGTCATTTACCTAGAATATTTGTGAAAAGTGTGGTAGTCATCATTTAAAGTTATGGAATTGCCATTGCAAAATTATAACTGAGACAGTGAAAAAGATCTGACCTAACTCCATCTTGCTTTTAACCTCCAAGCTCTCCGTGTTTATTTCTGGGTGTAGGCCAAACTAACTTAAGGAGGAACTTAGTTTATAGTTTAGCTTTGAAATAAAAATGATAACAGTCTTTTCCCAAAACAAAGCTTAATGCCTGTGGACTAGATTGCTTAAGGCCACAAGATGAGAAGTTATGATAATCTTACTTAATTCAAGGTGTAGCTATTTGCATTAAACCAATATTAATGTCTTATTTATTAAAAATTACACAAGTGAAGATCATTCTGTTTTGGGCTTGGTTTACAGTTTTGTAACCCCTATGTCAAATTTTGACACCTTAAAGTATTTGGCAAGAATAAGTATGAAATTTCTTGATTAATAAATGCAAACAAAAATGTATGCTGGCAAGTCTTAATGCATTTCTAATATTATCATACTTTATCAATAATTGTTGTTATCTTATTTATAAAAGATTTTATTTAAGTTACATAAACTTGAAAAAGCATTTAATTAGTCTTTTTTTCTGGCAAAGTATTTAATTCAAGCACTTTTATTTTCTTAAGCCAATTAATTAGAGCTCTTTTATATATTTTCAGTAATAAAACATTGTGTACAAAACACATAAATACATAGATGTAGTAAGCATGCCAACAGAAGTACATCTTACAGGTTTATAAAAACTCCTCTTTGCCATATTAGACTTTCAAATTCTTGATAACCTGTTTCAATAGGTAATCTGTATGAATACTTGATCACCATAGGCAGTTGTGAGCTAAATAATCTTACATTTGCATATTAAAAGAAACCATTCAGGTGAAAATCAAATAGCAAAATTTACATCATAATGTACACAGAGAAAAAAATTGGTGTGCTAGAAGGAAAATAAAATGGATTTAATTGCCAATTAAACATAAAATTATAGAAATTATAATGGCCTTTTAAATATATGCAAACACTTACACACACACAAAAGATTATGTGGTTTTTACTTCAGAAATTTAGCTATGAGATAAAAAAAAATCACCAGCTTGCAGACAAAAACCTGTTGAATCAAAACAGTGGTTTTTAACTTAATAGAAAAATAAAAGCAAATTTAAAGCAAGAATAAAAGAAAATTTTTAAAAAAGAGAGAACTTAGGAACTCTACAGTTTGTAGGACAACCTTAGGGCTCTTAATGTATATGTGCACAAAGACCGTATTACCTTCATTTTACATAAACTCTGCCAAGTAGAGGTGTCATAAATCCAAACAGGCGATATCAGGGGATCATTCTTCTTCTTTTCTCATCATTCTTAGATTATTTGTTTCCCACTTTTTTTCCTAAAAGGAGGAACTGAGCTGTGGCCTAGGGTTTATGTGTGGTGAATCAATGTGTGCTGCTTGTGGGCAGTACTCCACAGTGTGTCACCACTGAGTTGTTTCCACCCTCTTACGTGTCTCAGTTTCTCCCTCCAGAGGTGTATGACCTCTGAGAGGGCTCAAAATGCTGGGTGATCTGCCCTCATATGTGTTTCCTGGACTAGCCTTTTTTTAAAAGTTAATTTTTCTTGGGGATTTCCCTGCAGGACCACTGCATGTCATAGGGGGTCAAACCCAAGACACTCCCACAAGGCCCCCAGTTGCTTAGGGGTGCCTTTTGCCTGGGAGGAGCAGATGCCCTTTCACTTTGGAGCTGAGAAAACTCAGTCTTTCATTTTCCTATGTAAACCACAGTTCAGTTTCTCACACAAATCCACACAGACAAGCCAAATGAGATTAATTTGGGGAATAAAAACAATAGAGGAGACCCTTTACAACACATCTCCAAACTAGAATTAGGATTCTTAAACAACAACTTCCTAGGAGGAAAAAAATAACAACAGTCAATACTACTTCCAGTAAACTGTACTCAGCCACCCTCTACTTTGTAACTCGTCTGCCATTACACACGCCAAGGTAAAATCCTCTCACAGTACAAGGTAATCTGTGGTAATCTCGAAGCCAAAGAGATCAGGTCATTCAACATAGGAAAACAGAGCTTTGGACCTAAGAAAAAATCTGCCCACAACTCTTGAAACTCCACAAAGAAAACAGAGCACCCCCAAAGGGGTGAGTGGTGCCTTTGTTCTGAATTCTTTAAAAGAGTTCAAATCATTAGAAGCCTTCTCTAGATTTTTGGTACTACAAATGGCAAAAGACAAAAGGAGGTATAGGGTGGAGGAAAAGTAAACAAAAGAACATTTGTTTTTTTAAAGACAGGAAGCAAACACAGAAACCAAGAGCATGGTTTTTAGGTTTTGTTTTGTTTTCTCTTTTGCATCTGTGAAGAATTTTCACCAAATTAGACAGGCTTTGTTACCCACAATTTGGAATTCTCACTCAGATATGATCAAGTCAGGTAAAGTTTGTCAAATCTGATGGGAGAAATACTGGAATGTACAAAAAAAATACTCCCAAAAATGTGATCATTAAGCACTGTAATGGTAAGGAGAAATTAAGTCCAGCTAGTTGTTAAACATTAACCAAGACAAAACCCCAATTCAGCTATTTACCTACGGATGGGTTTCAGGCTAAAACTGCCCTCTGTCGTCCTAGAAGTAGGAAAGAAACCTCAAATTTATCCTCCCTCCTGGGAGTGAGCTCAAACTCCATAGAGTTACCTGCCTTCCATTGTCATGGAAACAGGAAATATTGCCTTTCTTGTAGGAAGCAAGTAAAACTCCAAAAAAAAATAAAAAACAAAAAAAAAGGAGTTGTACAGCAAAATAAACTTTTGGTCTTGACTGAATTTTGGGGTATCAGGGATTCTCTGGAGGGGTTGCTCCCAGACCTCAGCCAATTGTCTTATTTGTTTGAGCCATAAAGTTAGCTCATGCTGGTACCAAGCACTGACAGGACATTTATCAAAGGTCAGGGAACCTCCACTCAGAGTCTCTTCATGGTTACCAAAATGTGAACCCTGAATATCTGAGGCAGGTCTCAGTTAATTTAGAAAGTTTATTTTGCCAAGGTTGAAAATGTGCACCCATGACACAGCCTCAGGGGGTCCTGGTGACATGTGTCCCAAGGTGGTGGGGGGACAGTTTGGTTTTATACATTTTAGGGATACATGAGACATCAATCAACTTATATAAGATGGACATTTGTTCAGTCCAGAAATGGGGGACAACTAGAAACAAAGGCAGAGCAACTTGAAGCATGGAAGGGGCTTCCAGGTCATAGGTAGATAGGAGACAAATGGCTGAATTCCTTTGAGTTTCTGATTAGCCTCTCCAAATGAGGCAATTAGATATGCATTTATCTCAGTGAGCCAAGGGCTGACTTTGAATAGAATGGGAAGTAGGTTTGCCCTGAGCAGCTTAACTTTTCCCTTTAGCATAGATTTTGGGGCACCAAGATTTATTTTCCTCTCACACTCTCATGTGTCTAGCTATTAAGTTAGAAATGTCATTTTTTTATATACCAAATTGATTATAAAAGTAAAGATATTAAATGTGGGTATTCAGCTTACCTCAGACTTTTAGTAGTTCTCATTACTTGACATCACTTCTTCTTATTTCTTCATCTTTTATATGGATTAACTGATTATTAATCTCTTCAGAATTCTAACAAGTTATATTTTTAGAGTTCTATTCATTGAACAAGATATTTTCCTTGCCCTAACAGGTTCTATGGAGATTTGATGGCAAGAAGCCAAATACTTTAGGTTCCAATACTCGACTGTATAAGTGGTTACCCCAGAATGACCTTCTTGGTAAGACTCTGGAGAACAAATACTGAATATATTAGTAACAGCCAATTAGAAGTGATAATATTTCAACATAAAACAAACATATTTAACATTTATTATTGGAAAACTAAAAAAAAATCAAATTTAACTACTTTATATTTATTTTCTAGTCTTAGTATAAGAAGAATACACTATGGTAGTTGGCATTTTGTTACATACAGTCACATTCTTTATGGTCAGAATAAAAATCTCTTTATTCAGGTGTAATTACCTCTCACAGGTTTTAAATAACATCCTGGATTTTCTGTCTCTTATTTCTGCAACTTTACATCTGTTCCTTCCCCTACTGCAGGGTTATTTCAACAGGTACTGAAAAATAACAGACATTCTTCTATTACCAGTGACTCTATTTTCTGTGGGAATAAATCACCAATCTTTATCATAAAGTGATAACACATTTCATGATGATGTGTAACCTGTCCTTCCTCAGCACCACCTCCACCCTACTCCTTGCTGCCTTTAAAAAAAAATTTAAGTATTTTAAATATTTTAACTATTTAAATATTTTTTAAATATATAAATGTGACTGCATAATTTATACTACTTAAGAGACTATGTTCTTGTATACCAAATCTTATTCTTTTCTTTTTTGCACATTTTAATTTTTTAATTAAGAATATGTTTTTTCATTTTGTTCACCTGGCAAACTTTTAAATTTATGTTTCCACTGTGAAGACACACAGACCACCACCTTTTCATGTAGCCTTCACTTACCTTTCCAGCAGAAGTAGGTGCTTCTTCCTCTGAAATTTGAAAACAATTTCAATGCAGTTTTGTGGGTATAATGTTACCTAGGGAACAGTTTTGCTTTAAGTTCCTTATATTGTGCATTTCTTATTCAATTCCTGTGCCTTATAATTAATAACTTTGTTAAAATGCATCCACTTTTAGGTCATCCCAAAACCAAAGCTTTTATAACTCATGGTGGAACCAATGGCATCTATGAGGCAATCTACCATGGGATCCCTATGGTGGGCATTCCCTTGTTTGCGGATCAACATGATAACATTGCTCACATGAAAGCCAAGGGAGCAGCCCTCAGTGTGGACATCAGGACCATGTCAAGTAGAGATTTGCTCAATGCATTGAAGTCAGTCATTAATGACCCTATGTGAGTATTACAATTTTGTGACCAGGTGGTACTTACAAATTATTTTGTCAACAGTGAATATGAGTTTGAACCCTTTGTTAAGAGACTAATTTTGAAGGGATTGAAGTGATTTAACCAATGTAAAATCTGCTCTTATTTTCCACCAGACAATTATTTCAAAGTTACATTTCAACCCCACAGATTTAATGGGTCACCAATGACTGCAATGAATTATAAAATCAAAAAAATTAAAGATATGTACATAATTATTTTAAATATTTTTAATGATAGAATACACAATAGAAATTATGTAACTAGAGAAATATGATAAAATATTTCAATTCAATACCTAAAATTTCTGAAAGTATGAATCTATTCTTTCTCAAAAATTTATTTTTATTATTATCATTATTTTAATCAATTTGAAAATGAGTTACAATTTGCATAGCATAACATTCACTAAAATTTAAAATCTAAATATATTTAGTATGTTTACATAGTTACGAAGCCACAACCCTAAATAACATTTTTGTGAGCTCAAATTAAACTCAAAATGCATGAAGTCACTCCCAATACACCTCCAGTCCTAGAAAAATACCGACTTACTTTGTTTCTCAATAGATTATTCTCTTCACATATTTTATATAAATGAAATCATACAATTTATAGTGTTTTGTAAACGACTTCTTTCACTTAGCATAATTATTTTTAGTTTTATTTATGTTGTTGGATGTATCAGAACTCATTCATTTTTATTTCTATATAATATTCTTTGATATGTTTATACCAAAATTACCCATTTATCAGGGCATGGACATTTTAGGTCTTTCCAATTTTGGCACTTACGAATATTGTTATACATATTTTCTGTGTAAAAATATGTTTTTACTTCTTTTGAGGAGAGGCTAGGAGTGGACTTGCTGAGGCATATGGGAAATTGTTGTTTATGAAGAATGGCTAAACTGTTTTTCAAAGTATTTGCATCATTTTTCATTACCACCAGCTGGATAGGAGGGCTCTAATTTCTTCACACTCTTCCCAACACTTGTTATCACCTGTCTTTCTATTACAGCCTTTCTAGTGTGTGTAAAGTGGTCTCTCATTATGGTTTTCATTTGCATTTCCTTATGGCTGAAGATGTTAACCCTCTTTTCATGTGCTTACTGATCATTCATGCATCTTCCTTAGATAAAATTTCTATTTTAATCTTGTGAACATTTTGTCATTTTTCTATTTACCTTATTATGGATTCATAAGAATTATTAATATGTTATAGATACTATCCCTTATCAAATATACGATTTTCATATATTTTCTTCCACTATGGGCAGATAGATTTTTTTTTTTTTTTACTTTTTGGAGGATGCCTTTTGAAACATGAAGGTTTTAATATTGATAAAATAAATATGTAATAGTTTTCCATAATCCAAGGGAAATAATATGGAAAATGCTGTGACTACACCAGCTACCATCAATTCAGAGTCTATTAATCCTACCAATATTATTATGATGTAAGGTGGTACCAGCTAAGAGAATACATTAAAAACACTTTACCAAAAAATTAGTAAGACAAGAAATGATTTAAAATACTTCAAATAAAGTAAAAAAGCAAAGAAACAGAAAACAGGTTAGAAAACAAAAATATATAGAATAAAATGGTGGATTTAAATGTGAACTAGGGCAATCAGGCAAGAAAAAGAAATAAAGGGTATTCTATAAATAGAAAGAGAAGAAGTTAAATTGTCTCTATTTGCAGATGACATAATTCTATATTTAGAAAACCCCTTCATCTCAGTTCTAAAATTCCTTAAGCTGATAAGCAACTTCAGCAAAGCCTCCGGATAGAAAAATCAATATGCAAAAATTACAAGTATTCCTATACACCAACAATACACAAGCAGAGCCAAATCACGAATAAATTCCCATTTGCAATTGCAACAAAGAGAATAAAATACCTAGGAATATGCCTAACAAGGTACGTGAAGGACCTCTTCAAGGAGAAATAGAAAACCCTGCTGAAGGAATTAAGAGAGGACACAAACAAATGGAAAAACATTCCATCCTCATGGATAAAAAAATCAGAATTGTAAAAATGGCCATGCTGCCCAAAGTAATTTTTTTTATTATACTTTAAGTTTTAGGGTATCTGTGCACAAGGTGCAGCTTTGCTACATATGTATACATGTGCCATGTTGGTGTGCTGCACCCATTAACTCGTCATTTAACATTAAGTGTATCTCCTAATGCTATCCCTCCCCACTCCCGCTACCCCCAAGCAGGCCCCGGTGTGTGATATTCCCCTTCCTGTGTCCTCGTGTTCTCATTGTTCAATTCCCACCTATGAGTGAGAACATGCGGTGTTTGGTTTTTTGTCCTTGCGATAGTTTGCTGGGAATGATGGTTTCCAGCTTCATCCATGTCCCTGCAAAGGACATGAACTCATCATTTTTTATGGCTGCATAGTATTCTATAGTGTATGTGTGCCACATTTTCTTAATCCAGTCTATCATTGTTGGACATTTGGGTTGGTTCCAAGTCTTTGCTATTGTGAATAGTGCCTCCATAAACATACTTGTGCACATGTCTTTATAGAAGCATGATTTATAACCCTTTGGGTATATACCCAGTAATGGGAATGCTAGATAAATGATATTTCTAGTTCTAGATCCCTGAGGAATCGCCACACTGACTTCCACAATGGTTGAACTAGTTTACAGTCCCACCAACAGTGTAAAAGTGTTCCTATTTCTCCATATCCTCTCCAGCACCTGTGGTTTCCTGACTTTTTAATGATTGCCATTCTAACTGGGGTGAGATGGTATCTCATTGTGGTTTTGATTTGCATTTCTCTGATGGCCAGCGATGATGAGCATTTTTTCATATGTCTTTTGGCTGCCTAAATGTCTTCTTTTGAGAAGTGTCTGTTCATTTCCTTCACCCACAAGCTGATGAGGTTGTTTGTTTTTTTCTTGTAAATTTGTTTGAGTTCATTGTAGATTCTGGATATTAGCCCTTTGTCAGATGAGTAGATTGCAAAAATGTTCTCCCATTCTGTAGGTTGCCTGTTCAATCTGATGGTAGTTTCCTTTGCTGTGCAGAAGCTCTTTAGTTTAATGAGATCCCATTTGTCAATTTTGGCTTTTGTTGCCATTGCTTTTGGTGTTTTAGTCATGAAGTCCTTGCCCATGCCTATGTCCTGAATGGTATTGCCTAGGTTTTCTTCTAGAGTTTTTATGGTTTTAGGTCTAACATGTAAGTCTTTAATCCATCTTCAATTAATTTTTGTATAAGGTGTAAGGAAGGTATCCAGTTTCAGCTTTCTACATATGGCTAGCCAGTTTTCCTAGCACCATTTATTAAATAGGGAATCCTTTCCCCATTTCTTGTTTTTGTAAGGTTTGTCAAAGATCAGATAGTTGTAGATGTGTGGCATTATTTCTGAGGGCTCTGTTCTGTTCCATTGGTCTATATCTCTGTTTTGGTACCAGTACCATGCTGTTTTGGTTACTGTAGCCTTGTAGTATAGTTTGAAGTCAGGTAGTGTGATGCCTCCAGCTTTGTTCTTTTGGCTTAGGATTGACTTGGTGATGCGGGCTCTTTTTTGGTTCCATATGAATTCAAGTAGTTTTTTCCAATTCTGTGAAGAAAGTCATTGGTAGCTTGATGGGGATGGCATTGGATCTATAAATTACCTTGGGCAGTATGGCCGTTTTCACGATATTGATTCTTCCTACCCATGAGCATGGAACGTTCTTCCATTGGTTTGTTTCCTCTTTTATTTCCTTGAGCAGTGGTTTGTAGTTCTCCTTGAAGAGGTCCTTCACATCCCTTGTAAGTTGGATTCCTAGGTATTTTATTCTCTTTGAAGCAATTGTGAATGGGAGTTCACTCATGATTTGGCTCTCTGTTTGTCTGTTATGGGTGTATAAGAATGCTTGTGATTTTTGCACATTGATTTTTTATCCTGAGACTTTGCTGAAGTTGCTTATCAGCTTAAGGAGATTTGGGGCTCAGACGATCAGGTTTTCTAGATATACAATCATGTCTTCTGCAAACAGGGACAATTTGACTTCCTCTTTTCCTAATTGAATACCCTGTATTTCCTTATCCTGCCTTATTCTCCTGGCCAGAACATCCAACACTGTGTTGAATAGGAGTGGTGAGAGAGGGCATCCCTGTCTTGTACCAGTCTTCAAAGGGAATGCTTCCACCTTTTGCCCATTCAACATGATATTTGCTGTGGGTTTGTCATAGATAACTCTTATTATTTGGAGATACTCCCCATCAATACCTAATTTATTGAGAGTTTTTAGCATGAAGTGTTGTTGAATTTTGTCAAAGGTCTTTTCTGCATCTATTGAGATAATCATGTGGTTTTTGTCATTGGTTCTGTTTATGTGCTGGATTACATTCATTGATTTGTGTACGTTGAACTAGCCTTGCATCCCAGGGATGAAGCCCACTTGGTCAAGGTGGATAAGCTTTTTGATGTGCTGCTGGATTCAGTTTGCCAGTATTTTATTGAGGATTTTTGCATCGATGTTCATCAGGGATATTGGTCTACAATTCTCTTTTTTTTCTTGTGTCCCTGCCAGGCTTTGGTATCAGGATGATGTTGGCCTCATAAAATGAGTTAGGGAGGATTCCCTCTTTTTCTGTTGATTGGAATAGTTTCAGAAGGAAGGGTACCAGCTCCTCCTTGTACCTCTGGTAGAATTCAGCTGTGAATCCATCTGGTCCTGGACTTTTTTTGGTTGGTAAGCTATTAATTATTGCCTCAATTTCAGAGCCTGTTATTAGTCTATTCAGAGATTCAACTTCTTCCTGGTTTAGTCTTGGGAGGGTGTGTGTGTCGAGGAATTTATCCATTTCTTCTTGATTTTCTAGTTTATTTGCGTAGAGGTGTTTATAGTATTCTCTGATGGTAGTTTGTATTTCTCTGGAATCGGTGGTGATACCCCCTTAATCATTTTTATTCCATCTATTTGATTCGTCTCTCTTTTCTTCTTTATTAGTCTTGCTAGCAGTCTATCAATTTTGTTGGCCTTTTCAAAAAACCAGCTCTTGGATTCATTGATTTTTTGAAGAGTTTTTTGTGTCTCTATTTCCTTCAGTTCTGCTCTGATTTTAGTTATTTCTTGCCTTCTGCTAGCTTTTGAATGTGTTTGCTCTTGCTTCTCTAGTTCTTTTAATTGTGACGTTAGGGTGTCAATTTTAGATGTTTCCTGCTTTCTCTTGTGGGCATTTAGTGCTATAAATTTCCATCTACACACTGCTTTGAATGCGTCCCAGAGATTCTGGTATGTTGTGTCTTTGTTCTCGTTGGTTTCAAAGAACATCTTTAATTCTGCCTTCATTTCATTATGTACCCAGTAGTCATTCAGAAGCAGGTTGTTCAGTTTCCATGTAGTTGAACAGTTTTGAGTGAGTTTCTTAATCCTGAGTTCTAGTTTGATTGCACTGTGGTCTGAGAGATAGTTTGTTATAATTTCTGTTCTTTTACATTTGCTGAGGAGTGCTTTACTTCCAACTATGTGGTCAGTTTTGGAGTTGGTGTGGTGTGGTGCTGAAAAGAATGTACATTCTGTTGATTTGGGGTGCAGAGTTCTGTAGATGTCTATTAGGTCCTCTTCGTGCAGAGCTGAGTTCAATTCTTGGATATCCTTGTTAACTTTTTCTCGTTGATCTGTCTAATGTTGACGGTGGTTTGTTAAAGTGTCCCATTATTATTGTGTGGGAGTCTAAGTCTCTTTGTAGGTATCTAAGGACTTGCTTTATGAATCTGGGTGCATGTATATTTAGGATAGTTAGCTCTTCTTGTTGAATTGATCCCTTTACCATTATGTAATGGCCTTGTCTCTTTTGATCTTTGCTGGTTTAAAGTCTGTTTTATCAGAGACTAGGATTGTAATCCCTGCCTTTTTTTGCTTTCCATTTGCTTGGTAGATCTTCCTCCATCCCTTTATTTTGAGCCTATGTGTGTCTCTGCACATGAGATGGGTTTCCTGAATACAGCACAGTGATGGGTCTTGACTCTTGATCCAGTTTGCCAGTCTGTGTCTTTTAATTCTAGCATTTAACCCATTTACATTTAAGGTTAATATTGTTATGTGTAAATTTGATCCTGTCATTATGATGTTAGCTGATTGTTTTGCTCGATAGTTGATGCCGTTTTTTCCTAGCCTCAGTGGTCTTTATCATTTGGCATGTTTTTGCAGTGGCTGGTACCAGTTGTTCCTTTCCATGTTTAGTGCTTCCTTCAGGAGCTCTTTTAGGGCAGGCCTGGTGGTGACAAAATCTCTCAGCATTTGCTTGTCTGTAAATGCTTAGAGATTTTATTTTATTTCTCCTTCACTTATGAAGCTTAGTTTGGCTGGATATGAAATTCTGGGTTGAAGATTCTTTTCTTTAAGAATGTTGAATATTGGCCCCCACTCTCTTCTGGCTTGTAGAGTTTCTGCCAAGAGATCAGCTGTTAGTCTGATGGGCTTCCCTTTGTGGGTAACCTGACCTTTCTCTCTTGCTGCACTTAACATTTTTTCCTTCATTTCAACTTTGGTGAATCTAACAATTATGTGTCTTGGAGTTGCTCTTCTTGAGGAGTATCTTTATGGCATTCTCTGTATGTCTTGAATTTGAATGTCAGCCTGCCTTGCTAGATTGGGGAAGCTCTCCTGGATGATAACCTGCAGAGTGTTTTCCAACTTGTTTCCATTCTCCCCGTCACTTTCAGGTACACCAATCAGATGTAGATTTGGTCTTTTCACATAGTCCCATATTTCTTGGAGGCTTTGTTCATTTCTTTTTATTCTTTTTTGTCTAAACTTCTCTTCTTGCTTCATTTCATTCATTTCATCTTCCATCACTGATACCGTTTCTTCCAGTTGATCAAATCAGCTACTGAGGCTTGTGCATTCATCACATAGTTCTCGTGCCATGGTTTTCAGCTCCATCAGGTCCTTTAAGGACTTCTCTGCATTGGTTATCTAGTTAGCCATTCATCTAATCTTTTTTCAAGGTTTTTACCTTCTTTGCCTTCGGTTCGAACTTCCTCCTTTAGTCCGGAGTAGTTTGATCGTCTGAAGCCTTCTTCTCTGAACTCGTCAAAGTCATTCTCCATCCAGCTTTGTTCCATTGCTGGTGAGGAGCTGCATTTCTTTGGAGGAGGAGAGGCATTCTGATTTTATAATTTCCAGTTTTTCTGCTCTTTTTTCCCCCATCTTTGTGGTTTTATCTACCTTTGGTTTTTGATGATGGCGATGTAGAAATGGGTTTTGGTGTGGATGTCCTTTCCGTTTGTTAGTTTTCCTTCTAACAGTCAGGACCCTCAGCTGCAGGTCTGTTCGAGTTTGCTGGAGGTCCACTGCAGATCCTGTTTGCCTGGGTATCAGCAGCGGACACTGCAGAACAGTGGATATTAGTGAACAGCAAATGTTGCTGTCTGATTGTTCCTCTGGAAGTTTTCTCAGAGGAGTACCCGGCTGTGTGAGGTGTCAGTCTGCCCCTACTGGGGGGTGCCTCCCAGTCAGGCTACTCGGGGATCAGGACCCACTTGAGTAGCAGTCTGTCCATTCTCAGATCTCAAGCTGCGTGCTGGGAGAACCACTACTCTTTTCAAAGCTGTCAGACAGGGACATTTAAGACTGCAGAGGTTTCTGCTGCCTTTTGTTTGGTTATGCCCTGCCCCCAGAGGTGGATCTACAGAGGCAGGCAGGCGTCCTTGAGCTGCGGTGGGCTCCACCCAGTTCAAGCTTCTGGGCCGCTTTGTTTACCTATTCAATCCATGGGAATGGCAGGCGCCCCTCCCCCAGTCTCACTGCTGCCTTGCAGTTCGATCTCAGACTGCTGTGCTAGCAATGAGCGAGGCTCCGTGGGCGTAGGACCCTCTGAGCCAGGTGCGCGATATAATCTCCTGGTGTGCCGTTTGCTAAAACCTTTTGGAAAAGCGCAGTATTAGGGTGGGAGTAACCCAATTTTCCAGGTGCCATCTGTTACCCCTATCCTTGGCTAGGGAAGGGAATTCACAGACCCCTTGTGCTTCCCTGATGAGGCAATGCCTCGCCATGCTTTGGCTCACACGTGGTGCGCTGCACCCACTGTCCTGCACCCACTGTCTGACAGTCCCCTGGGAGATGAACCCAGTACCTCAGTTGGAAATGCAGAAATCATTCCTCATCTGTGTCATTCACACTGGGAGCTGTAGACTGGAGCTGTTCTTATTCGGCCATCTTGGCTTCTTCCCACAGTAATTTATATATTCAAAGCTATTCCCATCAAACTACCATTGACATTCCTCACAGAGCTAGAAAAAAACTACTTTAAATTTAATATGGAACCAAAAAAGAGCCCATATAGCCAAGACAACCCTAAGCAAAAAGAACAAAGCTGGAGGCATCACGCTACCTGATGTCAAACTATACTATTAGGCTACATAACCAAAACAGAATGGTACTGGTACCAAAAAGATGTATTGACCAATGGAACAGAACATACGCCTCAGAAATAACATTACACATCTACAACCATCTGATCTTTGACAAACCTGACAAAAACAAGCAATTAGGGGAAGGATTCCCTATTTAATAAATGGTGTTTTGGAAAAACTGGTTAGCCATATGGAGAAAACTGCAACTGGATCCCTTCCTTACACCTTACAGTAACCAAACCAGCATAGTACTGGAACAAAAGCAGACATATAGACCAATGGAACAGAACAGAGGCCTCAGAAATAACACCACACATCTACAGCCATCTGATCTTCGACAAAACTGACAAAAACAAGCAATGGGAAAGGATTCCCTATTTAATAAATGGTGCTGGGGAAACTGGCTGGCCATATGCAAAAAACAGAAACTATACCCCTGCCTTACACCTTATACAAAAATTAACTCAAGATGGATTAAAGACTTAAATGTAAAACCCAAAACCATAAAAACCCTGGAAGAAAACCTAAGCAACATCATTCAGGACATAGGCGTGGGCAAAAATTTCATGACACAAACACCAAAAGCAATTACAATAAAAGCCAAAGTTGACAAATGGGATCAAATTAAACTAAAGAGCTTCTGCACAGCAAAATAAACCATCATCAGAGGGCACAGGCAACCTACAGAATGAGGGAACATTTTTGCAATCTATCCCTCTGACAAAGGTCCAATATCCAGAATCTACAAGTAACTTAAACAAATTTACAAGAAAAAAAACACCACCACCAAAAAGTGGGCAAAGGATATAAACAGACACTTCTCAAAAAAATACATTTATGCAGCCAACACACTTATGAGAAAAGCTCAATATCACTGATCATTAGAGAAATGCAAATCAAAACCACAATGAGATACAATCTCATGCCAGTCAGAATGGAGATGATTAAAAAGTCAAAAAACAACAGATGCTGGTGAAACTGGGGAGATATAGGAAAACTTTTACATTTTTGGTGGGAATGTAAGTTAGTTCAACCATCATGGAAAACAATGTGGTGATTCCTCAAAGATCTAGAACCAGAAACACCATTTGACCTAGCAATCTCATTACTTGATATATACCCAAAGGCATATAAATCATTCTACTGTAAAGACACATGCACATGTATGTCTATTGCAGCACTATCTACAATATCAAAGATATGGAACCAACACAAATACTCATCAATGATAGACTGGATAAAGAAAATATGATGCATGTACAGTATGGCGGCATACTATGTGCCATAAAAAGGAATGAGATTATGTCTGTTGCAGGGACATGGATGAAACTCAAAGCCATTATCCTCAGCAAACTAACACAGGAACAGAAAACCAAACACCACATGTTCTCACTCATAAGAGGGAGTCGAAAAATGAGAATACATGGACTCAGGGAGGGGAGCAAAACACACCGGGGCCATTCGGGGCATGGAATGGGAGTGAGAGTATCAGGACAAATAGCTAATACATGAGGGACTTAAAATCTAGATGACAGATTGATAGGTGCTGCAAACCACCATGGCACACATATACCTATGTAACAAACCCACACATTCTGCGTATGTATCCTGGAACTTAAAATAAAACTGTTTTTAAAAAATGTGAACCGACCAGATGTGGTGGCTCAAGCCTGTAATCCCAGCACTTTGGGTGGCTGAGGAGGGCAGATCACGAGGTCAAGAGATCGAGACCATACTCCTGGCCAACATAGTGAAACCCTGTCTCTACTAAAAATACAAAAATTAGCTAGGCATGGTGGTGTGCACCTGTAGTCCCAGCTCCTCAGGAGTTTGAGGCAGGAGAATCACTTGAACCTGGGAGACGGAGGTTTCAGTGAGCTGAGATAGTGCCACTGCACTCCAGCCTGGTGACAGAGCGAGACTCCATCTCAAAGATCACAACAAAAAAGTGAACCTACCAGTACTCGCATTAAATTTAAACAGACCAAAGTAGACAAAATAATGATCTTTGAAAACTTTTATTTAAGGAGATAAAACATTTGAAGTACACAATTAAATGTAACCTATGTGTTATATGTGTGTGTGTGTATATATATTGCACATATATCTGTATATATGTATCCATACATATATCTCTGGTTGTGTGTGTGTAGACAGAAAATAAACATTTTTAAAAGAGTTTATGGAGACTGGGTGTGGTGGCTCACACCTGTAATTCCAACACTTTGGGAGGCCAAGGTGGGAGGATCACATTTGGTCAGGAGTTCGAGACCAGCCTGGCCAACATGGTGAAATCCTGTGTCCACTAGTAATACAAAACTTAGCCAGATGTGGGGGATGAGCACCTGTAGTCCCAGACACTTGGGAGGTTGAGGCATGAGAATCACTTGAACCCAGGAGACGTAAGTTGCAGTCAGCCAAGATCGCTCCGTCATACTCAAGCCTGGGTGACAGAGAGAGACTCTGTCTCAAAAAAAAAAAAAAAAAAAGATTATATGTATGAAATAGTTACTGGAATTGACCATATGCTGGGCCATAAAAAAATGCTAAGTAAATTGTATAAGATTCAAATTCATAAAAATAGTATGTTCTAGTCATACTAGAATCAAATTATAAATCATCCAGAAAATGATAACTAAAAACAATCTCTGATTCTTTAAAATAAAAAATATTTTTTAAAAAATTCAGTCAAAAAATTCTAATTATAAATATGCCTTTCTCTCATCAACTATTCTTCCAAGTATACATCCAACAAAAATGAATAAGTATGTAAATCTAATAAAATATATAAATATCTTAATACCATAATTATTAGTAAGATCAAAAAATGTTAACAACACAAATATCCATTAATCATAAATGAAGAGATCTGTGGTCTTTGTCAATCAACTGAATACTCTACACCAGTGCAATTAAACAACTGCTAAACAAAAACAGAAATGAATAAGTATTATTTAATTCAATTATATAAACATAATCTATGATATTAGAATTCAGGTTAATACTTACTTTGAGGATAAAAGTAGTGACTAAAATGGCCCAGGAGGAAAGAGTTCTTCTATGCAGTTTGTGATAAATTGGTGTTTTCACTTTTGGATAATGTTTAAGATAATCTTAAAATTTTGAGATAGTCACATAGCGTATATACATTTATCCTATGTATTTCATACTTAAACTTTTATTGTGGAAGATATATAACATATTTTAAAGTTCCAGAAATCAAATAGCAAAATAAGAACGAAGCAGTAGAGAAATCCTATGGGTGCCTATAGTGTGGCCAGGAAAACACTCTCTAAGAGGTATCATTTAAGGGGAAGCCTCAAAAAGAAATAGAAGCAAACCTCAAGTAGTTGCAAGAAAGAATGCTCAATGAGAGAGACACGGGGAACAAAAGGTGTAAACGGGCTAAGGTGAGAACACCTTCAGGAGTTTAAAGAACAACAGAAGGCCATTGTCTCTAGAAGAAAGTGTACAGGGGGAAAGGGTTAGGACAAGTAGGTGTCTGTGTAGCGTTCTCTAGACCACAGACAGATTTGGATTTTATTCTTAATGTAACAAGAAACCAGATGGAAATCTTGACAGGCAACTGTCATAATTTGACATTAATTTAGAAAATGTTCTGGCTACTAGTAGGAAAATACGGTAGAAGACAGAAGATTAGAGTAGAAGCTGAGAAACTAGTTAGGAGACATTTCACCAGTTGTGACACAATTCTTCTTTAAATATGTCAAAATGGGCTGGGCACAGTGGTTCATGTCTGTAGGGCCAACACTTTGGGAGACAGAGGCAGAATGATTAGACCACAGGAGTTCCAGATGAGTATGGGCACTACAGCAAGACCTCATATCTAAAAATGTAAAAAATAAAAAATATAGCCAGGCATGGTGGTGCGCAGCTGTAGCCCCAGCTTCTCATGAGGCTGAGGTGGAGGATTACCTGAGACCGAAACGGAAAGGCTGCACTGAGCCATGATCATGTGACTGCACTCAGCCTGTGTAATGGAGCAAAAGCCTGTCTCAAAAAAAAAAAAAACTAAAAATATCAAAATGATCATTCCCAGATTCTATTTCCACTATCTTACTTATAGCACTTAGAATGGCTCACAATATTTTCTGCTCTAGAAAAACATTAACTTTCCCACCGAAAATTCCATTTTTCATTTTTAAAGGTATTTGTCAGTGATAAAACTCCAATTTAAAAACCAAACTTTCTGTAATGACATACATTAAAACATTAATATTTTATGTCAATTCAATGACACTTACTTTGAATCACTTGTGTGGCGCTTTTCAAAGACCATCCATAGACTTGATATGCTTAAGCAATAAATTTACTTTTAATGTTGATATCTTTATATTTATCCTTCAGCTATAAAGAGAATATCATGAAATTATCAAGAATTCATCATGATCAACCGGTGAAGCCCCTGGATCGAGCAGTCTTCTGGATTGAGTTTGTCATGCGCCATAAAGGAGCCAAGCACCTTCGGGTCGCAGCCCACAACCTCACCTGGATCCAGTACCACTCTTTGGATGTGATAGCATTCCTGCTGGCCTGCGTGGCAACTATGATATTTATGATCACAAAATGTTGCCTGTTTTGTTTCCGAAAGCTTGCCAAAACAGGAAAGAAGAAGAAAAGGGATTAGTTATATCAAAAGCCTGAAGTGGAATGACCAAAAGATGGGACTCCTCCTTTATTCCAGCATGGAGGGTTTTAAATGGAGGATTTCCTTTTTCCTGCGACAAAACGTCTTTTCACAACTTACCCTGTTAAGTCAAAATTTATTTTCCAGGAATTTAATATGTACTTTAGTTGGAATTATTCTATGTCAATGATTTTTAAGCTATGAAAAATAATAATATAAAACCTTATGGGCTTATATTGAAATTTATTATTCTAATCCAAAAGTTACCCCACACAAAAGTTACTGAGCTTCCTTATGTTTCACACATTGTATTTGAACACAAAACATTAACAACTCCACTCATAGTATCAACATTGTTTTGCAAATACTCAGAATATTTTGGCTTCATTTTGAGCAGAATTTTTGTTTTTAATTTTGCCAATGAAATCTTCAATAATTAAATTATGTAAAAAGTCTCACTCTTCCTTTTGAGATTGCAAGACCAGTAGTGTTGCTTGGCTTTTACTGTGTATTCAGACTCAGCATCACTTCTTTCCTAGAAGACATGGCAAGTTTATTCCTAGAATGAAAGATAGTTTCACATACAAAAATTAACACGTATATTATACCACATTAACAGATACAGATCTACATAACAAACTAGAAAGCCTAGAAATAAATCCATGAATATATACAGCTAACTGATCTTCAATAAGAGTCCCAAATATACTCAATGAAGAAAGATGAGTTTCTTCAAAAAATGGTGCTGAGAAAATTGGATGTCCACAACCAAAAGAAAAAAGTGAACCCTTATTTTTTATCATATACAAAAATCAACTCAAAATGGATGAAAGATGGCAACATAAGACTAGAAACAGTAAAACTTTGAGAAGATGGAGATCTGGCAAGATGGTTGAATAGGAACAGCTCCTGTCTGCAGCTCTCAGTGAGACCAATGCAGAAGGCAGGGTGTTTCTGCATTGCCAGGGATCTTCCTCCCACAGCCAAGGGAAGCCATGAGGGACTATGCTATCCAGCCCAGATATTATGCTTTCCCCATGGTTTTTGCAATCCACGGAGCAGGATACTCCCTTCTGTGCTGACATCGCCAGAGCACTGGGTTGCAAGCGCCAAACTGGGGAGCTGTTTGGGCAGACACCAAGCTAGCTACAGGAGTTTTTTGTTGCTGTTGTTGTTGTTTTGTTTGTTTGTTTTGTGCCTGGAGCCCAAGTGAGACAGAACCATTCACTCCCCTACAAAGGGGACTGAAGCCAGGGAGCCAAGTGGTCTCGCTTAGTGGGTCCCACTCCCATGAAGCCCAGCAAGCTAGGAACCACTAGATTGAAATTTTCGCTGCCAGCACAGCAATCTGAAGTCAACCTGGGACAACCGAGCTTACTGGGGGGAGGGGCCATTACTGAGGTTTCAGTAAGCAGTTTTCCCCTGACAGTGCTAAGCAGGCCAGGAAATTTGTACTGGACAGAATTCACCACAGCGCAGCAAAGCAGCTGTGGCCAGACTACGCCTCTAAATTCCTCCCCACTCGGCAGGGCATCTCTGAAAGAAAGGCAGCAGCACCAGTCAGGGACTTATAGATAAAACTCCCATCTCCCTGGGACAGAGCACCTGGGGGAAGGAGCAACTGTGGGCAAAGCTTCAGTGGATTTAAACCTTCTTGCCTGCCAGCTTTGAACAGAAGAGTGGATCCTGACAAGGAGGATTCTCCCAGCAGAGTCCTCGAGCTCTGCTAAGGGACAGACTGCCTCCTCAAGTGGGTCCCTGAACCCCATGCCTCTTGACTGGGAGAGAACTCCCAGCAAGGGTTGACAGATACCTCATACAGGAGAGCTCCAGCTGGCATCAGGCCAGTGCCCCTCTGGGGCAAGGCTTCCATAGGAAGGAGCAGGCAGCAATCTTTGCTGTTCCACAGCCTCTGCTGGTGATACCCAGGCAAACAGGGTCTGGAGTGGACCTCCACCAAACTGCAGGAGACCTGCAGAAGAGGGAGCTGACTGTTGGAAGAAAAACTAGCAAACAGAAAGTAATAACATCAACATCAACATAAAAGACCCCCACACTAAAACCCCATCCAATGGTCATCAGCCTCAAAGATCAAAAGTAGATACATCTAGGAAGATAAGGAAAACTAGCGTAAAAATGCAAAAAAAAAAAAAAAAAAATCCAAAAACCAGAATGCCTCTTCTCCTCCAAATGATTGCAACTCCTCTCCAGCAAGGGCACAAAACTGGATGGAGAAGGAGTTTGCTGAGTTAACAGAAGTAGGCTTCAGAAGATGGATAATAACAAACTCCTCTCAGCTAGAGGGGAACTCATATTCTAACCCAATGCATGGAAGCTAAGAACCTTGATAAAAGGTTACAGGAGCTGCTAACTAGAATAACCAGTTTAGAGAAGAACATTAATGACCTGATGGAGATATAAAAAAAAAAAAAAAAACACAGCACAAGAACTTCGTGAAGCATACAGAAGTATCAATAGCTGAATTGATGAAGCAGAAGAAAGGATATCAGAGACTGAAGGTCAACTTAATGAAATAAGCAGTGATTGGTTTACCCAAAAGTGATGGGGAAAATGGAACCAAGTTGGAAAACACTCTTCAGGATATTATCCAGGAGAACTTCCCCAACCTAGCAAGACAGGCCAACATTCAAATCCAGGAAATATAGAAAACAACGCTAACATACTCCTCGAGAAGAGGAACCCCAAGACACATAATCATCAGATTCTCCAAGGTTGAAACTAAGGAAAAAATGTGTAGGGCAGCCAGAGAGAACGGACAGGTTATCTACAAAGGGAAGCCCATCAGACTAACAGTGGATCTCTCGGCAGAAACCCTACAAACCAGAAGAGAGTGGGGGCCAATATTCAACATTCTTAAAGAAAAGAATTTTTAACCTGGAATTTCATATCCAGCCAAACTAAGCTTCATAAGTGAAGGAGAAATAAAATCTTTACAGACAAGCAAATGCTGAGGATTTTGTCACCACCAGGCCTGCCTTACCAGAGCTCCTGAAGGAAGACTTAAATATGGAAAGGAAAAATCAGTACCAGCCACTGCAAAAACACACCAAAATATAAAGACTAATGACTCTATGAAGAAACTGCATAAACTAATGTGAAAAATAAACAGCTAGCATCATGATGACAGGATCAAATTCACACATAACAATATTAACCTTAAATGTAAATGGGCTAAATGCCCCAATTAAAAGACACAGATGGGAAAATTGGATAAAGAGTCAGGATCCATCAGTGTCCTATATTAAGGAGACCCATGTCACATGCAAAGACACACGTAGGCTCAAAACAAATAAAGGGATGGAGGAAAATTTGCCAAGCAAATGGAAAGCAAAAAGCAGCAGGGGTTGCAATCCTAGTCTCTGATAAAACAGACTTTAAAACAACAAAGATCAAAAGAGACAAAGAAGGCCACTACATAATGGTAAACGGACCAATGAAACAAGAAGAGCTAACTATTCTAATATATATGCACCCAATACAGGAGCACCCAGATTCATAAAAGAAGTTCTTAGAGACCTATAAAGAGACTTAGGTCCCACATAATAATAGTGGGAGACTTTAACTTTCCACTATCAGTATTAGACAGATCAATGAGACAGAAATTTAACAAGCCTATTCAGGATTTGAACTCATCTCTAGACCAAGTAGACCTAATAGACATCTACAGAACTCTCCAACCCAAATCAACAGATATACATTCTTCTCACAGCACATAGCACTTACTCTAAAATCAACCACATAACTGGGAGTAAAACACTCCTCAGCAAACGCAAAAGAACGGAAATCATAACAAACAGTCTCTCAGACCACAGTGCAATACAATTAGAACTCAGGATTAAGAAATTCACTCAAAACCATTCAACTACATGGAAACTGAATAACCTGCTCCTGAATGACTACTGGGTTAAATAACAAAATTAAGGCAGAAATAACAAAGTTTGTTGAAACCAATGAGAACAAAGAGACAACATACTAGGATCTCTGAGACACAGCTAAAGCAGTGTTTAGAGGGAAATTTATAGCACTAAATGCCCACAAGAGAAAGCAGGAAAGATCCAAAATTGACACCCTAATATCCCAATTAAAAGAACTGGAGAAGCAAGAGCAAACACATTCAAAAGCTAGCAGAAGACAAGAAATAACTAAGATCAGAGCTGAACTGAAAGAGATGGAGACATAAAACACCCTTCAAAAAAAGTCAATGAATGCAGGAGCTGGTTTTTAGAAAAGGTTAACAAAATAGACCACTAGCCAAGCTAATAAAAAGGAAAAGAGAGAATAATCAAATAGACTCAATGAAAAAAGTTAAATAGGATATCACCACTGATCTCACAGAAATACAAACTACCATCAGAAAATACTATAAAAACATCTCAACACAAATAAACTAGAAAACCTAGAAGTGGATAAATTCCTGGATACATACAGCCTCACCAGTCTAAACCAGGAAGAAGTCAAATCCCTGAATAGAACAATAACAAGTTCTGAAATTGAGGCAGTAATTAATAGCCTACCAACTAAAACAAGCCCAGGACCAGACAGATTTGCAGCCAAATTCTACCAGAGGTACAAAGAGGAGCTGGTACCATTCCTTGTGAAACTATTCCAAACAACAGAAAGAGAGGGAATTCTCCCTAACTCACTTTATGAGGCCAGCATCATGCTGATACCAAAGACTGGCAGAGACACAACAAAAAAGAAAATTTCAGGCCAATATCCCTGATGGACATCGATGCAAAAATATTCAATAAAATACTGGCAAACTGAATCTAACCACACATCAAAAAGCTTATCCACCACAATCAGGCCAGCTTCATCCCCAGGATGCAAGGCTGGTTCAACATACAGAACTCAATGAACATAATCCATCACATAAACAGAACGAATTACAAATACCACATGATTATCTCAATAGATGCAGAAAAGGCCTTTGATAAAATTCAACATGCCTTCATGCTAAAAACTTTCAATTCACTAGGTATTGATGGAACATATGTCAAAATAATAAAAGCAACTTATGACAAATCCATAGCCCATATCATACTGAATGGGAAAAAGCTGGAAGCACTCCCTTTGAAAACTGGCACAAGACAAGGATGCCCTCTCTCACTACTCCTTTTCAACATAGTATTGGAAGTTCTGCCCAGGGCAATCAGGCAAGAGAAAGAAATAAAGTGTATTGAAATAGAAAAAGAGGACGTCAAGTTGTCTCTGTTTGCAGATGACATGATTCTATATTTGGAAAACCCCATCATCTCAGCCCAAAAACTCCTTAAGCTGATAAGCAACTTCAGCAAAGTCTCTGAATACAAAATCAATGGGCAAAAATCACAAGCATTCTTATACACTGATAATAGACAAACTGACAGTCAAATCATGAGTGAACTCCCATTCACAAGCACTACAAAGAGAATAAAATACCTAGGAATACTCCTAAAAACAGTCATGAAGGATTTCTTCAAGGAGAACTACAAACCACTGCTCAAGGAAATAAGAGAGGACACAAACAAATGAAAAAGCATTCCATACTCACGGCTAGGAAGAATCAATATCATGAAAATGGCCACAGTGCTTAGAGTAATTTATAGATTCAATGCTATTCAAATCAAGCTACCATTGACTTTCTTCTCAGAACTAGAAAAAACTACTTTGCATTTTATATGGAACAAAAAAGAGCTTGTATAGCCAAAACAACCCTAAGCAAAAAAAAAAAAAAAAAAACTGGAGGCATCACTCTACCTGACTTCAAACTATACTACAAAGCTACAGTAACCAAAACAGCATGGTACTGGTACCAAGACAGATATATAGACCAATGGAACAGAACAGAGGCTTCAGAAATAACACCATACACCATACATCTACAACCATCTGATCTTTGACAAACCTGACAAAAACAAGCAATGGGAAAAGGATTCCCTATTTAATAAATGGTACTGGGAAAACTTGCTATCCATATGCAGAAAACAAAAACTGGTCCCCTTTCTTACACCTTATATAAAAATTAACTCAAGATGGATTAAAGACTTAAATGTAAAACCCAAAACCATAAGAACACTAGAAGAAAACCTAGGCAATACCATTCAAGACATAGGCATGGGCAAAGACTTCATGACTAAAACACCAAAAGCAATTGCAGCAAAAGCCAAAATTGACAAATGAGATCTAATTAAACTAAAGAGCTTCTGCACAGCAAAATAAACTATCATCAGAGGGAACAGGCAACCTACAGAATCGGCAAACATTTTTGCAATCTATCCCTCTGACAACGGTCTAATATCTAGAGTCTACAAGGAACTTAAACAAATTTACAAGACAAAAACAAACAACACCATCACAAAGGCTATAAACAGACACTTCTCAAAAGAAGACATTTACATGGCCAACAAACATATGAAAAAAAGCTCATCATCACTGGTCATTAGAGAAATACAAATTAAATCCACAATAAGATACCTTCTCATGCCAATTAGAATGACAATCATTAAAAAGTCAAGAAACAACAGATGCTGGAGAGGATTTGGAGAAATAGGAACACTTTTACACTGTTGATGGCAGTGCAAATTAGTTCAACCATTGTGGAAGACATTGTGGCAATTGCTCAAGGATCTAGAAGCAGAAATACGATTTCACCCAGCAATCCCATTACTGGGTATATACCCAAAGGATTACAAATCATTCTACTATAAAGAGACATGCACACGTATGTTTATTGCACCACTATTTACAATAGCAAAGACTTGGAAACAACCCAAATGCCTATCAATGATAGACCGAATAAAGAAAATGTGTACATATACACCATGGAATACTATGCAGCCATAAAAAAGCATGAGTTCATGTCCTTTGCAGGGATGTGGATAGAAACCATCATTCTCAGCAAACTAACAAAGGAACAGAAAACCAAATGCTGCATGTTCTCACTTATAAATGGGAGTTGAACAATGAGAACACATAGACACAGAGGGGAACATCACACACTGGAGCCTGTCAGGGGGTCTGGGACAAGGAGACAGAGAGCATTAGAACAAATACCTAATGCACGCAGGGCTTAAAACCTAGATGATGGGTCGATGGGTGCAGCAAACCACAATGGCACATGTGTACCTAGGTAACAAACCTGCACGTTCTGTACATGTATCACAGAATTTAAGTAAAATAAATAAAAAATAAATAAAAATTTTTCAAGTAAGAATAAATAAAAGTAACAGGTTAAGCAGCATCATTGTCTGGGGTAAATACCCAAGACTCATCATCTCACTCCAGGGAAACTGAAAACACGGACACACGAGAAGTGAGTTTAAGAATGGAGGTTTAATAGGGGAAAGAAAGAGAAAAGAGAATAGCTCTCTTTCCTGCAGAAAGGTGATCCCAAATAGATCTTCTAGTTCCATGGCGAAATGCACTGGGTTTTATAGACAAGCTTGAGGAAGCAGTGTCTGATTTATATAGGGCCCAAAGGATTGGTGGAACCAGGGGTGCCATTTACATAGTGTAAGAAGAAGCTTGCTGCCCCACCCTAATCTTCTATTATGCATATGCTTTCTCTACCTGGCCAGTGCCATGTTGCCTGCTTCTTTATTGCACGTGTGGTTGACAAAGGAAAGGAAAGAGGGAACCTCCCTGTTGAATATACCTGGCTTCAAGGTATCCCATCCCTTTTCTTTCTTTTTTTTTTTTTTAATTATACTTTAAGTTCTGGGGTACATGTGCAGAATATGCAGTTTTGTTACATAGGCATACATGTGCCACAGTGGTTTGCTGCAACCATCAACCCATCACCTCCATTAGATATTTCTCCTGATGCTATCCCTCCCCTAGTCCCCCACACCTCAACGGGCCCCAGTGTGTGATGTTCCCCTCCCTGTGTCTATGTGATCTCATTGTTCAACTCCCACTTATGAGTGAGAACAATTGGTGTTTGGTTTTCTGTTCTTGTGTTAGTTTGCTGAAAATGATGGTTTCCAGCTTCATCCATGTCCCTGCAAAGGACATGAACTCATCTTTTTTATGGATGCATAGTATTCCATGGTGTATATGTGCCACGTTTTCTTTATCCAGTCTATCATTGATGGACATTTGGGTTGGCTCCAAGTCTTTGCTATTGTGAATAGTGCTGCAATAAACATATGTGTGCATGTGTCTTTATAGTAGAATGATTTAGAATCCTTTGGGTATATATCCAGTAATGGGATTGCTGTGTCAAATGGTATTTCTAGTTCTAGATCCTTGAGGAATTATTGGCACAGTTGCCAGCATTTACTTATGCAAGCTTTTAGCTTGTTTATCTATGTTTGAAGCTTGATTTTTCAGGCTGCTTTTTGTTAGCAAGTGAAGGGGTGGCCTGACCCTCCACACCTGTGGGTATTTCTAGTCAGGTGGGATGAGAGACTGAGAAAGAGAAATGAGACACAGAGACAAAATATAGAGAAACAACAGTAGGCCCAGTGGACCAGCACTCAGCATACCAAGGATCTGCACCAGCACCGGTCTCTGAGTTCCCTCAGTTTTTATTGATTATTATCTTCATTATTTCAGCAGGAAGGAATGTAGTAGGAGAGCAGGGTGATAATAAGGAGAAGGTCAGCAACAAACATGTGAGCAATAGAATCTATGTCATAATTAAGTTCAAGGGAAGGTACTATGACTGGACGTGCACGTAAGCCAGATTTATGTTTCTCTCCACCCAAACATCTCAGTGGAGTAAAAAATAACAAGGCAGCATTGCTGCAAACATGTCTCACCTCCCACCATAGGGTGGTTTTTTTCTCTCATCTCAGAATTGAAGAAATGTACAATCGGATTTTATACTGAGACATTCAGTTCCCAGGGGCAGGCGGGAGATAGTGGCCTTCCTCTATCTCGACTGCAAGAGGCTTTCCTCTTCTACTACTCCACCTCAGCACAGACCCTTTACGGGTGTCAGGCTGGGGGACAGCCAGGTCTTTCTCATCCCATGAGGCCATATTTCAGACTATCACATGGAGAGAAACCTTGGACAGTACCCAGCTTTCAAGGGCAGAGGTCCCTGCGGCTTTCCGCAGTGCATTGTGCCCCTGGTTTATTGAGACTAGAGAATGGTGATGACTTTTACCAAGTATACTGCCTGTAAACATTTTGTTAAAAAGGCATGTCCTGCACAGTCCTAGATCCCTTAAACCTTGATTTCATACAACACATGTTTTTGTGAGCTCCAGGTTGGGTCAAAGTGGCTGGGGCAAAGTGGCTGGGGCAAAGCTACAAATTAACAACATCTCAGCAAAGCAATTGTTTAAAGTACAGGTCTTTTTCAAAATGGAGTCTCTTATGTCTTCCCTTTCTACATAGACACAGTAACAGTCTGATCTCTCTTTCTTTTCCCTACCTATGCAAGCTTTTAGCTTGTTTCTCTATGTTTGAAGCTTGATTTTTCAGGCTGCTTTTTGTTAGCAAGGAAATGATTTGCGGAGCTGCTTTTTATTAAAACAAAACCTTACCGAGGACTCTCACCCTCACTATCTGCCTGAATAATTTCTTTCTAGTTCCTGTATCACAGACATAACTTTATCAGAAAACTGAGAAAATTTACAGTATTCAATCATATGAAATGTAATATACTGTGAAAATGAAACAAAAGAAAAAAGAAAGCTCTAATACATTTGATCAAATTAGGTTGCACCCCATATTTTTCAGCTAATTTTTTTTTCTCTAGCCTTTGCTGTGTCAAGGAGCTTTGTAAAGTCATCTTCTGATAGGACAGGTCTCTCATTTTCTGCACCAGTCTTCTTTAACATCTCTTCATGGAACCGTCAAAGAAACTCAGCTAACACTCACTCACATGTGCATAACCTGGCAGTGTGAACAATAGAAAGTGATGGTTAATGATCACGCCTTACATCCACACAGCTTCCTACTGGGTCCACATGAGCTTAAGTCCCAACAGTCACGGTGATGATTAGTTTGGTAACACATTCTTGTACTGACTTTTCTCCCTTCTTGTTTCACCCTTTCCTGTCCCCTACTCCTGTACCCTAAGAACATTTCTCAAATTAGTTATTGCACACTAATTCTTATCTCAGGCTTTGCTTTCTGAGAAAAATAGACTATGGCAGCTTGGGCAAGTGGCACTAAAAAGCAGACCCTCAAAATGGGACTTTGGAATTTAATAACTCACTGATAACTGGCAAAAACAGTCTCCTTGCCAACAACACTTGAGAGGTGATAACTCCTGGTATTCAGTAAAATCACTTTGATCAAAATGGATACAATTCACACAGGGAAGAAAAGAACTGAGGTGAAAGACACGGGGAAAGTGAATCATTGCTTTACCAACAGTATAAAGATCATGGTAACTACATAGTTTATAAAGTGAAGACTTTTAACAGTTTCAGAGAGCTTGTAAAAAGAAAAAAGGCTCAGTTTGAATAAATATCAAATCAAAATATGCTATGTAAGTCAGATGTTCTTGGCAGTGTTTGAAGAAAATCGACTTCTGCAGCAGCAGCAGCTGACCACATTGAGAATTTCATCGCAAAACAACAGTGATGCACAGGAGACGACACTGTCCGCCTCTACTACACTTTATGCCACATTTAGGGCCTGAAGAGCAAAATAATGGGACTCAGATACATGGAGTTGGGGAACAAAACTGAAAATCTGGGACCACCATATTCCTCTGTGGTTTGGAGACAAGTAATGCTGCTAGTCCTTAATGTGCATCCGGCTACAACATCACCTCTTTTCTAAAAAAATATGGCAGTGCATTTGGCTTCTGCCAACTTAAATCATTTTGCAGTAAAGTTGACCTGTGAACAGCAGTGGACCTACGGGCAAATCTCTCCTATCACACCATCAAAAAGCCATTTATAACTTTTGACTCCACAAAATTTAACTACAGATAGTTTACTGTTGGCCAGAAGCCTTACCAATAACATAAACAGTAAATTAACACATATTGTGCATGCTATATGTATTGTATATCATAGTTTTACAATAAAGTAAGATAGACAAAAGAAAATGTTATTAAGAAAATCACAAGGAAGGTTAAATATGTTTACTATTTATTAAGTGGAAGTGGATCATCACAAAGGTTTTCTTCTTCATGTATTCACATTAAGTAGGCAAAGGAGGAAGAGAAAGAGAAGTTGGCCTTGTTATCTCAGGCTGGCAGAGGCAAAAGAAAATCTGCATATAATCAGAGGTTCAGTTCAAACCTCCATGTTGTTCAAGGATCAAAAGCACAATATATGACAAATTAGAGATAGAATGACTCCTACCTGACAAATACTACAAAATTTAACTATTTGGGAAAACCTTTGTTCACAAGCTAATTGTCTTTTCCCCATGAACTTTTCTAAAGTGTGAACTGGTTGCTTTCACGGTCATTTATAAACGTTAATAGTGGATTAAATGTCTGAATTGTAGGTTGTGATAATATAGAACCAGCACTTTAAGGGGACTTACCGATTTTGATTATCACAACTGTACATGTATATATGTGTTCACTTCTTCCAAAACAAGGCACAGAATTATTGAGCTACCTTACAGATGTTTGTGAAACTGAATGTGTTTGTAGAAGACAGTTAAAAGTGACCATTATTCTATATAACCCTATTTTATATAAGGATGTCTCATGTTTCTCTCTTTCCACAGAAGCCTGTAGCTCTATTCATCCCATAACACTAATATGAAAACATAAGTCATTTAGCATGACTAAAAATAAGATAATCATTTTTAATGTAAACATATTGCAACTAATCATAATCAGTAATAATATCAAGAACACAAAAATTACCAAAAAAATGGCAAATAATAAAATCTCAGGAATTCTCAAGGCCCTCCTAAAAGCTACACATCAAGGAAACACTTTGTGATCAAAGTAGTATGGGTTAACAAAAACCTTTGTGTCTTTATTGGCAAGAAGACCATCATCCAAGTCTCACAACAACCACTCTATGACCTATGGCATGAATGTATTCTAAAAATAAATTAAAACTTTGATGCTAAGGGAATTATTGGAAGAGATTGCAGCAGAATTTTTATAAAATGTATCCAGATAAATGAAACATTTTTAAGAAATATTGAATAAATATAGTGTCATAGCAGATAATATTGTTACATCATGCATACCAACCTAAAGTAATTTACATCAAGCCTATCCTGCAATACGTAGACAAAGGACTGGTATCCCTTGTACAATGAGAGCTATTATATATCACCAACCAAAAAGACAAACAGACCAATATGAAAATAGATGAAGGATATGAATTGACAATTCACAGAAGTAAAAATGGCCAATCACATCAAAAAGATGACAAAAGCTACTTGTACTAGAAAATTGGACATTATAATTTATTAAGTCAATAATGTTAAGTCAATGAACTTTTTTAACTTTTAAGTTCAGGGGTACATGTGCAAGTTTGTTACATAGGCAAATATGTGTCATCACCCAGGTATTAAGCCCAGAACCCACTACTTATTTTTCTTGATCCTCTCCCCCCTCCCACCTTCTACCCTCCAATAGGCCCCAGTGTGTGTTGTTCATGTGTTCCAGGTGTTCTCATTATTTAGCTTCCACTTGTAAGTGAGAACATGCAGCATTTGGTTGTCTGTTCCAAGACCTAATGACAGAAATACCATTTGACCCAGCAATCCCATTACTGGGTATATACCCAAAGGAATATAATCATTCTATTATAAAGACACATGCACATATATGTTGATTACAACACTATTCACAATAGCAAAGACATGAAATCAACCTAAATGTCCATCAATGATAGACTGAATAAGGAAAGTGCAGTATGTATACACCATGGATTACTATGTAGCCATAAAAAGTCAATGAATTATTTTCCCACAGAAGATTGATCAAACATAAGAACCTGAGAAAAGAGTTTGTGAGAGAGTATAAAGTGAAATAACCCTTACAAAAAAAATTATACTTAGAGTTTGACTCTGCAATTCTACATCTAGTCATCTGCTATCCAGATACACTTGCACCTGAGTGCGTGTATGTACAGGTTGTTCCCTCCATCACTTACATGGCTATCAGTCAGTGCACATACATACCTCCCACAAAAAGTAGAAGGTATGAAGTAATTACAGAGAACAGGCATATTACAGACAATATCAGGGAATGTTCTCCACATCACATTGCTAAATGAAAAACAAGTTCCAGAAAAAAATGAGTATACTTCTTTGAAATAAAATTAAGAATCTGTAAATCTGTATAAACATAGAGGATTCTACTTTTAATTTTGATTCTACATACTTCATTCACTAACCTTGCACAAATTTGTTTTTATATTTAATTATATAGTTTTAAAAATTAATTAGTGAAATAAACATTGATTTGAGATAGCATGTTCTTAGGTTTTAATATAATATTATCAATCTATTAGTGCCATTTAGAAAACTTAAATTGACCAGGAATCTGGTACTCTCTATCTGATAAATTTACAGATTGTTTTTGGACACCTACTTGATATTTTAAATATTTATGAATAAATATATTAGAATGTTAATTAAAATTTTTAATCATGGTTAAAATTTAAATACAAAATTTTTTTAAATTTTACTGTCTTATGTCAACATTTTATGAATTCTATAGTAATTTAGTGATTTCTTCTAATTTTTAAGGTTATATTTGCAGTAATTTTGGGATGTGATTACAAATGCATTGGCAATCCTCTAATCAAGTCATATACCCTTCCTGTGAAATTTAGCAAACTTTGTGGCTGTCTTAAAAAAGAGAATATAGTGGAAGTGAGGAGCTTAACTTCCAAAGCTCAAAAAAGTTGTGAATACATTTTCTCTGTCTGTCCTTCTGTCCTTTTCTCTGTGTTTCTGTCATTTTTTTTCCTTTCTCTCGGTCTCTCCACTCACTTTGGAGCCCTGTGCCATATCCACAGTCCCCAGGAGAAATATACCATTTGGTGTAGAAATACATATGTATGCCTAAGAAGTCACAATTGGTCCAGCACTCCAGTAGCTTGAGACTTTTAATACTAATTACCAGATATGTGAGTGATTAACCTTCAGATGATTAGCCTAAGCTACCTTAGGACAGTAACCAGTTGAGAAATGCTGTGCCATAAACACCTAATTGAGCCTGGCCAACAACCTAGAATTAAAACAGGCGATGATAAAATGTTGCTGTTCTAAGCACCTTCATTTGAGAGCAGTTGGTTAAGCAGTGATAGACAACCAGAAAAATATTTTTACATATTTGAATCATACACCTGTAATAATATTATAATTAATATATACGTACGAAAAAAATGTGATTCTATGTTACATTTTGTAACTACCTGTAACCCAGAAAGAGTAGTCAGCATAGGATGGTGGGTAAGAGCTTGCACTCTGAATCCAGATAACCTATATCATCTTTGCAAAACCATTACAGAATCACTTATGGTTAAGCAAATTACTTATCAGGTCTATGCCTCACATTCTCCTTCAGTGAAATGGAGATGAGGCAATGGCACTACCTACTTAATAGCATTGCTGAGGCTAAAAGAGTTGCTGTAAGTAATTGCTGTATATAGTAATATTCAATTTGCTACAACTATTATTATTATTAGGTGGATGAGTACATTTCCGCAATGAATTTGGACTTAACATAGGCTAATACATTTTTTAAATTTTATGTTTCAAATATAAATGATTAAAATAACAGCACTTTCTATTTCAATAATGTACTAATTGAGCACTTAGGCAAGAGAAAGCTATAAAAGGCATCCAAACAGGAAAAGAATTGAAGGTATCTCTCTTTCCTGATGATATGATTCTATACCTAGAAAATCCTAAAGACTGCCTAAAGCCTGCTAGAACTGAAAAATGACTTCAGTAGGGTTTCAAGATGCAAAATCAATGTACAAAAATCAATACCATTTCTATACACCAATAAGAATTCAGGCTGAGAATCAAATCAAGAACAAAATCACATTTACACCAGTCACATAAACAAAATATACTTAAAAATACATCTAACCGAGGAGACAAAAGATTTCTACAAGAACTACAAAGCACTGCTGAAATAAATCATAGATGACTCAAACAAATGGTAGAACATTTTATGCTCAAGGCTGGAAGAATCAGTATCATTAAAATAACCATCCTAACCAAAGCCATCCACACATTAAATGCTATTCCTATTAAAATGCCAATGTCATTATTCACAGAATTAGAAAAAAATATTCAAAAATTTCCATAAAACCAAAAGTTAGTCCAAATAGCTGAAGCATGCCTGGGCAAAGAGAACAAAGCCAGAGGCATCACATTACCCAACTTCAAACTATAAGGCTGCAGATACCAAAACAGCATGGTTCTGTTACAAAAACAGACACATAAATCAATGAAACAGAATACAGAGCCCAGAAATACAGCAACAGACCTATAGTCATCCATCACTAAGTCAACAAAAATAAGCAAAGGAGAAAAGGACTCCCTATTCAATAAACGATGGTGGGATAGCTTGCTAGCCATAAGGAAAAGAACAAAACTGGACCTCTACTTTTCACCATGCAAAAATTAACCCATGATGGATTAAATGTTTAAATATAAGACCTAAAGCTATAAGAATAATTGAAGAAAATCTAGGAAATACCATTCTAGACATCAGCCTTGGGAAAGAATTTATAACTAAGTCCTCAATAGCAATTGCAACAAAACTCAAAATTCACAAGTGAGATGTAAACTGAAGAGCTTCTGCACAGCAGACTATCAAGAGAATAAACAAACAACCTATTGAATGGAAGAATATATTAGCAAGCTACACATCTGTTAAAGGTCTAATATCCAGAATCTATAAGAAACTTGAATAATTCAACAAGCAAAAATCAAGTAACCCTATGAAAAACTGGGCAAAAGATGTGAACAGGTACTTCTCAAAGGATGACATACAAGGAACCAACAAACATATGACAAAAATGCTCAACATCACTAATCATCATAGAAATGCAAATCAAAATCACAATGAGACCATCTCGCACTAGTCATAACAGCTATTATTAAAAAGTAAAAAAAAAAAAAAAAAACCATATGCTGGTGAGGATCCAGAGAAAAGGAAATGCTTATACACTGTTGGTGGAATGCAAATTAGTTGAACTACTGTGGAAAGCAGTTTAGAGATTTCTCAAAAAAAAAAGGCAAAACAGAAGCACCATTCCACATAATAAACAAATTCACCTATTCTAAATAAAATGGAAATACAAATAGATTAATTTATTAACTAATTATTAACAAAATTAAACGTAAACCATCTGGCTCACTCACTAAAAATCTATACTGTTTTAGTAAAATTGCATTGAATATATAGAAAGGTTAAAGGAAAAAACGAACCTGCTTACTGTAGAGCAGAGATCAGAATAGGTTCTATAAAGCCTCAGATGGTAAACATTTTTGGAATTTGCAAACCCTTTGGACTCCTGTGCCTACTCAACTCTTCCATTGTAGTACAAAAGCAGCCATAGTCAATAAGGTAAACTCTGTAAAAGTAAACAAAATCAACAAACTGTTAGCTAGACTAAGTAAGAAAAAGTGAGAACAGACCCACTAAATAAAATCAGAAGTGAAAGAGGAGACATAAAAACTGAGATTACAGAAACACAAATTATTACAGAATATTATGAACAACTATATACCAACAATTTGGAAAACCTAGATGATATTAATAAATTCCTGGACACATACAACCGGCCAAAATAGACCCATGAAGAAATAAAAAACCTGAACAAACTAATAACAAGTAACAAGATTGAAGCTGTAAGAAAAAGTCTCCCATAAAAGAAAAGCCCAGTGTCTGACGGCTTCCAATGAAATATTATTTAGAAAAACATAGCTGGGTAATAACTGGAAATGGTAGAGTAGAAAATATAAAAGCTCTATACTTCTATCAAGTATTTAAAATAACTAATTCTCCAAAAAATAAAAGAGGAGAAAACATAACCACCATTCAGTAAGCCCTTATGCTAAAAACCACACAATGGCTTCAAGTCCTGTCTTTTATATACCTGTGAATATAAAATGTTAATTTATATTGTCAGGGTAAAATTCAAGAGAACTCTGTTTTAGGGCCTTGTGAATTTCCTTGTGAGTAAATTGGGAAGGAGGCCATCTGGGGAGGTATGTGGCCTTCTATCTTTGCAGCTATCTGTTTAGGAACAAAATGGGAGCCAATTTTACATGCTTCATTTCCCAAGATTAACTTTTCTCTTTGACATAGTGAGTTTAATGACTCAAGATTTTTACTTTCTTTTCACACTAGCAAACAAAATTCAGGAACACATGAAAAGCTTAAATGCCATAAACAAATGAACTTTATTCCAGGAATGCAAAGTTATGTTAACATCTGAAAAAGCCAACTAATATATCATATCATTAGAATAAAGGAAAAAACTGCATAATCATTTCGATAACTGCAGAAAAACTTACTTAATGAAATTCAATATTCTTCATGATAAGAACACTTAAACTAGAAGTAAAGGGGAACATTCTAAAACTGATCAATAGTGTCTATAAAAAAACACACAGCTAACATCACACTAAACTGACTCTTCTCACTTTCACTCAATATTGCAGTAGAACTTTCAGCCAACAAATAGGAAAGAAAATGAAATAAAAGGAATCCACATTAGAAAGAAAGAAGTTAAACTGTCTCTATTGGCATATATCATGATCTTATAATAGAAAATTTTTACAAATCCACTAAAAAATATTCAAGTAAACTAATAAAACAAGATTTTGGGATACAAGGTAAATAAACAAACAAAAAATCTACACAATTGCAATGGAAATTTAAACTAAAATAAAGATTACACAGTCACCCCTATAATACCATGAAAAAATATAATTCTTAGCAATAAGTTTATCAAAAAATTGTACAACTCTTACTGTGACATTATTACCAGCGGTGGTTACTGCAGCAAGTATTTATGGTTCTGCAGCAACCTGAATTCTTGCCTCCTCAGAAGAATGAATTTGACTGAGCGGCATAAGGCAGAAAAAGAGACCAGCACAAGTTTCAGAACAGAAGTGAAAATTTATTAAAAAGTTTTATAGCAGGAAAGAAAGGAAAGTACACTTGGGATAGATACAAGTAGCCATTTTGAAGGTAAAGTGTGGTGTTTGACCTTTGACTTAGGGTTTTATATGTTGGCATACTTTCCGGGTCCTGCTTCCCTTTTCCTTGATTCTTTCCTTAGAATGACCTGCTGGCATGTGTGATGGCCTGCTACCACTTAGGAGATGAGCATGCACAGTATATTTACTGGAGTCATATGCATGCTCCCCTGAGGCATTCTTCCCTTTTCTGGTGCCCCCGGAATGTCGTACTCCACCATTTGGCCTCTTAATGTGTGTGTGTGAACCCACTCTCCCAACTGCTGAGATCTTATCAGGAAGCTGCTGATTACCAGATTTGATTTTTTCTATCTATAAGAAATCTGCCTTTCCCTGGCTGGCTGCAACCAATTATTGTTTTAAACAGTGTGACAACTGCCTGGCCATTAACTGATGGTCACCTGACTTTCCTGGTAGGGTGTGGGAGCCCTCTTCTGCCCTGTTTGTGTCTGACTAGCTAGCCACTGTAACAAAATCTACAAAACACTGTGGAAATAAGAACATCTAAATAAATAGAAAGGCATCTCATTTTCATTTATTGAAAGACCTAAAATTGTGATAATGACCATACTCTACTCCCCAAACTGATATACCAAATCAATGCAATCCGTATCAAAATCCCAGATTGCTTCTTTGTATAAACAGACAAACTGATCCTGAAATTTATGTACATATTCAAGAGACATACTAATAGCCAAAAGAAGCTAGGTATAGTGAAACACACCTGTAATTCCAGCTACTCAAGAAGCTGTGTTGGGAGGATTGCTTGAGCCCAGAAATTTGAATCTAGCCTGGGCAATATAGTAAGACTTCTATCTCTTAAAAAAAAAAAAAAAAAAACAAGAAGAAAAAAATTAAAAAAAAAACTGAAACAATTTAAATAAAAAAAAGCTGGAAAACTTACATTTCCTGCCTTTAAAGACAAATACAAATATATGATAATCAAGAGAGTGTGATACAGGCCTACAGATAGACATGTAGATCAATGGAATGATTTTAGAACATAGAAATATGCCCATGCATTTAAAGTTTTTGACAAAAGTTTCAAAACGTTTTAATAGGGGAAAGAATAGATTATTCAACAAATATAAGTGGGAAAAATGATTATCTGTATACAAAATAATTAAGTTGGGACCCTCTACCTCAAATCACTTACAAAAGCTAATTCATAGGTGATCAAAAACTTAAATGTAAGCACTAGAACTATAAAACTCTAATAATAAATAACAGGTACTAATTTTCATAACTTGGAAATGGTTTGTGAGATATAAAATCAAAAATAAAAGCAACCAAATTAAAATTGATTAGTTGGACTTCATTAAAATCAATACTTTTGTGCTTCAATTAACACCATTAAGAAAGTAAAAGGACAGCCCAAAGAATAAAAAAATACAAGGAAATCATACATGTGATAAGGTTCTTACATCAAAAATATTAAAAACACAAGTCCATAAGAAGACAAATAATTCAATCAAAACTAGGCAAAACATTCTCAACATGATTTCATATCAAGGAAAGGTAAAGCATAATGAGATATCACTTCATTCACACTGGCTATAATCAAACGAAATGTAATCCCAAGTGTTGGCAATGTTGGGAAGAAATTAAAATTCTTATACATTGCTGGTGAGAATGGAAATGGAAGCAACCACTGTGAAAAACAATCTGAAAATTCCTATGGTAATTTAGAAATTGTATGGTAACAGACAATTCCTATGATAATTTAGAAATTATATGGTAACTGCTACTTTGAATTGTAGCAGTTATACTTTCACTTGATTGATTTATGCTCAGATGTAAGTATGAGAAAGACAGAAAGAAACAGCAATTTGAAAAGAAACATTGCATTGCACCAGGAGGACATTGAAATCGATGTCAAATATTCTCCTGATACAACTCAGTTGTTACTTTAGCTCTGGGAGTTGTGGAAAGGTGCTGCTGTGGCCCACAGAATACAGCCATTGGATGAATATAAAGACAATCCTGGATGAACTTGTTTGGAGAGGCCACAAGATGACTGTGTTGACATCTTCGGCTTCCATTATTATTGACCCTAGTAAATCATCTGCTATTAAATTTGAAGTTTATCCAACATCTCTAATTAAAAATAATTTTGAGGGTCTTGTTGTGAAACTGATCAATAGATGGATATACGATCTTCCAAAAGATGCATTTTGGTCATATTTTTCACAAGCACAAGAACTCTTTTGGGAATCTACAGACTGTGTTAATAATCTCTGTAAAGATGTAGTTTTGAACAAGAAAATTACGACAAAACTACAAGAGTCAAAGTTTGATGTCGTTCTTGCAGATGCCCTTGGTGCCTGTGGTGAACTGCTAGCTGAGCATGTTAAAGGCATGTTAAATACATGTCCTTTGTTGACAGTCTCCTGGCTACACACTTGAGAAGTATAATGGAGGACTTCCATTCCCCATTTCCCGCATACCTGCTGTTCTGTCTGAATTAAGTGGTAAAATGACATTCGTGGAGAGGATTAAAAATCTAATACATGTGCTTTATTTTGACTTTTGGTTTCAAATGTTTGATACGAGAAGTGGGAGAAGTTTTACAGTGAAGTTCTAGGTAAGTCATGTTTCTAATCAATGATTAATAAGTCCTAACTTTCCTTTTGCCTTTGAAGGTGAGCGTATATAAATATAATGTAAGAGGATAGTGTTGTTTAAATGAAATGATGAATGCCAAATGTAAGATGATCTATCAATCTCACAAATATTATAGAAATGTTGATATTATAGGCTCAGCTAGAACCCTTTGGTCATCACTCCTATAGGACACTACAGGAATTAAAAAAAAAAAAACTACAAAGTAAAGCACTTATGATTTCTTTAAGCAACTATATACGTATTTTACTATACTTTTTTCATCTTTAAAAAAGGCAAAACATATATCAATAAACAACTTGATGAAGGCAGACATTTAGATGAGGAGCTACACATATTTCTAGCATAACTATCAATGCAGCATTGAGAAACTTGTTTCTCTTTGTGTACCTCAGTTTTCTTATTTAGGTATTAAAATATTTTTCTCTATAAACAGAAGGATTCCTTCACAGTTGAGAGGTATACTGGCTCTATTTCAGAAACAGAAACCTAAAATTTGAGGTTTCTAGTGTTTGTATATCATTCACTAACAACTGAGAAATTATTTGCTTTGTGAATTAAAATCTTGTTGAAAGTGAACATTCAAGCTTTTAATCTATACTTTATTAACTACATCTCTTTATTAGGGAAAATATGGGCCAAGTTAAGGGGGAGCACATATCTCTGTTTCAATAAATTCTGAAAATATACTAGCTATCATTTTTAATGTATGTATTTTAAAGCTAATATTGTTAAAATCTTAACGTGAACTAGAAGCAGTAGTATGTTCAAGGATTTCAGGCATACTCTCAGAAAACTCACAGTTCACTTGGAGAACCAAGGATCAAGGGACTGACTTGATAAATTGTGGAAACGAGATTGTGCACTTCGTAGAAAGCTGTTTTTATGAGTATAGTAAGATGAATTCATCCTGGAGCTCAAAGAGCTGTTTAAATGTATATCAGTTACTACTGCAGTTTCAGAGAGGAAACAAATGCATATTTAAGTCCATAGTGGCTTATTTTAATAACTATTTGAGATTGTGAATATACTAATGTTACATTAAATATGTAATTTCCGAAGATGGCCGAATAGGAACAGCTCAGGTCTACAGCTCCCAGTGTGAGCGACGCAGAAGACAGGTGATTTCTGCATTTCCATCTGAGGTACCGGGTTCATCTCACTAGGGAGTGCCAGACAGTGGGCACAGGTCAGTGGGTGCGCGTACCATGCGTGAGCCAAAGCAGGGCGAGGCAATGCCTCACTTGGGAAGCACAAGGGGTCAGGGAGTTCCCTTTCCGAGTCAAAGAAAGGGGTGAGGGACGTACCTGGAAAATCGGGTCACTCCCACCCAAATACTGGGCTTTTCCGACGGGCTTAAAAAATGGTGCACCACGAGATTATATCCCGCACCTGGATCGGAGGGTCCTACGCCCATGGAGTCTCGCTGATTGCTAGCACAGCAGTCTGAGATCAAACTGCAAGGTGGCAGTGAGGCTGGGGGAGGGGCGCCCGCCATTGCCCAGGCTTGCTTAGGTAAACAAAGCAACAGGGAAGCTCGAACTGGGTGGAGCCCACCACAGCTCAAGGAGGCCTGCCTGCCTCTGTAGGCTCCACCTCTGGGGGCAGGGCACAGACAAAAAGACAGCAGTAACCTCTGCAGACTTAAATGTCCCTGTCTGACAGCTTTGAAGAGAGCAGTGGTTCTCCCAGCACGCAGCTGGAGATCTGAGAACGGGCAGACTGCCTCCTCAAGTGGGTCCCTGACCCCTGACCCCCAAGCAGCCTAACTGAGAGGCACCCCGCAGCAGGGGCACACTGACACCTCACACGGTGGGGTATTCCAACAGACCTGCAGCTGAGGGTCCTGTCTGTTAGAAGGAAAACTAACAAACAGAAAGGACATCCACACCAAAAACCCATCTGTACATCACCATCATCAAAGACCAAAAGTAGATAAAACCACAAAGATGGGGAAAAAACAGAACAGAAAAACTGGAAACTCTAAAAAGCAGAGCGCCTCTCCTCCTCCAAAGGAACATAGTTCCTCACCAGCAACGGAACAAAGCTGGATGGAGAATGACTTTGACGAGCTGAGAGAAGAAGGCTTCAGACGATCAAATTACTCTGAGGTACGGGAGGACATTCAAACCAAAGGCAAATAAGTTGAAAACTTTGAAAAAAATTTAGAAGAATGTATAACTAGAATAACCAACACAGAGAAGTGCTTAAAGGAGCTGATGGAGCTGAAAACCAAGGCTCGAGAACTACGTGAAGAATGCAGAAGCCTCAGGAGCCGATGCGATCAACTGGAAGAAAGGGTATCAGCAATGGAAGATGAAATGAATGAAATGAAGCGAGAAGGGAAGTTTAGAGAAAAAAGAATAAAAAGAAATGAGCAAAGCCTCCAAGAAATATGGGACTATGTGAAAAGACCAAATCTACGTCTGATTGGTGTACCTGAAAGTGATGGGGAGAATGGAACCAAGTTGGAAAACACTCTGCAGGGTATTATCCAGGAGAACTTCCCCAATCTAGCAAGGCAGGCCAACATTCAGATTCAGGAAATACAAAGAACGCCACAAAGATACTCCTCGAGAAGAGCAACTCCAAGACACATAATTGTCAGATTCACCAAAGTTGAAATGAAGAAAAAAATGTTAAGGGCAGACAGAGAGAAGGGTGGGCTTACCCTCAAAGGGAAGCCCATCAGACTAACAGTGGATCTCTCGGCAGAAACCCTACAAGCCAGAAGAGAGTGGGGGCCAATACTCAACATTCTTAAAGAAAAGAATTTTCAACCCAGAATTTCATATCCAGCCAAACTAAGTTTCATAAGTGAAGGAGAAATAAAATACTTTACAGACAAGCAAATGCTGAAAGATTTTGTCACCACCAGTCCTGCCCTAAAAGAGCTCCTGAAGGAAATGCTAAACATGGAAAGGAACAACCGGTACCAGCTGCTGCAAAATCATGCCAAAATGTAAAGACCATTGAGACTAGGAAGAAACTGCATCAACTAACTAGCAAAATAACCAGCTAACATCATAATGACAGGATCAAATTCACACATAACAATATTAACTTTAAATGTAAATGGACTAAATGCTCCAATTAAAAGACACAGACTGGCAAATTGGATAAAAAGTCAAGACCCATCAGTGTGCTGTATTCAGGAAACCCATCCCACGTGCAGAGACACACATAGGCTCAAAATAAAAGGATGGAGGAAGATCTACCAAGCAAATGGAAAACAAAAAAAGGCAGGGGTTGCAATCCTAGTCTCTGATAAAACAGACTTTAAACCAACAAAGATCAAAAGAGACAAAGAAGGTCATTACATAATGGTAAAGGGATCAATTCAACAAGAAGAGCTAACTATCCTAAATATACATGCACCCAATACAGGAGCACCCAGATTCATAAAGCAAGTCCTAAGTGACCTACAAAGAGACTTAGACTCCCACACATTAATAATGGGAGACTTTAACACCCCACTGTCAACATTAGACAGATCAACGAGAGAGAAAGTCAACAAGGATACCCAGGAATTGAACTCAGCTCTGCACCAAGCGGACCTAATAGACATCTACAAAACTCTCCACCCCAAATCAACAGAATATACATTTTTTTCAGCACCACACCACACCTATTCCAAAATTGACCACGTACTTGGAAGTAAAGCTCTCCTCAGCAAATGTAAAAGAACAGAAATTACAACAAACTATCTCTCAGACCACAGTACAATCAAAGTAGAACTCAGGATTAAGAATCTCACTCAAAACCGCTCAACTACATGGAAACTGAACAACCTGCTCCTGAATGACTACTGGGTACATAACAAAATGAAGGCAGAAATAAAGATGTTCTTTGAAACCAATGAGAACAAAGACACAACATACCAGAATCTCTGGGACGCATTTAAAGCAGTGTGTAGAGGGAAATTTATAGCACTAAATGCCCACAAGAGAAAGCAGGAAAGATCCAAAATTGACACCCTAACATCACAATTAAAATAACTAGAAAAGCAAGAGCAAACACATTCAAAAGCTAGCAGAAGGCAAGAAATAACTAAAATCAGAGCAGAACTGAAGGAAATAGAGACACAAAAAACCCTTCAAAAAATTAATGAATCCAGGAGCTGGTTTTTTGAAAGGATCAACAAAATTGATAGACCGCTAGCAAGACTAATAAAGAAAAAAAGAGAGAAGAATCAAATAGACGCAATAAAAAATGATAAAGGGGATATCACCACTGATCCCACAGAAATACAAACTACCATCAGAGAATACTACAAACACCTCTACGCAAATAAACTAGAAAATCTAGAAGAAATGGATAAATTCCTCGACACATACACTCTCCCAAGACTAAACCAGGAAGAAGGTGAATCTCTGAATAGACCAATAACAGGATCTGAAATTATGGCAATAATCAATAGCTTACCAACAAAAAAGAGTCCAGGACCAGATGGATTCACAGCCGAATTCTACCAGAGGTACAAGGAGGAACTGGTACCATTCCTTCTGAAACTATTCCAATCAATAGAAAAAGAGGGAATCCTCCCTAACTCATTTTATGAGGCCAGCATCATTCTAATACCAAAGCCAGGCAGAGACACAACCAAAAAAGAGAATTTTAGACCAATATCCTTGATGAACATTGATGCAAAAATCCTCAATAAAATACTGCCAAATCGAATCCAGCAGCACATCAAAAAGCGTATCCACCATGATCAAGTGGGCTTCATCCCTGGGATGCAAGGCTGGTTCAATATACACAAATCAATAAATGTAATCCAGCATATAAACAGAGCCAAAGACAAAAACCACATGATTATCTCAATAGATGCAGAAAAAGCCTTTGACAAAATTCAACAACCCTTCATGCTAAAAACTCTCAATAAATTAGGTATTGATGGGACGTATTTCAAAATAATAAGAGCTATCTATGACAAACCCACAGCCAATATCATACTGAATGGGCAAAAACTGGAAGCATTCCCTTTGAAAACTGGCACAAGACAGGGATGCCCTCTCTCACCACTCCTATTCAACATAGTGTTGGAAGTTCTGGCCAGGGCAATGAGGCAGGAGAAGGAAATAAAGGGTATTCAATTAGGAAAAGAGGAAGTCAAATTGTCCCTGTTTGCAGAAGACATGATTGTATATCTAGAAAACCCCATTGTCTCAGCCCAAAATCTCCTTAAGCTGATAAGCAACTTTAGCAAAGTCTCAGGATACAAAATCAATGTACCAAAATCACAAGCATTCTTATACACCAACAACAGACAAACAGAGAGCCAAATCATGAGTGAACTCCCATTCACAATTGCTTCAAAGAGAATTAAATACCTAGGAATCCAAATTACAAGGGATATGAAGGACCTCTTCAAGGAGAACTGCAAACCACTGCTCAAGGAAATAAAAGAGGATACAAACAAATGGAAGAACATTCCCTGCTCATGGGTAGGAAGAATCGATATCGTGAAAATGGCCATACTGCCCAAGGTAATTTACAGATGCAATGCCATCCCCATCAAGCTACCAATGCCTTTCTTCACAGAATTGGAAAAAACTACTTTAAAGTTCATATGGAACCAAAAAAGAGCCCGCATCACCAAGTCAATCCTAAGCCAAAAGAACAAAGCTGGAGGCATCACGCTACCTGACTTCAAACTATACTACAAGGCTACAGTAACCAAAACAGCATGGTACTGGTACCAAAACAGAGATATAGATCAATGGAACACAACAGAGCCCTCAGAAATAACGCCGCATATCTACAACTATCTGATCTTTGACAAACCTGAGAAAAACAAGCAATGGGGAAAGGATTCCCTATTTAATAAATGGTGCTGGGAAAACTGGCTAGCCATATGTAGAAAGCTGAAACTGGATCCCTTCCTTACACCTTATACAAAAATCAATTCAAGATGGATTAAAGACTTAAACGTTAGACCTAAAACCATAAAAACCCTAGAAGAAAATCTAGGCATTACCATTCAGGACATAGGCATGGGCAAGGACTTCATGTCTAAAACACCAAAAGCAATGGCAAGAAAAGCCAAAATTGACAAATGGGATCTAATTAAACTAAAGAGCTTCTGCACAGCAAAAGAAACTACCATCAGAGTGAACAGGCAACCTACAGAATGGGAGAAAATTTTTGCAACCTACTCAACTGACAAAGGGCTAATATCCAGAATCTACAATGAACTCAAACAAATTTACAAGAAAAAAACAAACAACCCCATCAAAAAGTGGGCAAAGGACATGAACAGACACTTCTCAAAAGAAGACATTTATGCAGCCAAAAAAGACATGAAAAAATGCTCATCATCACTGGCCATCAGAGAAATGCAAATCAAAACCACAATGAGATACCATCTCACACCAGTTAGAATGGCAATCATTAAAAAGTCAGGAAAAAACAGGTGCTGGAGAGGATGTGGAGAAATAGGAACACTTTTACACTGTTGGTGGGACTGTAAACTAGTTCAACCATTGTGGAAGTCAGTGTGGCAATTCCTCAGGGATCTAGAACTAGAAATACCATTTGACCCAGCCATCCCATTACTGGGTATATACCCAAAGGACTAAAAATCATACTGCTATAAAGACACATGCACACGTATGTTTATTGTGACATTATTCACAATAGCAAAGACTTGGAACCAACCCAAATGTCCAACAATGATAGACTGGATTAAGAAAATGTGGCACATATATACCATGGAATACTATGCAGCCATAAAAAATGATGAGTTCATGTCCTTTGTAGGGACATGGATGAAATTGGAAATCATCATTCTCAGTAAACTATCGCAAGAACAAAAAACCAAACACCACATATTCTCACTCATAGGTGGGAATTGAACAATGAGATCACATGGACACAGGAAGGGGAATATCACACTCTGGGGACTGTGGTGGGGTAGGGGCAGGGGGCAGGGATAGCATTGGGAGATATACCTAATGCTAGATGACGAGTTAGTGGGTGCAGTGCACCAGCATGGCACATGTATACATATGTAACTAACCTGCACAATGTGCACATGTACCCTAAAACTTAAAGTATAATAAAAAAAAGAAAAAGAAAAAAATATATGTAATTTCCTCTTAATTCTCTGAACATTTTGCTTTCCTTATATATAAGTAATATGCAATATATAAAATTGTTATGCTTATATATAAAAATATATGTATATATTTATTTTATTAATGTACATTATTTGAGACAATGGGGAAAGCTGAAGTGTGGCTCATTCAAACGTACTGGGATTTTGAATTTCTTCACCCACCCTTACCAAATGTCGATTTTGTGGGGGAACTCCACTGTAAACCAGCCAAAACCCTGCCTAAGGTAAATGTATTCATGTTTGATTTATTTGCTTTGCATTTCAGAAGGAATGGCCAGATATGTTTTCATTCAGAGTGTTTGACTCACAGTGAGAGAAATACGGGAGGTCAAAGAAAGTGACCTACCATTAGAAACTCATATGTTGCTATATCATCACAACTGTGTAAACTTTAGTGTCATTAAATATCAAAGAGGGATACTAAAGAGACTCTGAAAACAGGGTTGATTCAATGAAAGCCTTCATTGTGCAATGTAAAAAAAAAAATAAGTCATTCCTTCAAGGAATATTTATGAATTGATCAGCACAAACCACGGATAAGTGCTGGATTTTCAGAGAAGAAATGTAGGCACTTTCTGCTCCCTCATGCCTTACGTTGTACTTTGAAAGATAGACTATAAGCAAGTAAAAAGGAAAAGTCTAAAAGTGTTATAAGGTCACAATGCTAAGGAAACATGTAGAAGAGATCTCAAAGTCATTGATAAAGTGAGTCCTCAATAATGTCTAGGAGTAGATGAAAAGATGAGGGGGAGAGGAAAACACAAAAAGAAAAGCAGGTAGTGAAGTAAAGGCAGTGCCTAAGGTTTCAAATTAGTATGCAGGAAAAAGCTGAGTAAAGTAGCAGATGATGCTAGAGAGGTAAGTTGAAGCAATATAACTATAAGGAGATCTAAGTATCTATTAAGGGCAAAGGGGAGCTACTGCACAGAGTTCAGAAATGGAGAGATATTATCAGATTCCCTTTCTTTAAAAAGCTCTCAATGTTGTCAATGGATTACATCGCAAAAAGGCCAGATTGTGAAAAGTGTAGATCATTTAGAAGATTTTGCATGAGTTTATGCAACAGATAATGATGGAAAAGTGGACTAGAATGTTGATAGAGATAATTATGCCTACTTCTATAATAATGGCAATTACCTCCTATTGTGTCGTGTTGGAAATATACTTAACATAGATAAAACACTTATAATGTCTCTCATACATAGTCAGTGATTCAAATAGTAGTAATATTGTAATGATTTTTTATTTTTGTTATTACTATTAATAGTATCCATTAGTTAACATATGCCAGCCACTCGAGATATAATTCCTCTATTAATAGGAACAGTTTTCCGACACATCAAGGTTCTCCAGCAAAGTCCTAGAGAACAGATCCCCTGTGGATTTGTTTAAATATAGATGTTTGGGCAGTCAGATGAACAAGATGAAATGCTAACGGCGTAAGGGTTAAGGCTTTTCAAGGTACACTATTCATCAACGACATAAATGTGTGCCACCAGAATATTCACAGCCAAAGCCAATGTTTACTTGCTTTCACTCTAGCATTTAAAACATTAGTCAGTGAGATGACAGAGGTTTATATCTTAGAGCATAAAAGGGTCAGTTTACCCTTTTAATGTTTTCTGCCTTATACCAAGCCTATAGGACACCTCAGTAAAAATCTCTGGGAAACTTGGGACTCATCATCACAGCTGCCTGACAGAGAAGCACCAAAAAAAAATGAACAATGCATGTATAATAAGATCCAAATAATGTCTACCACTTGCATCTGAAAACTACACTGAGATTTACAAAAGAATTCTGTCAGGATATAGGATGATCTTCCTTACGAAGAAACAAAAGAACCTCATATATTTTACTTTAATGTTATTCTTTTGAGACATAAGCAGAAAGCAAGCATTCCTCACTACTTTATTATATAAGCCTTAAGAGATCTTTTTGTCTACCTTCTTATAAGCAGCAACAGAAAACTGAAATCTTACTTGAGTTAAAACTCAATGTTTATGTTGAATGAAAATTGCATAGGCTCTATGTGGTAATTTCCCAAAGGACAAAGGCAGAGGTAAGACCAATGAAAATTCTATGCACTCTAACCTTATTCTCAAAAAATTTTCCCATTCACATTAGAGGAAAGTGATGGTGCCATTAGAAGGGGGAAGAGAGTAGGTGGAGAAGGAAGACAAGGGCAAGAATGACTATTAGAACAATAGTGATAAATACTAATACTAGCTGTTGTTATTCATTTGCAGAAGGTAGGTTCGAATCCAGGTCAATAGTTGTGCAGCCTGTCCTCTACTTCTTTCTTACATAAAATAATTTTTGTCACAAATTTTCTTGCTTTTCCATTATGTATTAGATTCTCAGATAATGATTGCATATTTTAAAAGAATCAGACACTTGGGGAAAAGTATTAAGTATTATAAAAATGCATATAGACATTGGCTTCATAATATACTCATATGAAACTATACAGAGAACACCTAAATCACGATGGTCAGATTCAATATTTGTGGCAGACATTCATAAAATAAACACTGGAGACAATTCAAATATTTTACATTGAGAAATGATTTAAAATGTATACAATGTGTGTACCATGTCATTACAATTGTTTTATCAAAAAATGTTAAATTACACTGTCAGCCATAGTACAGGTATTGTTGAATACTACGGAACAAAATGATGAACAGAAAAATATCACAATTTTTGTGTCAGAAGAAAAGATACATGCAATGAGATAAAAAATTTTTATGTAAACATAATATATGTACTTTGAGTTATATAAATAGAATAAAACCATAATGAAAGCACACAGATTTTATAAATGAAATTTATTTTTTCCTAAATTTTCATAATTTCACCAAATTTCTTACATTGATTTTATATTATTCTGATAAAGATGTCGCAGAATGAGATCAGTGATGAATCTATTAACAGCCATTTCATTACTTCAATATTGGGTGGATGAAGAAGACTCTAAGCAGTGAGCTTGTGAGACCAAACATTGAACATGTCATATTAAATGTGGCTACAGATAACTTCAATTACACAGAGTACTCAGGTGTCCCAGAATCACCTGGAATAATAGTGTAATGACTGCTATTAAAACTGATGTCATAAGGTTAAAATTATGTTGTTGAAAAATACTTGTCAATAGATGATCTGCATGGACAAAGTCAGATTTTTACTTTTGTAAACAATAGTTTTAAAAAGAATGTTTACCCCAATGATTAGGATCTGAAAGTATGTTTGCATTAGAAAGGGAACACCATTATTTTACAGAGAGATAAAAAAAGCATTTTTAAAAAAGGAACAGCAGCAAAATGATAAGCACATAATTTTGACATAATATTCACAAAACGTTTGACTTTATGTTTCTTTCTTAAGATTTTTTTTAAAAAAAAACTTATAGTTTAGGTTCAGGGGTAAAAGTGCAGGCTTCTAATATAGGTGATCTCCTGTCATGGGAGTTTGTTGTGCAGACTACTTCATCACCCAGGTACAAAGCCTAGGACCCAATAGTTATTTTTTCTGATCCTATTCTTCTCCCCAACCCTCCACCCTCAAGTAGACCCCAGTGTCTGTTGTCTCTTTGCATCCATGTGTTCTCATCAGTTAGCTCCCCCTCATAAGTGAGTACATGCAGCATTTGGTTTTCTGTTCCTGTGTTAGTTTGCTAAGGATGATGGTCTCCAGTTCCATCCATGTTCCTGCAAAGGACATGATCTCATTCTTTTTTATGGCTGCATAGCATCCCATGGTGTATATGTACCACATATTCTTTATCCAGTCTACCATTGATGGGCATTTAGGTTGATTCCATGTCTTTGCTATTGTGAACAGTGCTGCAATGAACATAAATGTACATGTGTCTTTATGGTAGAATGATATATATTCCTTTGGGCATATATCCAGTAACAGGACTGCTGGGTCAAATGGTAGTTCTGCTTTTAGCTTTTTGAGTAATCACCACACCTCTTTCCACAATGGTTGAACTAATTTACGCTCCCACCAACAGTGTATAAGTGTTCCCTTTTCTCTGCAACCTCACCAGTATCTGCTATTTTTTGACTAATTATAGCCACTCTAACTTGTGTGAAATAGTATCTCACTGTGGTTTTGATTTGCATTTATCTAATGATCAGTGGTATCTCACTGTGGTTTCAATTTGCATTTCCCTAATGATCAGTGATATTGATCTTTTTGTTCATATGCTTGTTGACTGCTTGTATATCTTCCTTTGTAACATGTCTATAGTGAAGAACCAAGATGGCCAAATAGGAACAGCTCTGGTCTGCAGCTCCCAGCATGATCAATGCAGAAGATGGGTGATTTCTGCATTTTCAACTGAGGTACCTGGTTCATCCTACTGGGACTGGTTGGGTAGTGGGTGCAGCCCACAGAAGGCAAGCTGAAGCAGGGTGGGGCATCACCTCACCCTGGAAGTGCAAGGGGTTGGGGGATTTCCATTTCCTAGCCAGGGGAAGCCATGACAGACTCTACCAGGAAAATTGGGACACTCCCACCTTTTCCAATGGTCTCAGCAAACAGCACACCAGGAGATTATATCCCGGCCCTGGCTCAGCGGGTCCCATGCCCACAGAGCCTTGCTCACTGCTAGCACAGCAGTCTGAGATAGAACTGCAAGGTGGCAGACTGGCTGTGGGAGGGGCATTCGCCATTGCTGAGGCTTGAGTAGGTAAACAAAGCAGCCAGGAAGCTTGAACTGGGTGGAGCCCACTGCAGCTCAAGGAGCCCTGCCTACCTCTGTAGACTCCACCTCTGGTGGCAGGTCATAGCTGAACAAAAGGCAGCAGAAACTACTGCAGGAGCTCCTGTAGGGCAGGCCTGGTGGTGACAAAAATCTCTCAGTATTTCCTTTTCTGTAAAGGATTTTATTTCTCCTTCGCTTAGGAAACTTAGTTTGTCTGGATATGAAATTCTGGGTTGAAAATTTTTTTAAGAATGTTGAATATTGGCCCCCACTCTCTTCTGGCTTGTAGGGTTTCTGCAGAGAGATCTGCTGTTAGTCTGATTGGCTTCCCTTTGTGGGTAACCCAACGTTTCTCTCTGGCTGCCCTTAACATTTTTTTCCTTCACTTCAACCTTGGTGAATCTGACAATTATGTGTCTTGGGGTTGCTCTTCTCCAGGAATATCTTTGTGGTGATCTCTGTATTTCCTGAATTTGAATGTTGGCCTGCCTTGCTAGGTTGGGAAAGTTCTCCTGGATAATATCCTGAAGAGTGTTTTCCAACTTGGTTCCATTCTCTCCATCACTTTCAGGTACACCAATCACACATAGATTTGGTCTTTTCACATAGTCCTATATTTCTTGGATGCTTTGTTCTTTTCTTTTCACTCTTTTTGCTCTAATCTTGTCTTCTTGCTTTATTTCATTGAGTTGATCTTCAATCTCTGATATCCTTTCTTCTGCTTGATTGGTTCAGCTATTGATACTTGCGTATGCTTCATGAAGTTCTCCTGCTGTGTTTTTCAGCTCTATCAGGTCATTTATGCTCTTCTCTAAACTGTTTATTCTAGTTAGCAATTCATCTAACCTTTTTTCAAGGTTCTTAGCTTCCTTGCATTGGGTTAGAACATGCTCCTTTAGCTCGGAGGAGTTTGTTATTACCCACCTTCTGAAGCCTACTTCTGTCAATTCATCAAACTCATTCTCCATCCCATTTTGTTCCCTTGCTGGTGAGGAGTTGTGATCCTTTGGAGGAGAGGAGGCATTCTGGTTTTTGGATTTTCAGCCTTTTTGCACTTGTTTCTCCCCATCTTCGTGGATTTATCTACCTTTGGTCTTTGAAGTCAGTGACTTTCCGATGGGGTCTCTGAGTGGACATCCTTTTTGTTGATGTCGATACTATTCCTTTCTGTTTGTTAGTTTTCCCTCTAACATTCAGGGCCCTCTGCTGCAGGTCTGCTGGAGTTTGCTGGAGGTCCACTCCAGAACCTGTTTGCCTGGCTATCACTAGCGGAGGCTACAGAACAGCAAAAATTGCTGCTTGTTCCTTCCTCTGGAAGCTTTGTCCCAGAGGAGCACCCACCAGATGTCAGCCAGAGCTCTCCTGTATGAGGTGTCTGTCGGCCTCTACTGGGAGGTGTCTCCCAGTCAGGATACACGGGGGTCAGTGACCCACTTGAGGAGGCAGGCTGTCCCTTATCAGAGCTTGAACGCTGTGCTGGGAGATCCACTGCTGTCTTCAGAGCTGCCAGGTAGGAACATTTAAGTCTGCTGAAGCTGTGCCCACAACCACCCCTTCCCCCAGCTGCTCTGTCCCAGGAGGTGGGGGTTTTATCTATAAGTCCCTGACTGGGGCTGCTGCCTTTTTTTCAGAGATGTTCTGCCCAGAGAGGAGGGAATCTAGAGAGTCAGTCTGGCCACAGTGGCCTTGCTGAGCTGTGGTGGGCTCTTAGTTTTTAACCAAAAAGTTTAAAGGTAAAAAATAATAAATTATTAAAATATTTTAAAAAGCTTATAGAATAAGGGTATAAAGAAAAAATATTTTTGTATGGCTGAAAAATATGTTTGTTTTTAAGCTAAGTGCTATTATAAAAGAGTCAAAAAGTAAAAGAAATTTAAAGTTTATAAATTAAAAGGGTTACAGTAAGCTAAAGTTGATTTTTCATTGAAGAGGGAAAATTGTTTACAAATTTAGTGTAGCCTAAGTGCATGGTGTTTATAAAGTCTACGGTAGTGTATAATAATGTCCTATGCCTTCACATTCATTCACCACTCACTCACTGACTCACCCAGAGCAACTTCTAGCCCTGAAAACTCCATTCATGATAAGAATTTTAACAGGTATACCATTTTTTAATTTTTTAGATGATTGTATTTGTACAGTAACTTTTCTACGTATAGTTATGTTTAAATACACAAATGCTTCCCACTGTGTTACAATTCCCTGTAGTATTCAGTATAGTAATATGCTGTACAGGTTGTAAGTTAGGAGCAATAGATTATGCCATACAGCCTAGGTGTGTAGTAGGCTACACCCTGTAGATTTATGTAAGTACACTGTATGATGTTCACACAACAAAATCATGTAACAATGCAGTTCATATATCCCTGTTGTTAAGCAATGCATGACTGTATATAATATTCTCAAGTACATTAACATTTTCCAAGATAGGCCATTGCTAGGCCGTGTCTCTCAATAAAAGTACTGAAATCATACGAAGTGTGTCCTTTGAACATAATGGAATTGTGTTAGAACTCTTGAGTCTGTATGACTGTGTCTTTTAGAGATTTGTTCATTTCATTTAAGTTATTATAATTTGTTGACATACCAGTGCTCCTAATATACAATTATAATTCTTTTATTTCTGTATGATTGGTAATAATGTCTTTACTATTATATCTGACTTTATTATTAAAATGTGAATCATCTCCTTTATGGGAGTTCAGTCTAGTTAAAAGATTAGTCATTTATCTGACATTTTGAAAAAGTGCAATTTTGGTTTTGCTGATTTGCTTGTTTTTTACACACTATTTTGGTTATCTCAGCAGTGATTAATTGAAATATTCAGTAGAAACCATACTTTAAGTACCATACAACCATTCTGTTTTTCACTTTTGGTACAGAAATACTTGTATTCTCATGTTTATTGTAGCATTATTCACAATAGCCAAAATATAGAATCAACCTACATGTCCATTGGTGGAAGAATAAAGAAATACACACATTGGAATATGATACAGCTTTAAAAACGAAGGGAATCGTGTCATTTGTGACAACATAGATGAATCTGGAGGATATTATGTTAAGTGAAATAAGCCAAACACAGAGTGCTGATTACTACATGATCTCACTTATATGTGGAATCTAAGAAAGCTGAACTAATAGAAGCAGAGAGTAAAATGGTGGTTGCTAGAGGCTGGAGTGTGGTAGAAATGAGAAGATATTGATTAAAAGGTACAAAGTTTCAGTTATATAGAAGAAATAAGTTCTGGAGGCCTATTTACAGCATGGAGACTACAGTTAATAATAATGTATTGAGTATTTTTAAATTGTTAAAAGTAGATATTGCTGAATAGATATTAAATGTTCTTTTAAAAAATAGTAAGTATTGAGGTAATGAATATATTAATTAGCTTGATTAAATAATTTCACAATGTATACATATATCAAAACATCAAATTTTACACTGTAACTATATACAATTTTTATTAGCCAATTATACTTTAATAAAATTGGGGGAAATTAATTAGTTTTTAAAAACAGTAAGTGGAGAGTTAAATTTTACCAGGATCATAGTAAAAAGCAAGTGTCACAGAGTGGTGGAGCAAGAGAACAAGCAGGTGAGGGGTATATGCAAGGCAGTGAGTACAGTGATTGTAAAATTTAAGCTGACTACATCTACGCCAAAGAGGTACTGATTAATGTGTTAGAGACAATTAAGAGAGAACTTCTGATTACATTTCACAGGTCTCTGTCTTTCACTCCACCTTGAGTTATATAATAAAAATTACATTAGGACAAATTATAGAATCATAGTTATAAAAAGTAAGAGCAACAAATATTTATTGATTGTGCTCCTAAACTGGAATCCATTCCACAAATACAGTAGAAGCTGATACAGATGTGTCAGAAAACTCTTAAATATAACATGTATCAGAAACTAAATTCAGGTATAAAGATTCTCCATATCAACCATGTCTTTAGTCTATGTTTGATTGTGTACCCTGTGGAAAGGTGAAAAACAGACTTTATATCAACCAACATAAGATACATGGAAGTGCCATGGTAGAGTCCATGCAGAATTACAGAAATTGAGCAGTAATACCTTCATGAAGGAAATACTGTTCATTCTTTTCTACCCAAAGCCATTTCTTCTTTTTTATTTCACGTATATTTATTTGTTTGCTTTTATTACTCTTTATTTTTATTTAATAAATCTTTATAGAACAACTGCCATAAACAATATTATAGTTTCCTGTGAACTGTGAAGGATATAAAAATGAACCAGTTAGTGTCCCCACCCTCATGGAGTTTACAGTCTAGTTGTTGAAATCACATCTGTCTGCACATGTGAAATACACAGGTAGATATTCTAAGTACAGAGAGTTTTACAAGTAGTAAGGAGCCATGTGAAAAGAATATGGCCGTTTCTTAAAAATCTAAACATGTACTTACCGTATGACCCAGCATACTCTAGGCCATAAATCTCAGAAAAATAAAACTTATGTCCACACAAAAGCTTACACACAAATCTTCATAGCAGCTTTATTTGTAATAGCCAAAACCTGAGAACAATCCAAATGCCCTTCAGTGGGTATACAGTTAACAAACTGAGGTACAGCCCTATCATGTAATACTACTCAGTAATAAAAAAAGAATTAACTACTGACACACACAACAACTTGGACAGATCTCAAGAAAATTATACTGAGCGAAAAAGCCAACCTGAAAAAGTTACATATTGTATAATATATTTATATACCATTCTTGAAACAATAAAAATTATAAAGATGGAGAGCAGATTAGTGGTTGCCAGGGATTAGAGACTAGACACAGGCCTAGGGAGGGAGCTGGATGGCTGTCGGTAGCGTGATGTAGCCTTGTGAACAAACTATCTGTATCTTGGTAATCACATGAATCTACATATGTAATTAAATTACATAGAACTAATTACACACACACCTACACACACATATATAATTGATTGCATCCTAATAAAGTTAATGGATTGTCTCAATGTCAACTTCTTCATTGTAATATTATACTACACCTAAGCAAGATCTTACTATTGAGGTAAACTGAGTAAAGGGTACACAGAATCTCTGTGAATTATATCTTACAGTTATATCTTAACCGTATCTGAATCAATGATTATCTGAAAATAAAAAAAATTAATGGTAAGGAAGTTCAGAAGAAACGTATAGTACATCCACTTGAGGAAGTAAAAAAAGGCTTCAGGGAAGAGGCGACATTTGAACTACACCATAGATCTTGATATAATCCAGCCACTCGGTGGTTAATAAAGTTTATCATTTTTTAAAATTGAAGTCAAAAGTTAGAATGAACCCTCACATTGACAGACCACTTTGATAAATATGTTTCGGAATTATCCCAGTAAAACTTTTTGTAGAATCAGAAATTTTTTTAACTAGCACATTTTGTTGGTCTAATTATCTTGTCATTTCAAAAAAAAAAGGTATTCAGCCTGTTATAATCAAATACCATATTTTTTAAAACAAGAGTGTAGTTTCATTATAGCAACAGTTATTATTACTATGGTCTCTTGAACACCTACTAATGTTCCAAGAACTGTGCTAAGCACTTTTTAAACATTCACAGTTTTATTTCCACAACAATCATTTGAGCAAATATCATCTCTATCTTACGGGTGAGATTATAGGCTTAGATAAATAGTAACCGGCTTAATTCACTCAGTGTAAAATCTGGGATTACTTTTAAAAATCAATGTGTAAATAATAATAAAGCTATGTTTTCTGCATAATGTAAAAATAAAAGAGTCATTCAACAACATTTATTGAAGGACTGTTATATACAGAGTACTTTACTAGTGCTGTAGGAAGAGAGATCGAAGATATAGAAGAGGAACTGCCTGCCCTCTTGAAAAAAGTAATAAATATTATCGTCACATCTTCTTAACTATCTCCAATGAAACAGTTAACACAGACATGCAGATAAAACCCTTTGGTAATTACTTTTCAAAAGAAGTTACCATTTTAGAAATGTATTACCTATTTCTCTATGTACATAAAGTTTGAACTATCGCTCATATTTTCACTTTGACCCAAACTTCTATTTCTCAAATCCTTTGTAGAAGGAAATATCAAAAGTATTTCTCTTAGGAATAAGATGTCATTGCAAAATTAAGCTTTTAAAATTTCTTCTTAATTTAAATTGCTCCAGGTGCTTTTGCAGAGGGAGTTCCTCAAATCATGCAACATAAATTTTATTTTAGTTTGGAATCAAATGTCCAGAAATTTGAAAAATACGAATAATGATGTAAATCAACACGAATTAATTTTTAAACGCCATTTGCAAAGAAAAACTGTATTCTTTTGGTTTCACGAGACTCTAATTTCAGGTACAGTTCTCATTATTACTTACAGATCTAGACATCCTTCTTGATGTCAGGCTTCCCCATAGCTTCCTACAGCTTGTGGGTGCCACCTAGAGGCCCAACTACAGAATACACTGAAACAAGAGGAATCCATTTTTAACAGAACACTGAGAGTAGTTTTAAAGGTACTTATATCCTTGCTTAAAATTCAAGGTTTTCCTCAATTTTGTTTTTTCCCAGAGCATTTTGCTAAATGAAACAAAAATAGCTTATGCAAAATATTTAGCACTATCAATTCATGTCAGTTTTCATATTTTTGCCAAGTGCCTAAATGTTATCAGTTCATACTCCAGTGTTATTCAGATCAATAAACTTAAATTTTTCGTGGCAATACTGGTTTTCAGGGTAATTATTGTACAATATAGAACTTATATGAGTAGCTATATGCAATGAGGACAGACTTGGTGAAATCTCACCATTAACATGCCGTACATCATGGTACCAGTCCTAACTTCATTACGGTCTGGATTACTTGAAAGCTGTGTCTCTAACAGCTCAGTAATAATTTACCAAAACTAAAAATCATGAAGGTGGCCAATATCATGCTTTTACTCTTCAGTTTTGTTATCCAGGCAGTTAGCCATTCAGTGTCACACTAGATGCAGCAGTGAGGCAGCTTCCAGGATATTTTCTCTATGGTATCTTTCCATCTCAGCGAAGAGGAGTCTAACAGGACCATTAACCATGTATGAACTGTAAACACAGCAGCAGGGGAAGAAAAATATCTACAATCATCTCAAAATAGAGGTCTGAGCCCCAGTTCAGTTGCATGACTAGACTGTACACTAACACCTGGATCTCATTCCCTTCAAGGATTTGCTGTTTGGGAAAGTCTTAGATGAATAAAACCTTTCCAGTCAATTGTTTGAACTCTTCGTTCCCTCCCATTCCACAACACAATTATTTTAGTACATAAGCATGCTGATTGTTATTAAATTAATTTTCATCCTAGCCTCAAATTTTAAAAAAATTTACAATAAATTGACTAGTAACATTTTTCCCATCTTCCCCTTCTTTGTGGATTATCATATCATAATGTCAAGCAAATGGGTGATTTATATTTTATTGTTATATGTTGACATCCTCAGTAACAATGTTAAATAAATATTTGCTTTAATTTGCTTAGAACAAGTACATTGCATGAAGTTTGTATAATTATTATAGGTCACAAAAAAACAGAATCTTCTTCACATTTATCATAGTAGTTGTTTGGAAATGAAAATAAGGATATATCTTGGCTTCTTTCTGGATTTCCTTAACTTAGTTCCCATACTTCCTAAATGATGAAGTGATTGGTATTCTGCTGTCTTTGCTTGACCTTTCATAATGAATATGATCATTTCTAATATTCCACTAAGAAAAACACCTAATACTTTTCTGTGCCAATAAAATGTAGGGGATTTTTTTCTTCTTATATTTTCTTTCACTCCTTGTTCTGCACCTTGAAAATGGATATTTGCTGAAATGAGAGGAGCTGAGGAACTGAAGAAAAGGAGTGCTTCAAATTGTATATATGCATTACAAATTTATGTCAACAAGTCAAAATTCTGACAAAACTTCTAGAGAACAAATGAATACAGGCTGTAATGTAATATTGTATTATCTATTTCTCTATGTACATAAAGTTTCAACTATTGCTCACAGATGACAGAGTTGATCTGGCAGAAGCAGGATGCTTATGTGCGGAACAGAGCTGGGAAGAAAATACATGCATCAAGCAAACAGTTTATTGAGATCAGTCAAATCTAGCTGTTTTGCAAGTCTTCTCCAATTCTGTATCTCTAAAAATGGCCTCCACACCCAAAAAACAAAAAAAAATGTTATCTGTTCCATGAGGCTTTTCTCTCTTAGATACCAGTTTTTGAAGTAATCCAGTCCCGCAAGGCCGTAACTCTAGTATAAACACCAGGCTTGTTGGGTTTCGCACATTCATCTCCCCAGCTCACTATTCCAGCAAGGTACCAGATATCTCTAGCATCTGAACTAACCAGTGGTCCTCCAGAGTCACCCTAAAGGAGAAGACAGAAATTAGTAATTCATAATTCAGTTCATTACAGAGGAATTGGCTATTTTTCTAACTTAAGAATGTAATGAAAGGGGTAATTTTCAAAAGTATTCCGTGTGTTCGCATGCATAAGTGATTTTCTCCATCTATGTCAGTTATCCACCTAAAAGAGGACCTCCAATACCTTGAAAACTGATGAGATTGAAACCTTGAAACCTTGAAATACCTTGAAACCTTCAAAACAATGAGATTGAAGCCTCCATCTCTTTGAAGAACTGTACTCTTAACTTATGTGACACATCTGACAAAATAACTCCCTAATTATTTTGTCTATACTCTTTATTAGTGTAACATAACCCCCCAAAAAAGGGAGTGAAGAGTCTATTACTGATTTTAAAAAAACAAACAAACAAAAAAAAACAGACATTAGAGTCAGACACCAGGGTTTCTATCTCAAGTTTGGCCTTTCCATGCTGGCTAAGACCTTTAATTTATTTATCTGTAAATGCTCCTAATAATACCTACCTGTGATGAGTGCTATGAAGATGATGTAAGACAGTGAATGTAAAGTGCTTAGTCTAGCAAAAGGCAGAACTTAGGAAATGCATATATAAAATCACAAATTCTCATTATTTATATCCTGCAAACTCCAGAGTTTTGATTCTTTATATGGCTTGTAATAATGAGGTACTGGCTGATTATTCCTCAAGATCCTGGCGCTTCTAATTATTGACCACCCATTAAGTATTCATACTCACTCTATGAAGTTCTTAATTGATTAAAATATTATCTCATTAATTCATGTAATTCTTGTTTACAAAAAACATAGAACTAGGTTAATTTTTTCTGGGTTACTAAGAAAACTGAAACTCAGAAACATTAAGTAATTTGCCTGAGATCACGTGCTAATCAGTGGCAGACCCCGAATTTGAATCCAGAGCGATCTAATTCAGAAGCCCATGCTTTTTTCCCTACGTTATGCTAACTTCCTTGTGAATTTTCTTTTGTCCATTTAAAAAATTAACTAATATAATAGTAAATTTGAAATAATACATTTGTGATTTTAAATCAACTAACCAATAAGCATTTACTGATACCCTCGTATGTAGGAGGAGATATAAAAAGAGTATTATAAACACATGGATCTTGTCCTCTAGAAACCTGCAATCTGCTTATAGAAATAAGATATGCCATATGAAGCTATTCAAAAATAAATAATTTTGATAATAAAATCCCAAGTCTATATGCAGGCAGAGAAAATCAGGATAGAGAAATAGAAGATACAAGAGAAAACAAAGCTTTAATCAGCATAAGAGACAGGAATAAATGAGTCCGAGAATAAATAATTATTTTAAAGAGATAGCAGTATACAAATAGTAAATAATATAAATAATAGTATATAAATAGCAGTAAATAGCATTACAAGCTGAAAAGTAAGGTGATGTCCAGCAAGTATCAAATAGAAAAAAATATAGAGTCTATTCTACCAGCACTAATTAGCTCACATTTGATTAGTGAATGGCAGAGTTATGTCAGTAGAAGATGGAAATTATGATGGTTTAGATATGCTTTTTTTTAGGCAAGGGAGCCAGAATAATGGGAGTGGAATTATAAACTTCAGAAGAAAAGGAAAACCCTTTCAACTCAGCTATTACACAGGCAGACACATTTGGGGCACTGTTTTAAGAAAATGCCTGAGTGCCTGTACCCAAAACTCCCTCCCCAGAGAGATGTATCCTAGCTTTGTATCAGTTTTAGGTTGCATTTCCTCTTCTGCTCAGGACTACACTTCCCTGTGTATATTGCCTTAGCACCAGCAAACCTGTGTTTCCACATTATTTTTCTTTGCATTTTTAACATGCCCTGAGTAAGCCACCAGACTTTGGGCGTTTTGCCTGCCTACACTGTGCAAGCTATTTTTAAAGGTACCAATTATTATATTTGTTAATTCTTCAGTTATAAAGTTGCATAGCTTTTGAGGGACCAGTCTGTCTCTATCTCTATTTGTCTCATTAATCCTGTTATTTTTAGTGAATGGTTTAGTGAGAAACAGAACAGGAAGTGTATTCAGAAACTTCTAAAATTGGAAGAAGCCAAACAGGAAGCCGTGGAAGTATTAAGACACAAAGAAATGAGGGAATAGATTAGGGTGTTAACAGAAATAATAGGGGCATAAGAAATAAACATAAAAGATATGGTAAAGTGGGAAAATAGTCTAGGACTTAACTGAATACATGTGGAGGAAACATAAGAGTAAAAAAAACTCTAATAGTGAACCCTAATAATATGAGCGAGAAACTTAAAAACCCAGGCAACATTTCATGATGCCTGTTGAGTTTCAAATGGCACATATACAAATTTTCATTTCCTATTAAGAACTTAAAATATATAAATAGAAATCACTTTGAAGTAGGTAGAAATGTAAGACTAAATATGGGCAAGAGTTGAATTCTGGAGACACAGGTTTGGCACTCATTAAGGTGATAGCTGAGTTCAAAGAAAAGATGGCTTCTTTGAGTGAGAATATAGACAGCAGATAAAAACTTTATCTGAGATCTGAATCTTGAGCATAGCCAGATTGAGAGAGAGAGAGAAAGATTAATCAAAGGATACAGCCAGAAATGAGTAGATGGAGGAGGAGGAAAGAAATCAGCAAATTTCAGAATTATGAAATTCAAACAAGGGATATGTCTTAAGAAAGGCAAGGTCGCCAAATACCACTGAGATGAGAAACAGTAGGAGATTCAAGGAAAAATTTTTACATATGAGGTTATTAGTGGTTTTTGTGATATTAAAATATAAAGAGCAAGGCAAGTGGTAAAAACTGTGGATGCTAGACATGAACATTTTTTAAATGGAGGCTGGGCAAGATGGCTTACACCTGTAATCCCAGCACCTTGGGAAGCTGAGGCAGGTAGATCTCCTGAGGTCAGGAGCTTGAGACCAGCCTGGAAGCTAGGAAGGAATTTTTCACCAACATGGTGAAACCTTGTCTCTACTAAAAATACAAAAATTAGTCTGGTGTGGTGGCGGTTGCCTGTAATCTCAGCTACTCAGGAGGCTGAGGCGAGAGAATAGCTTAAATCCAGAAGGTGGAGGTTGCAGTGAGCCGAGATCACACCACTGCACTCCAGCCTGGGTAACAAGCATGAAACTCCATCCCTCCCCCCCAAAAAAATGGGTGCCATGTCTTCCCAGAGATAAGAAAGTAGAATATTGTAATCATAGGGCAAATTTGGCTTCTCTTCTGTAGCTCACAAAGTTTGTAAAGCGTGTACCTCTAATATCACCATCAAAATAGTATTTTTGAATGGGGACATTTTCAGATGAAAGTATATAACATCTGGGATTAACTTCAAAATAGATTTGATATTTTGGTAGGGAAAGGGGATGAGGGGATTTTATCAGGGTATGTACGGATAACGTAAGGTTGGCCATGAGTTGTAAATTTTTGAACTAGGTGATGAGTACATGAAAGTTCATTATTTTATCCTCCCTATTTTTGCATACCATTGAAATTTTTATAATAAAAATTATAAAATAAAAGATTAAGAGGGCATACATCTGTTTCTCTGAAATTTTTAGGAAGGACATTACTATAGAGACTATAGAAACCGAGATAGTTGAATAAAGAAAATAATGGATGATCATAAATGTAAAAGTGCACGATGTTTTCAACAGTTTCAGGAAAGTTGGAGGCAAGTAGGATGATGATGATTAGGACAAAAGAAGGTCTAGCATAATATCTAAACCATCAATGATTCCATGACCGTCAAGAAGACAAATAAAATACAGGTTATTCTCATTATTCATGGTAGTCGTGTTCTGTGAAGTCACCACAAATGCTGAATTAATGACTGTTGAGTCCTTGTTCTTAGGAGAAATACAGGGTTGGTTTTCCAGGAGACTCTGGTCACATTTTTGTCAACTGCTCAAGACATAAACAGATTTCGTGTGTGTTTCTGTTTAAAGACGTTCTATTTAATATACATTGTTGATTCATTAACATTAAACTCACAGTAAACACCGCTAAAACTTATAACTAAACAAAGCTTACCAAATATACATATTTTCTCCATATGGCACATCACAACCTTCTTGCACTATACTTTGGCACTACAGTTGGGGACTATTTTAAACAGCAAAATCGCCAGCAAAGATAATAAAAATGTGAAAAATGTAGCACTATGTAGACCAAGAAAAGACACTTGTTTACAGAATGAGAACTGAAACAAAAAGGCACAGTATCACATTTTTCAACCTCAGGTAAGAATATGCTCATTGAGTAATAAGATATTTTGCCACTCTGTGCATGCTTGTGAATGATCATAAAAGTGCCTTGAGTATTGATTTGGGGGTTACAAATAAATTTTAGTGAGTAGGTGAATTTGCAAATATGGAATCTGCAAATAACAAGGATCAAGTATATTTTCAAGTCATCTTTTAAGTTGAATTCATTTCAGGAGATTGAATTACAGAATCAATTTCAATTGTTAGGAAGGAATTTTTAGTAGTGTGTGGTAATGGGACCAATCTACTTTGTTCCGTGTGTTCCTCCAGGAGCAATTAGGAAACACAGAAAAAGAAACAAAATGAAGTGAGTCTAAACTTGGGCATTTGCCAGAGTATAAACAAAGGTCAACTGAATAAAAGAATTTAATGTAGCAAACTGAACATTGCTAAAACGACTAACCCAAAGGTAAAAGTTGGGAAAGAACTATAGTGATGCCAACAGGGAATTAAATGAGGTGGAGCAAATGAAGGCAATACAGATAGTGTTCATGCGAAAGCATGAAAGGAATAACATTAAAAATTGTAAAAAAAAATCTTAGAAATTAATGGTACCATTTTATGAATACAGATTAGAAAGCACACAGAGTAACATGGAATTCTGAAGAGAACTATAGGGCTTAGAAAGCACATTAAACAAAAATTCTGTCAAATCACAAAATGAAAATTATGAAAGCATTTAGTGACACACAGAAGGAACCAGTTATTGGCCCCCTCCATGATTTTGTGAGTGATGCACATGAAGACATAGAGGTCAAAATTTTTGTATCCACCAAAGGCACAAAATTGGTGGCAATAGCCAAACACTGGAAAACAAAACCCGGCTTCAAAAATATGTAAACGCTCCAGACCAATATGGGACAGACTTACTTATTCTTTTTTCCCCAGCTAAATATGGCTAAAACAAACAAAAAAATACCTGGGCATTACAAATAAAACAAACATAAAAAGACTCTGAAAATTAGAGAGAAGACGACAGGTGGGCTCAGAAATGCAGGACAAAAGGAATGATACAAGAGTGAGCTCTCTCAATTTTTTTTTTTTTTTTTTTTTTTTTGCTTCATATATCATGGACTTGGAAGAAGCCAGCAACCTGGCAACCTGCCAACAAGTGCAAGTTTTTTAAAAGGCTCCAAGAAAATCCTGCTCTCCCTAGTAAAATAATCAATAAGAGGACAACTTGGGAAAACAGCAAATCCAGGAAGACAATAAATCCCAACTGAAAAGACTTCCATGCTTACCAGGCTGTAAGAAGGCCCAATTCCCTACTAGATTGGTGTCAGAATATGCTGAATAGGCACCAGGTGCAGTGGCTCACACTCGTAATCCCAGCACGTTGGAAGGCTGAAGCAGGTGGATGACCTGAAATCAGGAGTTTCAGACCAGCCTAGCAAACATGGCAAAACGCCGTCTCTACTAAAAATACAAAAATTAGTCAGGTGTCGTGGCACATGCCTTTAATCTCAGCTACTCAGGAGGCTGAGGCAGGAGAATTGCTGGAACCTAGGAGGCAGAGGTTGCAGTGAGCCAAGATGGCACCACTGCACTCCAGCCTGGGCAACAAGCGAGACTCCACCTCAAAAAAAAAAAAAAAAAAAAAAAAAAGAATATGCTGAGTGGGAAGCATGAACTACCACCCAGTAATGAGGAATAACTCTCCCCATCTACTAGAACCATGTCTGAGGAGAGGTAGTGGGAAGTCAAGTCTTTCACCACTGCGAAGCAGTAATGAAATCACTACCCCATGATGTCAGTGGAGGCCAAAAGGGGAGCAGTAACAAAGTACCTTCAGCCAGAGTGTTATCAGAAGAGGCCTAACCTCCATGCAGTAGTAATGAGCATTAGTCCCTCACCTGAGCATCAAAGGAAGCTGAGTGGGAAATGAGGCAATTCCTTCATACATCCCCCTCCCTCTGCATCACAATGTCTGCTGAGGCATGGTTAAATAGAAAATTTAAATAAGATCTAGAGTTTTAAATAATAATAATTTAATTTTTTCAAATTATTATTATTTCATTATTTAATAAATACTAAAACAAAATGGCCGACCAGACGCAGACAAGAAGACCTTCTCCCAGTGAGGGACCAGACCATCAAGAAGACTGGCACACTCTGAACAAATTTTCAGAAAGAAGGCATTGAGAGTTGATGGAAGGAGAATGCAGACCCCAGGCTGAAAGGGAAGGAAGCTGGTAACCCTGCACAGGGTTGCCAAGCACCAGAACTTGTTCCTGGCCTGGAGAGGCTCCTGGGGAAGGAGTAAGTTAAATGGTCATGGAGTGGCCAACTCACACCACAGACCTCCAGAATCTTAGCTGCAGGAGACCCCTCATCCCCCATGGACAGTTAAGGTGGCAGGGAGAACAGCCTGGAGAGTTGAAAGAGACAGAATTCTAGCCTGCACAGAGTCCACAGGGTTTGGCATGAGAATGGCTACAGCAGAGCATGGCATGGGTGCCCATCCCCCAAATATCATACATCTCTAGGTGGCTTTCGCCTTTGTTGATGGACAGACCTGGACATCACAGGGCTCTCTTGCTTGTGGGATGGGAACAATCTGATCCAAGCACTCGCTTGTCTGCTGGCCTATGCCAAATTCCCTGCCTGGCTACACAAACTTGCAGCACTGCCTCAGCTGCCCAGCCAAGGCATTTTTTGACAGCCACAGCCATTGCTATTTTGATGGCAGACCCTGCCTAACAGCTGGAGAGCTCCTGAAGGCAGGTCCCTGTCAGTGAGCGCCCACCAGCATGCACTCACTGGCAGCCTCTACCTGCTGCTTTGCTGTCATGCCTTTGCCTGCAGCCTCCAGCCACTGACTCACTGGTGTATGCATGCACACTGACCCCATCACTGCCCCACCACCAGCACGCATGCCTGTGCAGGACTTGCCACTACCCCACGACCAGCACGTATGTGAGCACAAGGACCCTCACTGACCCACTGCCACCCCGCCAAAGTGCCTTTGCCAGCACAGTTTTGTTGCCAGTGGACCAGGAACACCTCATTCCTTCCAACCCAGGAGGTACTTAACCTCTAGGGGCTAGAGAAAACCGCCTCAGACCTGGTCCCAATTTCCCAAGGTTACAGCCTGGTACAGCATGCAGCCCAGGAGTGCTGAGCTAACCCTTGGACCCCTGAAATCATCCAAAAACGAATGAAATTAACTAAGCACAACTAATACCACAATCAAACCACAAAAGGCATCAAAGAATATAAAAGTAAAAAGCTCCATACAAAGGACAACAACTTCACACACACAGATGAGAAAGAACCAATGCAAGAACTCTGGTAACTCTAAAAGCAAGAGTGTCTTCTTACCTCCAAATGACTGAACTAGCTCCCCAGCAATGGTTCATAACCAGACTGAAATGACAGACATGGAATTCAGAATACAGATGTCAATGAAGATCATCAAGATTCAGGGGAAAGTTGAAACACAGTCTAAGGAACTTATGGCATCAATAAAATAACACAAGAGCTGAAAGATGAAATTGCCATTTTAAGAAAGAATCAGGGTCGGGCGCGGTGGCTCACGCCTGTAATCCCAGCACTTTGGGAGGCCGAAGGTGGGTAGATCACGAGGTCAGGAGATCGAAACCATCCTGGCTAACACGGTGAAACCCCGTCTCTATTAAAAATACAAAAAAATTAGCCGGGCATGGTGGCGGGCCCCTGTAATCCCAGCTACTCAGGAGGCTGAGGCAGGAGAATGGCATTAACCCGGGAGGCGGAGCTTGCAGTGAGCCGATATCTTGCCACTGCACTCCAGCCTGGGCAACCGAGTGAGACTCTGAGAGAAAAGAAGAGAAGAGAAGAGAGAAAAGAAAAAAGGAAAGAAAAGAAGAGAAACTGATCTCCTAGAGCTGAAAAACTCACTACAAGAATTTCATAATACAATGGGCAGTATTAACAGCAGAACAGATCAAACTGAAAACAATTTTAGAACTTGAAGGCCAGTTCTTCAAATCAACTCAGTTAGATAAAGAAAAAGATATTCTTTAATGAACAAAATCTCCAAGAAATATGGAATTATATAAATATACCAAATCTACAATTCACTGGCATCCCCAAGGAAAGAGAGAGAGCAAGCAACTTGGAAAACTCATTTATGAATATCGTTCCTGAAAATTTCCCCAATCTTGCTGCAGAGGTTAACATACAAATTCAAGAAATTCAGAGAACCCCAGAGATATAACATACAAGACACCCATCCTCCAGACGCCTTGTCGTCAGATTCTCCAAGGTCAACATGAAAGAAAAAATCTTAAAAGCAGTAGAGCAAAGGGACAGGTCACATACAAAGGGGGTGATATCAGGATAACAGCAGAACCTTCAGCAGAAACCTTATAAGCCAAAAGAGATTGGGGACCTATACTCAGCCAGCATTCTTTTTTTTTTTTTTTTTTTTTTTTGAGACAGAGTCTCACCCTTGTCACCCAGGCTGGAGCGCAATGATATGATCTCAGCTCACTGTAACCTCTGCCTCTCAGGTGAAAGCAATTCTCCTGCCTCAGCCTCCCGAATAGCTGGGATTACAGGCGCCCATTAGCATGCCTGGCTAATTTTTGTATTTTTAGTAGAGATGGGGTTTCACCATGTTGGCCAGGCTGGTATATTCAGCATTCTTAAAGAAAAAAATTCCAATCAAGAATTTCATATCCAGCCAAACTAAGCTTCATAAGCGAAGGAGAAACGGAATCTTTTTCAGACAAGCAAATGTTAAGGGAATTTATTACCACCAGACTTGCCTTGCAAAAAGTCCTTAAGAGAGTGCTAAACATGGCAACAAAAGACCATTACCTGGCTAGGCATGGTTTCTCACGCCTGTAATCCCAGCACTTTGGAAGGCCGAGGTGGGCAGATCACCTGAGGCCAGGAGTTCAAGACCAGCCTGGCCAACATAGCGAAATCCCATCTCTACTAAAAATACAAAATTAGCCAGGTGTAATGGCATGCATTTGTAATCCCAGGTACTCAGGAGGCTAAGGCAGAAGAATCGCTTGAACCCAGGAGGTAGAGGATGTAGTGAGCTCAGATTGCACCTTTGCACTCCAGCCTGAGCAACAAGAGCAAAACGCGGTCTCAAAAAAAAAAAAAAATTCCTGACACCACAGAAAAGACAATTACATAGTCCACTGACACTATATGCAACTATACAATCAAGCCTGTGGAATAACCAGCTAGCAACATGATGGCAGGATCAAATCTTCACATATCAATATTATAACTTGAATATAAACAGGCTTAATGCCCCACTTACAAGGGACAGAGTAGCCCATTGGATAAAGAAGCAAGACCCAACTGTATGCTATCATCAGGAGACCCATCTCAAATGCAATGACACTCATAGTCTCAAAGTAAAGGCATAAGGAAAGATCTACCAAGCAAATGAAAAACAAAAAAGAACAGGGGTTGCTACTCTTATTTCAGACAAAACAGACTTTAAAACAATAATTAAAAAGGACAAAAAATGGTGTAACAAAGTGATAAAGTGTTCAATTCAACAAGAAGATTAACTATCTAAATGTATATGCATCCAACACTGGAGCATCCAGACTCAGAAAATAAGTTCTTAGAGCCTACAAAAAAGACTTAGATAAATACAAAATTATAGTGGAGATTTCAACACCCCTCTAAAGGTGTTATAAAGGCAGAAAACTAACAAAGATATTCCGAACCTAAACTCAACACTTGACCAAATGAACCTAAGAGATATCTATAGAACACTCCACCTAACAACAAGAAAATATACATTCTTTTCATCTGCATATGTATGGCACATACTCTAAGATCAACCATGCACTTGGCCATAAAGCAATTCTAAACAAATTTTTAAAAATCATTCCAATCACACTCTCAGACCACAGTGCAATAAAAATAGAAATCAATACCAAGATCTCTCAAAATTATACAATTACATGGAAATTAAACAGCCTGCTCCTGAATGTCTTTTGAGTAAAGAATGAAATTAAGACAGAAAGCAAGAAATTCTTTGAAATTAATGAAAATAAAGATACAACATGCCAGAATTTCTGGGACACAGGTAAAGCAGTATTAACAGGAAAGTTTATGGGGCAAAATGCCAACATCGAAAAGATATAAATATCTTAAATTAACAATGTAGCATCACACCTTGAGGAACTAGAAAAACAAGAGTAAGTGAACCCCTAAACTAGCACAAGACAAAAATAACCAAAATTAGAGCTGAACTGAATGAAATAGAGACACAAAAATCCATATAAAAGATCAATGAAACCAAACAACTTGTTCTTTGAAAGAATAAATAAGATTGATACACTGCTAGCAAGACTAACAAAGAAAAAAAAGAAAGAACTTTCAAATAAGCACCATCAGAAATGCCAAAGGGAAGAGAAATATTTTTTACAAAAAATTTCAAAGATGATTGTAAACACCTCTGTGCACACAAACTAGAAAATCTAGAAGGAATGGATAAATTCTTGGAAACACAAACTCCCAATATTGAACCAGGAAGAAATTGAATACCTGAGAAGATAAATAATGAGTTCCAAAATTGAACCAGTAATTTTAAAAAAACAGCCAACAAGGAAGGCCCTGGAACAGAGAGATTCACAGCCAAATTCTACCAGATATATAAAGAAGAGCTGGTACCAATTATATTGAAAATACTCCCAAAATTCTAGAAAAAGAGAAGCCTCCCTAACACATTTTATGAAGGCAGTGTTTTTCTGATACCAAAACCTGGAAGAGACACAACAAAAAGAGAAAACTTCAGGACAATATCCTTGATGAACATTGATGCAAAAATCCTCAACAAAATACTTGCAAACCAAATCCAGCAGCACATCAAAAAGCTTATCCACCACAGTAATGTAGTCTTATTTTCTAGGATGCAAGGCTGGTTCAACATATGAAAATAAATAAATATGGCTGGGCACGGTGGCTCATGCCTGTAATCCCAGCACTTTGGGAGGCCGAGATGTGTGGATCACCTGAGGTCAAGTGTTCAAGACCAGCCTGACCAACATGGCAAAACCCCATCTCTACTAAAAATACAAAAATTAGCCAGGCATGGTGGTTGGCACCTGTAATCCCAGCTACTCAGGAGGCTAAGGCAGGAGAATCACTAGAACCTGGGGGACAGAGGTTGCAGTGAGCTGAGATCGCACCACTGCACTCCAGCCTGGGTGACAAAGCGAGACTCTGTCTCAAAAAGAAAAAAAAGAAAAAAACCTTGAACTAACTAGGCATCAGAGGAACATACTTCAAAATAATAAAAGCCTTCTATGACAACCCCATAACCAACATCATAATGAATGGGCAAAAGCTAGAAGCATTCCCCTGTGAACCAGAAAAGACAAGGATGTGCACTCTCACTACTGTTATTCAACATAGTACTGGAAGTTTTGACCAAAGCAATTAGGCAAGAGAAAGACATAAAAGGCATCCAAATAGAAGAGAGGAAGTCAAACTATCTCTCTTCACAAATGATATGATTCTACACCCAGAAAACTCCACAGTCTCTGCCCAAAGGCTCCTAGAACTGATAAACAACTTCAGTAAAGTTTCTGAATACAAAATCAATGTACTAAAATGAGGAGCACTTCTATACAACATTAACATCTTAGCCGAGAGCCAAATCAAGAGTGCAATCTCATTCACAATTGCCACAAGAAGAATAAAATACATAGACATATGGCTAACTAGGAAGGTGAAGGACCTCTACAATGAGAATTAAAAACACTGCTGAAAGAAATCATAGTTGAAGGCCAGGTACAGTGGCTGATGCCCGTAATCCCAGCACTTTAGGAGGCAGAGGCAGGAGGATTGCTTGAGCTCAGGAGTTCAAGACCAGCATGAGCAACATGGCAAGACTCCATCTCTACCAAAAATCTAAAAAATTAGCCATGTGTGGTGGTGAATGCCTATAGTCCCCGCTACTCAGGAGACTGAAGTGGGAGGATCGCTTGAGCCCAGGAGTTCAAGGCTGCAGTGAACTATAGTTGTGGCACTGCACTCCAGCCTGGTCAACAGGGTAAGACCTTGTCTCAAGAAAAAAAAGAAAGAAACCATAGTTGACACAAACAAATGGTAAAACAGTTTGTGTTCATGAATAGAAAGAATCAGTATTGTTAAAATGGCCATACTGCTCAAAGAAATTTACAGATTAAATGTTATTCCTATAAAACTACCAATGTCATTTTTCACAGAATTAGTAAAAACTGTTGTAATATTTATATGGAACCAAAAAAGAGCCTTAATAGCCAAAGCAATCCTAAACAAAAAAACAAAGCTGGTGGCATCACACTACCAGACTTCAAACTATACCACAAAGCTATAGTAACCAGAAGATCATGGTGCTAGTACAAAAAAAGTAGACACATAGATCAATGGAACCAAATAGAGAAGCCAGAAGTAAAGCTGCATGTCTACAACCATCTCATCTTTGACAAAGCTGACCATAACAAGAAATGGGGAAAGGACTCCCTACTCAATAAATGGTGCTGGGTATAACTGGCTAGCCATATGCAAAAAATTAAAACTGAACCCCTTTCTTTCACCATATACAAAAATCAACTTGAGATGGTTGAAATACTTAAGTGTAAAACCTAAAACTATAAAAACTCTAGAAGAAAACCTAGGAACTACCATTCTGGACATCAGCCTTAGCAAAGCTTTTATAACAAAGACCCTAAAAGCAATTGCAACTAAAACAAAAATTGACAACTGGGATCTAATTAAACTAAAGAGCTTCTGCACAGGAAAATAAACTATTAACAGAGTAAACAGACGACCTACAGAATAGGAAAAAATATTTGCAAACTATGCATCTGACAAAGGTCTAATATCCAGAATCTTTAAGAAATCTTAAACAAATCAACAAGCAAAAAACAAACAACTCCCTTTTAAAATGGGGAAAAAAAACATAGATACAGTTTGAATATTTGTCCCCTCTCAAATCTCATGTTGAAGTTTAATCTCCATTGCTGGAAGTGAGGCTGGTGGGAGTTGTTTGGGTAACGGATCCCTGACAGCATAGTGCTGTCTTTGCGATAGCAAGTGAACTGTCACGATATCTGGTTGTTTAAAAGTGTGTGGCACCTCCTCCCACTCTCTCTCTCTCTCGCTCCTGCTTTCACCACATGATGTTCCTGCTCCCCTTTCACCTCCCACCATGATTATAAGCTTCCTGATGCCTCCCTAGGAGCTAAGTTAATGCCAGCATCAGGCTTACTATAAAGTCTGAAAAGCCATGAGCCAATTAAACATCTTTTCTAATAAATTACCCAGCCTCAGATATTTCTTAATAGCAATGCAAGAACAGCCTAACACAGAAAATTGGTAACTATGAGTGTGGCATTGCTATAAAGATATTGGAAAATGTGAAAGCGACTTGGCAACTGGGTAACAGGTAAAGAATGGAAGAATTTTGAAGGCTCAGAAGACAGATATGATCAAGTCTGAAATTTCTTAGAAACTGGTTAAATGGTTGTGACCAAAATGCTGATAGTTACATCGACAGTGAAATCCAGATTGATGAGGTGGAAGGGAATTGCTTTATCTCAGATGAGACTTTGGACTTCAGACTTTTTTTTTTTCCCCAAGATGAAGTCTTTCTGTGTCACCCAAGCTGGACTGCAGTGGTGCGATCACAGCTCAATGCAGCCTAAACCTCCCACGATCAATCAATCTTCCCACCTCAGCCTCCCAAACAGCTGGAACTATAGGCATATGCCACAAAGCCCAGCTAATTTTTTTTTTTTTTTTTTTTTTTTTTTTTTTTGTGGAGATGCAGTTTTGCCACATTACCCAGGCTGGTCTCAAACTCCTGGGCTCAAGAAATCCACCCACCTTGGCCTTCCAAAATGCTGGGATTATAGGTGTGAGCCACTGCATCTGGCCAACTTTGAATTTTTGAGTTAAAGTCGGAATGAGTTAAGACTTTTGGGGACTGTTAGGAAGGCATAATTATATTTTGCAATGTGAGAAGACATGAGATTTGGGAGAGGCCAGGAGCAGAATGATATAATTTGGATATTTATCCCTGCCCAAATCTCATGTTGCTTTGTCACCCCCAATGCTGAAGGTAGGACCTGGTGGGAGGTGTTCAGGTCATGGGAGCCAATCACTCACGGCTTGGAGTTATCTTTGCAATAGTGAGTGAGCTCTTGTGAGATCGGATTGTTTAAAAGTGTATGGCACCTCTATCCCTCTTGCTCCTGCTTTCACCATGTGATGTACCTGCTCCCTCCCATTTCACACTTCACCTTCTGCCATGATTGTAAGCTTCCTCCCTAGAAACCGAGCAGATGCCAGCACCATGCTGCCCATAAAGCCTGCAGAATCATAAGCCAATTAAACCTTTTCTCTTTATACATTACCTAATATTGGCTTTTTGTTTACTTGGTTTTGTTAGTTTGTTTGTTTGTTTTTGGAGACAGGGTTTTGCTCTGTCACCCAAGCTGGAGTGCAGTGGGTGCAGTGCAGCCTCGACCTCTTGGGTTCAAACAATCCTCCTGCCTCATAATTTCCAAGTAGCTGGGACTACAGGCACACACCACCACATTGGCTAATGTTTGTATTTCTAGCAGAGACAGGATTTCCCCATGTTGCCCAAGCTGGTCTTGAACTTCTGAGCTCTAGTGATCCACCTCCCTTGGCCTCCCAAAGTGCTGAGATTACCTGCATGAGCCACCATTCCCGACCCAGGTATTTTTTTATAGCAGTGTAAGAACAGCCTAATACAGACAGGAACAGACACTTCTCAAATGAAGACACACAAGCAGCCAACAAACATATGGACAAATGCTCAACATCACTAATCAGGGAAATGGGAAATTAAAAACCATAATAAGATACCATCTCAAACCAGTCAGAATGGCTATTACTAAAAAGTCAAAAAAACAACAGATGTTGTTGAGGTTGTGGAGAAAAGGGAATGCTTATACACTGCTCGTGGGAATGTAAATTAGGTCAGCCACTGTGGGAAGCAGCTTGGAGATTTCTCAAAGAAATTAAGACAGAACTACAATTTGACCCAGCAATCCCATTACTGGGTATATTATACACAAAGGAATACAAATTGTTCTGCCATAAAGACACATGTATGCATATGTTCATGGCAGCAATTGTCACAATAGTCATGGAATCAACCTAAAATGTCCATCAACAGTGGACTGGATACAGAAAATGTGGTAAATATACCCCATGGAATGCTATGGAGCCAGAAAGCAAAATGAAACCATGGTTTTTGCAGCAATATGGATGCAGCCACAGGCCATTATACTAAGCAAATGAATGCAGGAACAGAAAACCAAATACCTCATGTTCTCACTTATAAGTGGAAGCTAAACATTGAGTACATATGGACACAAAGAGAGGAACAATACATACTGGGGCTTACTTGAGGGTTGAGGGTGGGAGGAGGATGAGAACCAAAAACTACCTATTGGTTATTATGCTTACTACCTGCATGATGAAATAATTTGTACACCAAACCCCAGCAACACACAATTTACCCATGTAACAATCCTGCAGATGTAACCTCTGAACCTAAAATAAAAGTTGGAAGAAGCAAAGTAATTAATTAAATAAAATAATATAAATTTAAAAGCATGATATAACAACAACAACAAAACAGAATAAATAATAATTAGATGCTCAGCATATATCTGAATATCAGTCATCATACAATGAAATATAAAAGTTTTTACTTGAATGAGAAAAGGCAATCAACAGATACCAACACTGAGATAACACAAATGTTGAAATTATTTGACAAAGATTTTAAAGCAGCCATCATAAATACATCTCAATGAGCAATTACCATCATGTTTAAAACAAAGGAAAAGAAATAGGAAGTGTCAACAAAGAAATAGTAAATATAAAAAGAAGAAACAAAGAAAAACCCTGGAACTAAAAAATATGATAAGCAAAATTCAAAACTCACTGGACGGGCTTAACATAAGAATAGAGAAGACAGAGCAAAGAATCAGTAAACTTGAAGATACATTGAAATTACCCAATCTCAAAAACAGAGAGAAACTAGAGTGCAAAAAAAATAAACAAAAGCTTAGGAAACTCTGGGACTATAATAAAAGAGTAAACATTGCTGTGGTTAGAGTTCCAGAAGGAAAGAAGAAAGAAGGTGGGACTGAAAGAGTATTTTAAGAAATAATGACCAAAAATTTCTCAAACTTGACAAAGGATATAAATCTACATATTCAAAAAGCTGAGCAAACCTCAAACAGGATAAGCCCAAAGAAATCCATGCCAAGATACATAATCAAACTTCTGAAAACTAAAGACAAACTCTTGAACACAGCAAGAAATGACACCTCATCTATTGGAAAAAAATAATTCTAATAGCAGCAAATTCCTTGCAGAAATCACAGAGGCAATGATTTAAATGCTGAAAGAAAAGAACTGTCAGTGCTAAATTATGCTCCAGTAATGAAGAAGAAATAAAGACTGTTAGAGACAAAGAAAATCTAAGAGAATTTTTCACCAGCATACCTATACTAAAAGAGTGGCTAAAAGAAGTTCCTAAAACAGAAATGACTGTTTTTAAAAAAGGAATCAGGAAAGAGGAAAGAAGAAATCCATAGGTAAATAGTCTTTCCTTTTCCTCTTATGTTTTCTAAATTACATTTGACAGTTGAAGCAAAACATTGTCTTCTGTGGTTCTCAAAATATAAAGCAAATATTTAATATTTATATTTATTAATATTTAATGTTTATATTTGTTAATGTTTAATATTAAAGAGGGAAAAGCAAAGGGATTTAAGGGGAAGTAAGTTTTTTATTCTATACTCCACCAAAACTAGTAAAATTTCAATACACATAGACAGTGATGTTATGTATGTATATATAAATAAATATATATTTATATACACATATATATAACTTAAAGGAACCACTAAAATTTTTCTACAACAAAAAGCCAAAAATACCAATAGATGATCCAAAATTAAATTCTGTTTAAAAAGCTACTGTTACTCTATTTATATAACATTCTGAAAATTGAAAAATTATAGAGATGGAGAATAAATTAGTGATTGCCAGATGTTAGGGATAGTAGGAGGAGGGAAAAAGGTAGGTCTTTGTGGTGATAGAATAGTTCTTCATCTTAACTGTAGTGGTGGTTACACAAATCTACAGATGTGACAAAATGCCATAGAATTAGACACATACTTTGTACGACTGTCAGTTTCCCAGATCTTATATTGAACTATAGTTATGTGAGATGTAATCATTGGAGAAAACTGGGTGAGATGTTGTGACTCCTCTGTACTATCTTTGCAACTTCCTGTAGATATATAATTATTTCAAAGAAAAGTAAACAAAAAATTACACAACCTACTAATGGGCAAAACTGTTTACCTGGCATGCATCTGTTTTTCCTTCTAAGGAGCCAGCACATAACATTCTAGGAGTTATGGCGTCATTGTAAGCTTGAGGTTCATTGCAAGTTGTAGCGTCTATGAGAGTCACCTGTGCTTGTCGAAGATGATTTTGACTGTAACCTAAAAGAAAAAAAAGTCTTTGTATTTGTAGACATACATATATTTTATAAACTTGAAGAAAATGTTTCATGATTAGGAATAAGATGGTGATACAGGCCAGGCACGGTGACTAACGCCAGTAATCCCAGCACTTTGAGAGGCCGAGATTGGAGGATCGCTTGAAGCCAGGAGTTCAAGACCAGCTTGGCCAACATGGTGAAATCCTGTCTCTACTAAAAATACAAAAATTAGCCGGGGGTGGTGGCATGCACCTGTAATCCCAGCTATTCAGGAGGCTGATGCAGGTAAATCTCTTGAACCCGGGAGGCAGAGGTTGCAGTGAGCCAAGATCGGGCCACTGAACTCCAGCCTGGGGGACAGAAAGAAGCCCCATCTTAAAAAAAAAAAAAAAAAAAAAGCGGGGGATACCGGGTGCGGTGGCTTACACCTGTAATCCCAGCACTTTCGGAGGCCGAGGAGGGCAGATCACCTGAGGTCAAGAGTTTGAGACCAGCCTGGCCAACATGGTGAAACCCTGTCTCTACTAAAAATGGAAAAATTAGGCGGGCACCTGTAGTCCCAATCACTGGGGAGGCTGAGGCAGGAGAATCGCTTGAACCTGTGAGGCAGAGGTTGCAGTGAGCCAAGATCGCACCATTGCACTTCTGCCTGGAGACTCTGTCTCAACAAGGAGACTCTGTCTCAAAAAAAAAAAAAAAAGATAGTGATACAGAATCTTAGACTACATATGTTTAGAACAATAATATTTGGGAAGATAATTTGTTCCTAACTACTTTGAGCAAAAAGTTGGGTGCCTAGGAAAGAACCACAAGTTATCTAAATAATGTCCACTCCATTGTTAAGATTACAAGGAAATTTCAGTAGGGGAGAATGGTGGCTTTATGATTCTCCAATCTTCAGAATTGGGTATATTATTGATTGCTAATCTCTAAACTGGTTAATTCTCTAAAGAAAGTTCATGGCTAGGAGACATATTTGCTTTTTCAGACATCTTAGCAGTACTATGACTGTAGTATATAGTAGGAGCAATTTACTCGATATTAACTTAGGCAGGAAGGAATTTTTGTGCCTTCCAAGTTATTTACTTCACTTTTAGGGCCTGACTTGGTCCAGGTCATATGACCACACAACTAACATATTTTGGCATAATGGCATTTCATTGCTTAAATGCCATAAAATACCAATTTAACTTTTACTTGAGTTCCTCTTCCGATGCTCACCATCATTTTTCAGTGCTCCAAATCCTGTCACAAACATCACATCACCTGGTTGAAACTCATAGGATGCATCAGGGAGACAAACTCTATGTACTGCATTTGTGTAGGGAACAGGGCTAGAAAGCTCTGCAAGAGAAATATCATAGTCATGTGATGGGTGTTTGTATTTTTCATGGACAATTATTCTCCGGAGACCCCGTTTCATTTTCGAAGGTTTTATTGTTACTCCAAAGGAAGCAGTCCATCTGGCAGGGTTCTTATATCTGGGGAGAAAAAAATGAAGAATAAATTTCTTTTTACCATGCTACCAGTCGAATAATTTATATTAAATAATTTAGTCTACAGGTGTAGATTTTTTTTTCTTTTTATAGTTTTGATGTATAGAACTCTTTCCAATTTGATAATAAGGCTCAGGGTTCTGACCAGGTGAAAAAGCCACCATTTCCTATAATATACATGCCACTCCATATGCCAAGTCATCCACTCCAAATGCTAAGGCTTTTTGATTTTTCTGTATATTAATGACTCCAAGGGACCTATGGAAAGTACCCTGTACAGAATAAGAGAAATTAATATATTCTATGTGTCTCATGTACCCCACCCAGAAATATACACATTTCTCTGAAAACCAAAAAGTCCACACAATAATTTAACAAAGTATTATTATTTTATATACTATAGACATTTTGACAATAGATTGAAGGGTCCTCCATTTCTTGCAATATAATTAGTCAATCTATTCATTTATACAACTTGCTACTTCCAAATTCTTCATATCTTCATTACATAATTCTTCGTATTTAATTCTTTTTCTTACCATGTGAAATTTCCCCCTTAGGATCAAACCTACAACCTATCCAGACTCCATCTCTGATTAAGGTACTCAGCAGAGATAGAGCACTCCTGTTTGACAGCAAATTCAAATCCAAAAATGACTTTAAAATTCCTGCTTTCTTTGAGAAACTATTGTGTGTTTATCAAAAGATTATTTATTTACATATACTTTGACTCCATTTCCATTTCCAGACTTTAAAACCTCTTACTAATGTTTACAAATGATCCAGTCTTTTGTGATATACACACTATTTTTAATTTATGCTAAACTCATATCTCCCAAAATTCATGAGGTATTTTCTTGCCAAAACCCAGTGCACTTTGTTCACTCCCAATCATTCTCAAGCTTCAAGACTTACGTTGTAAAACAGTGAGCAGCACTCACAAGCCATGTGGCATTAATTAAGGTTGCTCCACAGCGATGACTCCCATCCCACTGCAGGCTAGCCTGCCAGGGCCATTCACCCTCTTCTACTTCTGTCCCACCAACGATCCTGAGACTCTGACCTAGAGTTTTACTTCTTCGTGTTCCGCAGCCTGCAAAAGAGAGAGGGGGGGTGCATTGGTGGGTGCATTAATTAGCAGTTGTTTTGCACATCAAATTGTGTTACTATGTCCCATATTTCTTCTACTTTGTGCTCCAAAAGTATCAAATGTTTTCTCATGCTCTTACCTTTCTGTAAACTGTAGTGTTTTATTTAGCTAACTCCTGTTCATTTTGTAAAATCTAAATCAGTTGTTACCTCTCTAGGATGCTTTCTCTAACTCCCCTGTCTCCAATCTGGATTAGTTATTACTTTCTTGGTGCTTCCAAAATAATAATAGTAACAAATACACTCTGTGTGTGTGCTTATGTGTATAACAAACACACTCTGTATGTGTGCTTATGTGTATGTATACATACTGACATTGTTTATGACAGGGTTCCTCAACCTTGGCACCACTAACATATTGAACCATTTAATTCTTTGTTGTAGGGGGCTGCCCTGTGCATCATAAGATCTTGGCCTATATACTGTAGATCCACTATAGATGCCAGTAGCCCTCCCCCTATATTCATGACAAAAATGCCACAGTGGGGCATGATAGCTTGGCCAACAATATTTCCCTTGGTTGAGAAGTGTTGTTTAAGAATGATGTGTTCATGAATTAGTCTCATGCACCTAGTCCCATTAAAGTATAAGGTGCTTCAGGTAGAGATATTATATCTTATCCATTTGGAATGCCTGTTGTCTAACACAGTGCTAGCACATGGTAGGTTCCCAATAAATATTGGTGGTGAGAATATATGCTATTTAGGTAATGAGATTATCTTTTGGTTTTGTGTTTAGTTGATTTTAGAAATTAACCAACTATATGAGCTGGTGAGTAGCACATATTTTTCCACCTTTTAAGAGAAATGTAATGTGCAACAACCCCATAACTATTGAATGTATACTGTAAATCATGGTGGCATACTTGGCTATAGGCGAAGAAAAATGCTAGGCCTAGACTCAGCACTTTTATAATATAGGTGAAGATATTATCTATGTGTCTTCAGTAATTTTATTAAAATATACCCCATAATTTCCTGCACTTTCTGTGACTCTTCCATGACCCGATAATTTCCTGCACTTTCGTATTAATCCGTAGGATTAATAACATCAAGAAGATTTTATCTAGGATATAGTGACAATGAGTTTCTGCCTCTAGCTGAAAAACACAATGTATAGATTTGTTTTATCTTATAGATATCTACAAACAGAACATTGATAAGTAAACATTTCTTGCCTCTTCTTTAACAGCTGTACAACTCAATTCCACTACACATCTGCCACAGGCACCCATACATCCACTCCAAAGTTATCTCAATTTTGCTATCCTTTACTAATAAAATGTATCTCCAAGATATGATAAAGTACCATGAACTGTACACAAATTAATCAAACTTTATGTGTTCTGTCCCTATGATATCAACACAAAGTAAACCTAAATGACCTATAGTGTTAGCTTTTTACCTTCAGGTAATGCTATTTTAATAAATATATTAAACTTACAATGGTTTAGATAGCTGTCTGTTTCTGTCTTGTTGATTTCTGAAACACACAGAAATGGCAAATAGGGTCAGCACATCAGAGTTACACTATGCCTCCGAGTATTTCAAATACTAAAAGGCTGCTTAATTTTATTATAAAACAGTATCTCTAGATTATAAAGAAGGCAACATAGCTTGTCATAGACATAGGATGATCATCACATTGCAGAGAATGTGAACGGTGTGTTAAACTTTAATGTGGGTAAGAGTCACATAGGAAGCATATTTATAATGAAACTCCTGTTCACCTTCCCAGTAACTCTAATTCAGTAGCTTGTAATGACGCCCAAGAATTTGGATTTTATACCAGTAAATAAGATGCAGAGAGTCCACAGCCCCTCCATGGGAAATACTACTCTAAACCATAGTATTAATTCCCCAAATGTAACAATACCTTTATTAACCATTATTTCAGATTGTATCATTGAGCTCATAAGCCTAGTCCCATTTGTATAACACACCTGAGTAGCATCTCCATAAATTTGTACTCACTCACAGTTAAAAACAATGTTACCCTTTTTGAAGTCAAATTTCAAAAGACAGTCTGCCCTCAAATTGTCATTTAGCTCCAGCCAATGACTTCTTAGCTTGCTGACTTCTCACTAGTCAGTCTCAAACCCTATGCAAACACTAACCCAGCTAATAGATACATAAAACTCTAAGCTCAAACTTTCTGACTCAGCAGAGTTCTAATGACCAAAACTATTCTTTGTACATGGAAGGATGGATGCTCTAAATGCAAAAATATTATTAGTGTTAATTTTTTTCTTTAGTATTTAATAGTATGAATGAAGTGGAAATCTATATTCTAGAAGGCCTTCTTTCTGACTTTATTTATTCTGGCTACTTGTGGGGAAAATGGCAAAAATAAGGAAGAATTTACAATTTAGTCTCAGTTAATATTAAAAGGACCACCTCTGATCTCTTTGTTTCAAATAACCTGTTCTCTATCTCAAGCTCTTCCTAGGAAAATGTCAAGCTCTGAGTATTGATAGCACTGACAAGGCTGGCTTCATGTGTGACTTATACATCTGCACTGGGTCTCACACTCACAATGGCCTTGTGCTTGGTACAATGCTCTGCTATTGCTCACTTGACATTCTTAATAATTTTATCTTGTAACTTGTGTTTTGAAAATGAAGTTCAATAGGATAATGGATTATAGTGTTGGCAGACAAGATATGTGCAATAAGTGTGTCCATAGTTTCTTTCCACTCCATTTGCATATATCATTCACAATTCCCTATGAAATCAGAATTCTAGTGGACCCACAATCCACAGGGGTTCAGCAAGACTCAAAGCAAGTACAAGGTAAGTGTGCTATCCCTTCCATTAAGTAAGCAGAGGTGGACTGACATGCCTTGGAGGCCATGTTTTCTGTTTGAACCAAAACTTGCTTAGAACCCATAGAAAAGACAATAGCATTCTAATAAACACAAATGAACAACAGATCCTGCCATATCCTTTCTTGCTTCTGTTACTTCTGTGTATTAGCCAACAACTTTTGCTGAAAACTACAATGTAGAAAGAGAAAGATAGGGAAATCCAGATCTCCTTTTCCTTCTAGTCCTTCCTCACCCCTCAATAAGCTGAAGGTAGAGAGTGTTGGTAGAATTTTCTCATATTAACCAGGAAAATAAAAAGAGTCATTAGCCTTTTGTACTATTTCCATTGAGGCAAAAATGAAAAACATGTATGTATAAGCTACGAAATATAGTTGCATAATTTCCATGATTTGAAATACAAGTTAAATGTACTTATATATGCATTTATATCGACATTGCATGATATAAACAATTAAACTCATATTAGTAATCTACAAATTTAATTTTTTTCTCTTAGAATGACAATAATCAGCAAATGAAAACACCATGGAAAGTCGAGAGCGAGACCAGGGAAGAAAGAAAAGTGTTATATCTTTGTACTTTTAACAGCACTTTTTTCTTGCTTTTTGAAAACAGGTCTAGCATTTTCATTTTGTGCTAAGGCGCATAAATTATGTATCTGTCCCTGACTACTGAAGCCTCCTTCCTAAGCAAGTGGGTTGGCTGGCCATCAATTTAGGCATCTACTTAGATCTATCAGATATTATATTAGCAGTTTGTATTCATTCTCTCTACTTGTCCCCTATTCTGTAGTTTCCAGTGCTGCCATATCCACTACTGTATCCACTAGCCACCTGTGGCCAATGAGCTTTTGCAGTGTGGCTAGTCTAAATTGAAATGTACTATCAGTATAAAATGTACGCTAGATTCCAGAGCCTTACTACAAAAAAAAGTGAAATATTTGATGAATAATTAATTTTTACATTGACTATTTGTTTAAATGATAATACTTTGGACATATTGGGTTGAATATACAAATTATTGAAAATTAATTTTACATGTTTATTTTTATTTTTAATGTAACTTCTAGAAAATGTAACATTATACTTGTGCCCAGATAGTATTTCTATAGACCTTCATTGTTCTGTAACATATGAACCAGCCCTTAGCCAGATCTTAATTTCCACTGAGGATCTCATATTTCTTATTTTCTAAATGTGAGGACCTATCATCACTTGTTTTGTCCCATGTGGCCCTACAAACAATAACAACAAGAACAACAAAAATCTACCTAAATTTTTCATTTATAGTTGTAAATATACCAAAAATAAGTTTATTATAAATGTTTCACTGGTGAAAAGTTTAAGGGAAGAAAGTATAGCAAGGTATATTAATGACATTTGAAAACAAATGTGTAAATGGCATGAACCTTTCCATATACCACACCCTCAGAACACACAATGAAAGCAACAAGAAAAAGAAGAAAATACAAAGCCATTTTCTTCACTTATAATTGGATTCTATAGCCAAACTATAAAGTGTAATATAAAGAAAACTGCTAAGGAGTTAATAAAAAGCTTGCATGGGAGGCCTAAGTTTAGGGTAGTCTTAAAAATTAAAATACTTCATTAGGACAAATTTAGTTCCAAAGAAATATACTGTTGGTGGCAAGACCCCAGAATTAAAGGACATCAAAAAAAATTTTTTAATAAGTGCCAAGATCAAACCTAACATGAAGCTGTTCTATGAAAGAAAAATAAGAGAAATTAACTTACTTTTAATTTTAACTGAGTGAGGATCTACTTTAGGGGGTCCTACAGCATCTTGCAGCTTTTCATGTAAAACAAGTTGAACAATTTTATCTACAGTTTCAGGATCCTCAGTAGAGTGAAATCTACAAATCAACAGCATATGAGCCAACACTCCATGCTTCTGTTGACTGTGGGCCAAAAAAGAAGAAAATGAAAGAAAGAAAAGAAAAGAAGAAAGAAAGGCAGGAAGGGAGGGAGGGAGGGAGGGAAGGAGGAAGTGAAGAAAGGAGGGAGGGAGGAAAGAAAGAAAAGAGAAAAGGAAGGAAGGAGAAGGGAAAGGAAAAAGGAAGTGAAGAGAAGGGAATGGAGGGGAGGAAGGAGAGAGAGGGAGAGAGAGAGAAAGAAAAGAAAAGAGAAAAGAAAAGAAAGAAGGGTAATATCACAATCTGCTTTTTTCTTTATCACTTACATGAAATGCACACATAAAATACATCCATAAATGTTTCCTTCTATATTGCTACTGTTTACTATGTGAAGAACCACAAATTCAGCCTCTCATATAGTGAGTTAGTCTGTTCATGGTCTCCCTTACCATCAAAAGGTCTAGTTAAGTATATGGCTATTAATATAAAAAGACACCTTGTCAAAAACCATTCAAAATTATCAAATACAGTGTGTCTTAAATATGAAATCAACTGTGGTTTTGAATTTCAGGTTTTATTCTTGTGACTCAAGTCTACTTACCTCCCCTAAACAATCTTCAGGCTATCCTAAACAACTCCTAATCCTAAAGATATAAGACCGCTTTACCAAATTGTACTGACTTCATGTGACTGTATTTTCAACACAGAGCATTAATTAGTCTTAATACTATTTGTATGAATTACTACCTTGGAATCATCCTGCCAGCTACTTTACCCACTCCTTTTCATAGTCACTTCTGAATCTAACTCTTCACTATATATTGCATCAACCACTACTCTCATAAACTGGAAGTGGGAATACAAATTAGAGTCTTATTTTTGGATGGCAGTGTTATCTATTATAAGTTTGAATATCTGTCTTCTCTGGCACAGCATTTCCACTTCTAGAAATTAAACATTCAAATGCACTCATACATTTGTGCAAGGACATACCTATAAACATGTTAATTGTAACACTATTTTCAGGACACGAAAATAAGTAACAACCCAAGTATCCTAGTTGACAAAGCCAGTGGATTCTTTTCAATATTTATATTACTCAGTCAGGAATATTTGTCAATGCCGACCACACTCTCTTTGAAACTTCTTATCTTTTGCATCAGTGGTGATTTTGTCATGATTTTTCTATTTTCCTGCTCTTTCCCTATATCTAAGTTTCCTATATTCCTTCCATCACCTTAAATATTGGTCTTCAAGCTTTCTTTGTCATCCTTTTCATTCCCTTTTATTATTCTTTTTCTGAGAAATTTACACCCATGCTTCCAAATTTTTGAGTTGATCATGAGCAAATTTCTATCTTCTGCTCAGTTCCATTTCCCTCTACTGAGTCACCCTCATTTTTCAGGTTCATATGGTCCCTTAGAATGTAAATTCAACATCTCCAAAATTGACTTCATCTTTCCAATAAACTTGCTCTTCTCACTATTGCAGTAACAGAAGACAGAATAATGAGTAGCAGTAGCAAGATTACTGGAATAAAGAGGTGAGCAAATTGGAAAGTTATTGGGAAAATAGAATTAGTGGAACTTAGTTATTCATAAAGTATGAGGGGACCAGGAAAGGAAGGAGTGTTTGATGACTTCCAGGTTTCTCATTTATGTGATTGGATTCTTCCTGAGTTAGGGAATTTTCTGTGGAACTTCCACATGGGGATGTGTATATAGTTATAGAAATCAGAAAAATAGTTCAGACTAGAGATAGAAACTTGTATTTCAATAGCATATGAGACCATGTGGGTGAATGAGGTCCCTTTGAGAAAGTGAAACTTAAAGATAAGAGAAGTAGTTGCAGATCCAAGAAAGGGCAGTATCTCAAACACCAGAGAGTACAGAATTTTTAGAAGACAGTGATCAAAGTAATGCCTTAGAGATATCAGCTAAGTAATAGAATGGCAGGAAACTTTTAAAGTTTTGTCATTGGAATAATATTGGAAATAATTCTTATTCTGTTTTTTAATACAAATAATTTGTATTATGTCAATATCTTATTGAAAATTCTTATAATATTTTCCTTAACATTATGTACTAAACCCATTTATCAATGGTTAGTTGACAGATGAGATTTTCTCAGCTACATATTTTGAGAATGGAGGGATGGAATAGAAGAAGATAAAGAAGATTGATTAATAGGAGGAAGAAGAGCTAAAGACAAACCTGATCTACTATATTGTCTTACATGGGGCACTACTTGCCATTAAACCAAGGATGTGTGTTAGGTCTATCTGTATTTAGTACTATCTGTACTTGGTAAGTTTCCCAGAAAACAATTTTATAACATAGGCACCAATTATACCTCTGTCCCCAGCAACCATCTTGCAAATGCTTACTTTGGGATTTAAGGAATGAATAAGGGACTTTGTAACCCATGACTTACACAGGACAAGTGTCAAATGTTTGTTGGATTGAATTATATCTTTAACACTTGAAAACATATTTATTGCTGAGCAGATTAACAGCTTCAACTTTAAATTCAGAAGTCAGCAATTCAGATTTACATACCTGAACTTGATAACCTGAGACTTGACAAATTCTTCCCTTAATGGAGATTTATAAAATGCATTTTTCACCTGTTTGTAAAAATATTCAAAATATATCAGCAAGAACAACTTTCTGAAATTCCACAAATTAATTCAAAGCTTTTTAGAAAATTAAAAAACAAAACAGAGCAAAAAACATTGACATTTCACAGTGAGTGGAACTGAGGAAGCTTGAGGAATCTATTGTGGTTTTCTCAGTGATTTCAACTGAACGCTGTCTTAGGAATGATAGGAGTAGGGAACCGCAGTGGGGCCAGAAGTGATATCTGCTGTACTAATGCTCAGAAAGAGACCAAAGAAAATGAACATGCTGTTTCTTCAAAATTAAGAGTGAGAAATTTTACTCTGAAGTAAGGACTTTTACTGCCCATAGACAAAGGAAATGAAATAATTCTGCCACATAATACTTGGATTATAGAAATGAGTGCATGACCATGTCAAATGCTTCCCAAACCTAGTGACAAAGTTGTCAGTTTTCCTGGCATAATGTACACGAAGTTCAGCACTCCAAGTGCTCTTAAAAAGGCCCAGGTGAACTGGGATACTTAGCCTAACACACCTATGAGTTTTACTCTACTAAAGTGAAAGAGTCTATTTTTGTAGAGACGTTAGTTATTATTCTAAATAAGAATTCTAGGCAACTTAATTTTTTAATTAGGAGTTTATGTAAGGAAACACTCAAAGGTGTCTTGTTTCCAGTATGTGGATATTTAGTAAACACTTACTACATGCTGGTGATTAACAGAAGCAATGAGCCTTTTAATTCTTTCTTACATTTTATTAATTCCGAATTTTTTTACTAAGGACACTTCTTGCAATTATGAGACAAAGCTGAATAGCAGAAGTCCTCTGAATAGGATGGCAGTATTCACAAGAAAATTTTTATTTAAGGGTTAATTTTTGTCAAGTAACTTCAAAACTATTATTAATTTTGAAGGCATTAAAGAGCCTTATGTATATTCCTTTAGATTTAAATCTGTCTGGATTTTATTTACTTAAATAAAATTTATTTGAATGAATGGCACAAAGAACAAGGGAAATAGTGGCATCTCTTCTTGACCTTTTTAATTCAATTTCATTTCCTTCATTTTGCATATGTATTTAGCCTTAGAGAAGAGCCTGGTCAAATATTTCCCTGATTTGGTGTTTGCAAGTGCAAATGTAACCAGGATTCAACCACTGTCTCAGCAAGGTGGCCAAATCCCCAGGCTTCTGTCTACTGGGCGGTTTCCAGGGTCTCACTTCCATTCTTATTCAGGTTATTGGAACTGGAAGACAATTTGGAAATTATCTAACCTAATACCTTAATTTTCAATTTACAGAACTTTGTGCAGAATGATAAACTAATATTCCAAGTGATGTATCATTACCTAGTAGATACCATTGGAGATACATGTGCCTCCCAGCTCCCAGTTCAGTGTTCTTTCCATCACATTATATCATGAATTACCTCACAGGTTTCCAGGAAAAGTTAAATTATTCTTTAATTAATCTGATAATGACAAGAAGTTACCACTTAGGCCCTTGTTCTTTTGGCCCATGCTGCTAATTTTTCCAGTTTCTTAAGTATTTAATTGATCCCTCAAGATGAATGTTGATGCGTTAAGGGTAGAGTTGCTTATCTGTGGATTTACATACCAAAAGCTAGTTGAAGGTTAAATATTTTTAAAAACTGGGTAGAGTTGCATATCTGTGGATTTACTACAGATTTATATACCAAAAGCTGGTTGAAGGTTAGATATTTTTAAAACCTAACAGACTATTTAGGTATGTGCCTAAATAGTTTCAATCTTGGCAATCTTCTGCTCGGGGTCTCTTTTTTAGGAAGTCTAGGATACAACAAATATATTTTAAGCCACACTCACATTTCCAGAATCTCTGGACTCTACTGATCAAGAGTATATCACTAGCTAAGGAAAGGTGAGTAAGAAGGACCTGACCGAATGGCTAAAGTTTCTTTGGTTCAACCCTGTGAGTCATATTGTGCTAAGTGATGTATTGTCCATTTTGTTTTATATTCCTTGGGTTAGGGCCTCTTTTCATTTTGCAAATACACAGGGATCCGTTAGTTGAATGGATCTTTTAGAAGCTAGGATGCTAAAAATATGGTAAAAAGTGAAAGCAAATGCACTAGAAGTAGATGACAAGTTGCTTACCATTGATTCAAGTCTCTGGCTCATTTCTGTAAAATTGTTAGAAGCCTCTCTGCCAAACTCAGCATATAGTTTGTCAGTTGTAAATGACAATGTGCTATAGTAATTGTAGGTCTTCTTTTGATCTACAAGGAAAGAAGCAAAACACTATCATAATTTTTATCAGATGTGTGTAAAGCATCATTATATCCCCGCTTGGTGGTTGCTGGAAGACTGAAACAGGAAGGAATGCTCTTAGCACAGGTCATCATCATCATCCTGCCCCAGGCCTCATAGTTATCTCAGGATAAAAAACAACAACATTTATCATCATGTGATTTAGAGAATAAAAGCTGTAAGAAATGCCTGGTGTTCCTGGAGTACTGTACAAGTAGCTCATTGGAACAGTGGGCTGATTATTCATGTGTTACTCATTCCTAAGTAAGCCACAAGAGACAGCAAGTCATGCCATCTGAGCATACAAACAGGGATGGATTCAGAAGCCTCCCAAGGGTCACTGCATTTTTATATTCCAAACATAGATTTTCTTTTCCCTTCCATCAACTATACATCAATTCTGGCCGCAAGAACTCTAGTTTGAGAAAATTTATTTTGGCTGAAAAGGAAGATGAGGTTAGGAATTAAAATGCAAGGGATTCAGTAAATGGAAGTTTAGGGAGCTAAAGTTGCCACCTGGCATAACCTTCCAGGGACACTATTTAGTTTCACCTGGGTCCCTTGTCACTGCATGTATGTTTTTCCCACCAACCACAGGGGTTGGCTTGTCTGCTCCTTAGCCACTGTCTCTACATTCTGCATTCAATTTAAGCAACCCACATTTTTGACCTGCTGAAAAGTTAATGTGATATAACTTTTCCTCTACCCTCCAGTGCATAAAGCAAGCAGACAGCCCTCAGAAAATTAATGTATTCATTCAACAAATATTAATGCCAACCACTTTTCAGGAAGAGACACTGTGTCAACCATTAGAAATACACTGGTGATCAAGACAGTTGTATATAGTTACTATAGGAAAGCAGACTGTGGCTCATCCAGTCACAGTCTCTCTCCTCCTTTCTCTTCCTCCCTATTCTTTCCCTCTTCACTTAAACCACAGAAGAAAAGGAAACTAACACTGGACACCAGTGTCCCTAGTACATTCACATATCTCATTTAATTTACAATAACTCCATGAAAAGGCAATGTTATCCACATTTAATAGATTACAGTCTTGGAAATGTAAATAACTTGCCCAAGTCCAGCAGGACATAGCCAAGACTAACTCCCAAAGTACCCACTTACTTCACATGCTGCTTCTTAGAGTAGGAAAAAAAGCCACTTATTAAAGCTAGAGGACAAATCTTTTGTTGTATAAAAGTTATGCAAAAAACTACTGGTGTATTTCAAATAAAACACCCTGGCCATCCAGAGGATTTGATGGGACAGAGAGGGAAGCAGCCATCAGACTCTGACAAGGGCTTGGGTGCGGTTGGTGATGAATAAAAGAGATGAATGGCAGGCAGGAGACACTGAAAGTTGAGTCACCAGAGTACAAGAGACCTAAGTGAAGGACTTGGGAGGTTTTACTCTTCCTCCATCCTTCCTCACCTCCCTTTCTCTGAATGGCCAGGGTGACATGAAATTCAGGCAGGTACCTGGAAATATACATAACTTCAAGTAAGATTTTAAATTTATTGAAATACTGGGAAATAACTCATAACTATCTCTGTAAACTACTGTTCTACTACATTTGTATTTTTTAACATCTGCCTCATAGTTAACTATAACTCTCTGTGGAGTTGTATCCATTCTTCTAGAATTCTGCTTCAAATTTTAATGTGAAAGTGAACTGCCTAGGGAGCCTGTTAAAATGCACATTCTGGTACATGAGGTCTAAAGTTAGACTCAAGATTTTGCATTTCTAACAAGCTAGCAAGTGATGTTGATGCTTCTGGTAGCTAATCACATATTAAATAGCAAGATTCTAGACAGAATGCTAACAGACCCTTCTACACCCTTAAATGTAGTTTTTTGGCTTATTAGATTGAATGATTTAAAATCACCATTAGTACAGGTCAAAAATAGTCAAATATTGGCAATTTCATATGGTTTAACCAAGTTAACAATTTATTATCTGTGCTCAGTATTTTACTTTACCCTGTAGACTTAAGCATGCCACTGTTAAAACATATTACCAGCTGCCATAAATATATGGTATGAGTAGTTACTAAAATATGTTGGGAATATTAACAGAAAAGTTAAAAATAAGGATAAACATGAGTTTGTTGGTAAATTTCTAGCAGTTTTGTGATTCTATAATCTGCAGTGATGTTGCTTATAACAGATTCATCTTCTGACATCCAAATTACACAGGGGCAGAAATGCACCCCCAAAGGCCCCAGACACGAACCATACACAGAATTCTACATTGTCCTGGGCTTTATGAAATGAGAACCAAAATGATATTTTTCCAAATCTGATTACCTTTGTCTGTATCTGTCTATTTCTGTGACAGATTTTTTTGGTTTGGTTTGATTTGGTTATTTTGGCATGTCAGCTTCTAAATATTTGTCTGCCAAAGCCACTCGGTTAGTTTACATCCCAAAACAGAAAGCAGGTCACAAATAGAAGGCAGTAACACACATCACAACAATCACTGTTTATTCAGGTGTACTGTGTGGGCAGTAGAAGCTGTGTGTTCAGTATTACTCAGTTGATCATCCAAACAACAGGATTCAGGAACAGGTTACTGAAAAAATTCTTGCCAAGTTTTCACTGTATACATATGAGTAAGATTTATGAATCTTATAAAACTTGGCTTGGGAAGAGGCAAATGAGAAGTAGAAAGGGACATTTTCTCTCACTGAGGTGATTAGCCCCTAGTGTTACTAGGAATTCCTTGTGAAGTCAGACAAGCCGAAGTATGGCCCAAGAAAATATTGTAGGCATGATTCATTTGATATTATCATTCAGTATTTAATAAATATTTATAAAGCACATAACATGTGCCAAGATTCTGATAAATTCTAGACACACAAAAGTGTGTAAAACAGTCCTAGACATCCATGGGGACAAATAATGATGCTTACAACAAAGTAGGACTCAATATTCTCAGCAGAACTGTAGAACTATAAAGTTATTCCAGCAATTCATTTTTATTTAAAGTATGCTTCAGTCCCAGCACAGTGGCTTATGCCTGTAATCCCAACACTTTGGGAGGCCAAGGAAGGCAGATCTTTTGAGGTCAGAAGTTCGAGACCAGCCTGACGAACATGGTGAAACCCTGTCTCTGCTAAAAATAGAAAAAATTAGCCGGGTGTGGTGGCGCATGCCTGTAATCTCAGCTACTCAGGAGGCTGAGGCACAAAAATCACTTGAACCCAGGAGGCAGGGGTTGCAGTGAGCCGAGATCGAGCCACTGCACTCCAGCCTGGGAACAGACCAAGACTCCGTCTCAAAAAGCAAAAAAAAAGTGTGCTACAGAAAAATCTGTTATTAATATGCAGATACTCCAAATTTAAAGACTTGCCTGTATGCAAATTCTACCAAAAAAATCTTTGTTTTAAATATTTTTTTAAACTATCCAGAAATGATCCACCTTGCTTTGTAAATTGAGATTATACTTGCGTGGATAGTAGAGGAAGATAACCAGGTTACAGAGTACTCTTTCTCGTTACTGGAAAGAAACTTCAACAAGGTCCCAATTAAATTAGAATCAAGTTATTAGCTTCTATGGTTACGGTGCCTTGAACATCCAAGTATAATCTAGTAACAGAGGAAGATATTAAACTAACAGGTCATGGTTGAGTCAAGTAATTAAAACCCTAGGCAGAGTAGGAGGAAACTTCAGAAGGGCTGTTACATCCCAGAATAACAGTTCTGAAGTACCCTGGAGACCTTTCTAATAACATAGCAACTAACAGTTCATCTAGCAATGAGGTACCTGATAACCGCAGGGTGAACATCTTTATAATTAGCTTTCTTGGCATACCCTATCCTCTTTAATCACCTACAATATATCCTAAGATGAGATTTTAATAACAGAAATAGGCACTTACTCAACAATACATCACTATGACTATTTTTGTAACTTACTGGTACAGAATAGAGCCTACTTCTTTATGACTCCAGATTGTGTCATTGATTTATTGGGATGTCAGGACTTCAACGAGTTGGATTTTTTTTTTTCTTTTTGAGACCGAGTCTCTCTCTCTTGCCCAGACTGGAGTGCAGCGGTGTGATCTCGGCTCACTGAAACCTCCGCCTCCTGGGTTCAAGTGATTCTCCTGCCTCAGCCTCCCCAGGAACTGGGACTACAGGTGTACACCATCACACCTGGCTATTTTTTTTTTTTTTTTTTTTAGTAGACACGGGGTTTCACCATGTTGGCCAGCCTGGTCTCAAACTCCTGACCTCAAGTGATCCACCCGCCTCAGCCTCCCAAAGTGCTGAGATTACAGGCGTGAGCCACTGCACCCGGTCAGAATTATTTTAAATCAAGATGCTTGCCCTGTGACCTCAAACAACTCAAGACATTGGTTCTAGCTATCCTGTAGTTTTCCTTTGATTAATACTCACTTATTGCTTATTAAGGAAGATGCAAATAAGCATGCTGTTCCCAGCAGAAAGCATCACTACATCAAAGATAGAAAAAAGAATCCTCCTTGACTTATGAGGACTAAATAAGAGAGAAAGCAGGTAAAGATCCCTTTGTACAGGCTATGCAAATGAATCGTAGTGATAAATGAATAAGCCTGAGGCAAATCAAAACAGCAAGGTATGAGGAAATATTTGGGGTAAATCACATGATGCCAAGGCAGCTTATACTTACTATATCTCACATAATGAACAGTGAGTCCAATGCACACTGCCAGGACAATCAGGGATATGAAGATGACGAGGCCGATAACCCAGGGTTCCCAACAAACTCTTTTCCTAGCCCTCACCACATCTGGCCTAAGGAAGAAAATAAATAGATAGATTATTTCAGAGCATGCAACACATCCACTCATTAGACAAAACAGATATTTTGGGGGAATAAAGGACATTCAGTTGGAGGGTCGTGTACTGTCTGGGTTTAGAGCACACCCTGGTTCCAGGCTGCTGAGGCCAGTCCTGACTCTGACTCCTGTTGCTAGGCAAGTAGTTTGACTTTTGTGCTTGGGTTTCCTCATCCATAAAAGGAAGATGATAATGATAGTACCTATTTCATATGATTATTGTGAGGATTAAATGAAGTACTACATATAAAGTGCCTGTAACAATGCCTGACATGTAGAAAAGTGCAATATTAAATGTTAGCTATCACTTGTTGAGCCAGCCATGTACTTGATATAGAGTTAGACACTGCAGGGGCTACAAAAATATTTTAAGCCTTTTCTCTAGCACTCTAGAATCTTAAATAGCCTTTGAAGTGTGTTACAGCTTGAAGCATACCAGGTTTCACATGGAGTTGCTAATTCTATTCTTCTAATTTTCTGATCTATTTCCAAACCAAACTTTGAGGATACATAGAAGAAACAACCAGAGGCCCCTTCCTAAAGAACCTGAGGTTTTGAGCTAATATTTACCTTTAAGCTTTAATGATGCTACAGAAGGCCGGGCACGGTGGCTCACGCCTATAATCCCAGCACTTTGGGAGGCCGAGGCGGGCGGATCATGAGGTCGGGAGATCAAGACCATCCTGGCTAACATGGTGAAACCCCGTCTCTACTAAAAATACAAAAAAATTAGCCGGGCATGGTGGCAGGCGCCTGTAGTCCCAGCTACTCTGGAGGCTGAGGCAGGAGAATGGCGTGAACCTGGGAGGCGGAGCTTGGAGTGAGCTAAGATCGGGCCACTGCACTCCAGCCTGGGCGGTAGAGCGAGACTCCGTCTTAAAAAAAAAAAAAAAGCTACAGGAAATTCTTTTTGCATGAGATTCCCTCAACTTCTATTTGTTCTGCCTTCAAAAATACATGTTACTGAAAAACATTGATCCACATGATTTTTGTTTGATTGGTAAAGTTGCTGTCCCATTGGGTTATAATATTTGGTAAGCAAACTCTAAAGCCAGAAATGTGAAATAATAAGTCAGAGATGACTAAGGAGTTTGAATATGATACTCTTATTTTAGATTTCTTGAGGTATTTACGCCAGTGTGTGCTATGCTTTTTTCTTTTTTCTAGAGTGCTAACTGTCTGCTACATGAGGACTTGAGGAAAACATGGTATTCTCCTGGAGGAGTACTGGGTGTTGAATCAGAATAAGGAGAATTCTAAGTGCAGCCCTTTCATTAACAGATCAGCGACGGAAAAATCATTTAAACTCTGAGCTCAATTTCCCCATATATCAGTAAGGGGCGGGATAACCATTCCGTCTAAAGCACTTTGGGACCTAAAATTAGATCATGAACGTGTAAACAGCAAAGCATTTCACAATAAATGCCTTTTGTTTACAGAAAACAAGAACGCTCTGTTTCCTGATGATATAGGATCAGGAAGTGATAATATTATCATGTTGGCCCCTGTCACACCATCATTAGATCCTGGCTCTGGCTGGACACAAAATAAAGAGCATTGGCATAGAAGTCAATGGTGTTATCATCGCTGTATAATCCTGTCCCTGGGAAAGGGACTGAGATGTAGTGGAAGGCTCCAGGGGCTCTGCTTGTTCTCCTGCCTTGTTCCTGTGATTTTTCCACGGGGCCGTAACCAGGGAAGCTTTTATCTTACTCTCCTCAACCTTTCCCATCTCCAGTTTTCCCTTGAGTAGAATTCCAAACACCTGTTCCTAGAATGTCAATTACTGCAATATAAAAAGTCTTCTCCACAATGAGATTATGTTTTATGTGCAACTGAGCCTAAGAAACCCCCAAAACTGACTCTTCTTCCTTCATCCCTGAATGCTTGCTATTAATCTGTTACAGAAGAAAGGAGATGGGTATAACACACGTAAGCAAAACTTTGGGGGGAATACAGGGAGAGAAGGGTTTCTCAACTAATATCAAAACATGTCAGATGAAGAAAATGAATGTGTGCTTGTAGAAAACATGAAATTATCAAAAGTATATGATTGTTATATAGAATTGTGAAATATTAGACACGTTCTATTTGTTCTACAGTAAGTTTTAATCAAGACAAAAATGTAAGCAATGCAGCCATTCTATTGATGAAGTAGGTTTCATGTATTAACATTAAAAAGGTTAATGATAAGTTTCAATTTTAAAAAGTTATAGAATAATATGCATTTCATGTTTCGGTTTTCATAAATAATGAAACTATATATGTGTGTGCATAACAAAATATATAGAAGACACAACCAATATTTATTAGTAAGAAGCCGAATAACAAATAAGTGAGAAATTTTAATTTTAATTTATGGATTTGTTTGTTTTATGGTGGATTTTTTAAGAACAACATTATGGCGTTTGAATTAAAAAAAAGAGAGCGAGAGACATAGGACATTCTTAAAATATGAAAAAAAAACTAAGGAAGATTATATATGTATTTTCATGGAATTTACATCACTGCAGTGTCCAAGGTACCACTGTGATTCTTCTTCTGACCCCCACCTTTCCACATTACTCACAACTATTTTAGTGACATGCTCTCCTGAGTGGCTAGAAGTAGACAAAAGGGATAATATGGGACAAAGGAAAAAGAGAATCCAGTCAAAAATACTTTGAATAAACAATTAAGAGATTATATTTCTGAGCCCTGCCACCAACTCATTTATTATATAGTCTTGTACGCAGAGATTCAATTATCTGTCTTAATTTCTCCATATGAAAAACAAGGATAATAAGTCCAGACCCCTCCTAACCTAATGAGCTAGGTAGAGATAAAAATGAGAAGGCGGTTTGGTACTTTGAGCTCCCAAGTGGAAAAATCATTGTACAAATAACGAGGATGATAATTATCATCATCATTATTTTAATTATTAGTAATAGTGGTAATGACCACATTACTAAGATGTTTGTCACTTGAAACATTATTTGTTCTTTTCCCAGTCTGTATAGCATTGTTTTTCAAACTGATTCACCCTATTTTTTAGCTTTTTTGAGATATAATTGATCCTATTTCTTAGTTACTTTTTTATTTTCTCAGTAAGTGATTCAATACTGAATTCCTCCAAATTAGATGTGAAAAAAGTATGCTCAAAGAAAGTAGTAAAGTGAAGGAATAAATTTATTTTACATATCAACAGACGTTTGTATAATTAACCTCCTCCTGAACATACATAAACACTTGTCCAGTCAATATTTTCATCTATCAAAACTTATGTGCACCTATTCGTGTAAAATCACCTTCAGATAGACTGATTGAATTCTAACAGCTTTAGTAATATCAAATTTCTTTCTTTATATGATTTTCTTTTCAATCTGGAGACATGTATAATTAGTGACAAGTCAAGTGAATATAACAGTTAAAGTATGCTTTGTTTTTTTAGCCCCAAATTGCCAGAAAACAAGCAATATGCTTAGGCTGCATTATTATTATTGCTTATTAATGTGTAATTTTTAGAATAGTGCTAAAAAAGAAAAGCAGCAGCAACAGCAAAAAGACAAGGGGAAAATGTACTAGTGCAAATAAAGCTAATGGCAAGCACTGGAAAATGACAAGTCAAGGCTCAGTGTTTCAAAGAAAAATTTACCAGAAGAAGCCTCTTCACAGCAATACCACCAATCAATAGTTGGTCTTTTAAAAAAAGAAAAATTATACTTTAAGTTTTGGGGTACATGGGCAGAATGTGCAGGTGTGTTACATAGGTATACACGTGCCATGGTGGTTTGCTGCACCCATCAACCCATCATCTACATTAGGTATTTCTCCTAATACTATCCCTCCCCTAGCCCCCCACCCACTGATAGGCCCCAGTGTATGATGTTCTGCTCCCTGTGTCCATGTATTCTCATTGTTTAACTCCCACTTATGAGTGAAAACATGCAGTATTTGGTTTTCTGTTCCTGTGTTAGTTTGCTGAGAATGATGGTTTCCGGCTTCATCCGTGTCCCTGCAAAGAACATGAACTCATCCTCTTTTATGGCTGCATAGTATTCCATGGTGTATATGTGCCATGTTTTCTTTATCCAGTCTATCATTGAAGAAGAAATGAGATACGTATAACAGACATCATTGATGGGCATTTGGGTTGGTTCCAAGTCTTTGCTATTGTGAACAGTGCCGCAATAAACATACGTGTGCATGTGTCTTTATAGTAGCATGATTTATAATCCTTTTGGTATATACCCAGTAATGGGATGTCTGGGTCAAATAGTATTTCTGGTTCTAGATCCTTGAGGAATCACCACACTGTCTTCCACAATGGTTGAACTAATTTACACTCCCACCAACAGTGTAAAAATGTCCCTATTTCTCCACATCCTCTCCAACATCTGTTGTTTCCTGACTTTTTAATGATCGCCATTCTAACTGGCATGAGATGGTACTCATTGTGGTTTTGATTTGCATTTCTCTGATGAACAGTGATGATGAGCTTTTTTTCATATGTTTGTTGGCTGCATAAATGTCTTCTTTTGAGAAGTGTCTGTTCATATCCTTTGCCTACTTTTTTATGGGGTTGTTTTCTTCTTGTAAATTTAAGTTCTTTGTAGATTCTGCATATTAGCCCTTTGTCAGATAAATAGATTGCAAAAATTTTCTCCCATTCTCTAGGTTGCCTGTTCACTCTGATGATAGTTTCTTTTGTTGTGCAGAGGCTCTTTAGTTTAATTAGATCCCATTTGTCAATTTTGGCTTCTGTTGCCATTGCTTTTGGTGTTTTAGTCATGAAGTCTTTGCCCATGCCTATGTCCTGAATGGTATTGCCTAGGTTTTCTTCTAGAGTTTTTATGGTTTTAGGTCTTACATTTAAGTTTAATCCATCTTGAGTTAATTTTTGTTTAAGGTGTAAGGAAGAGGTCCACTTTCAGTTTTCTGCATATGACTAGCCAATTTTCTCAACACCATTGATTAAATAGGGAATCCTTTCCTCATTGCTTGTTTTTGTCAGGTTTGTCAAAGATCAGATGGTTGCAGATGTGTGGCATTATTTCTGAGGCCTCTGTTCTGTTCCATTGGTCTATATATTTGTTTTGGCATATGATATGTATTTGACCGTAGCTTAGCTCATAGGATTGTGCCTGCTTATCCTATCAACAAAAGTATTTGAGATGTGTTTTACTTTGTGAAAAGCCCAAACCAGCAAGCATTGGTGACATAATTAATCCTTCTCACACTTTCTAGAACAGGACTATAAAAATATCCACAGTAGAAATAAAACAGAATATCATATATACGTGCATGGATTATATATTTTCATTGCTGTTTTTTTAAAAAAAGAAGAAATACAAGCAAATTACTCCACATAAAATTACAAATAACATATTTCTGTCCTATCCACTGGAAGATAAAACACATCTATAAGTATCTGATAGCATCAGCCAGGCGCTTGGGCTGAATCACAATGTTTGCATTCCCTACCATAATAATTACGGCTAGTTCTCATAGAGAAGTTACAAAACCCAGAGTTTAACTATTTCTGTTTAGCCAACCATAAAACTTACGTGACAGTATCTTTCCCTTACCTTTAAAAGGAGGTTGTGAAGATTGCATATGATATCAATAGACTTTGTTAGATAGGTGTACTACATAAATATTAGTGGCAACTCAACAGTAAGGAATGTCTCTGACCTCCACTGTGATTATCATCAAGGTTTTATTAAGTTCCCAACTAAATATGGTACAGCACAGGTGACTACAAACTGATATTTAAGTTGACACTTGGCCTGATCTCTAGAAATTTGCAACTACATACAGATAGGTGGGTTGCAAAAAAATTAAAGATATTATTAAGTAATTAGTTATGGGTTTATAGACTTAAACTAAGCTACTGAAGTTTGAATTCTACTAATATATTTGCTTTCTTTTCCTCAAACTCTTTTTAGTTCAAGATAATAAACTGGCATTACCTGAGCAACTTTATACACAACAATATCCCACAGCAAAGTTAACGAGCGATGCCATTGCAGCCAATCATAGGGAATTTTACACACTTCAAAATGTGGAAGAAAAATAAGAATTAACAAGCAGTGTGCTGATATCACTGCAAGTGTATCAGAAGAAAAATGATTGAGAAACCTGAGCTAGAGACACTCTTGTGGCTGCTAATATATAGCTTGAGACTTTCAGAAACTTTTTAAAATTTTAGCTGTCTTCCTACCAAATCTTCTTCTTGACATTGTCTAGATGACTCCAAGAAAGTTTGCATGATAGAATGGAAGTAGATCTAAACTGTAAAACCAGTAACCTATGTCTTAGTGTTAGTTCAAACAGATGAGAAATCTGAGAGCATACTCCACATCAAACGAGTTCCAGCATCCCCTGAGCCCCAACTTGTATGATATTGAGAGCTCTCCTTTTCTTCACATGTTAAAAAATCAGCGGAAATTTAAATTGATCTAAATGGTCTTCAATTTTCATCCAAGCTAATGTTCCATGCCTCACATAACACAAAAAGTTACATATCCTAATTAAAATTCAGCATTTGTTAAACAATCAGACTTCAGGCAATTTTTCAAATGCCTCATTTTTCTGTTGACTACAATGTCAGATAATTTGAAATAATTTGCAGTCAAACTAAGAGACTACAAGTTATTTGAAACAATCTAAATACCATACCTGAGAAAGCCAGACTTTGAAAATCATACTTTACTACTTGTATTGAGAAGTTGGTTAAGGGGTACAAATGTATAGATAGAAGGAATAAGTTCTACCATTCAGTACAGTAGGGAAATTTTAGTTAACAATATCTTGTTTTGCATTTCAAAATAGCTAGAAGAGAACTGTAATATTTCCAACACAAGATGGTCATAGACATCCCAGTTACCTTGATTTGATCATTACACATTGCATACAAGCATCAAAATATCACAGATACCCCCAAAATATGTATAACTACTATACACCAACTTTTTAAAATCTCTAGACCCTGATTAAAATGTGCCTGAATGTGACAGTTGGGCCACATGCTGACACCTTGTTGTGTCCTCTGGCTTGCTGTTTCCTTAGAAAGCACTCTAAACCATACACCAAGAATTCTTTAGACAGTCTAGAAATTTCTACATGTAACAAAATTCTATCTGAATTAATTCAGCAATGAGGAGAAATTGAAAAATGTATAGACCCTCTCGATGTTTAAATAATTCTTCCAAAATGAAAAGTGAGTTTTCCTGATTAAAGAATTTTCTGCCCCAGTTATCGACCTGAAATATATGTAAGAATTCAGTTTTAATTTTTGGATGGTACATAAAATTTATGAAATTTTTTATTATATACTCACCTTGACAATTACGTTCTAATATATTGGCATTTAATAATAACATAGTGAAATAAGCTCAGGTTCATATTAGAATAAAGTAGGATTTCTGTGCAAATTAATACCATAAAAATTATAAGAAATGCATTATTTTACCCAAAAGAACAAATACTTTTAGTTACCAATGTCCATGCGTTTAATTCATATCTATATACTGATGACTACCAAATCTATAACTGCAGCTCAGCTCACTTGCCTACACTTCAAAACTATATATCCACCAGCCTATGTTCATCACAATGGGCTATACCTCTTACCATTCAAACTTAATACAGCTATACTAGAAACTCCTAGACGCCTATCCCAAATATTTATTCTTTTTTTTCTAATAACAGAAACCTTGATCTTTGGTTAGGCACACAGCCACCAGAAAAATCAAATAGTGCCCCTTGTCCATAAGAGTCAGCATATGAATACTTTCTTTCCAATGGAGTCTCTATTTTGTTGGCTGGAATCCTAATGTGCATTTCATAGTTAGAATACATATGTGCTAGTTGAAGCATGGATTGCCACAGTAGACCAGGATTTGGAAGACACGTAATCAAGCTGGTAGGACAGCACAATAGTAGGAGACTAGATTCCTAATTATTTTGTGAACCTCCCTATTAGCTCTTACCTGCCTATCTCCAGAATTGTTTCACATTAAACGGAATAAAATTCCATTTTATGTAATCCCCTGTTACTCTGGGTTTCCTGTCACTCGTAGCTAAATCCGATACTATTATAATATGCAAAACAGATTGTTGCAATCAAGGGAAATTGCCACTTTCACATAATGATCTTTGGGAAAAGAGGACATGAAGACGTGTATTTACTAATTCTCTTGCAAATTCTGTATATGTGAAAGATGGTAAACTATTTTAACTTAATTTTCTCTAGCAGCATAATTTTGAGATACAATTAATAATTATAATATTAATATATCAGAAGACCAAGGTTCTAGTCAAGAGCCTCTTTGTAACAAGCTCTATGACTTTAAGCAAATGACTTCCATTTTCTTGTTTAGTGGATAAAGACTTGGGCTTAGGCATCAAACAGCTTGGGATTAGTCCTAACTGCCTGTTACTAGTTAGGTGGCTCTAGGAAAGTTACTCACCTTCTCTAAATCTACATTTCCCCACCCACAAATGGAGATAATGATAAGACCTAACTCAGAAGATTCTTCTGAAGATTAAATAAAGTAACACAAGGGAGATGGCACCATGCCAGGCACACAGTAAATACACCACAAAAGTTGGCCATTGTCATTATTTCCTCTTTCATAATGAAAAATTAGCTTTAAGGTGGGTTGAAAAATCCACTCAGATGCCTCACGTATGCCTAAGGGAATAAAAGACAGGAAGGTAGAGGAAGCTTCTAGCCTCTATCCCACTCCACCCACAGCAATTCTGCTCCAAACATCAAGGGTCTGCATTAAGCTTCCAGTGCAAAAAGGGATTCAACTAGTAAAGAAAACTTTAAAAAGCGTTCATCTTCGGACCCATCCAATTCAGAGATTTGAGTCAGGCAGCTGCCAGTTGTCCTACAGTTTAGTACAAGAATTCATTACCCTGTTTTTAAAAGGCCAAATATAGCTTTATTGTTGAATCAAATAATGTATCCCCAAATGCCTAATAATGACTTGAATGTACTATATAATTAAAAGATTGGTTTGAAATATTTTTAAAGTGTTCATTTATTATCTTTGGTATTTTCTGAATTAGGAAAGTTGAAACACTAAGATAAAGTAATTTTTTGAAAGCCAAGGTAAGTTATCTGTGCTTCACCAAAGAAGCACTTCTGATCCCAGAATCATGACCTGGCAGAAGCCAGGACTAGAAAGCACAGGGCTGATGTGAGAACAGGTGTGCTCAGATTCCAGCTCTACCAGTCACTTAGCAGAGATTTGGAAGTCTCAGTCTTCCTAATTTTTGGTTTCCCTAGCTGTAAAGTCATGGTAATATTAAAATTATCTGATTCTCAGTGTTGTAAAGTACCAAATGAGAAAACATATGTTGAAATTACATATGTAGCATATTTACGTCAAATAATATTTTTATTGTTACGATATGTACCCTCTCTAAATTTTACTAACTGTGACCTGACAAAATTTAATGTAAAGTAACTAATTTTAAATGGGCCACATATTTTCATACAAGCTTAAATGGTAATAGTAATAAAAATAACAATAATATGTCTTGGGTCATGTAGCCACCGGTGTTAATTTAACTCTTCTGTTTGACTGTATTGACATCAGTATACAGGTGAAGTGGGAGGACAGACTACATCTCTGTCTTGACTGACTCACCCATTCCTGTGGCCACATGCAAATTATCTCATCTTTGAGCATTTTGTTCCCTTCCTTTAGAGAATGCATACAGCAATGCTTCCTATCCACTGGCCTTAGAGGTCTACTTTAAAGATCATCCATAACAATGTTTCTTGAAAATGTAAATTTTTCACCTTTTAAGACAGTAAGTCAGTTAAATCAAAGTAGTAAAAGAACCACTTAGGCAGACAAAGGAGACATTGTGAGGGTGGTATAGCACTGTGATTAAGAGCATAGGCTTTGAAGTCAGATAGACCCTGGTTAACCATCAGTTCTGCCTTTTATTATTACCCCTGGGCAAAAAAAAATTACCTGTCTGAGCCTCATTTTTCTCATCTGTAAAATGAGTATGATAATATAACCATAGGTTGATATAAAGTTTAAATGCATATGATGTTTTAAGACAGTAGTTGGCAGATAGTACATGTGAAACTAAAGATAGCAATTATTATTTTGTCCTGCACTGACTCACAGTTCAACTTTAAACAAAGTGCTAAATCCCTCTGTGTCTGCTTTTGCAGTTTCAAAACAGAGATATCATCTGACATTTTCAGATAAAAGGTTGCAAAATAGAATTTAAATATGCCTGTATAGTACTTTGGATCCCCCTAAGATTAGTTCTATCATCTTAGAATTGCAATTCTAAAAATTGCCCTACCACACAGGCCATGTGTGTACATGGGAGAAGAAGGTTGGGCTTACAGGTTCTGGCATGACTCAGTGTTTCTGCAGCCCATTTTTCTTTCTCAGCCTCTTAAAACCTTCCTTCTCTCTAGTCCAGTCATTTTAAACCTATTAAAACCTGAAAATGTGAAAGTATTCTTCACAGTTCTTAGCTATTATCTTCAATGAGAGCAGATCCAAAGGAGCGCACTTGAAGAACTTCTCTGTGCAGTTTCTCTAAACTCTAACCCTGATAGAGCCATAAAACAAGCCAGAGAACCCATTTTACCTCCTACCCTTCCAGAAGACCTGCTTCACGACTGTTCAATCTACCTCTTTCACAAGCACTAAAACCATCAGGCATGCTTATAAATCTCAGTGCTAATACGGAAACACACGACACTGCTATTTTTCATGTTTCTCTGGATTGTTTCTATTTATTTTCTCTTTAAGTTGAAGCAATGACATATTTTTGGAGGAAAGCAGACAACAATGACAGAACAACAAAGATTCATTTAGCAGACAGCTACTGCAGACCAGTGAATTAGTTCCATGAAATATTGCTCTAAGATAAACATGATTTTCACAATATAGCAAATGTAATCCTTTTTAGAAAACAGAGATGATGTAGTTAAAGTGCTATACTCTGATCACCTTTGAAACAGTGCAGAAAAGATAGATCACTGTTTATTTAGTTTAAATACAAAGTCGGTTGTATAAGGGCAGGCAATGCATTTTTTAAAATGTTTTTAAAACTTATAAATGAAAGTAAAATTACACCTCCACACTTCTTTCCTCAGCATAAATGTGCATGATTTCATATTAGTCTTTACATCTTCTGGTTTTTTAAATCTATGCACCAACATTTTCTCCATGTGTGGATATGTGTGCGTTTATTTTCTATTTCTCTGTTGCCATCTATTTTCTCTGTAAACTTCTCAAAGATTCTACTTATAGCTTCCTACACATGGTAGACAATATGTTACAGGGAAAAAAGTATATTTTAAAATCAGAAAGATCAGAATTAGATTCTAGATTCGACACTTACTAACCGCCTAGACAATCTGAGCCACAGGTGCTTCATCTTTTAAAAGGAATGAAAGCAATAACCACTTATCAAAACATTACCAAAATTTAATGAAATTGCATTTTATAAAATACACAATATATAGTAGGTGCTCAACAGAGAGTTTTCTTCCACACAGGACTTAGTATGCAATGAGAACTCACTAAAAGTTGTTATATGGATCAGGGCTGATTCTAGTTGAAGGAGAAGTGTGAGCACATGCTAAATACTTATAACACAACCATATAGCAACTCTGGGCCTAAGCCTAAAAGGAGTGTCTCTTCAGTATCCATACTGACTAATGTCACAGGGTAACACTGCTACATTAATTTTATACCAAGGTTTTTCCTGTAAACAAATAGATTTTTATGATCCATATAAAGTCATCCTCCTTATCAGACACAAACTAAGCAAAAAATGTCTATGTTCTCCCCCCTCAGTTTCCCCTCCTTTCTGAAATTATCCTCTCTTTCTTAATCATCACCATGTTGCATAAATGAGTACTCTTCTCCCTTGAAGGGAAAGGTGACTGGGAAAGAGCACCTCCCATTCAGATGTAATTACACCAATTTAAATAAAACAGAACTACTTTTAACAACTGGCCTATTTCATTTATGGTTTAATTTCTTTCAGGCTTACACATTTCTTTTTCTTTTTCTATGTCTTTACACCATTAGTGCTTGTCAAACTTTAGGGTAAATAAGAATTACATTGTGTAAATGTTTTAAATATGATTTCCATGTCTCAACCAGAGATTCATTAGAATTTCTGGGATGAGAGCTGGAGATTCCTATTTTTAATAAGCACTGTAATGCAGGGGTCTACGGACCACACTTTTAGAGACAGTGCTTACCCTATTAGGTAAAAATTAAAGTTGTCCATTTTGTGTCATTTGAATATTACTCATTTCACCTTCAGCCATCTCAATATGTGTGGATGTCGATGCCTATAAATTCAGTCTGCTTATTTTCACTTCTTCTCAGTGGTTGCTGATAAATACAGTTAGTATACACCCCTATGACCAATAAATATATTTAATGGACACATTCTTCTCTTCCCAAATCTGTTCTCTATAAACTTATGCCTGATAGAGTTTTCTTTAACTTTCTGTTGTGTGTTTATAAAATTCATGTGTTGATCTCTTCATGCTCAAAGAATAGTCCAAAATAAGAGTTTGGAGAAAATGGCAGTACAAGAAGAATAATGCTTACCCAGTTTAAATTTTTTCCTACCCTTAAATTCTAAAAAAAAAAAAAAAAAACTGATTCTTATTCAGGTAGAGTCAGGGAGAAGGCTATCCGAAATCTGACTGAAAAGGAAGGAGCATGCTATTTAATAAAATTCCCCACCTGTTTCTTGTATTCTTTCTGAGTTAAAACCAATGACCTTAAGAAGAAATTGTCTACTTATATCCTAGGATTTCAATTATCCCTCTTCCTCGATAACACTCCTGTTGGCACATTTACGACAGCAAATGTGAATAATAAACTTAATCCTTTTTTGCTCTAGTACATGCTCTTAACATTTTATCTCATCTAGACCCACTCAAACATAGATGTGCTTCATCTTTCATACAATCTTCAGATCAGGAAGACGTTTTTGTTTGTTAGATGGTTGGTTTTGGTTTTTGGTTTTTTCCATGAGAGATTATTTGCATCTATTCTGCAGCAGGATTTTTAAAAATAGTCACATCTTTTGCTTCAAATTAGAGACTACACTCAGAAAAATTCACTCCAGTATTCCCACATTATACCGCCTCTACACATTTATAACCAAATTCCAAATCTCTGACATATACCATAGATAAGGCTTGTAATCTATTTAGTATGTTAAGTTTATTGGAAGCTTTCTTGAAGCACTGTTTTCTATAGTAAAGTCAATGAGAAAAAGAGAATAGGATACAAAACCATCATTGGTTGTAAAGAAATACTTGCAAAAGGCAGGGAGCCTTGATAAGCCCAACAAAATGTTTAGTATCCGTAGCTTTTAGTTGCTTCATGGATATGTACAGAAGAGTATTAAACTTCTAATAACAAGTATGTAGAACTTTCAACTGATGACAGAACCTGTTTTTCCATGTTAAATGAAGACCACAGATTTCATTCAAAGTTTAACATTTTCAAACTGTTCTCAAAGTAAAAACTAATAAAAAATGATATGCCAATATGAGAATCAGAGAAAATAAATTTTAATCAGGAGATAAAATTATTTTCAAAGACAAAACTAGTACCCCAAAACCTTGTTACTGATTAGTTTCTAACTTTGAAAGAAAACCTCAAAATGATCATGACTTATCTTTGGAGAAGTTGACTATGGCCAGGCATATCAGTGGATTTATTTTTTAAATCAGGCTATAATAATTTAGTCATATTATTTTCTTCAGTTGTTTCTGATTCTTTCAAAACATCTAGAGTTTTTAAATTTTTAACTACTTACAGAAATAAACATTTTTTTCTGCATTATTTCAGACTTTTTTTCATGTACACCTTCTAAAATAAAAGTGTTTCTCAATAAGACAAACAAAGCCCAAGCTAAAAATATGTTATATCTTTCTTGAAACATATGGCCAAACTAACTAAAAGACAGCTGTCAAACACCATGTACCTTTACATTGTGTAGAAACCTTCTAAAAGTAAACAGAAAAACACATGGGATACAACAAAAGAGGACAGGAAACACTAATACAGAAAGAATAGAAATCTTTTTCTTGACATAATTTTATGTAAAATCTCAAAAATATGTTTCTATATTTAAAAAAATAATAAACTGTAGATCTACACATTCCTTGGTGTGGCTCATACTGTTTTAAACTAAAAGTTACCTTAAGACTTCTAGAAAGAAAAAGGGAACTAACTCACCGATACATCATTGCCAACCAGCAATGAAGAGTCCTGTGAAGGTCGAGGTCTACATCCAAGTGTGTGAATCCAGCTCTATCAATGACTTTGTGGGCTGAATTGAAGTGAGGAAATAAGTCACTGATGATCTCAACAGAACCAGTCTGACAAGTCTTGGCTGGTGTAGTGGGGACTATATGTGACTAGCAGGACAAGGACAAATTTTACAGGGAGCAAGAGCAAAAAATAAATTTATAATTTATTGTTTTAAGATAATTTCTTTTAAGTATTAGTGTAAACCAGATTTTTTAGAAAAGTCAGACGTATAAATTTGGAAAGAAATTTTAAAACTATCTTGCTTGACCTTCTCTTGTTTACAGAGAAGAAACTGAGGTTTAATTAAGTTAAATGACTTGGTCAAAAACCAAATAGTTATTAAATTGCCAAGCCAGGACTGACATTCATATTTTTTAAACTAGCCTGACACAATTTGCATTCGATTATGTACATAATAAAAATTTCACTTTGGTTTTAACTATGTTAGCCATTGAAAATACACTAGAGATTAGAAAAGCATTAATATTTTTAAATTATGTGGCATCATTCTTCTAGAAAAATCAGTTAGTTTGCAAATGTCAACCCATACTTAAGACGTTATATTTCTTTCATTATAGTGGAGACAGGCATATCAACTCACGCTGAATCACTACTGTCTTATTTCTAGGGTGAAAATTACATTTTTTTAAACGTGTGCTCACATACTATGCAAATATCTGTGTGTTTGTGTTAGGTATAATCTCTAAATTGCTTTCCCTAATCCTTACAAAACAGAGTAGGTGTTTCTCCTCTGTGCTTTCATGGTATCATAATACTTACCTCATTATACTAGAAATTTTATTAATTGTATCTCAACTCCACAAGGTTGTGAATTCTTAACAGACTGAAACCCTCTTCCTAGCATATTCAGGCTCTCAAAAATATGCATAAAAAGAATGAGTAGAGGGCAGGTTGCAAGGAAAGGAGGAGAAAAAGAGGGGGTATAACCCATCCTAAAAAGCACCTTAAAAATATTGTTTAATTTCATTACATATCCATTTAGCCAACAGCTCACCTAAACAGATGCAGGAGTTGGAATTTATGTAATGTGTGGGATCAGACGGCCAAGAATTGGAATCATTCACTAGCAGTAACCCAAGAAACCTCTGTGCTGAGGCATACTGTGCTAGGGGCTACCAACATATATCCTTTTTATTCTGGTCACTAGGTCACTTATCCTGATGAATAGCATGGATATTTATTTACTTAAAGTCATTCAATATATAGTATTAGGTTTCTGTATACTCATTTAAAAATTACACTTTAGCCAAAAATAAAGAGGCAATAATAACAGTAAAAACTTCTGGGTTATGAGATTAAGCTGTTCTTATACAGCCTTTAACAAAGTGAAATCTCTGCCAATGAAATGTTAATATGGTTTAATAATACTATGTTCTATTTTATACTCACATTTTATGAAAATATTGATAATACTTTTGTTTTCAAAGGAAAACAGATTCCCTCTCAGTGTAACTTTGGGCCAAGACTTGCCAGACTTATTTTAACAAAATCTCAAGACATTTGTTTCTTTCACAAAATCAAGATTTCAAATTCAAATAAATTCTTTATATAGGCCTATGGACCTGTATACTTAGGGTAATATATAACCTAGAATTGTAGATACAGAAAATGAGAGGGCTATCATGAATTTTTTTAAAACTCTGTGAGTATAAGCTACAATTTGTAGAAAATTAAGAGATTACGCATATGTAAATAAAGGACAAGTGAATGTCAGACTAAAGATATTAAAAATATGTCTTCCTTGCTATATTAATGGCCTTTGTTCAGTCTGCTCAATGGGCATTGCAGTGTATATTATCAAATTTTATGATATATCTTACACTTTAGTAGAAATTTGAATGGCAAGGAAAGAAGAAGGAATGAAACATTAGAGTCATAATTTTGTCTTCCAAAAGTTCGAAAAAGCAAAAGTTTGTCTTTCATTCAAATTTTTGTTGCTGTTTTTTCTAAAACCATAAATTTTATTCTGCAATACTTTTGTCCTAAACTACAGTGTGAAGAAAATGTTTTCAAAGAGTTACTCTTCTTTTTGTGTGTTGGTCTGTGTTCCCTGTGCCATTCTGTGCAATGTCAGGAACAGTCAGGAGAAATATATTTGTGGACTTGAGTCTGTTAGAAATCCACAGTAGATATCTTACATTGCATAATAAGTAAAATAGCAATGTGACCACAGACATTTTTATCACCAACAAATTATTCTACAGTCCTTTTTATACTTAGCAATGTCAAAGCAATGAGGCATCTTATGGCTTTAAACTAGAAAAGTATAGTTCCCAGGTGGCTAGTCATAGATGATTTTTATCATTATTTGAATATCTCCTAGTTTGAACAAATGTCTTTTATACCTGATAATACATAAATGCCTATGTATAATAATAATCTGATTAATTTATGGAAGCCCTTAAACTTATACTTTAGCTATATTTCCATAATGCTAAGGCAATCCTTTTATTGGTCAGTTTATTGGGATGTACATTACAGACTGGCCAATATTGTTAAACTAGTGAATTAACTAGGTGTCCAGGTAAACACAGCTATTGTCATTTGTGAATCCATTCCCTTCTATCATGTGTTGTTTTGAAGGTACCCATGCACTTTATTTTGTTTAAGCTGAGAAAACAAAGAGGATCAATATAATTAATTAGCATTTAGAGACAAGCTGTCACTACTCTGTCACTGACTCTCCTTTTGCTTGTGCTACATTCTTACCCAAAATATTACCTCTCTTCCCTATTCTTCTATAAGATGTTCTACAACTGATATAAGTGTCTTCATAATGCTGGAGATAATTTTTCTGGACATTGATGTGAGGATCTGCTAAGCTTTTCAATATATAATGGTACATATAATAAAAACCAAAGATAAGGTTTTTAGAATTAACTGACAGTAATAATGTTAAAATAATCCTATTATTGTTCAATTTATTGGAATATACAGTTTAGCCTGGTTAATGATATTAAACTAATGAATGAAGATAACATTTTGGGGGCCATTTTAAGTCTCTTTTTTTTTTTTCTTTTTTTTTGCAAGTAGTCTTTGAAAAACACCTCAAAGATTAATCAATTTCATGTTAGGAGATCAACTTTCAGTCATCTGAACCAACTTTTCCTAGCACATGAACCAAATTTATTTACCTATACTCCATTTCTTTACAAATAGACAACGCCCCTAAAATATAAAATATACTGATAAAATAAGGTTCAAATTCAAGAAAAAACCGAAGTGGAATACATTGTACATATTGTATAAGAGACTTGCTCTGACAGAGCTGCAAATTTGGCTTTGAACTTGCCGATAGCAAGAATAACAAGGGAAACTTAGGGAGTTTCACAATTCTCATTATTTAAAAGAAAGAAACAAATCAAGAGAGAATTTTTCCTGCCACTAAGTTGATGGAGAAATTTCTCATATGGAGATGACACTGAGCAACGCGTTGAATAATATCAGCAATATTTTTACCAACAAATAGAAGAGAATTTTATAAACTTTCTTATGATAATTCAAAGAAGCCTGAGAATAAAATTTTGAAGTTAAAGTTGGTGACAGATTTTTAAAGGAGATATATTTTTGTGGTCAGGTGCATATACTTCCAGTGGTCTAGCTTGATTCAAAGGCAGAATTCAAAGTACTTAGACAAAGGGTACAATGTTTCTTAGATGAACTTTCTTAAATATTACTTCCTTAGAAGACCTTTTTAGAAACGGAATAGGAGAAAGTATGAGTTTATATTCCTGACAAGGGCCTGAAGAATTTGTATTATATGTTGCTGATGGAAGGAAGATTGACTCACTTTATTATAAGAAAGAAGCAATTGACAGACTCTCTACTTTATCAAAACTGAGAAGCCAGATGAAATTTTACATTTAAATAAAATGTCCCACGAAATTATAATTTTCGATTAGTGCATTTTGATTTCTCCATAGATGTGCTGTGGTTTATAGTGTTATGTTTCATTGTTTGGTTACTCATGTAATGTGTCTCAACAAGAGCATAGATACAAAAGAGTTATATTTTTTATTCTAATCAAGGCTTCCAATCATGATTGTCAAGTCTTATTCTCGTGTCCTTTAATGAATATCCTAGCAAATCTTCTAACTGTCCTTTTTTTTTTTTTTGAGATGGAGTCTCGCTCTGTCGCCCAGGCTGGAGTGCAATGGCTTGATCTCTGCTCACTGCAAGCTCCGCCTCCTGGGTTCACGCCATTCTCCTGCCTCAGCCTCCCGAGTAGCTGGAACTACAGGCGCCCGCCACCACGCCCGGCTAATTTTTTGTATTTTTAGTAGAGACGGGGTTTCACCGTGTTAGCCAGTATGGTCTTGATCTCCTGACCTCGTGATCAGCCCTCCTCGGCCTCCCAAAGTGCAAATCTTCTAACTTTCTACCAGTTTCAGTTATTTGAAGTTTATTTTTGTCCAATTTAAAACTTGGATTGTGAAACTAACATAAATATGATTACCTTTCTTTCCCCTCAACACAAACTGTGAGGCTGACTGCTTGGAGTAGAGAAGTTGGAAGGAGATCTGACTCTGAGACAACCATCCTCACTCCCCGCTGCTGAACTCCTCTAGTTTTGGGGTCAGAGAGAGAAGACAAAGGTGGTAGAGATCTTACATAATCAGTTACATGTCTGCGTGAGAAAGCGTCCTAGGTTTTTCTCTGGTTCAATCCAGTTTTGTCTATTGCTAACAGATGGTGGTGTTGAGAAATCTGTGCTGGTGGTGTGCTTGGTTTTCTATAGACACTCTTCGTCTTTGCTTTGCCCCCTCACTCACTGAGGAATCCCTCAGAGAAAAGCCTGGACCCTGACAGCAGACCATGCCCCTAACTGCTTCCCCAGCTGGAGTGTCTCCTCACTACCAGCTATTCTGCTCCCTTCCTTACCACCATGCTGTTTTGCATTGAGCCATAGTAACCTCTGAGACCATCTTCTAAATGCTCCAAGGGCCACAAAAGACCAGGATGGGGATAAAGGAGGGAATTTAACCCCTCTCAAGAACAAACTCTGAACCACAGTTCCTTCTAACTCTGTTACCATAAGCTACTCCAGCAATTTCCTCTCCTTCAGAAATGTTAAGACTAGCAGCTGTTTTGGATTCAGGGGTGAGTCCTAAACTTCAGGTAGCAAATACACAACTCCGCGGAGACATTCGCCCCCGCTCCGCCATAGTAGCTCCAGAGGGACTGGTGTGTTTAGTAAATTACCATCCAGCCAGCTGAGAAATGAATTGCCAGTCTTCCTTCCCACAAACTCGCACACAATCTCTAAACATTCTCTGATGGACTCCCATTAATTGGCTTCAGCAAGAAAAAAATAATAATCCTTCTGTTCCCCTTGAGAAGAGGAGTAACCTTTCCCTGTGAGCACTGTCTGCTGACTTGCACTGTTCTCTCTCCAGTTTTCTCTTTATGCGTATCCAGAGCTAGGTGCTAGTTGCTGGTAGGAGAGAATTTTTTTCGCCTCGTAACATACCCTTTAGTAGGTGGGGACAGTGTCTGGCCTCAATATTTGGCATCTATTAGGAGCTTCTCATAGAAAGGGGGTTACTTAGCTCTTCTTATTTTCAATTATGGGCAACAAAAAAAGTCCCACTCAACATCTTATAATCTTATTTACAAATGTATCTTAAGCTTCCTTTCAGCATGATGTCTCATCATTTTGATTGAGTCATTAAATGTATCTATTATTCATCCAAAATTATTTGACTACTTCTACCTCATCTTCGAATACTAGATCTTACTTCACGCCACGATGGGCCTTCTGTTTACTCTTGAACCCCTGAATTCAGTTCTGCCTCCTGGCCTTTATTCTGCTGTTCCCACTTTCTAGAATTCATTTCCTGTTGATTTTCCCAGCATTCACTCTCATTTCATTCATATCTCTGCTCAAATATCATCTCCTCAAAAGAGTGTAAATCTCCCCATCTATAACAGCTTGCCCATTATTATTCCTTATTAGTCTCTATCCCTTTAGCCTGCTTTCTTTTTCTTCAAAGTAGGTAGTAATGCTTAATATGTTTATGTATATTTGTTCCTCTTGTTTATTGTCAGTTTACTTCATTCAGATGAAAGTCACTTAAAACTGAGAACTTCAGCTTGTCCTCCTTGGCTCTATCCCCAGAATCTAGAATTTAGGCTCTCAAAAATACTTGTTTGAACGAATGAATTATTTATTAAGCATTTCTTTGTATGCAATCCTTTTATGTCACAGTGGGAGACTACTGATGTCATTGGATAGCAGGTCCCACACTCACATAAAAATGATAATAGGTGACACTCTATGGAGTGTTTGCCTATGCCATACCTTTTTTCAAGCACTTCACATATATTTATTGATTTAATGCCCACAACATCTTACAAACATTATTGTTATCAGCATTTTAAAAATAAGAGAACTGAGATACAAGGGCTTTTTTAACTTAACCCAAGTCTCATACTAGTAGGTGGCTAAGCTGAGATTTGAACCCAGTCAATCTAGTTCTAGTTCATAGGCTGGACTGTTTACTGCCATATTCTAATATTTCATCTCTAACTTCTAGACTGGTGGTCTTCAAGTCTTAAAGTATTTTTGATAAGTCACTCAACTTAAAACTTAAAAAGCCACCATTTTTTAATCTGTAAGGCTAACCAGAGAAAGAATGTATGTAAATTATCTAAATTGTCTGGGAAGAGACATTCACTGTTCAACATCTAATCAGAGATACAAAGTCTTACTTGCACTTGCTTGTTTGCTTTTTTTGGGGGGTTGGGGGTGCAGAGTCTTGCTCTGTCACCCAGGCTGGAGTGCAGTGGCGCAGTACAGTGGCACAATCTCAGCTTACTGTAACCTCCACCTCCTGAGTTCAAGCAATTCTCCTGCCTCAGCCTCCCAAGTAATTGGGATTACTGGTGCATGCCAACACACCCAATTTTTTGTATTTTTAGTAGAGTTGGATTTTCACCATGTTGGCCAGGCTGGTCTCGAACTCCTGACCTCAAGTGATCCACCTGCCTCGGCCTCCCAAAGAGCTAAGATTACAGCATTAAGCCACTGCACTCAGCCTTACTTGCTTTCTTTTTCAAATTCATTTACCTATAGTTTTATGTAACACCTCATTCTTAAAAAGAGAGATGGAAGTGAATCTTTAAAAATATTGATGATTTAATGGATGATAGCAAAAAAAGATATTTTTCTAATACTAGAAGTGTCCAAATTAAATGAAGTTAATTGAACTGCAGAACCTTGGCATAGTTATTTAAATATGACCATATTTGACACATATGTTGCCCTGTTTGGAAGTCATCAAATGATTTTGGTTACAATAAAGAAAAGCAGGCTGGGCGCGGTGGCTCACACCTGTAATCCCAGCGCTTTGGGAGGCCGAGGTGGGTGGATCACGACGTCAGCAGATCGAGACCATCCTGGCTAACACGGTGAAACCCCGTCTCTACTAAAAATACAAAAAAATTAGCCGGGTGCAGTGGCGGGCACCTGTAGTCCCAGCTACTGGGGAGGCTGAGGCAGGAGAATGGCATGAACCCAGGAGGCGGAGCTTGCAGTGAGCTGAGATAGTGCCACTGCAGTCCGGCCTGGGCGAAAGAGTGAGACTCCATCTCAGAAAAATAAATAAATAAATAAAGAGAAAAGCTAACTTAGATTGTATTCCCTCCTAAGAAGGAAACTTTGTTCTTATTCATCTTTAATTCCTCATACCATCTAGCACAATGCCTAGAACAGCAGAGGCACTACAAAGTAGCTGCAGAATTACCAGAAATATTACTTTAAAATATGTTGTTCTGCCTGTTTAAAACCAGACCTAAGTGAACACCTTTTGGGTTTCCTCTAAGATCAAAAACAAAACTATTTTAATCTCTGGAAGCCACAGTTTCCTGTTCAACACCTAGCTTACTACAGTCATATGTTTTCCTGCCTATTCGTGACTCTTATTTTGTTTGGGCCTAATAAGGTTATAATGAAATACACAAGAAATAATAAGACCTGCCCTATGTGTGGACTATCTGGAAGTATGAGACACAAATTATTAAAAGTAGAACTCTTGAACAGGCTATTGGAATGGACATGCTGTTTCCTTATCATCTAAAAAGACTTAGGGGAGAATATCCCATATTAAGAATAACTTTATTTAATGTTTCATGCCTAAAAAGAACAAAAGAAATGGCTGAAGTTGGAAAAGAAAAAAATCCAGACAAAAACAATCCTTTGCTTAAATAACTTGACGTGCAGGAAAAACACATCCATGGGAGGGCATGGAAAAGGTCAGCACAGGCCTTTCTTCATCTGTTTTCCCATTCTCTATTCCTCAGCCCTGATGAACTGTGTGTCCTCTATCCCCACCTTAGAGGACTTCAATAATGGTTGGGTGTGTCTCTTTCTTTTTTTTATTTATTTTTATTTTTTTATTATACTTTAAGTACTAGGGTACATGCACACAACATGCAGGTTTGTTACATATGTATACACGTGCCATGTTGGTGTGCTGCACCCATTAACTCGTCATTTACATTAGGTAGATCTCCTAATGCTATCCCTCCTCCCTCCCTCTACCCCATGACAGGCCCTGGTGTGTGATGTTCCCCACCCTGGGTCCATGTGTTCTCATTACTCAATTCCCACCTATGAGTGAGAACATGCGGTGTTTGGTTTTCTGTCCTTGTGATAGTTTGCTCAGAATGATGGTTTCCAGCTTCATCCATGTCCCTACAAAGGACATAAACTCATCCTTTTTTATGGCTGCATAGTATTCCATGCTGTATATGTGCCACATTTTCTTAATCCAGTCTATCACTGATGGACATTTGGGTTGGTTCCAAGTCTTTGCTATTGTGAATAGTGCCACAATAAACATACATGTGCATGTGTCCTTATAGCAGCATGATTTATACTCCTTTACGTATATGCCCAGTAATGGGATGGCTGGGTCAAATGGTATTTCTAGTTCTAGATCCCTGAGGAATCACCACACTGTCTTCCACAATGACTGAACTAGTTTACACTCCCACCAATAGTGTAAAAGCATTCCTATTTCTCCACATCCTCTCCAGCACCTGTTGTTTCCTGACTTTTTAATGATTGCCATTCTAACTGGTGTGAGATGGTATCGCATTGTGGTTTTGATTTGCATTTCTCTGATGGCCAGTGATGATGAGCACTTTTTCATGTGTCTGTTGGCTGCATAAATGTGTTCTTTTGAGAATTGTCTGTTCATATCCTTTGCCCATTTTTTGATGGAGTTGTTTGATTTTTTTCTTGTAAATTTGTTTAAGTTCTTTGTAGATTCTGGATATTAGCCCTTTGTCAGATGGGTAGATTGCAAAAATTTCCTCCCATTCTGTAGGTTGCCTGTTCACTCTGATGGTAGTTTCTTTTGCTGTGCAGAAGCCCTTCAGTTTAATTAGATCCCATTTGTCAATTTTGGCTTTTGTTGCCATTGCTTTTGGTGTTTTAGTCATGAAGTCCTTGCCAATTCCTATAACCAGTGGAACAGAGCAGAGCCCTCAGAAATAATACCACACATCTACAACCATCTGATCTTTGACAAACCTGACAAAAACAAGAAATGGGGAAAGGATTCCCTATTTAATAAATGGTGCTGGGAAAACTGGCTAGCCAAATGTAGAAAGCTGAAACTGGATCCCTTCCTTATACTTTATACAAAAATTAATTCAAGATGGATTAAAGACTTAAATGTTAGACCTAAAACCATAAAAACCCTAGAAGAAAACCTAGGCAATACCATTCAGGGTGTGTCTCTTTCTGGATTACTCAATGGGAAATGAGTCTATTTATTTATTTATTTATTTATTTATTTTCAGGCCAAGTTATGAGACTGGCTAATTTTTTTTTGTACTCCTTTTTTAGGGATGCGGTCTTGCTATGTTGCCCAGGCTGATCTCGAATTCCTGGGCTCAAGCGATCCACCTGCCTCAGCCTCCCAAAGTGCTGCAATTATAGGCGTGAGCCACCGCGCCAGGCAGGAAATGAGTATCATGTCACATTTATCTTTCAGAACAAATGCCAACATCACTACCACTACCCATTTCTTTTATTGAGAAACAAGAAAGAAAAAAATGAACCCAAACTTTCTGAATACTGAACAGTATCATTTTTTAATGATTAAGTAATCAAAATAATCAGTTGAATCTAAAAATAAAATAAAATTTGAATCAATTTAATTCTTAAATTTTTTAAAGTATCATTGTGTTTCAGTATAATACACAGTTTGTAGATTAGAAGGGAAAATGATTAATTTATTTCTTCAGGTAGGAAGGCATAGGAGAGGCAGGTAGGGATGTTCCACATGTGATATGACAGCAAAGGGCTGGCCCAGGCGTGGTGGCTCACACCTGTAATCTCAGCACTTTGGGAGGCCCAGGCAGGCGAATCACCTGAGGTCAGGAGTTCGAGACCAGCCTGGCCAACATGGTAAAACCCCTGTCTCTATTAATAATACAAAAATTAGCTTGGTGTGGTGGCATGTGCCTGTAATCTCAGCTACTTAGGAGGCTGAGGCAGGAGAATAGCCTGGGAGGCAGAGGTTGCAGTGAGCAGAGATTGCACCATTGCACTCCAGCCTGAGTTACAGAGTGAGACTCCATCTCAAAAAAAAAAAAAAAAAATAGAAAAAATAGAAAAGAAAACAAGAGAAAAAAGAAAACAAAGGACTAAGGGAAGAGAGAAAAGGAAGCAATGACTCCGCCTGGCAGAACACTTCCTTTCTGTGAAGGAAACATAGTTATTTTCTAAACTGCACTCCCGAGTAATCAAACTCTTCATGCTTGTCCCCTCTAGATACATCACTGTAAGCTCCCATACTGAATGCTGCTTTTGACAATCCCTTTATTTCTAAGAAAACATCCTTCGTGGTTGAGCAAGAGTAAGTTTTCATTCAAATATAGAAAATTACCACCACTTACTTTTCCTTCCTATTGTTATACTGCATCTCATTCCTGGAAGACTTCCCTCATCTGCTTAGGATACTGCTTTGTGCTTTATAGGATGCAGTACTTCATCCAATGTAGCACTTATTTGCCCATTTTATAATTGCCTAAATATTTTTTGTGTTCCTGATGTCTTTAGTCTTCTTAAACACTGAGATTTTATCCTTTTTAACCACAGTATCCCCAGGGACTAGCTAAGTGCCAGAAACATGGTTGATACTCAATAAAGATTTAGTAAATGAATGAGTACCTTGATATTTGTGACTTACAGGTCCAAGATCCTCTTGCAGAGTACTGGGCCAGGCCTGGCCAGGACTGGAAAGTGAGTATTAATCCTAAGATAGGGCATACGAGCTGAGGAGGTCTAAAATGGAAAAAACAAGAGGACTGAATTCAAAGCAAAGTCCTCAAAGAGAATGAAGTTTAAAAGTCAAGGAAATATGGTCAAAGATCAAAAGGGGAGTCTTAAAAGGGAAGAAAACTATAATCTATGACTCTTAAATTGGGGACCTTGTGTTCACAGGGGTATTTGTCAGGGTGCCTCAGAGGACAAGAAGCCAAAAGACCAACATGGACCATCTTCCAACAGTGTCAAGTTTATTCAATGGTGAGTAATTTGAAATATTTTATTTCTATTAAACATTGGTAGATAGAGTAAAAAAAAAAAAATACAGACTTTAAAACTAAAAATGAGATTTCAAAATAACTATGCTTTTAGTGAGCCACTTTGTTTCATATACACAAGCTCCTAGAGTTTTGTGCTTTTCTCCTGATGTTGGGGTACTGCGGTCCAAATTTTTGAGATGCATATGTAGGATAAGAAACTGAGAAAAACCAAATTTTCAAAAAAATACTTGGGGTATAATTTAAGAGAGATCTTGGGCAATTGACAGGAAAAATATTGGGCTATCCTTAGCTAAACTTTACTGATTTGCTTTAAGGTATATTCTATGGACAAGAGAAAATGTTAAGCAGATCTTAACTTCTTTTTTAACTAAAATCAACTTTTTTTTTTCTTATTACAAACAGTGCATAAAACAAGGTTTTCCAGAAGTTGATAATTGTTGAATCTGGGTGATGGATACTTGAGGTTTCATTTTATTACTATCTTTATTTTTGGATTTATTTGAAATTTTCCATACTAAAATGTTAAAGAGACAAAAAACAATGTATGCTTATTTACAGAAGAATATTATATACATGTGAGTGAAAGGAAGAAAATTAAAAAGAAATGTAAGTCATTGTCCAGATACTATCATATGACAATATTAATTTTCTAGAATATCCATAGAGAGAGATTAGATAGAGATTTTTTTAACTGTGTCCAAATCCCCAAATGCATTCCACTCTACTATCCATGAAATGGCAGTACTCTGATTTTAGAAATTGCCTTTAACTCAATGTGTGAGTCTGACTGGTCTAAAGATAATCACATTCTTTCCGCCAGCTATCAGTTTAGAAATCAGCAGTTCTAGCCAATGATAAATGAAGAGATAGTGGCTACAGACTTCAAAAATTTCCTCTTTGGTCTTTGCAGAAAGCAATAACAAGCCATTCTCTCTTTCTTCAGCATATGAATGAGAAAGCAAGTAGTAATATCCAATTGCACCTGGAATCTATCTTACAATTATTTGGGGGAACTAGCTGTGAGATAAAGCAGATATTTTGGATTACAGAGCAGAGAGACAGAAAGAACATTGTTTTTTAATAATATTGTTGGGTCACTGAATCAGTCTACCCTGAAGCCTATTTTACCTCTGCACTAGAACAATTAGATTAATAAATGTAATTATGATAATTATAAAAATAAATATATTTATTTAATTCATTTTGAATTAGATGTTCTTTTGCTTGCTGCCCAAACTATCCTTCAGCATATAGTTTACCCTTTTTGTGCACTTAATGATGATATATTATAAACATCTTTGTCAATAAATTCAATTCTACAGCTTCATTTCGAATGTGTAGTATTCCATTGTGTACCTGTACCTTTCCAACATCTCCAATATTTATTGTGCAATCTTGTGATGTCAAATGAGTGAATTTTTTTAGTGCCAAGTCTACTAAGGACACAGTCCCAATATTCATAGTCTTCCTGAAGGCAGAACTTCCCCTCCATTAAATGTTCACTATAAATAATATAGAACTATATGTTCAAAATCATTTTATTGGCAGGGCATGGTGGCTTATGCCTGTAATCCCAGCACTTTGGGAGGCCGAGGCGGGCGGATCACCCGAGGTTGGGAGTTCGAGACCAGCCTGACCAACGTAGAGAAACCCCGTCTCTACTAAAAATACAAAATTAACCGGGCATGGTGGCTCACACCTGTAATCCCAGCTACTCAGGGGGCTGAGGCAGGAGAATCGCTTAAACCTGGGAGGCGGAAGTTGCGGTGAGCCGAGATTGCGCCATTGCACTCCAGCCTGGGCAACAAGAACAAAACTCTGTCTCAAAAAAAAAAAAAAAGAAAAGAAAAAGAAAACACAATCATTTTCTCTAAGTCTGGGATCTGAACACAAGATAACACTTCATTTTTGTGAACCCACGGAAAGTTTTACATAATATTGTCTTCCTTTCCACTCCTAATTCAGGAAATTTTACTACAAACTAATACCAGAACAATTTTGCCACCTCATGGAGGATGTTCACTGAGTTCCAGGCAAAGGTAGGGCTCAGTGGCAAGAAATGTTTTTATTGTTTTCCTGGCATTCTCAAGCATCACTCGGATGAATCAGAAGGTAACACAATAGCACAAAGAAACTCTGGCTATTAGAGGGAAAGACAGGTTTTTAAAACGACTCATTTAGGGATTTTTAAGCGTAATATGTCACGTTAACCAATTAACCTTTAGCTGAAGTTAACCTTTAGCTGAATTAACCTTTAGCTGAATCTTCTCAAAAAGGATACAGCTGAAATCTTCTCAAAAAGGATACAGTATTACTAGATTAAGATTAGGGTTATCTAAGGAGAATAGGTAACAATTTTCTTTTTTTCTTCTTTCTTTTTTTTTTTTTTTTGTTGTTGTTGAGATGGAGTTTCGCTCTTGTCACCCAGGCTGGAGTGCAATGGCGCAATCTCAGCTTATGGTAACCCCTGCCTCCCAGGTTCAAGTGATTCTCCTGCCTCAGCTGCCCGAATAGATGGGATTACAGGCACCTGCCACCACGCCCAGTAATTTTTTTGTATTTTTAGTAGAGACGGGGTTTCACCATGTTGGTCAGGCTTGTCTCAAACTCCCGACCTCAGGTGATCCACCCCTTCAGCCCCCAAAGTTCTGGGATTACAGGTTGAGCCACTACACCCAGCCAGATAATAATTTTCTTTTTTATTTTTTTTTTAATTTGAGACGGAGTCTCACTCTGTCATCCAGGCTGGAGTGCAGTGGTGCGATCTTGGCTCACTGCAACCTCCGCCTCCCAGGTTCAAGCGATTCTCCTGCCTCAGCTTCCCAAGTAGCTGGGATTACAGGCATGTCCTTCCACGCCTGGCTAATTTTTTGGATTTTTAGTAAGACGGGGCTTCACAGTGTTAGCCAGGATGGTCTCAATCTCCTGACCTCGTGATCCGCCCGCCTCGGCCTCCCAAAGTGCTGGGATTACAGGCATGAGCCACCGCACCTGGCCAATAATTTTCTTTTTAACTATAACATTTCTATCTGTTATTGAGCAGCCCAAATATGGGCAGAGAAAATGTGAAAAATGTTAGTAGTTCATATGCATATAGTCACTTAAGTAAATAGCTATATAAAATACCATATTATGACAAAAAGAACCATGATTATGTCATAAATATCACAAGTATCAGTGTTCTACCAAACCTAACTGTATCTGTATTAGTTCCCTGCTTGTTTGCCTCTTCTTAAGGTGAATGCTTTGTCAAAATTGTGAATACTCATATTATTTTGGATTTCATGCATGGGCCAGCCAATTTATGTTCTATTATAATCCTTTGTATTAATGACATAATTCTGCTGAATTGGCAAAAGTCCTAATGCAGATTATTTTATGAATAGAAAATTAAAAGAAAAATTATTGGCATAAAGCAGAACCACAGTGGAGGCTCACTACAATCTACTCTTCAATTTTACCTAGCACATACTCAAAGACATGCTTACATTCCAAAAATGCCCCTGCCAGTCACAATCTACATGCCATCAAAAACACCACCACCTCTCCAATGGAAAATCATGTCTACTAGACCTTCTCAGGTAGTGTCTGGAGGTCAGTGCTCAAGTCCAAGCTTTCTGTGAGATGTACAATCTCCTTCAGTGTAATTGAGTCAGGCTTTTAATGCCAAGTTCCAAAATACTGCAATCTTCAGTTAGATGATGAATTTCACTGTTCTGTCTATCAGGGTCCCAAGAAAAAATAGAAAGCACAACTAAAAAGAAAAATTTTTGTTTCTATGTTTAAGTTTTTATTTAAACCTTGAGCAAACAGCTGAGAACAACACTAATGCACTTTCTGCTCTCGTGAAACTTACATTCTGTGAGAGGAAGGGAGAATTCAAACTAATCATTTAATAGTAAAAATTAATCAAGAATTTAAGCAAGCTACAAAAGCTTATATTTGGAGGCCTGATTTGGTCAGGGAGGGGAAAATTCACTTGTCTATGTAGAGAGTAGATTTCAAGAAGGAAATTAAGTGTGGACGTAGGGTAATTCTGATTTATAATTCAAGAGCTCGGGGTTTTGTAGTAGCTGAGCTATTGCCCCTCGGCCAGCGGTTACTAAAGGAGGGAGAGTCCCATGAAGCCATTTGGCCTGAAATGAGCAGTGACCTTCAGCTGAGGGACACAGGAACGGAGGCTTAAGATAAGTACCCTTATCCTAGCTCCTAGCCTCCCACCTCCTTCTTTTTTTTTTTTTTTTTTTTTTTTTGGAGATAGAGTCTCGCTCTGTCGCCCAGGCTGGAGTGCAGTGGCGCGATCTCGGCTCACTGCAAGCTCTGCCTCCCGGGTTCACTCCATTCTAGTGCCTCAGCCTCCCTAGTAGCTGGGACTACAGGCGCCCGCCACCACGCCCGGCTAATTTTTTTTTTGTATTTTTAGTAGAGACGGGGTTTCACCATGTTAGCCAGGATGGTCTCGATCTCCTGACCTCGTGATCCGCCCGCCTTGGCCTCCCAAAGTGCTGGGATTACAGGCTTGAGCCACCGCGCCCGCCCCACCTCCTTCTTATCTACTGCTGTGCCATTGGCTGAACCCAACTGGAAGCCAGAGGAGGTAAGAATCCTTTAAGGTTTTTCATGCAGGTCAGCCTCCCAGGATAGCATTGCAGGTAGAGGAAGGTGGAGCGTGGAGAAGGATTCAGAGGGGCAAATAAAGGTGCACCACAGACAGAATTACCTTAATAAAATTATCTCATTTAGGGGAAAGAAAGGGGCTTGAGAATAATCACTTGTTAGGAGCAGGCAGTATAAAATGTTCTTGACTTGCTCCCTTGGAAATAGAGAAAGTGTCTTTGCTGTTTTGTTTTGTTTTGTTTTGTTTGTTTTGTTTTGTTTTGTTTTGTTGAGACAAGGTCTCACTCTACTGCCAAGGCTGAAGTGCAGTGGCACAACCTCAGGTCACTGCACCCTCAACCTCCTAGAATCAAGCGATCCTCCAGCCTCAGCCCCCAAGTAGCTAGGACTACAGGTGTGTGCCACTACACCCAGCTAATTTTTGTATTTTTTGTAGAGGTGGGATTTCCCCATGCTCACCAGTCTGGTCTCAAACCACTGGACTCAAGCTATCCACCCGCTTTGACCTCTCAAAGTGCTAGGATTACAGGCATGAGCCAACACACCCGGCTCAGAAATGTCCTTTAAAAGCCATTCAGCACCTTGAGTTCTTCTCCCTGGAAAGATTTCCCTTGCCTTGTATCTTTCTGGGCTGCTTCTCAGAGGGATGTTGGAGAGATTCTTCTTAAGTAGCTCTATTACCTTTGCAAGTCCAAGTCATTCTTTATAGGTGTGGATACTTAGGCCTGAGGAATGCATTACAAGTTGAGTAATCTCTGTTCCTAGGGCTAGGCTTCCCTTTCCTGGAAAATTTAATTAATTTAAAACTTCTGCTTGCTTCAAGTCAATTTGAATTTGAAACTCTATTTGCTAATTACTAAAACAAAAAATCTTATGGAGTCATGCCCATTTAAGCTTCTGGTTTACTAAAGAAAAAGGCCATCTCTGCATCATTCCTGGCAGCTCTGCCTTTCCCTGAAACTCTATTTAATGGCCTTTGTTTAGATGCGGATAAGAAACAGTAGCTGAAGTATTGAATGAGGATGATGGAGGTTTTCCTTCTAAAGTTTGCCCTTTAAGCTGAGTTCCAGGGAAATGTGATTTATAATAGGATATGGTATTCCTTTAGTCCAACTAGACAGGAGCTGCCAGAGATGCTTAAAAAGTGTTGCCAACTCTTTGGCTTCTCCTAGATGTCCACATTTTGTTTGCCAAGATCTCACTATTTCCTAACTGCTACAATGACTTTAAAGTGTGACAAATAACTAAAACAACTGTGTTATCTCCTAACTTCCATGGATTTCAAATCTTCCTCTAGAAATAAAATGCTTTGCTTTACAAATATTATATGCTTGTCCTGTTTTTCCATATCTACTTTCTGGTGGGCCTGCTTAGATGGAAATTAGTACCTCTCTTGAAAGACAGAAATTAGTGTCTCTTAAATCTTATTAAAATGATCTTAGGCCAGGAGTGGTGGCTCACGCCTGTTAATCCCAGCACTTTGGGAGACTGAGGCGGGCAGATCACCAGAGGTCAGCAGTTAGAGATCAGCCTGGCTAACATGTGAAACCCCATCTCTACTAAATATACAAAATTAGCTGGGCATGGTGGCGCACGCCTGTAATCCCAACTACTCGGGAGGCTGAGGCAGGCAAATCACTTGAACCCAGGAGACGGAGGTTGCAGTGAGCCAGAATCGAGCCACCGCACTCCAGCCTGGGAAACAAAGTGAGATTCAGTCTCAAAAAAAAAAAAAAAAAAAATTCTTAAATTACATTTCTAAAATTCTAAAGAAGTAACACACTTGAACACCCTACTACATTGCTACTATGGTCACAGGGGTTTTGGCCCCAGTATGAGAAATTATTAACTCAATATTTTTTGTATGGCTACCATATATCTCACACTCTCAGAGCTGCTGGAGAATAATTAATTGTACAATCAAGGCCTCTGCTCAATGGAGCTTTTATTTTAGCTGAGTGGATCAATAGTTTGAGATCTGAGAAACAAGAAGTGATGGTTTATAGCTACTCTTCACAGCATGTCAAGGACAGTCACCCTCACAGTCAGAGATTAAAGGATCCTCACTTTCCCCAGTCATGTCAGCTTAGCTGCTTCCATATTTTAGATTCAGTAGCTTATAAATCTCTCAATTTCTAGATTTGTCAGTATTCCTTGGTTGAAATTATGGCAGACTTGCCTGGGTAAGGAGTTCAAATTTTTTAAAAATTCAGATATTTATAACACAAATAAAATAGTTTTGCTTTTTAGCCTTCTTTCTCCTGGAACGTTATAGTTGTTCCTCCATTATTGGGTCAATTAATTCTCAAAGTGACCTTTGCAGCCTGAAATCAATCGGGATGAGCCCGATGTATCTCAACATTCTCCAACCCTGGGCTGAGTTCCTGGCCCAAGAGTGGCCATCTTCAAGTAGTTGGAAATGATCACTGTCCCTTCTCCTACATTATCCCACTTCCTCCCACACACACACACTCTTACTTACATGTGTTGAAATTTTTAATTCCACCTTGATTTCAGTCCCTAATGTCATATCTACTGGTATTCACTAGGTGCTATCTTCATGCAAGTGAGATTGCAGGCAAACTACTCTGACAGGCCAGTGCTCCCAAGACAGATATTCAGATAAGTATTGTCACAGTGGTACTACTCTGAGGGTAGAGGTTGTGGTAATGGTAATAGAAAGGGTAGGGGAAACTGATTTAAAATATGTTTTAGAGAAAGAATCAAGACAAGAGCTTTGCAACCAACTGAAAGGTAGAAAATATCTTTCCCCACAGGTGTTGCTGTTTTTTTAAACATGTGTTTAGTTTTCTGTTTATCAAGAGTAAGGGAGACCTCTTAATTCAGTTTGAGATACACCAAGTTTGAGAGCTAATTCTATATTTAGCATTAGTGCACACTTTCCTATAGGCAATGAACAAAGTGGAACTGGACCTCAGGAAAAGTGCAAGATACGAGTTTTTAATTATATTCATAGAGTTTAGAGTGGAAGAGGTGAAATTATGATTACATATGAAGAGCATGTGAAAAAAGGTAAGATGCAGATCTAGGATGGAACTTAAATTTCTGTAGTAAACAGGGAAAATAAAAGAATACAGTGGTTTCTATCTTTTGCTGCAAGTAAGAATCACTTGAGGCACTTCTAAAAATTCCAATTCCCAGATTGTACCACATACCAATGAAATTGGTATGTCTAAGGGTGGGAGCCAGGCATCAGTAATTTTTAAAAATCCCCAGATGATTTCAATGTGCAGCAATGAACTAATGAAGAAGACTGTGTATGAGTTGCTGATGTAGTTAAAAAAAAAAAAAAAACCTAACAAAGTATGGTATGGAAGCCAGAAGAAAAGATTATAAAGGAGGGTTTGGGGCATTATCAAAGGCCTTTAAAATGTGCATTTTCTTTTATTCCACTTCTAAGAATTTAATCTAATGAAATGAAATTTAAAACTTGCCTATAAGAATATTCATTCTAACATTGTTTTGAATAGTCCTACCTAAAATGTCCGAAAATGCAGTAGAACATCATCCCCTCATAAAAAATAATATGGATAAATAGATTTATGGTTATGGAAAGATCACCATGTGTTGTTAAGAGGAAACTAGATCATAAACCAATTGAGAACAGTCTGATTTATTCATATAATTGTATGATATACAATATATACACATACTATATTTTTAAACATCTAGAAGTATGTACACACAATAAAATGTTAACATTCCATAGAGGTTGAGTGGATGTCTGATTTTGTTCACATTCTTCTTATTCATCTGTATTTTTAAATTATAATAAAGTAACACACATAATTTTTAAAGGGAGAGAATGGTCAAGCGCTGGATTACCTCCCTGTATTATTTTATTGATGTGCTAGACTTTAAACCTTTGAAGGAAAGCAGTGGCCCTCTTTTTTGTTGACCACTGTGTCCCTAACACCTGGCTCAATAGTTGTTACATACTAAGCATTTGGTATCACCATTAGTGAATAAATGAATCAAATTCCTAATGGGCCTCTCTGCTTCCCGTCTTATTCTCATCCAGTACATTATCCCACCTCTTGCTAGCATGTTCATTTTGAAATACCAGTTTCATCATGTCACTGTCTTGCTAAAAATCTTTCAATTACCATTTACCATTTCAGGATAAATCCTGGATTTTTAGCATAATATCTAATATCTTGTCGGCCTATCTCTTCAGCCACATCCCTGGTAATGGTATACTTTGTACTCTGATCTGTTTTCCGTTTTATCAGGATATCCACATAAATGTTCTTCTTTGATTCAGAAAAGCCATTCTTTCTTGGTCTGACTGAACTATCCAGCTATCAGCACTTAACTCATCTTTCACCTTCTCTAGGAAGCTGTTCTCTTTTAGTCTAAATTAGGTGTCCTTCCTAATCTGAAATTTCCTTAGCCATAACACATATTATGTTGTATTGTATTATATATTATATTGTATTATATTTTATTAGAGTTTTTAATACTTTTATTTTATTTTATTTTTATTAATTTTTATTATTAATTATTATTAATTATTAATTATTGTTAATGATTTATTGTTAATTTATTATTAATAATTATTAATGTTTTTTGAGGGAGAAAAATGGGTTTATTCAGGAGTTGACAACCAGAGGAGATGGTGGACTCATGTCACAAAGATCATCTCAAGTTTCTCAGGCTAGCTAGACGGTTTTTATGGGAAGCACAGGAGTTGACTACGTGTGCGGTAGTATGTCTGGTCTTGACGACTGTCTTGAGCAGTGGGCCAACTAGTGGTCTAGCTGGTGTCTGCTTGATTACCACAAGAATACAGATGAACTACACACAGATGAAATACATTCTTCCTGGGGTCAAACGTTCCACAACCTGGATTTCACGCTTAGTTTTTCAAGGCCTGTTATTGGAGTTCTTGTTCTTTTTTTTTTTTTTATACTTTAAGTTCTAGGGTACATTTGCACAACGGGCAGGTTGTTACATATGTATACAAGTGCCATGTTGGTGTGCTGCACCTGTTAATTCATCGTTTACATTAGGTATCTCTCCTAATGCTATCCCTCCCTGCTTCCCCAACCCCACGACAGGCCCCAATGTGTGATGCTCCCCGCCCTGTGTCCAGCTGTTCTCATTGTTCAATTCCCACCTATGAGTGAGAACATGCGGTGTTTGGTTTTCTCTCCTTGCGATAGTTTGCTCAGAATGATGGTTTCCAGCTTCATCCGTGTACCTACAAAGGACATGAACTCATCCTTTTTTATGGCTGCATAGTATTCCATGCTGTATATGTGCCACATTTTCTTAATCCAGTCTATCATTGATGGACATTTGGGTTGGTTCCAAGTCTTTGCTATTGTGAATAGTGCCATAATAAACAAACTTGTGCATGTGTCCTTATAGCAGCATGATTTATATTCCTTTACGTATATGCCCAGTAATGGGATGGCTGGGTCAAATGGTATTTCTAGTTCTAGATCCCTGAGGAATCACCACACTGTCTTCCACAATGACTGAACTAGTTTACACTCCCACCAATAGTGTAAAAGCATTCCTATTTCTCCACATCCTCTCCAGCACCTCTTGTTTCTTGACTTTTTAATGATCGCTGTTCTAACTGGTGTGAGATGGTATCTCATTGTGGTTTTGATTTCCATTTCTCTGATGGCCAGTGACGATGAGCACTTTTTCATGTGTCCGTTGGCTGCATAAATGTCTTCTTTTGAGAATTGTCTGTTCATATCCTTTGCCCATTTTTTGATGGAGTTGTTTTTTTTCTTGTAAATTTGTTTAAGTTCTTTGTAGATTCTGGATATTAGCCCTTTGTCAGATGGGTAGATTGCAAAAATTTCCTCCCATTCTGTAGGTTGCCTGTTCACTCTGATGGTAGTTTCTTTTGCTGTGCAGAAGCCCTTTAGTTTAATTAGATCCCATTTGTCAATTTTGGCTTTTGTTGCCCTTGCTTTTGGTGCTTTAATCATGAAGTCATTGCCCATGCCTATGTCCTGAATGGTATTGCCTAGGTTTTCTTCTAGGGTTTTTATGGTTTTAGGTCTAACATTTAAGTCTTTAATCCATCTTGAATTAATTTTTGTATAAAGTATAAGGAAGGGATCCAGTTTCAGCTTTCTACATATGGCTAGCCAGTTTTCCCAGCACCATTTATTAAATAGGGAATCCCTTCCCCATTTCTTGTTTTTGTCAGGTTTGTCAAAGATCAGATGGTTCTAGATGTGTGGTATTATTTCCGGGGGCTCTATTCTGTTCCATTGGTCTATATCTCTGTTTTGGTACCAGTACCATGCTGTTTTGGTTACTGTAGCCTTGTAGTATAGTTTGAAGTCAGGTAGTATGATGCCTCCAGCTTTGTTCTTTTGGCTTAGGACTGACTTGGCAATGTGGGCTCTTTTTTGGTTCCACATGAACTTTAAAGTAGGTTTTTCCAATTCTGTGAAGAAAGTCATTGGTAGCTTGATGGGGATGGCATTGAATCTATAAATTACCTTGGGCAGTATGGCCATTTTCAAAATATTGATTCTTCCTATCCATGAGCATGGAATTTTCTTCCATTTGTTTGTGTCCTCTTTTATTTCGTTGAACAGTGGTTTGTAGTTCTCCTTGAAGAGGTCCTTCACATCCCTTGTAAGTTGGATTCCTTGGTATTTTATTGTCTTTGAAGCAATTGTGAATGGGAGTTCACTCATGACTTGCCTCTCTGTTTGTCTATTATTGGTGTATAGGAATCCTTGTGATTTTTGCACATTGAATTTGTAACCCGAGAATTTGCTGAAGTTGCTTATCGCTTAAAGAGATTTTGGGCTGAGATGATGGGGTTTTCTAAATATATGATCATGTCATCTGCAAACAGGGACAATTTGACTTCCTCTTTGTCTAATTGAATACTCTTTATTTCTTTCTCTTGCCTGATTGCCCTGGCCAGAACTTCCAATGATATGTTTAATAGGAGTGGTGAGGGAGGCATCCCTGTCTTGTGCTGATTTTCAAAGGGAATGCTTCCAGTTTTTGCCCATTCAGTGTGATAGTGGCTGTGGATTTGTCATAAATAGCTCTTATTATTTTGAGATACTTGTCATCAATACCTAGTTTATTGAGAGTTTTTAGCATGAAGGGCTGTTGAATTTTGTCAAAGGCCTTTTCTGCATCTATTGAGATAATCATGTGGTTGTTGTCTTTGGTTCTGTTAATATGATGGATTACATTTATTGATTTGCTTATGTTGAACCAGCCTTGCATCCCAGGGATGAAGCCCACTTGATCATGGTGGATAAGCTTTTTGATGTGCTGCTGGATTGGGTTTGCCAGTATTTTATTGAGGATTTTTGCATCGATGTTCATCAGGGATATTGGTCTAAAATTCTCTTTTTTTGTTGTGTCTCTGCCAGGCTTTGGTATCAGGATGATGTTGGCCTCATAAAATGAATTAGGGAGGATTCCCTCTTTTTCTATTGATTGGGAAAGTTTCAGAAGGAATAGTACCATCTCCTCTTTGTACCTCTGGTAGAATTTGGCTGTGAATCCATGTGGTCCTGGATTTTTCTTGGTTGGTAAGCTATTAATTATTGCCTCAATTTCAGAGCCTTTTATTGGTGTATTCAGGGATTCAACTTGTTACTGGTTTAGTCTTGGGAGGGCGTATGTGTCCAGGAACTTATACATTTCTTCCAGATTTTCTAGTTTATTTGCATAGAGGTGTTTATAGTATTCTCTGATGGTAGTTTGTATTTCTGTGGGATTGGTGGTGATATCCTCTTTCTCATTTTTTATTGCATCTATTTGATTCTTCTCCCCTTTCTTCTTTATTAATCTTACTAGCAGTCTATCAATTTTGTTGATCTTCTCAAAAAACCAGCTCCTGGATTCATTGATTTTTTGAAGGGTTTTTTTGTGTCTCTAGCTCCTTCAGTTCTGCTCTGATCTTAGTTATTTCTTGCCTTCTGCTAACTTTTGAATATGTTTGCTCTTGCTTTTCTAGTTCTTTTAACTGTGATGTTAGGGTGTCAATTTTGGATCTTTCCTGCTTTCTCTTATGGGCATTTAGTGCTATAAATTTCCCTCTACACACTGCTTTAAATGTGTCCCAGAGATTCTGGTATGTTGTGTCTTTGTTCTCACTGGTTTCAAAGAACATCTTTATTTCTGCCTTCATTTCGTTATGTACCCAGTAGTCATTCAGGAGCAGGTTGTTCAGTTTCCGTGCAGTTGAGCGGTTTTGAGTGAGTTTCTTAATCCTGAGTTCTAGTTTGATTGAACTGTGGTCTGAGAGACAGTTTGTTATAATTTCTGTTCTTTTACATTTGCTAAGGAGTGCTTTACTTCCAACTATGTGATCAGTTTTGGAATAAGTGGGATGTGGTGCTGAGAAGAATGTATATTCTGTTGATTTGGGGTGGAGAATTCTGTAGATGTCTATTAGGTCTGCTTGGTGCAGAGCTGAGTTCAATTCCTGGATATCCTTGTTAACTTTCTGTCTCGATCTGTCTAATGTTGACAGTGGAGTGTTAAAGTCTCCCTTTATTATTGTGTGGGAGTCTAAGTCTCTTTGTAGTTCTCTAAGGACTTGCTTTGTGAATCTGGGTGCTCCTATATTGGGTGCATATATATTTAGGATAGTTAGCTCTTCTTGTTGAATTGATCCCTTTACCAATACGTAATGGCCTTCTTTGTCTCTTTTGATCTTTGTTGGTTTAAAGTCTGTTTTATCAGAGACTAGGATTGCAACCCCTGCCTTTTTTTGTTTTCCATTTGCTTGGCAGATCTTCCTCCATCCTTTTATTTTGAGCCTATGTGTGTCTCTGCATGTGAGATGGGTTTACTGAATACAGAACACTGATGGGTCTTGACTCTTTATCCAATTTGCCAGTCTGTGTCTTTTCATTGGAGCATTTAGCCCATTTACATTTAAGGTTAATATTGTTATGTGTGAATTGGATCCTGTCATGATGTTAGCTGGTTATTTTGCTTGTTAGTTGATGCAGTTTCTTCCTAGCCTCAATGGTCTTTACAATTTGGCATGTTTTTGCAGTGACTGGTACCAGTTGTTCCTTTCCATGTTTAGTGCTTCCTGCAGGAGCTCTTGCAAGGCAGGCCTGGTGGTGACAAAATCTGTCAGCATTTGTTTGGCGCATGAGATTGTGCCATTCCACTTACGAAGCTTAGTTTGGCTGGATATGAAATTCTAGGCTGAAAATTCTTTTCTTTAAGAATGTTGAATATTGGCCCCCACTCTCTTCTGGCTTATAGAGATTCTGCTGAGAGATCCGCTGTTAGTCTGATGGGCTTCCCTTTGTGGGTAACCCAATCTTTCTCTCTGCCTGCCCTTAACATTTTTTCCTTCATTTCTATTTTGGTGAATCTGACAATTATGTGTCTTGGAGTTGCTCTTCTTGAGGAGTATCTCTGTGACATTCTCTGTATTTCCTGAATTTGAATGTTGGCTTGCCTTGCTAGGTTGGGGAAATTCTCCTGGATAATATCCTGCAGAGTGTTTTCCAACTTGGTTCCATTCTCCCCGTCACTTTCAGGTACACCATTCAGACGTAGATTTGGTCTTTTCACATAATCCCATATTTCTTGGAGGCTTTGTTCATTTCTTTTTACTCTTTTTTCTCTAAACTTCTCTTCTCACTGCATTTCATTCATTTGATCTTCAATCACTGATACCCCTTCTTCCAGTTGATCGAATCGGCTACTGAAGCTTGTGCATGCGTCACATACTTCTCGTGCCATGGTTTTCAGCTCCATCAGGTCCTTTAAGGACTTCTCTACACTGTTTATTCTAGTTAGCCATTTGTCTAGTCTTTTTTCAAGGTTTTTAGCTTCTTTGCAATGGGTTTGAACATCCTCCTGTAGCTTGGAGAAGTTTGTTATTACCAATCGTCTGAAGCCGTCTTCTTTCAACTCGTCAAAGTCATTCTCCATCCAGTTTTATTCTATTGCTGGTGAGGAGCTGCATTCCTTTGGAGAAGAGGTGCTCTGATTTTTAGAATTTTCAGCTTTTCTGCTCTGGTTTCTCCCCATCTTTGTGGCTTTATCTACCTTTGGTCTTTGATCATGGTGACCTACAGATGGGGTTTTGGTGTGGATGTCCTTTCTGTTTGTTAGTTTTCCTTCTAACAGTCAGGACCCTCAGCTGCAGGTCTGTTGGAATTTGCTGGAGGTCCATTCCAGACCCTGTTTGCCTGGGTATCCCAGCAGAGGCTGCAGAACAGCAAATATTGCAGAATGGCAAATGTTGCTGCCTGATCCTTCCTCTGGAAGCTTCATCTCAGAGGGATACCTGGCTGTATGAGGTGTCAGTCAGCCCATACTGGGAGGAGTCTCCCAGTTAGGCTACTTGGAGGTCGGGGACCCATTTGAGGAGGCAGTCTGTCCATTCTCAGATCTCAAACTCCATGCTGGGAGAAGCACTACTCTCTTCAAAACTGTCAGATAGGGACATTTAAGTCTGCAGAAGTTTCTGCTGCCTTTTGTTCAGCTATGCCCTGCCCGCAGAGGTAGAGTATACAGAGGCAGGCAGGCCTCCTTGAGCTGTGGTAGGCTCCACCCAGTTCGAGCTTCCCGGCCGCTTTGTTTACCTACTCAAGCTTCAGCAATGGCGGACGCCCCTCCCCCAGCCTTGCTGCCGCCTTGCAGTTTGATCTCAGACTGCTGTGCTAGCAGTGAGCAAGGGACCCTCCAAGCCAGGTGCAGGATATAATCTCCTGGTGTGCTGTTTGCCAAGGCCATTGGAAAAGCACAGTATTAGGGTGGGAGTGTCCTGATTTTCCAGGTACTGTCTGTCATGGCTTCTCTTTGCTAGGAAGGGGAATTCCCTGACCCCTTGCGCTTCCTGGGTGAGGCGATGCCCCGCCCTGCACCCTGGGCTGCACCCGCTGTCTGACAAGCCCCATTGAGATGAACCTGGTACCTCAGTTGAAAATGCAGAAATAACCCATCTTCTGGGAGCTGCAGTCTGGAGCTGTTCCTATTCGGCCATCTTGGAACCTCCTGTATTAATGATTAATTAATGAATTATTAATTATTAATTATTATTTGTCCATGGTGACGTTTCAGAAAATATTGAAAAGAAGTCTGAAGAGAATAGAGTTAGCCAATCTGCCAATATCCCAAAATATTTATTTTGTGCCCACAAATGTATATGTTTCAATGCACATCCTCCTCCCTATGTGCATTTGTATACCCTCTGCCCCCAATGTATTTCCCATAATGAAGGCAGAGTGACTTTTTAAAACTATAGACTAATCATGCCATTCCCCTCTTTAAAGTTATTTTAAAATTCCTTATTGGCTTGAGAAAAAGATCTAATATCCTTATTATAACCTATAAGGCCAGGAAAGATCCGGTTCCTACCTACCTTTCCACACTTATGGCATACCACTTCCACACCACTCCCTCCACACTAGCACATTGAAGTTCCCACCTCTATGCATACCAACATTTTTACTACTACAAAGGGAACTTTCTGTGTGTTCTCCATTATACTGCATTGTCAGTTTTTAATTATACATCTGTAAAAACTTTGCTGTCTTTATCAGTAGTAGGCATTTTGCCCAAAGTGTAATATACTTAAAGACTTAAAACAGTCAATCAAATGATAGAAATTTTCACTTTTCATTATTTCGAGAGACTAAAGAAAAAGAACTAAACAAAATGCCTACTTGGATGTAGGCAATAGCTATAAGAATAGGTACAATGATATAAACACTACTTAATAAAAACTCAAAAACATGCACAGAGTTAATATTTGATTTGCTGTGGATATTTAAGAACTGAAGGACACTTATGATTGCACAAAATGTAAAAGCAAATCAACAGAGTTAAACATAGTTAAACTTACTATGCCAAGTACCTTCAGTTAAAAAATACATATTTCAATAAGTCCATTCTACTAATAACTTAAAAATAATATTTTTAAAAGCAGGCTGGGTGTGGCGGCTCATGCCTGTAATCCCAGCACTTTGGGAGGCTGAGGCGGGTGGATCACCTGAGGTCAGGAGTTCGAGACCAGCCTGGCCAACATGGTCTCGAACCCCATCTCTACTAAAAAAAAAAACAAAACAAAACATTAGCCAGGCATGGTGGTGTGTGCCTGTAGTCCCAGCTACTTGGGAGCCTAGGTAGGAGAATCGCTTGAATCCAGGAGGTAAAGGTTGCAGTGAGCCGAGATCGCACCGTTGCACTCCAGCCTGGATGACAAGAGTGAAACTGCATCTCAAAAAAAAGAAGCAAAAAAACTTTGCCTCTCAGGACTGTTATTTTGCCTGAAGAAAATAATATTTCCTCTAAATCTGAATATTTAGACAATAATAAAAATTAAAAGACAAAATATTATCAAGCTATAAATAAATAACATAAAATCTAAATGAGGCCAGGTGCAGTGGCTCACACCTGTAATCCCAGAACTTTGGGAGGCCAAGGCAGGTGGATCACGAGGTCAAGAGATTGAGACCATCCTGGCCAACATGGTGAAACCCCGTCCCTACTAAAAATACAAAAATTAGTTGGGCGTGGTGGTGCATGCCTGTAATCCCAGCTACTCAGGAGGCTGAGGTAAGATAATCACTTGAACCAGGGAGGCGGAGGTTGCAGTGAGCTGAGATTGTGCCATTGCACTCCAGCCTGGGCAACAAGAGTGAAACTCTGTCTCAAAAAAAAAAAAAAAAATCTAAATGAACGATTCACCCATCTCTGTTCCATAATCAAGACCAATAAGGTTAAAAGTCAATTGTTTTAATACTGTCTCTCAACTATACCCTCTAAGTTTACCTTTATTTTTTCTCCATCATCATTTAATGAAGGGTTACATCTTCAAACTGTGTTAAAGATACCTGTGATATATGCATGCTTATCTTGACTGTATGATGTATATGTGTATGTTTTGGATGAAAATGGACAGAGCAGGAAAAAATGAAGACTGAGGTAAGTTTGTAAGGAATACATGCAAATACGACGGGGAAATCTAGTTAATTTTTCATTTGCTTTTTCAGATAATTTTATGTACAAGTATTTGACCATATGACTAAGTACAAAACACACATATTAGTGAAGGAAAGATAGAAGACAGACTTCTAATTTTAAAATGGTGAGCATTTAATATAATCCCTCCTCTTACACTAAATTCATAAAAATTAAGGAAAATTTATTTTTTAAATAAATAAAAATATCTATGGTGAAAACGACAGAAATAATAATTAGTCTTTGAAAAATATGAGCAGAAAAGAAAGAGGTCACAGCCCATGATTCCTTCAGAAAAGTTCTAACCCAGGAGGTGAGACCAACAAGATAAATGCTCCACGCCTGGAAGGAATGAAATCCAGGAGCAGGAGGGGTACCCAAAAGCCATTGGCAGGATGATTAGTTGGAGCCCCACAAAGGGAGAACCCAGACAGGTCAGCCCCTGAGTATCTCTCTCCTCTCCCTCCTATAAGACAAATAGCAATATCTATCTCCACAAAGGAAAGATGAATACAGTTCTTATTGCAGAGAAATAGGGCAGTGTATTAGAGAATTGGTGACACCAAAAGGAATGAGATGCTCTCATACCAAGAGACCAGTCACCAAATTACCTACCCACTCGTAACTCTTTTCAATAGATTTAGACAGAATGTAGGGAAAAAATATTTCAGGAGGTAATAGCCTAAAATTTTCCAGAACTTTATAAAGACATGAAACTACATAATGGGTCAGTGAAAGCCATGCAAAATTAAAAAGACAGGTACAAGATGGTGAAATCTTAGAATACTAAGTATAAAAAGGAAATTTCTGACACTGCTAGAGAGAAAAGAAAGATTCCTTACAGGAAAATAAGAACAAGATTAACAACAGATTTTTCATCAGCATACTACTTGCAATTAAACACTTGAGCAAAATATTGAGTTGGAAAAAAAGTGTATATATATATATATATATATATATATATATATATACGGTATATATATATATATATATATACGTGTGTGTGTGTATATATATATATGTATATATTTGGACCTATAATTCTAACCCTAGTCAAATTATCAACTAAACAAAGCCACTTTCAGAGATAACAATAACTGAGAATTTGATGGTCTTATTTCCCAGTTCTATATGAGTTTAGTTTAATATTAAATATTTAATTACACTTTAGCCATATTTCAGATACAATATATGGCTGATCTTATTCCTGGGTCTTCTGTCAATGGCCTACTATGTATGAATATAGTCATTATTTTCTCTGTTACTGAAGAGATTCTTTTGAAGCCGCACTCATTAATGCAGCTGCACAGGTTAATATGCTTATTTTAAACCTATGTCCTTTGCGTCTCCTCTACCCTACAAAGAATAATCTCCTAGATTTTAGATTTACTTGAAGCCTGATGTCCCTGGCCTAATGCGCATCTCAGAAACCCATCTTTCCAAACAACACTGCAAGTCTGACAGTCTGACTCTGACTGAGTCACGGCCTCTCCCAATCTGGCTCATTCAAATACTACTTAAACCTTGGGTAGAGCAGATTAAAATTTTTAGTAGCACACAAGATTATATGTTCTTTTAGAATTTTAGGCTACAATGTGCCAATAAAAAAATCATAAAGAATAAAAGAGTCATCTTAGCCCACAATTTACTAGCTGTGTGACCTAGGGCATGTTTTACTAAACATGCCTCAACCTATTTTTATTACACAGGGAGAATACCTTTTTTCCCCAGGGTTATTGTGCAAAATAAATGACATTTTATATATATAAGAGGCCAAACAATGCTGTCAATAAATATGAGTGTTCTCTTCTTCCTCTTTCTTAATGACAGGGCAATTTTCTGCAGGTAAAGAAAAATGAATTCATTTAATCTTAAAAAATAGTTTGAGAAATAAAAATAAAAATGCATGTTTCCAGTGCATGAATAAAGAAAAGTTAAAAATGAGTTGACTGTATAAGGTGATATTTTAATTTACTTATGTTGCCATCTGTAATGCCTATTTAAAATCAACTTACCTAATATTTCTTAAGTATATAAAATATTTAGACCCTCTCAATGTAATCATATCATACAATTACACAATATATTTGTGTAACTAAAGTATATAACCAGAAAACTTATTTGTTAATTTATAATGAGAAATATTGTCAATCTGGCCAAATAGACCATATTTTTCAGGTTGACCAGCAAACTTTTTCTTAATGGGAAAATTAAATTATCAGAATATTTCTTAGCATAAATTCAGCACCATAGACATTAGTTCTGTAATTCCAAGGTACCTGATACATCTTCCTGCACAATAGATATCTACATGCTAGGTTACTCAAAAACAAGGTAGCCTGATCTCTCACCTCTTCTCCAGCATAGTGTTCATTTCTTACAGCTGGTGTTAGACTTCAAGACTCTACCTCTGGCTGAATTGTTCTTCAAATTTGTTTTGCCTTCAAGCAGGGTTACTGTTTCATTTTATTGCTCTGATAGTCACCTTTAAGATGACTTTGGATGTGGGCTTATTTAACAGGTTAGCCCTCAGAAGTTGTTTTCTTTTAATCAAATGGATTATCTGGTGCAGAATGAACTTTAAATTTTGAAGCAGGAGAAGTTTCCAATGAGAATATGGCATGTGGTTTTCCCGCATTCTGATGTGGAAATTGAGTGGGCCCTTTTACTCTTGTACTCAAGTAGCTTTCCATTATTCTTGAAGACACTCCTGAATATAAGGGAATAGTCCCACCAGAGCCCTGACCTTAATGTAAATTTGATTTATTAGCCAGGCTGAACCTCCACAGAGTTAGACATAGTTTATCTTAAATCTGAATTCAGGCTACTTGCTACTGAAAATTACTATTTTGTTCTTGGAAGTTGTGTTTATAATTTTTGTTTAACCATTTGCTTCCAGGAGATAGGAGATGAGATTATGCCATGCATACAGTAGCAACTTTTCTTTACCTCATCCTGAAGGCAAGATTGAATGCAAAGTGCATTGGATTTGACGCAGTGGCATATGGACTATAATGTAACATTTCTCTTCCACATAAAGTGTTACTTGAGACTAAATGGGCAAACCACAGTGATGGCTTTGAGTAGTCTGTGGAGCCCAACACCAATATTGGGGAGGATGTGGGTTTTTCTCCTGATATAAATGGGATTTTCATTCATATGCACTCTGTAAATGTGCGTGTGCATGTGTGTGTGTGTATGTCTGTATGTCTGTCTGTGTCAGCTCATGCTACATGGAGGTCTGCCGGTTGCTATGCAGGGAATCTAAAAGATAGTTGGACTGTGAGTCCTGGGAGTAGCAAGTAACTACTTCCGGTAGCAGTTGTTAGTCAATGGTCATAGATTAGTGTTTCATAGTTCTATGGAGGCCCACAGAAATATTTGGTTTGGCCACAGCACTTTCTTTAAAAAAAAAAAAAGAATTAGTTGCCAGTATTGAAAAATAAGAATATTTCCCTTAAAAAATATAAATTGCAGAGTTCTTTTGCAAAATCGTAACTGGAAAAACTAAGCCCTGTTTCCATATATCAACAATCAGTTGGCTTTGAATAGCAGCTTCTCCCTTTAAATGCAGTATGTCGTCGTCAGTTCACTCATACTGGCTGTTATTTCTTTTCTTTTCTTTTCTTTTCTTTTTTTTTTTTTTTTTTTTGAGACGGAGCCTCGCTCTGTCGCCTAGGCTGGAGTGCAGTGGCGTGATCTCAGCTCACTGCAAGCTCCGCCTCCCGGGTCCACGCCATTCTCCTGCCTCAGCCTCCCGAGTAGCTGGGACTACAGGTGCCTGCCACCATGCCCAGCTAATTTTTTTGTATTTTTAGTAGAGACGGGGTTTCACCATGTTAGCCAGGATGATCTCGATCTCCTGACTTCGTGATCCGCCCATCTCGGCCTCCCAAAACGCTGGGGTTACAGTCGTGAGCCACTGCGCCTGGCCACTGGCTGTTATTTCCTAACATTAAAGCCAAATGGCATGCCCACATTTCTTAAACTATGCAGCCTTCACGCTTCCATTACCAGCCAGACTTCTGTTGACATTTGAGTTTGCAAACCCTATGACTCCCAAGCCTGGCCAAGGTCCTAGCCGGGCCTCAACTGTATTACGAAGAATTACAAGAACAGTTTCCCCTCCTGTGAGCTGGAGAGACAATGCCAGTTGCAATTAGAGGCAGAGTATCAGTCTGATAAACATCAGCAGCAATAAAGGTAGCATCCTGTCAGTCAGCAGGGTGGGAAGGCTGCAAGGAAGGACCCAGCTGCAGCAAGGCTCCTGAACAAAAAGCCAAGCAGTACTCTAGGAAACGCTCCAAACAATGTTGTAGAAAAATACATGCTAACATCTGGTAAGCAAACAGACAGAGTCTTTTTTCATAATTATATACATATAAAAATGAAGCATAACCTCATTATGTAGTGACAGGTGTGGGATATGATGCGGTTTCTCTTCAAATAATCTGATCAATCTTTTATTCTTTAATTCATAGTACCCCCGCCGTTTTTCCGTTTTTCCGTTTTTCTCCTTTAATGCCCAGGCACGCTACAGTACCAGGCATTATCAGTACCACCTCGCATTCCTTTCCTTATTTAAAAAAAAAAAAAAGACTAACTTTCTAGCTCATTGCAGACAACCCTTCCCCTTCCTCTCCACTTCCTTTTTTTTTTTTTTTTTTTTTTTTTTTTTTTTTTTAGACGGAGTCTCCCTCTGTCCCCCAGGCTAGAGTGCAGTGGCGCAATCTTGGCTCGCTGCAAGCTCCGCCTCCTGGGTTCACGTCATTCTCCTGCCTCCGCCTCCCTAGTAGCTGGGACTACAGGCGCCCGACTAATTTTTTTGTATTTTTAGTAGAGACGAGGTTTCACCGTGTTAGCCAGGGTGGTCTCAATCTCCTGACCTCGTGTTCTGCCCGCCTCGGCCTCCCAAAGTGCTGGGATTACAGGCGTGAGCCACCGCGTCCAGCCTTCCTCTCCACTTTCTTGTACGTGCCCACCCTATCTAAAAAAAATCAAATGCTTAGCCAACCGAGATTAGTTTAAATTGTACGACCCGACCCTGGCCAATAAAAAAAGCGTACGGGGCAGGACTTGCAACAGAAATAAAGGTTCCCCTGCCCCTTTGTTCAGGTGTGCTCTCATGTAACTGGCCAAGGAGGCACCCCTGTGCGCAGAAGTAAAATTGCTTTGCTAAGAATCCTTTGTTCGAGTGTTCAATTTCCTTAGGATTTTGAACGTTATTCCTAACACAGGCTAATGGGGCTGGTGACATACGTGTTGCACAAGTTCTGAAAGGGTCATCTCATGGTCATTCGTTTACATTTATCTACAACCACTTTCTCACTTGTTTTGCCTCAGCCTTACCCTGCATATGAAGTTTGGCTTAAAATAGAGCAAAAATCAAACAATTTTCCTGTGGAAGTAGTAAATAGGGAAAAAATAAAAATAAAAACAATGGTGTTTTTTGTTTGTATGTTTGTTTGTTTTTGGTTTTTTGGGTTTTTTTGAGACAGCGTCTATCTCTGTTGCCCAGACTGGAGTGCAGTGGCGCAAGTTCGGCTCAGTGCAACCTCCACTTCCCAGGTTCAAGTGATTCTTGTGCCTCAGCCTCCCTAGTAGCTGGGTTACAGGCATGCACCATCATGCCCGGCTAATTTTTGTATTTTCAGTAGAGACTGGGTTTCACCATGTTGCCCAGGCTGATCTCAAACTCCTGGCCTCAAGGGATCTGCCCACCTCAACCTCCAAAGTACTGGGATTACAGGCATGAGCCACTGCGCCTGGCCGATGGTGTGGCTGTTTGATTGTTTGTTTTGAGACAGAGTCTCACTCTGTCACCCAGCCTGGAGTGCAGTGGTGCAATCTTGGCTCACTGCAGCCTCCGCCTCCTAGGTTCAAGTGATTCTCCTGCCTCAGCCTCCCTGGTAGCTGGAATTACAGGCACCTGCCACCATGCCTGGCTAGCATTTTTGTATTTTTAGTGGAGATGGGGTTTCACCATGTTGGCCAGGCTGGTCTTGAACTCCTGACCTCAGGTGATTCACCTGCCTCAGCCTCCCACAGTGCTGGGATTACAGGCATGAGTCACCGCACCTGGTCAATGGTGTGTTTTTTAAAGATTATAAAGTATCCCTGATTGAAATGTGGGTTACACCTTTTCATAAAGAGCACATCTTTAATCTTACTTTCTTTTATGGTCATCCATATGAATATTTTGAAACTCTATTAAATAGAATCATACAGAATGAAATTCTGTATGTTACAGAATTGTCAGTATATAAGTTTATGCTATTGTATTTACATTTGAAAGGATCTGCTGCACCATAGTTGGAGACTGGGAATTTTGACAGAAGTTGAAATACTATGATTGGATATAATATGGAAGTGGGGTGAGTATCTTTGGTGTGAAAGGAACTTCACTAACACAAGTGGCTGAGCCCCAGCTGCACATCATTATCTACAGAGGTGTGGTGTTTCAGTTTTTCTAGAGAGTCATTTCTGAACCCAAGCTGTGCAATGTCATGGAGACTACAAAGACTGCCATAGATCTAGGGAAGGATATCAAGGTTTCCATGTTGGGTTATTTTGAAAAAGCCCATATATTTATGTGACTGATTTTTAATTCATTTTATAATTATGAAACATGCCTATAAACAATGTCTACCGATTACAAATTTTGCATGCTCAGCCAGACACAGTGACTCATGCCTGTAATCCCAGCACTTTGGGAGGCCGAGGTGGGTGGGTCATCTGAGGTCAGGATCACCTGAAGTCATGTACCGGAGCCGGGCTTGGTGGCATGTGCCTATAATCCCAGCTACTCAGAAGGCTGAGGCAGGAGGATCTGGGCTCACTGCAACCTCCACCTTACTTGAGCTCAGGAGGTAGCGGTTACAGTAAGCCCAGATTGCTCCACTGCACTCCAGCCTGAGGGACAGAGAGAGACTCCATCTCAAAAAAAAAAAAAAAAAAAAAAAAAAGTATGTCCTACATAATATGTTGTAAATGAAAGAAAAGCAAATGAAGTAAATGAGGAGAAACAAGAGTCTTTATAGGTAGATACCGAGACATTAATTAGCTGCAGAGTAGGGCATGTACCTGTTCAACTTTACAATATACTGCCAAATTGCAGCAATGTATGAGAGTTCCTGTGTTCCTCCATGGTTATTTCTCTCATTATATCTCAAGTGCCTAGCATAATGCTTAATACATGGTAGAGCATAATGATATTTGACAGATGAATGAATGACAGTCAGGGTTTATTTACCATTGGGTCTATCCAAAATACAAGCCCAGCATCAACTCCTACTAGAGGCATATAGGGGCAGACCCAGGATTATGCAAGGGTCTGCCCAGAGAAGCAAAGTAGAGCACACTGCAAGGGAGGAAGAGTGACAAGGAAACCATCAAACTCCAGGTGAGAAAAGTGTGACAGGATAGGTGGGACATGGCAGCAAGGCAATCTGAGCATAGGCAATATGCAGAGATCCAGGCCGTGAATTCTTAGCTGGTGGGAACCCTAACTATGAAGGGAAGACCCCAGGTTCTGAAGGCAGGTAACAGCAAGGCAGAGACCTAGTGTTAGAGAAACAATTGGCTTTTATGGAAGGAAAAAGACTTGGAGGTGTAAAGTATTTTAAGGAGGACTGGGGCACTGAGTGGTAACTAAAGAAAATCCCAAAGTTAACATCAGATTGGATCTGTCAGACTTCATCTATGCCTTTAAATTTCAGTCCTAGACCCCCAATAGCTAATGAATGTTGTGAACCCCAAAAATCTAAGACAGGTCTCAGTCAATTTAGTAAGTTTGCCAGTGCTGAGGACTTGCTCCCGTGACACAGTCTCAGGAGGTCCTGATGACATGTGCCCAAGATGGTCAGAGCACAGTTTGGTTTTATACATTTCAGGGAGACATGAGACATCAATCAACATAGGTAAGATGAACATTGTTTCATTCTGGAAAGGCAGGACAACTGGAAGCTTGGAGGGGACTTCCGGGTCATACATAGATAAGAGACAAATGGTTGCATTCTTCTGAGTTTCTAATTAGCCTCTCCAAAGGAGACAATCAGATTTGCATTTATCTCAGTGAGCAAGGGGTGACTTTGAATAGAATGGGAGGCAAGTTTGCCCTAAGCAGTTCCCAGCTTGACTTTTCCCTTTAGTTCAGTAACCTTGGGGGGGCAGGATATTTTTCTCTCACATTTCCCCCCTTTTCTTTTTTAAAATCTTTGGAGAAAACATGTTAAAAGAAAATGAGTCTCTGATCTCAGATTTCCTCTAATTTCTCATGGGTACAATGGGTTATTCCTAGGCAGATAGGTCCTGAGTTATTAGGAAAGCTCATTTTTTAGAAGTTGTGAAGCTTCATATCCTTTAAAGATAAAATAGGGGGAGGAAGGGAGAAAAACAACAATAAGCAAAAGAACAATCCTGGAAAATTGATATAGGCCACATTACTCTGAAATCCTTACATTGGAGGCAGGTAGGAAAGTGGCTTATGTATGTAAATAGGTTGCTGTTATTTTCTTCTGAAGTTCGAGTTGTCTAGCTTCAGTTCACAGGGCTTTACGAAAGCACAGCTTAGTTTTCAGTGACTCCAAATTAGGAAAAATGGGGAAAAAAAAGAAGAAAAAAATGAGAACATTATTTTGAAGACTTGTAGCCAAGAAAAATTAGAATTTGGTCCAAACTGTAGAAAATAATAAAAATTGAAAAACATTAGGCAAGACCTAGAATCTAACAACAGGTATAGTATAGGTTTTGAAACACAGTTATTCTCTCTCCAGTTTTTAATTTTTACTCAAGACAAATCATGATAGGATTCATTTGCTTTATGATACTTGGCCAAATTATTTGTATACAGCTCAGCAAGAATAATTATTTTTTTACATAGGCTTTTAAATTGGCTTTGATAAAAGTTTGAACTAACTTTGGGAAGAACTTATTTTATAGTTTAGCTTTGAAAGAAAGATGATAACAGTCCTTTCCCAAAACAAACCTTACTGCCTGTGGACTAGACCGACAAAAGCCACAAGATTAGAAGTCACAGTAATCTTACTAAATTCAAGATGTTGGCAGGACTTGGTGGCTCCTGCTTATAATCCCAGCACTTTGGGAGGCTGAAGCGGGCAAATCATATGAGCCCAGGAGTTTGAGTCCAGCCTGGCTAACATGGCGAAACCCTGTCTATACAAAAAATACAAAAATTATCTGGGAACGGCGGCACATGCCTGTAATCCCAGCTACTTGGGAGGCTGAGGCATGAGAATCACTTGAACCCAAGAGGCAGAGGTTGCAGTGAGCTGAGATCATGCCACTGCACTACAGCCTCGGTGACAGAGTGAGACTCAGTCTCAAAAAAAGTAAATAAAGGCAGGGCATGGTGGTTCATGACTGTAATCCTAGCACTTTGGAAGACCGAGGTGGGCGGATCACGAAGTAAGGATATTGAGATCACCCTGGCTAACAAGGTGAAACCCCATCTCTACTAAAACTACAAAAAATTAGCTCCGTGTGGTGGCATGCGCCTGTAGTCCCAGCTACTCCGGACTGAGGCAGGAGGCTCAGGCTGAGGCAGGAGAATCACTTGAACTTGGGAGGTGGAGGTTGCAGTGAGCCGAGATCGTGCCACTGCACTCCAGCCTCGGTGACAGAGCAAGACTGTCTCAAAAAAACACAAATAAATAAATAAATAAAATAAAATGATGTAGCTTATTACACCAATATCAATCTCTAATTTATTTAAAGATTACACAGGGAAAGATCATTTTCTTGGGCTGGTTTTATAGTTTTGTAACCACTATGCCAAATTTTGACACCTCATAGCATTTGACAGGGATAAGTATGAAATTGCTTGATTAATAAATACAAAACAAAAATGTATGCTGGCAATTCTTAAGACATTTCTAATATTACTTTACCAATAATTTTAAAGCTAGCTTATTTATTAAAGATTTTACTTAAGTTACATAAACTTGAATAAGCATTTGACTAGTCTTTTCTTTTTTCCAATAAAGTATTTGATTCAAGCATTTTTGTTTTCTTAAGCCAATTAATTAGAGCTCTTTTATCTATTTTGAGTAGTGAAACATTCTGTACATAACATATAAATACATAGACATATTAGGCATGCTGATAAATTACATCTTATAGATTTATAAAAACCTTTTTTTCCCTATCTTAGACTTTCAGATTTTTGATAATCTGTTTCACAACCCTAGGCAGTTGTCAGGTAAACACGCTTAAATTTGCAAATTAAAGGAAACGACTCAGGTGAAATGCAAATAGCAAAATTTACATCACAAGGTACTGAGAGAAAAAGTCTGGTGATGCTAGAGGGAGATTAAAGATAGATGCCAAATCAAACATAAAATTACAGAAATCTATCGTAAGATTGGATAAGGAGACCAGTTTTATTTAGATAGGAACTACCTATCTTTTAACTGGATCCCTGAGCTGTGGGCAGAGCCCACACTGATTCCAGGGTCTCCAGAATGGGAGAATTATAATAAGGTTAGACCACATGATACTTTTTTAAGTTTTTTTAAGTGCACTTAGAAAAATTTTTTTTAAGCAAAGACATTTCTAGTGTCTAAAACACACTCTTCCTTAAAAACCCAAGAGCAAACTCTGTTGCAATAACTATGTTAGCCAAAAACAAAAACAAAAAACCAGGTAACACAATACAAAAGTGTCAGGCCTCTGAGCCCAAGCTAAGACATCATATCCCCTGTGACCTGCACATACACATCCAGATGGCTGGTTCCTGCCTTAACTGATGACATTCCACCACAAAAGAAGTGAAAATGGCCTGTTCCTGCCTTAACTGATGACATTACCTTGTGAAATTCCTTCTCCTGGCTCCTCCTGGCTCAAAAGCTCCCCCGCTGAGCACTTTGTGACCCCCACCCCTGCCCGCCAGAGAACAACCTCCCTTTTTCCTTTACCTACCCAAATCTTATAAAACGGCCCCACCCCTATCTGCCTTCGCTGACTCTTTTCGGACTCAGCCCGCCTGCACCCAGGTGAAATAAACAGCCTTGTTGCTCACACAAAGCCTGTTTGGTGGTCTCTTCACACGGACGTGAGTGAAAAAAAGTAAGCAGTTTAAGAGCTGAGAGGACCTTGTCTGTTTGCATTCTTGGGGTTCCATAAGGAAAAACAGGTTTCTCCTCCGAAGGGAGTCTGGTGCCTTCACTGTTTTCTTTAAGGAACCCCAGGCTATTACGAACTATTTTAGGTTCCCCATGCAGCAGAGGGTGCAAGAGAAAGGAGAGAGAGCAGAAACAAACAAGTGAAGAAAACAGAATTCAGTCAACTGAGAAGAAAAAACTTTTGCTCGAAAAAGAGACAAGGTCCTAGGAGAAAAGCAAAAACAAAAGCATGAGGGTCTTTTAAATACAAACACACACATATGCACACATACACACACACATCTTGGATGTTAGCTTTTAATTAAGCTGACTAGCCACTGAGCCCCTTTAAAAAATATGTTTTTAAATATCATTACCATATTTCAGCTAGGACAAATTGCTGCTATTTCAGAAGTAATAGCCATTGCTCTTTCAGTTTGGCCTGATTAGCAAAAAGGCCACCTTGCTATGTAAATAAAGCCTATTAGTAGTCAAAATCAAAGCCTTTCCTCTTTTTTTTCCTTTTGCTGGTATATTTCTCTGCTACCACACCACCGTTTTTGTAGTTGTTGTTGCTGTTGTTGTTGTCGTCGTTTTTCTGGGAATTTAGCCACTTCAGAGGCCTTGTTCCATAATTTGGAACTTCCTTTGGATTTGATCTAGTTGGATAGAGTTGATCAAACCCAATGAGAAAAAGACTGAAACAACAACAAAAACCAGAAACAAAAAACAATAACAAAACAAAAGTTAAGCAAAACAAACAATTGCACAACTTACATGATTACCAAGCACTCTAATGGTAAGGAGAAATTAAGATCAGGCGGTTGGAAATCTTAACTTTAACCAAGACAAACCCCACTTCATTTTTCATGTGCATCCGTGTGAAGAGACCACCAAACAGGCTTTGTGTGAGCAACATGGCTGTTTATTTCACCTGGGTGCAGGCGGGCTGAGTCTGAAAAGAGAGTCAGCGAAGGGAGATAAGGGTGGGACCGTTTTATAGGATTTGGGTAGATAAAGGAAAATTACAGTCAAAGGGGGGTTGTTCGCTGGCGGGCAGAGTGGGGGATCACAAGGTGCTCAGTAGGGGAGCTTTTGAGCCAGGATAAGGAATTTCACAAGACAATGTCATCAGTTAAGGCAGAAACAGGCCATTTTCACTTCTTTTGTGGTGGAATGTCATCAGTTAAGGCAGGAACCGGCCACCGGGATGTGTATGTGCAAGTCACAGGGGATACGATGGCTTAGCTTGGGCTCAGAGGCCTGACATCATTTACTTGCCTAGGGATGGATTTCAGGCTGAAGGCTGCTCTCTACCATCCTAGAAGTAGGGGGCAGCGGAGGGGATCTCATCAGGCTGGGTGCGGTGGCTCACACCGGTAACCCCAGCATTTTGGGAGGCCAGGGCAGGCAGATCACTTGAGGTTAGTAGTTCAAGACCAGCCTAACCAACATGTTGAAACCCTGTCTCTACTAAAAATAAAAAATTAGCTGGGCATGGTGGTGAACGCCTATAGTCCCAGCTACTCAGGAGGCTGAGGTAGGAGAATCACTTGAACCCAGGAGGCAGAGATTGCAGTGAGCTGAGATCGTGCCACTGCACTCCAGCCTGGGTGACAGAGCAAGACTCTGTCTCAAAACAAATAAACAAACAACAACAAAAACTCATCTTCCCTGTTGGAAGTGAGCTCAAACTCCATAAAGGAGTTATCTGCCTTCCATCATTATGGAAGCAGGGAAAACTTGCCTTCCTTGGGTTGGAAGCAAGTAAAATTCAAAAAAAGGAGTTACGTACCAAAATAAACTGTAGATCTCAACCAAATTTTGGAAGATCAGGGATTCTCTGGAGAGGGTGCTTCCAGACCTCAGCAAATTATCCTATTGGTTTGAGCCATAAAGATAGCTCAAGCTGATACCAAACACCAAAAGGAGATTTGTCAAAGGTCAGGGGCACCTCTACTTAGAATCCCTCTGTGGTTACCAAAACATGAACCCCCAAATTATGAGACAGGTCTCAGTTAATTCAGAAAGCTTATTTTGCCATGGTTGAGGATGTGAGCCCATGACAGCCTCAGGAAGTTCTGATGACATGTCCCAAGGCAGTCAGAGCAGTTTGGATTTATACATTTCAGGGAGACATGAGACATCAATCAACATATGTAAGATGAACATCATTTCGGTCTGGAAAGGCAGGACAACTGGAAGCTTGGAGGGGGCTTCCAGGTCATAAGTAGATAAGAGACAAATGGTTGCATTCTTTTGAGTTTGTGATCAGCCTCTCCAAAGGAGGCAATCAGATATGCGCTTATCTCAGTGAGAAGAGGGGTGACTGAATAGAGTGGGAGGCAGGTTTCCCTAAGAGGTTCCCAACCTTAACTTTTCCCTTTAGCTTAGTGATTTGGGGGACCCAAGATATTTTCCCTTCACAATGTCAATGATTTTCTGGCATAGTTCAGGGAGTAACCCAAAGGGTATTTGAGACAGTTCCCAAACAATTTAGAAGTTTATTTTGCCAAGGTCAAAAACATACCCGTGACACAACCTTAGGAGTCCTGAGAACATGTGCCCAAGGTGGTCAGCTACAGCTTGGTTTTATACATTTTAAGGAGACATAAAACATCAATCAATACATGTAAGATGTATATTGGTTTGGTCTGGAAAGGTGGGACAACTCAACTTGGTTGGGAGGGCTTGTGGGGAGTGGGATTTCAGGTCATAGGTGGATTCACAGTTGAAGAGTTTATCTAAAGGCGTGGAATCAATAGAAGGGAGTGTCTGGGTTAAGAAAAGCGGTTGTTGTGGAGATCAAGGCTTTTATTATGCAGATAAAGCCTCCAGATGGGAGGCTTCAGAGAGAATACACTGTAAATATTTCTCATCAGACTTAAAAAGGTGCCAAATTCTTAGTTAATTCTCTCCTGGATCAGGAAAAAGACTTGGAAAAGGAAGGGAATTCTTTACAGAATATGGATTTTCCCCACAACAGACACCATTGCAGGGCCATTTCAAAATATGTCAAAGAAATATATCTTGGGGTAAAATATTTCAGTTTTCTTCAGGGCCTGCTGTCTGCTATGTTGGTCTCTTATTGCTACAGTGTCTCCCTTCGTTGTCTTAAGGACTCTGTTTTTTTTTTTTTTTTTGAGACAGAGTCTCCCTCTGTCACCCAGGCTGGAGTGCAGTGGCACGATCTTGGCTCACTGCAACCTCCGCCTCCTGGGTTCAAGCAATTCTCTGCCTCAGCCTCCCGAGTAGCTGGGATTACAGGTGCCCACCACCATGCCCGGCTAATTTTTGTATTTTTAGTAGAGACGGGGTTTCACCATCTTGGCCAGGCAGGTCTTGAACTCCTGACCTCGTGATCCACCCGCCTCAGCCTCCCAAAGTGCTGAGGCGGGTGCTGGGATTACAGGTGTGAGCCACCGCATCCGGCCAAGGTCTCTGTTTTAATGTTAATGCTGGTCAGTAGTGACTGAATTCCAACAGGACGAGGGTATAATGAGGCATGTCTGACCACTCATTCCCGTCATGGCTTGAACTAGTGTTTCAGGTTAACTTTGGAATACCCTTGGCCAAGATGAGGGTTCCATTCAGTTCACTGGAGGCCTTAGAATTTTATTTTTCATTTACAAGCATTTATAGTGTCAGCCTGTAAATAGAGTTCTTTCTGTTCATAACTCATTTTCCTTGACCACCTCCTCCCTACTGACCATCATTTGTATTTCATTCCTTTCTCTGTCTGGTGTTTCCTGCTCTATTAGTCAGTCATTTACCCCTGGTGCCCATAATTTAATACCAAATAATGGCTTCCCAATTTTAGTTCAGTCTACTTATTGAATGATTCCAAGTTAATCTGTTAGGATTAACTATTATCCTCCTCACATACATACATATATATTTATATACACATATATATATACATAATGTCTCACTCTGTTACCCAAGCTGGAGTGCAATGCCACAATCTTGGCTCACTGCAACCTCCACCTCCCAAATTCAAGTGATTCTCCTGCCTCAGCCTCCCAAGTAGCTGGGATTACAGGCACATGCTACCACACCCAGCTAATTTTTGTATTTTTAGTAGAGACAGGGTTTCACCATGTTGGTCAGGATGGTCTTGAACTCCTGACCTCAGGTGATCTACCCGCCTCAGCCTCCCAAAGTGCTGGGATTACAGGTGTGACCCACTGTGCCCAGCCTTCCTCACGTACTTTATTGTCTCTTGTGTATTTCTATACTATTGCTTATAGTACTCACTTCAGGAAAGACCTTATTCCAACACAATGATAGGAAGGGTAAAACCAATGATTAAGACAATAATTACTGCATCAAGTTTAAGTTCTGAGATACAAAATATCTATAGTAGTAGTTTGACATTCACAATCCCAGCAATGCTTAGGACTGTGTATTCCAAAGAAGCAGCCACACAGTGTAGAGAAGTCTATACACAACATGGCACATTATGATGATGGAACAATGAAAATGATAACATTGTCCTTACTCTTCCATCTTTGTCCAATGTTTCCTATTGTAAAGATATAACAACACTGTTCCTTTGTGATGCCATAGTCTCCCTACCCATGGAAGAGATATGGTTAAGTTTTATTCAGTAATTTATTCACTAATTTGATGGTTAAAAATATCAAAGTATGGGCCAGGTGTGATGGCTCATGCCTGCAATCCCAGCACTTTGGGAGGCCGAGGTGGGCAGATCACCTGAAGTTGCGAGTTTGAGACCAGCCTGGCCAACACAGTGAAACCCCATCTCTACTAAAAATATAAAACTTAGCTGGGCATGGTGGCACGTGCCTGTAATCCCAGCTATTCTGGAGGCTGAGGCATGAGAATTGCTTGAACCTGGGAGGCAGAGGTTGCAGTGAGCCTAGGTTGCGCCACTGCACTCCAGCCTAGGTGACAGAGCAAGACACTCTCTCTAAAAAAGAAAAAAAATTTCAAAGTATGTGCAATGAAGAACCATATTTAATAGACACATAAATATTAATTAATTAATTAAGAAATAAATCTACTTATCTCTGAAAATACTGCTGATTGATCTGAGGGACTTGAACTTCAGCTGTAATCAGATATATATATTTAATTAATCCATTGTAGAATTTTAAACTGTAAGCTCTTTCATGAATTTCCCATAATCAGTAGTTTCATGGAATACTGACAAATGAAATATTCTCTACCTTCACTCCTTTTCTGGCACTCATAGGGAATGAATAAAATATTAGACACCAATACAATGTAACAAATCTCAAATATTAAGTGCATAGAATGTACAATTAAACTGAGGATTTCTGATAAGCCTAATTCTACAAAATCTGAGTGCCCACTACTATAGCAGTAGGTACTACTTCAAAATTCAGGCCACACAGCCTCTCTTAAGTCTGCAAAATGTGTAACTTGTGTCCTGCCATAAAGTCAACAAGTATCTTTTTATCATGCTAGATCCCCATTCTTTTCACAGTGAATTTTCAACAAGATCATCTATTTAAAGGACAGCAAAGAATCTGACACATAGTAAGCTATTGGTTCATCATTTATTCATGCAATACTTATTCCTAGAAGTATTTCCTAATATGGGGAAAAGATTCAATAAGATCATCTATTTAAAGGACAGCAAAGAATCTGACACATAGTAAGCTATTGGTTCATTTATTTATTCATGCAATACACATTCCTGGAAGTATTTCCTAATGTGGGGCATAACTCTATGGCTTTGTGCCTTAACACAATCTAACTGATGTACATATTCTAAAAACTCACATGCAAGTCTGTGTATATACAGATCCATCTATCCTTTCTATTCACAGAAAGAGAATATTTGTTCTTACTAGTTAGGGCTAGAATGTTTTGTAACTGCATATCTTTATTCCTGGGCCATCTTGGAAATTACTTGACATGGGGAAAAGAAGAAAGATGAGGAGGAAGAGGTAAGAAGGAGGGGGAAGAATGCAGGAATAGAAAACATTAATCCAATGAAATTTTGAAATGATTATTTCCTGTTTTTACTTTTTATACAGTCTGGAGTTTGTTTGGTATTTATACAGTCTGGAGTTTTGTTTGGTGATAACTAATTAATACACAATCTCATTCTCTCTGATTTTCTTTTTTATCTTCTCACATTTTTCCAATTACCATGTATTACTTTAGAGAGTATGCAAAAAATATAGCAGGAAAGCTGAAATAAGAATAAACAAGATAACTTTAAGACTATTAGTTACCACCACCGTTCGCTTGTGCCCTTACATAGACTTGGCATATGATCCTGGAAGTGTCATCTCCTGTAGCAAACTGCTGACCTTGGCAGGTGAAGGATGTTCTGTCACTTCAGGGAAAGGCATTATGAAGGAATAATAACAGGCAAAATTAAATGAAGACAGTGCCAACCAATACGTAGGTGGAGCTAGAAAACCAGCCCAAGAGAGTTTCAATCTACTAAAAAAGGAATGGGATGACTGGGAATAATTAAAATCAATGGCAAGATGTCCTTTCCTCTCAAATTGACTGCAGCAAGAGCCAGGCAAGGGCTAAATAATTCTTGTTAAAAGGAAAGAAATAAGTAACCCGAGCGTTACTCATATGAAAACTTTCACACACCTGTCCTCTTGCTATTTATTAATTTTATTCTTACTCAAATCTCAAAATAATTTGATATCTCCTTTTTGCCACTGGAAAGGGATGAGCATTAGTAATTTATACCTATAGATCTAAGCTCTGATGAAGGGCTACATTTTTTAAAATAGTAAAAACAATAATTTATGCCTTGCCTTTTTTCTGAGAAGTAGGACAGCAATATTTTAAATGGAATAATTGCCATATGGTCCTGAAACATTCACATGTATATATACAACCTCTCATTAGACGTAACAAATACTGGATGATATGTAGAAACTAATCTTGACCAAAAAACCACAACAAAAAAATCCTGATTTATGGCATATGCCTTTACAGAAAATTTACCTAGTGTGGTAAGTATGCAGCTAGAGATGGCCTTAGAAAAAATACTGTAGGTTGGCCAGGCATGGTGGCTCACGCCTGTAATCCCAGCACTTTGGGAGGCCGAGGCAGGTGGATCACAAGGTCAAGAGATGAGACCATCCTGGCCAACATGGTGAAACCCCGTCTCTACTAAAAATACAAAAAAAATTAGCTGGGCTTGGTGGCATGTGCCTATAGTCACAGCTACTTGGGAGGTTGAGGCAGGAGAATAGCTTGAACCCAGGAGGTAGGAGTTGCAGTGAGCCAAGATCATGCCACTGCACTCCAGCCTGGTGACAGTGCGAGAGTTTGTCAGAAAGAGAGAGAGGAAAGAAAAGGAAGGAAGGAAGGAAGGAAGGAAGGAAGGAAGGAAGGAAGGAAGGAAGAAAGAAAGAAAGAAAGGAGGGAGGGAGGGAGGGAGGGAGGGAGGGAGGGAGGGAGGGAGGGAGGGAAGGAAGGAAGGAAGGAGAAGGAAGGAAGGAAGGAAACTGTAAGTACATTTTTTTTTTTTTTCTTACATGTACTGGTTTATTATAAAGGATATTGCAAAGGATCCAGATGAAGAGAACCATAGGGGAAGGTATGAAGGAAGGGGCCCGGAGCTTCCATGCCCTCCCTGGGTGCGCCACCCTCCAGGAAGTGCCACATGTTCAGCTATCCGGAAGCTCACTGAACCCTGTCCTCTTGGGTTTTTATGAAAGCTTCATGACATCAGCATTCCTTCCCTCAGGATATAGGATGGAACCCTCTCCTGTGAGAGTCTTAAGCGTCACAATTAGAAAGTGGGGAAACATTAGAGTGAAAGTAAGGCAGGAGAAGGTCAGAGGCTTGCTCCTGAGGCCTAACATACCCAACATTATATAAAAAAAAGAAAATATTGTAACAAGGGATATAGGAGTTATAAGCCAGGAACTGTGGACTAAAACCAGTGTATATCATAACACCACAGGCCACTCCCTGGTTTTCCACCATGGTGCCTTTACTTCAAAAATATATATATTATGCACAATCATTAACAATTAATCAAATCCTTCATATTGTTTGAATGTCTTCCAGGATGAGGCCACTCAGGGTTGCAAGTTTCCTCTCAATCTTGTCAGGTCTCGAAAGCAGGAGTGGCCTCAGTAAATACGCAGCTTCACCCTTTAAGGCATCTGGGATAATTAAGCTAAGAGACAATGTCATCTCTTGCTCTGAGACTCTTTTGAGTTGTTATGTAATACTGAATTTTTCTCAATTAATAACTCATTTATTCATTTATTTACTCTCAGCTACTATTTCTCCTTCTCTCCATTAATACCTAAACCTTTTCACCTTTGGAAGAGAAATTAGAACCACCACAGTGCCGGTCTACATTGCAAGTAGTAATACAAGTCTAGCAATTAGCTCCTTCTCAGTCCACGCCAATTCAGACCGGGTAAGGTTACATAGGTGCAGAACTAGTGAGCTATTTTTACCACCAGGCAATATAGCTGCATTCACTGATAGCCCCAATTTTTCTAGATAGCATGAAGACACAACCCACTCCCATCATGCCTTTGGGAATTTTGATATAAGGTTTCAAAACACAGTTACAGGTTTTTGCTTAGAAATCACCCCTGCTAATCCAGCAGTTGTAATTGCAGTCCTGGTCCTAGGACCACTGCATCAGCCAGGGGAGAAAAAAATAAATTTCTTTTAGGTGATTTGGGGAAGAAAGAAAAACTTACATTTGTTATACCAGTGTACTCGTCCCTTGGCAAGAATGGCATAGTCATACCAGCATCCTCCCAACTCCCTGTTCCCCAGATCAACCAGAAAAACAAAGAAAAAAAATCTAGCAGAAACACTCTAGTCCTGCTCATGTTGAGTGTGAGCAGACAGGAAGGCATGTGAGCCAGCCCTTTGTGCTTTTATCTCCCCCTGTTTTACACAATCAATGTTTCAATTGCCTGCTCTACTGCTCTATCAAACTATTACTCTAGGTGGATATCTCTTTGTCCATTGTTGGACTATTCTTATGGGCTGTACAGTGTGTTCCTTGGTCTGAAAAACTGATGGTTAGCCATCTATATCCATGTAATATCTTCTGTTCCGGTTTTTTATGGCACTCAGAGAATTTTCATCTTCTTCTGGGCAAGCAACATCCACTCCATAGCCAGTGTCTATTCCTGTCAAGACCCATTTGTAGCCTCCAGGGCTACCAGCATTTGTCGCACTTGCCAGCTATGTTCAGGGCCTTCCCACCAGAGAATCTGTCCCAAAGCCGTCAGCAGTCTCTGGCTTTCTTATTGAGAAACACAACAGTTCTTTCTGGCATTTTGTGCCTGAGAAGGTGCAAAAAAACCATCTCTACATTCAGCCCATCTCTGCCCTGTTACAATACTCCCATATCCACTCATTTCAAAGGCCCAGGTGGCCACTTCAAGGGAGTACATGGGGATATCTGCTTGTCAATTCCAGTCACTTTCTGAACCTGGAAGGGAGTTCTTCTGATGGGCATTCACTTGTTCTTCTTTAATGCACCCCTCAAATCTCCATAGAACAGTGCTCCTATGTGCATCCATTTAATAGGCCAAATTTCCATGGCCCTCTTGCCTGAGTGTATGGCCAGGCCATGGGTCACACTGCCCACAGCTCAGTAAACACCCAAACTCAGGGGCTTTTACCATTGATCAATTCTTCCATCACTGTTAGAAAAACAGTGTGCAATTCAGCCCACCAAGCAGATCTGTTTTTACCTTCTTTTATCAAAGTAGCTGCCTTCCAAACACAATGGTGTCCATTTACCTTGGAATTACTGGCCACAAACTAAGTAGCTCTTTCTCATGAGTTGAGAGCCATTTATCAGGCACTGTAGAATCCAGCAGTTTCTCACACAGTTCCAGAGTCAGTCTCAGGAGAAAAGAAACACCCTGCTCAAGAGTATCCCCTCCTTGCAGTTCTTAGGTGGCATGATCCTCGATAAACCATGTCCATTTTATTATGGAACTCTCCTGGGCACTGCCATCCCTGTTAGAATGTTTCTCTGACATCGCTGGGCCAACATGGGTATTTCAGGTGTTAATAGCGGTAGCTTCACCTAACATTTCACAGCAAAGCAGTAAATGCCCCTCAGATGGAAGTTCCATAGTCCAAAGTCCCAGTAGATGTTGCTGGGAGGTGCTCAGAGGCTTTTGCCACAAGATCCAGGAAATAGCATCACAGAGGCTTATCAAGTGGAGAATTTATCCATAACAGCATTCTAGCTTCTACTCTGCACTGTGTGGACTTGGGCAATCTCACTGGTTCCCATTTAGCATGTCCAATTAATATTGCTTGAGGGCAGATTATTACATGCCTTCTGTTTTACAGCACCAGGGAGGAGAAATATTTCCCAATGAGATACTTTGTTCATTCCCACAAAAAAAAAAATCAGGTAAAAGAGATGCAATCACTTCACATAAAGTGTTTTCAAATATACCAACTTCCATAGTCCTATCAACTCTTACATTTTTATGTTCTAGTTTCAGGATCTTCTCTTCTTTACCCCCAGGTCATTTTACCCTCTCTTGTGTAAAAAGCTTTGGGTCCCCAGCCAAGGATTGAGCCCAAGGACCCTGGCCCTTTTATTAATCTTTATCTCGATTAGTCTGCCTGACTGTTGCCCCAGGCAATTTTAGATCTGATTTTTCATTGTAATCTCTGCCTTCCAGCTTTTTAAATTTCTCCAAGCTGGCAGAAATACAGCAGACTGGTTTGCGGCCTTTTAATGTTGGGGGACAAGATGGGGCCCCCTCTGGTCCATCCAACCTACAATAGTGTTGTATTAAGACCTTTGCTTAACCCCATCAATGTCTATTTTATTGATTCTATTTCTTAATAAGCATCTAAAGTTTTCCATTCTGCTGGGACGAGTCCCATGACTCTCCCCTTTCTTTTTCTTCTTAGTTTCACCCCATCAATGTTTTCTTCATTCACCTTATTTTTTAATAACCATTTTAAAATTTCTATCTTCCGGGGATGAGTCTTTGACTCTCCCTTTTGCCTTTCACTGTTCTCTTATTAATTAACCTAATGTTTTTATTAGCATCTGTGAGATCCATGAGGGGAAACTCAGTCCACAAATTTGATAAGGCTTCTTGAACTATTTGAGTCTGCAGGAGTAATGTCACATGGGGTCCCCTTAACCAGAGTATTTACCGTGACCTGGGTAATGGACATATTCACTGAGTGAATATTCATGTCCTCATAAAGCCAGTCACACATGGCTTGCATATGAATTGTATCAGCTGCCTTATGTAAGGTGTTCCACTTGGCATTTATAGGTGGAGTTCAACAGTCCACCTTCTCAAATAGATCTTATAATGGCTTTTATCCAATCTATCAGACTGGCTGTTCCTTGCGGAATAACCTACATATCTGGATCATATATACCCATCTGTGATTGTTCAAATGGTCAGCTGTGGGTCCTATATCAACCCAAACATGCTCTTCACTCTGCAAGATTTGAAACCAAAGACACTGCCCCTACATTTGTCATTCTTATAATCCATTTTAGCAATAGTTCCTCAGGAAGCTGATAACACCATTCTACAAAAATGAAACAATTCCTTCACACTATACTCTCCGGTTTTGTTACCAGCTGTGAATCCAACAGGTCTGCAGCAAACGATTCTTGCCTGCAAGGAGGAAAGAATACATTGGCATCGTTCCAAGGTTTGCATTTCTTCTCCCCTGATTCTTCCCTTGGGGTGGGCTATCTGCATGCACACTGGTCCGCCAGCACTTGGGGAGGGGCAACATGCACACTGTGTTTGCCAAAGTTGTACACATGCTCATTTGAGGCATTTTTTCCTTACCAGTCAGGTTTTCCTAGAGAAAGATCATATACCAGTTAATCTCTGCCATTTTGCTTTTTAGTGGGCATTCTTGAGCCTGTTCACCCAACTCCTGAAATCTTATCAGGAAGCTGCTGATCACCAGTTTCAGGTATTGTCTATTTATTGGGAGACTGTTTTTCCCTGCACTGGCTGTGACCAATTATTATTTTAGAGCAACAGTTTAACAACCAACTAACCATCACCTGATGGTTGCCTGGCATTTCTGGATGGGGCCTCGCTCCTGTCCTGCTCATGCCTACCTAACTACCTACTCTAATAGTTTAAATAGTTACTTGGTTTTGCCCTGCCTTCACATTGACTGTCTTCCACAGGTTTCAGAGGTACTTTCTACTGTCCCTGCATAATTTTCTCCTTTGTGTGTGACTTTGAGGCTAGTGGCCTAACTAAGCTCAGACATGTCCCCATCTGAACTTGGTCCAACTTCAAGTCCTGATGCAGCACCCTATTTTACTTTCATTTTAGCAATTTTAAGTAACAACAACCAAAGGACTGAATATTTTGCTTTTTTCTTATTAGTTTGCATTCCCTTTTGCATCCAGTGAACCAATTCCTGGGGAGTTCTATCCATCTCTAAATTCCGCTGGTAACTTTCACCTGTAGTAACTGATCTCAACACAACTGCAACTTCATATCATGGGTGACCACGATGGTCACCCAGGAATCAAAGATTCCTCATCCTCCCAGCCTTTTAGCCTTTCTCTTCCTAAACCACATGTTTCTGTGAGTGAGGGCTGTTCTAGCAAATCCCATTTCACTGACATCAATTGTGTAGGGGAACTCTCCCTAACTGTGTTTTCTCTCTCCTCTGACAACACAACAGTCATCAACACAGAAGAAGAATTCTATGACCAAATGCATGGAGTTTTTTCCTAACACACCAAGCGGCAGACACCAGCTGGATGTTCTTTAGTTCCATTCCAATCCTATCTACCCAGAGGTAGAGTCAGATTCCACAAACTGAGGGCTCCGTCCCCAAGACTGCCAACTACACACAAACCAGTTGCAAGTCTGGGCCTCTGGAACTTCTGACCACCGCGCTTCAAGTTGCAGTTCCCATGACCCCTTTTTTGGGTTCAGTTAATTTGCTGGAACAGCCCACAGAACTCAGGGAAATGCTTACATCTACTGGTTTATTGTAAAAGATATTGCAGGCTAGGTGCGGTGGCTCATGCCTGTAATCCCAACACTTTGGGAGGCCGAGGCAGGCGGATAGCTTGATGTCAGGAGTTCGAGACCAGCCTGGCCAACACTGTAAAAATGCCGTTTCTATTAAAAATACAATAATTGGCCAGGCATGGTGGTGTATGCCGGTAATCCCAGCTACTTGGGAGGCTGAGGCAGGAGAATTGCTTGAACTTGGGAGGAGGAGGTTGTAGTGAGCCAAGATCGCACCACTTCACTCCATCCTGGGTGACAGAGCAAGACCTTGTCTCTAAAAAAAAAAAGTAAATAAAAGATATTACAAAAGATACAGATGAAGAGGTGCATAGGGTGAGACATAGGGGAAGGGGCACAGAGCTTCCATGCCATCCCTGGGCACACCGCCCTCCAGGAACTGACATGTGTTCAGCTATCCAGAAGCTCTGGTACATACATTTTGTTATTGCACCTGAAAAGTTGTTTGAAACTAGTTTCATTTATATGCTACAACAGACACTTGTAGACACAGAAGTAAGCCAAAGTAAATTATGGATGAGAAATATTTGCTGAAAGATAAATCATTTTTCTTAGGCTAGTCTGTGATCTTAAAGTTTTCTTCTCATGCTGCACAAGGACATATATTACAAGATAAGAGGGAATATCTGCTTCCTATAAAGTCTGTATACCCTCTTCCTGGAAGAGAACACTAAGACATAAGGAGAGATCTTTCCATAAACTTCTTTAATATGGGACTTTATTAATTTAATGTATTTATTAATACATTTAATAAATGTATATGCTTCAACTAAAAGATGGCCAATAGCCAAAGTAAGGAAGAAATAATCAGTAAGGTTTATAATATGCTTTCATTTTTGCCTCTTATCTCAAAATTAATGAAAAGTTTTTCCTTGGCTAGAGTGCTCAGTTCAATAAGCATTTATGTTTCTACTATTTAAAAAAATGATCTCTGTAAGGCTTTATGCTAAAAGATGTCATAGAAAATGCAAAAACAAAAAATAAACAAATTCTTTCCCCCATGAACTAGCACTTGAAACTTTGAGCTTATATAAATTTTAAAACAGAGTGACAGACTTTTCTGTATTGATATCCCTCATCTAAGGAAAAAAAATGCCTTAAACCTTTGCGTACTACCAAATAAGGCATGATTCTCCATTTAAGCAATACTTAGTTTTCAACAGAGAAAATAAAACGTGCTTTATCCAGACTACCCTTGTAAGAGTTTAGAAATCAGATGCTGCTTAAGAACCTGGGACAAACAAACAGAAAAATAGAATGGATTGGTTCCTCGAGAAAAGTTGGTATTTTGCCAAGCTTGCTTTTTTAGAAGTGTTTTCACATCCCTACACTTCTTCAGTGCTTTTGAATTATGCCTAATGGAGATATTCCATTTTTCCTATTTCTATAAATGTAATTTAAGGAAAAGGGTTCAGCAAATATGTTCCTCAACCTTGGAGCTCATAGCCGGTCTTTAGTTTTCCATCTCAAGTATTGTGTTCCTCATCCTGGAAACCACATATATGTTTATAGGTTTGGTAGTATAAAAGATAGAAAGAGGATCCTTGAGGGCTATTCTAAAAACACTTTAATTATAGAATTATTGTTCTTCAAACTCTCCCTGTTTCGTTTTGTTTTTTTCTTGAGACAGTGTCTCATTCTGTGGCCCAGGCCAGAGTGCAGTGGCACAATCTCAGCTCACTGCAGCCTCCGCCTTCTAGGTTCAAGCAACTCACCTGCCTCAGCCACCCTACTAGCTGGGATTACAGGCGTACACCACCATGCCCATCTAATTTTTGTACTTTTTGTGGAGACAGGGTTTTGTTGTGTTGCCCAGGCTGGTCTCGAACTCCTGAGCTCAAGTGATCCATCCTCCTCTGCCTCACAAAATGCTGGGATTACAGGTAGGAGCCACCACACCTGGCCAACTCCTTTCTTTCCTACATGAGGTCAAGGCCAAATGCTCTCCACTTGGAGGCCTTTTTTGATATCTTGCTAATTCTAGGAGGAGTTTTGTGCTTATTAAAATCCAAAGACATAAACCACATTGCAATTCAAAAGTAGAAAGATAGTAGGATCTGGCTGGGCACGGTGGCTCATGCCTGTAATCCCAGCACTTTGGGAGGCTGAGAAGGGTGGATCACCTGAGGCCAGGAGTTTGAGACCAGGCTGGCCAACATGGAGAAACCCCGTCTCTACTAAAAATACAGAAAATTGGCCAGGGGTGGTGGCAGGCACCTGTAATCCCAGCTACTCAGGAGGCTGAGGTAGGAGAATCGCTTGAACCCAGCAGACAGAGGCTGCAGTGAGCCAAGATCGTGCCATTGCATTCCAGCCTGGGCAACAAGAGCAAAACTCCATCTCAAAAAAAAAAAAAAAAAAAAAGGAAAAACAAGAAAGAAATATACGATCAGTTGGAGAGACATCCTCCTGGCTTCAGATGCACATTGCAAGCGGGCAGGGTTGGGGCATGAAGAAAACTCCTCACTCAAGTAAACAAAGCCCATTAGGTTCACTCGTTACCACAGCAGCCTCTGTAGCCAAGATCTGTGATGACAGCTAAGTTTACAGCTATCACAATATCAGCTATCACCATGTAAAAAGGATTATTTCACTGTCACAGCTCATTAAGAGACAGGCTTGTTATGAGATTTTGGCTTAGATTTTTATTTAGGATGTTTGGATTTTTTTAAATTATCACTTAGATATTATCTGTATCTGAAAAAATTATCAAATACTAAATTAATAAACTAATATGCTGTCTGAGAAAAACAGATTTTCATATCATTTTAATTGCTGCTTTTATGCTAAATAGAATTGATCTTGTTTTCCTTAAAACGGTGCATGCTAATCTAATTGTTACGATGATTATCAGTTTCAATTTTTGTCAGTACAAGTTACCTGTTCCAGTACTCTTCCTTTTAAAGATTTCTCAGTTGTATTATCTGTTAATTCTTATAGATAAACTTTTTAATCATTTCATCAAGACTTCTCTTAGAACAAACATCTAATTTATTTGTTCTACCAAAATATATCCCAGATTATCTTAGGTTAAATATAAATATAAAAATGAGCACCAGAAACAATTGGAAGAAACCATAATTGAATATTCATTTCATCTCTAGGCGGAGAAAGAATTTCTAAGCATGAAAAGCAAAAGAAGAAACAAAATGAAAAGACAGATAGATGTGACTGTTCTTGGCCTTTCCCTTTTTCCTGCATTCATTTTACTAGCTAGGTAATCCTGGATGAGATACTTGCCTTTTCTGTTCCTTTGTGTCCTCTTCTATACAGCTGAGAAATAAACTCAATCATGATGAGATTATGGAATATCAACTGCATGAACTATTAGGCAGACATTTAAAAACACATTAAAGAAGTATAGAAATAAAAAATCCTTTCTGTGATCTAAATAGATTTAGAAGTTTGTTTTGCCAAGGTTAAGGACATGCCAGGAAGAAATGAACATGGAATAACAGAAGCAGTCTGTGGTCTGTGCCTTTCTCCAAGGATGAATTTGCAGGCTTCAATATTTAAAGAGGAAAAGCCAGCTGGAGGGGAAAAGGGGAGAGTATGGTAATCCACAAGCTGCAGAGGAAAATGAATAAGTAGGGGAATTGTCAGTTAAGTATTGATCTTGGGCTCAGTAAATCGGCACTTTACATAAAATAAGGTGAACATGGAGTAGCAGTCAGTGGAGATGTTTAACTTTTATCTGTAGCTATCTGCTTAGGAACAAAAGGAAAGGCAGTTTCTTGCATGACTCATCTTTCAGCTTAATTTTTTTCTTTTTTGGCATAGTGAATTAAGGTCCCAAGTTTTTCTTTTTCATTCACACTGAAATCAATATTTCCATGGTCTTTCTCAATTCTAATGTTATGTGTTGTTTCAAAATAACTGAGTTTATATATATACAGGAAATTCCTATCTTTTATTTTCATTGAGAAATATTTGATCGCAGTGAAATTAATAGAGAAAAAAATTTGTTGATGACTAGTTATCTTACAAGAACATAAGAAAGTAGCTACCAGATTATAATTATTGCTGCAGTTCTTAAAGGGAAAAATGCTTTAATGGTCTCTCCTAAGTTACTGCATTATGTTCTTTATGAGGAAAAACTTCAAAGCATGCAGTGTACACCTAAGGCAACAACCCTCAAAAATCCCTTTAATTGAGTTATGAAGTGCCAAGCCAACTGCATCATGTTGGTGGAATCTTAGAATTTGGCCCCTTGGTGTCATTGTTGTAGGAGTTATTAAGAAATTATTTTAGGCAGATAGAGAGGAAAAGGGGTCCTTGGGAAGTTTTCGTTTTTAAAGCAGCTCTTAGAGCCAGGCTGGCAACCTTTGATATGCAAATGCCATCCATTAGAAACTGGGTCCACCCAAACATGGCTATTCCCACTGCCATCTTGACCTTGCCCCACACTTCCTGGCAACATGGCCGCCCCCACATATCCCCACGTGGGTAGAACATCATGGTGCCCTGCATTGGCATATTAAAAGGCTAGGGTGGGAGGGCAGGCTTTTTCCTGGGCTATATGAATGACATGCTTTGTCAAACCAATCCCCTGAGCCCTATACAAATCAGACACTGCCTCCTCCAGCCTCTGTATATATACCTGGCTGGTATCCCTGCCAGATGGGGTTCCCTCTCTCGGCTTTGGAGCCCCCCTCCCTCTGTCTCTGTACAGGAGAGCCTCTTCCTTCTGCCTTCTCTTTTCTTTCTTGCCTATTAAACTTTCCGCTCCTTAAAACCACTCCACGTGTGTCAGTGTCGTTTTATCTAAACCAGCATGAGGACGTAGAACTTGGTGTTCCTCCACTCATCGGCGCTGTATCATCATCATGACAACGTTCAAACATTTTAACAATGTGCATATTAATGACTGGTCACCTGCATAATTCCCCTAGAAATCTGCCTACTAATCTCACCACTCACAGAAGCAGTTGTGAAACTGTTGATGTGTGTAGTTATTTCTAAAAAGCCCCAAGACAGATATTAATTATAGTATAAGGGTGGGTGGATGCATATAATTTGGGATTTTAAACTCAGAGATACTTATCTAAAAACTCCATGACAACGAAACTTTGTCAGTGATGCTTTCACACATGCAAGGAAGATTCAGCTACCTGGAGAATGGAGGGTGTAGTCACCCCAAAAATAAGCTGGGTTATGCTTTGATTGCAAAGGCCTGGGGCAAATGCTAAAAAAAAATTGTTCCTCTTCGGCTTTCTTTTCTTTGTTTTTAGTGTTGTAAATGCTGAGCAGCCTCATTCACAGTAGTCAGAAAATTTGATCTTTGGCATTGAAATTGAAATAGCAGTTTCTCATTTTCAGGAAGCAAAGAATCTCATTTATCCAAGGGAGAGGCAGTCACTTTTCTGTGGACTGGTAAATCCCTTCCATGTTTACCTGGGAAAGACCTCTTGGAAGTTGTACTTTTGTAGCTAAAATTGTCAGTTTGAAAATATGATGTGACTTAGAAATCTTTTCCCCTGCTATTACAGTAGTGTCATTGACTCGTTTCTAAGAAACTATCATGAAACTCTTATCTGAGGAGCCATTACTTTTTATTACTAAGTTGGGCAGGTTTTAAAACTAGCGACATGGAGCGACAATGTCTGAAATGTAAGTCAGTCATCTTTATTGTTCTAAATAAGGGTTTAAAGCATATAACTATTATAATATGTGATCTAACAAAATGGAAGGAGGGAAAGACGAGAGAGAGAGAGAGAATGGCTTTGTGGAACAAATTGTGAGCATTAAGCTAGATATAATAGAGCTGCTAATCAGATCTAGCTCTTCATATGAGATTTCCACAGGCATAAATACTAATTGGGATGGAGTCATCTACTAAATAATGAGTTCATGCTAAAGGAGTCATCCAGACCATCCTTCTTACAGACTTTAAAGACTGACAATTTCTAAAGTCCCTCAAATATGTTTTAATATTCATCTCTCGGCCGGGCACGGTGGTTCATGACTGTAATCCCAGCACTTAGGGAGGCCGAGGCGGGTGGATCACCTGAGGTCAGGAGTTCGAGACCAGCCTGGCCAACATGGTAAAACCCCGTCTCTACTAAAAACACAAAAATTAGCCAGGCATGGTGGTGGGTGCCTGTAATTCCAGCTACTTGGGAGGCTGAGGCAGGAGAATCGCTTGAATCCTGGAGGCAGAGGTTGCAGTGAGCCGGGATCATGCCATTCCATTCCAGCCTGGGCAACAAGACTGAAACTTGGTCTCAAAAAACAAAACAAAACAAATATTCATCTCTCCTCCTTGCTTTGCAAATTGCAGCTCTCTGAGGTTCTTCTCTACTCTGCAGACTAAATTAGCCACTTCCTTCTCTTTGTCTGCAGAATACCTTATAGATTCCTCTTTTGTAATCATAGCTAATACATATAATGCTTATTCTATGCCTCTATGCCAGCCATTGTTCTAGGTTCTTTTTTTTTTTTTTTTTTTTTTGAGATGGAGTCTCTCTCTGCTGCCCAGGCTAGAGTGCAGTGGCACAGTCTCGACTCACTGCAACCTCTGCCTCCTGTGTTCAAACTATTCTCCTGCCTTAGCCTCTCGAGGAGTGGGGATTACAGGCATGTGCCACCACCCCCAGCTAGTTTTTGTATTTTTAGTAGAGATGGGGTTTCGCCATGTTGGCCTGACTGGTCTGGAACTCCTGACCTCAGGAGATCCACCCACCTTGGCCTCCTAAAGTGCTGGGATTACAGTCGTGAGCCACTGTGCCCGGCCCGTTCTAGGTTGTTTACATAGATTAACTCATTTAAACTTCAAGTAATTCCAGGGAAGTTTCTGTTACTATCCTCATTGAGGCACACAGATTTTACATAACTTTTCAAAGGTTACCCATCCAGGCCAGGCACAGTGGCTCACTCCTGTAATCCCAATACTTTGGGAAGCCAAGATGGGAGGATTGCTTGAGCCCAGGAGTTCAAGACCAGCCTGGGCAACATAGTGATACCCACAAAAAATTTAAAAATTAGCCAGGCGTGGTGGTGCACGCCTGTGGTCCCAGCTACTTGGAAGGCTGGGGTAGAGGATTACTTTAGCCCAGGAGGTCAAGGCTGCAGTGACCTGTGATTCTGCCACTGCATTCCAGCCTGGACAACAGAGTGAGACATTGTATCATAAAGAATAAAGTATGGCCGGGCGCTGTGGCTCACGCCTGTAATCTCAGCACTTTGGGAGGCTGAGGCAGGCAGATCACGAGGCCAGGAGTTCCAGACCAGCCTGGCCAACATGGTAAACCCTGTTTCTACTAAAGATACAAAAAATTAGCCGGGTATGGTGGCACGGGCCTGTAATCCCAGCTACTTGGGAAGCTGAGGCAGGAGAATCACTTGAACCTGGGAGGTGGAGGTTGCTGTGAGCCGAGATCGCACCATTGCACTCCAGCCTGGGCAACACGAGTGAAACTCCGTTTCAAAAAAAAAGTGGGAAACTGTTAAAGGTTAAAAATGTGAGCAAATCTGACTCCCCTTCAAAAGTTTAACACCTCTTTCTTCTTTACACATTCTCCAATAATTCAGTTCTCTTAAAACAAGATTTCCATCATCTTATACACTGACTACATTTTTCCTTTTGAGTTCTTAACTACCTATGTCTTAGATCAGAAATTCTGAGCCTTTTTTTTTCCTCTTGGCACAGAGACTATTCCTCTAGTAGGACAAGCTGCAGGTAATACATAATTGTCATCCATAGGACTTACTAAAACTTTACCCTTTCCCTCCGTGACTTTTTTTTTCATGTCACTCACTCCTTCCTAATATTCTCTCCTAGGTGAGTATCACTGACTCCCATTCCCAGGCTTGGGAATCACTATCTAATACTACTTAACTTTTCTTTGTTTCTGGGTTTTATTCTGTGTGGAAGAAATAGTTATTCATTTCCACTTTTCCATCTATTTCTTCACTAATGATCCTATATAGGATACACTCTGGTTTCTAACAATTCTTTTTTATATAATCCCCATTCTTTTCTGACATTCCAACAGATAAAATTCAGACTTACAAATATTATTTATTAATAATATAGATTTATTTAATCTACCTAACATAATTTATTCTGCATCATATTTTTTAGTATGACAGTTACTGTATTTGCCATGCTAAGACTTGCTAGCTGCTATAAACAACCATCCCAAAATCACAATGACTTCACAAAACAAAATCACAGCCCAAAGTTGGTGAGACAGCTCTTTTCAGCAATTCTTTTCCAAGTGTTAACCAGAGAAGTTCCACTATCTCAGGATACTTTACTGAGAGACAGGGAGAGATTTGTTAAAGGATATAAAATTACAGCTAGATAGGAGGAATAACTTATAATAATCTATACTACTGTAGGATGACAGGAGTTAACAATAATATATAGTTTCAAATAGCTAGAAGGAAGATATTGAACATTCCCAACACAGAGAAATGATAAACATTTGAGCTGATAGATATGCGACTCTCCCTGATCTGATTATTACACATTATATGTATGGAAACATCATTATGTGCATGAATATGTACAATAGTCATAAGACAGTAGAGTGAGTACATGAATGATTGTGAAGAACATTTAAAGAGCCAAGTTTGGAAGTGACACCAGTGAGTTTCGCTCACATTCTATTTCTCAGTCATATGATTGCAATCTAACTCCAAGAGAGGCTTTGAACTATAGCAGTTTCCATCTGCCCAAACAGTAGAAATAAGATTGGTGAGCATCTAGGCTGTTTCTGCCACAGTCCTCCTTTCTGGTCATGCATCATCCCTTTTATTTATCTTTCCACACATGAAACATATTCGCCCCATCACTGACTCAAAACTCTTAATCACTGACTGCATCAGCCCAAAATTTAGGCTCTTCAGTTGATATTCAGTCCTTTCCATCTAGATGCGATGCCCCAGGCTCCGGAGACCTATGAACTAAAAAGACAATAAATACATATCTAATTACAACGGTGGAGAAGGGTTACAATTACCACAATAAACGCTTCCATTTAGAAGGGGAAAAAGAAACACAGCAACTGGTTTGGGGCAATTTTAAAATCCCATTGGGCAGACATTGCCTTGGGGACAGGAGAAATTCTTCATTAGGCACTGTTTATGCCTTCTGGAGAGAGTTCTTTTATGCAATGTCCTCACCCTCTGGAAGGTATCCCCCTGTCTGTTATTCTCCTTGACCGCATCTGCAGTGGGAACTGGGGCACATGACCTTTTTGGCAGCTATATGAATGTGCAAGTCTACTGCCTACTGCCTGCCACCTGCTTGAAGGTCTAGGACATGCAGGTTGTGTTAAATTCTGATATCTTACGTGTTTTTTTATTGCAATTTCATGACTCCATTGGCAAAATCATTTATTCAAAATTTTATATTCTTCTATCTGTTTGTTTCCAATCAAATCCACGTGCCAGTAACTATACCAATAGTTTATTCCTAGAAATGATTGTCTAGTCTGATCTGTGTTGCTTCTTTGCCACTGTGGTTCCTCTTTTTACTTAATGGCAGGTATTTTGAGTCTATCTGGAGCAAACAATGTGTAAGGCATACCCTAATCTGATCTTTGCTGTGAGTCCCTTTATCCAACTATTAGTGTCAAGTTGTACTGGACTTCTTTCATTCAAAGCCTTTTGTAAGTCCATTTCTTACCATTTAGGGTTTCAAAGTTAGGACTATTCAACTTGAAAAGCTCTAAATTTCTGTTCTCTCTCTACTTTCATTTCTGTTCATCAATTGGTCAATCTTCTTCTGGGAACATCTCTTTTATTACTACACTTTTCCAAATAAGCCAACAGTCCCAACAAACTCTGCCAACATTTGATTTTGCAAACTCTTCCTCTAAAACGACAAGCCCAGTAGGTACATTTTCTGTCTTGTAAGAAGGTAATAAATTTACCAAAAATTTTACCACCATATAACATAGATCTCTGGTATCTCTCTCCTCACTATCCAGCTAACAGCTGTCAATGTCACGTATTTTAAGTTTTTGTTATGACAGCACCTCAATTTTGTTACTAATTTCTGCATTAATTGGAGTAAAGATCATTAGCTGCTATAAGAATAAACTCCAAATTGTAAGGGCTTAAGGCAACCAAAATTTGTCTCAGGTTTGTGATATGGATCAGGTTGCTCTCTGGGGGACTCTACACCAAGTGATGATGCTGAGAATTAAAAGAGAAGTTGTGAAATGTAAGCTTTCTGTGTACTTAGAAAATTAACCCATCTCTGCCACACTGTGATAGGGAAGAAAGAGACCCAGGCATAGAATCGGAGTGACTATGTATGATTCCTGGCTCTTCGTTCTTACTAAACGTTAATCTTAGCCAAGTAAATTACTGTCTCTTAGTCTTTGCTTACTGATATATAAACAGTATTCGTAAAACCTGTCTTGATAGGGTTATAGAGCTATGCAAGTCAGTTTCATATTTTATTTGTCAAGTATATTAATGCAAGTGACAGAAGCCAATTCTAATTTAAGCAGAATTTATTAAAAGGATTTTATATATCTAAGAGAATTGTCAAGAAGAATAAAGAAACAAGTTTTGAAAAAGGGAAGATCAACAATGAGCACTATGCACCAGCCAGATCCACAAGTAAAACCATAGATCCAGGGTCATAAGGGGACTGCTCCCACCATGGCTGAACACTGGATGCCACCACATGTACAGCCATCACCTCAGGCACCAGCCACCGTATGCCACCACTAGTTTCATTTCCACTACTGCCCTGGAACAGGTTGTTGCTATCTATACTGCTGCCACTATCAGAATAGATTCTCCACCATTGCTACTCTTTTGCATCACCAGCTCCCAGCGAAAGTTCAACTGGGTACAGCTGATCAGGTGAGCCTAAGTTACGTTACTGTGCTGTAGTTGAAGAGAAAGATGGGATATAGAGCACATGGCCTTTGGAGCTTCTGTTAAAGATACATATTGCAGAGAATTCCTCAAATATAGGAGGTGGGAAACAGCAACAAAAGACTGAAGTTTACTTTAGGCACTTATTAACCTATGTCTGGCAATTTCTGGGTTTAAGGGATAGAAGTCAGTGAAATAGTTTCTGCCTCTAAAAAGCTGCGTATGGAGGTAAGGTACAGTGATGCGCACGCCTAGTACCAGCTATTTAGGAGTCTGAGGCAAAAGGATCACTTGGGCCCAGGAGTTCAAGTCTAGGCTGGGCAACATAGCAAGACTCTGTATCTAAAAAATAAATAAATTAAATTAAATTAAATTAATAAAAATAAAGCTGTATATTAAAGCATTTTATAAATTAGAAAGATCTCAGAAATTTAAGAAACTATATCTTCTTGGCCTTTTGGCTAAGACCAAGTGTAGACATTAATAATATTGCTATTTTAATAATTTTTTTTTTTTTGGGGGGATGGAGTCTTGCTCTGTTGCCCAGGCTGGAGTGCAGTGGCGCGATCTCGGCTCACTGCAAGCTCCGCCTCCCAGGTTCACGCCATTCTCCTTCCTCAGCCTCCCGAGTAGCTGGGACTACAGGCGCCCGCCGTCACGCCCGGCTAATTTTTTTTTTGTATTTTTAGTAGAGACAGGGTTTCACCTTATTAGCCAGGATGGTCTCGATCTCCAGACCTCGTGATCCGCCCACCTCAGCCTCCCAAAGTGCTGGGATTACAGGCGTAAGCCACAGCGCTCAGCCTATTTTAATAATTTTTATATCAATAATATAATACTAAAAGATTCCTGAGATATGTTATTTTTATTCAGATTTATGTCAAGGTGTCCATCTAATTTCAACATTACTTTGCTATTCAAAAATGTAAGAACCTAGATATTTTACCTTCTTATAGAGAATAATAAGAGAAATGTCCTTCTCCCTGAGCTAAATCAGTTATTAACACTCAGTGAATTGAGTGATTGATCTTTTGAAAGTGAGTACTATAGATTATTTTTAGTTGCCTTACTTATAAAATTGTGGCAATGACCTAGGGAGTCTGTGACTTAGCCTGATTCAGAGGGATGGATCAAAATCAAAGGTGGAACCAAGTCTCACAAATCCTACTTCTTTTGGGAACAAACGTGAGGAACCGGTGACAATAATCTGCAACCATCAGACAAATTCCAAAAATAAAAATAAAAATAAGCAGGACCTTATAATTCTGACACAATCAAATCCCAAGGGATTTGCTTATTCAACTGTCTTTGAATTACAAAATAATTATTTTGGAACTGCAAAATTATTTTGAAATGTGATATATTTAAAAATTCACGGCCAGGTACAGTGGCTCAAGCTGTAATCCCAGCACTTTGGGAGGCCAGGGCGGGCAGATCATTTGAGGTCAGGAGTTTGAGACCAGCCTGACCAACATGGTGAAACCCCATCTCTACTAAAAATACAAAAAAATTAGCCAGTCGTGGTGCCTCATGCCTGTAGTTCCAGCTACTGGGGAGGCTGAAGCAGGAGAATTGCTTGAACCCGGGAGGAGGAGATTGCAGTGAGCCGACATGGCACCACTGCACTCCATCCTGGGCAACAGAGCGAGACTCCATCTCAAAAACAAAAACAAACAATAAAATAAAATTCACATGAAACAACTGGAAAAAAGAAATATTATGATTAAAATGAAGAGAAAAGCAGCAGGAGCATTCATTTACAGAGTGAATACAAACCATTTTGCTCTAATAACCAGTTTCCTTAGATAATCTTTCTGAATTTATTCCTTTTCAATTTACTTAGTCAAAGAAATAAGTAACCTAACTTTTTTCACTGGTTAGAAGGTGAAAGAAACAGACGACAGCTGAATTACAGTCATCACTGCGTGATTTCATAAGCTGTTACTTTCCCAAGTGGTAAAATCTATTCTTCCTTACCATAAAAAAAAATACACATTTCTCCCTTTGAACTTTTTGAAGCACTTTATTCAGCAGCAAAAGACATTCTTTAGATCCCCTGAGATACAAAGGTGGTATTTTCTCCAAGATGAACATTCACTATGCCATCAATTAATCAGTGATGTTAAAACACACTGAATACAATTAACTGTTTTACATGCCAGCATAATACCCTCTTAATAGTCACATTAAACATTAAGAGAATACTATTTCAGCCATTTCCTCTAATAGGTTGTGCTATATAGTCCTTTGCCTTCTTTTTCTTTTGTGATTATTCAAAGGAGGCAAGACAATAAGAGTATGAAGCACAGGGTAAGTACAAGAAAATTTTGCGAGGCACTGAACTCCTATAATAATCTTCATTCAAGATCATTAATATAGTAGTTTGAAAAAGATAAAATGAAAGCTTCAATCTAAATAAGTTCTAAAGATAACACATCAAGATCCATAGATGCAATTTAATCCTCACATTATACATTATACTGATTAACAAGGTAATTGCAAAATAAATTCCATGGTGGAAAAATATCAAAATATCAACAATATGTATCATGTGGAAAGGTGAGGTTTTTGATGATCATAGTACGTTCTTTTTTCTTTTGAAATATATTTTCTACATTTATGTATACTAATACTAATAGATATGTCAATTCGAACTTTGTGGCTTATCTCATTATTATCATTTACCTAAATAAAACTAGAATTAAAATATAACTACTGTGGTATTTATCTTCCTCTAAGCTTAGAAAAGATATAATAGCAGGACATCATCGAAAGTGTGAGAATTCAGTGTGCACATGCTTAGACGGCGTTGACTTCCATATACTCCCTTAAAGTTCCCTATTCCTCATATTTCAGATTCTACTACATATAGTTATTTTTAGACTATCAAGTCACAAAATTGAATTAATCACACCCTTCATTTCATTGCACATTTTCAGCGTCTGTGCAATACCCCTTTTTAAATTTTACCTTTCTACTTTTTACTACCTTTTTCCCATGCATCCACCATTCTCACCTCACCCCACCCTTACATATTTAATTTATACCCTACCAGTATATCATTGCTATATTCATTTAGATATATGTGTATCTTTAAAGATGAATTTGGTGTTTCTGGGCATATGCATGTAATATCCTTGAAAGTTATTCTTTTATAAATCTCATATTGTTTATTCCCCAATTTGTCATGATATTTTAAGAGCCATCCAGATAAATATTAATCTAGAACATTATTTCTGAGTGCTGAATATAACTTTATTATGTGTCTATCCCTTATTTTATTTCCCATTCCTCTGTCAATGGACATCTAGACTTTCTCCATTCTTACTACCACAAACATTGCTGTGAAAAATATTCCTAGGGACATGTGCAAGAGACCTAGAAGTGTAATTGCTACATCATTGAGAAAGTATAAAGATAGTTAATTTACCAAGTACTTTCAGGTTGCTCCCTGGAATGGTTGCAACAGCTTACTTTCCCTTAAGTTGAATGGGAGGTCTCTTATTTCCCAACATCCTCATCACTGCATGATATTGTCAGACTTTCCAATTGTTTTAATTTGCAGTTCTCTGATTACAGAGTAAGGGTAAGTCACTCTTCGTTTGCTTATGAACCATTTGGGATTCCCAGTTTATTTGTGTATTTTCTGTTTCAATAGTAGAATGCAAACTTCATAGGTGCTGTTGTTTATTTGCATCTCCATTCCTTTCCTGATTAGTTTTAACATAAATTTGTCTAGTCAATCTTTTAAAAGAAAAGCCAGTTTTGAGTTTTTATAGTTCATAGTTATATGTTTAGAATACGTTGAATGAATGATGAATAAGTAAAAAAGGAATGTCATTTGCTGTGTAACAAACAACTGCACAACTCAATGACTTATAACAACAAACTTTTTATCCTCACTCACCAAGTGCCCACCTACCTGTGGGTAGTTGTGGCTCTGAAGAGGCATATTGGGCATGGCTCCAGCCTGCAATTTGAATGAGGTCTGCAATGAGAGGAAACTGTTGTTTAGATTTTTTAAAACTTAGATTTATAGTTTACATGTTCCAAATTCCTTTTCTTTAAAATATAGGAAAAAAAATGATACCGAATATTTATGACCCAGTAAGCCTAGGAAAACATCTTGCAAGCTGAGTTGTCATGAAAATATCTTGAGTAAGATTATATTTGATTATTCTCTCTGCTTTAGTACAACTTAATATGTTTTACTTATATTTTCTGACTTTCATTGTAAAGATGATAAGCCTCTCCAATATGGCAAATTATTTTACTACAGAGACTGTCTTAACATAACATCTGCCCAAGGTTTATTTTAAAAAAAAAAAGAGCATGTTTCAGAAAATTGCATGAAGTCATCAAACATGTCTTATGTCTCATAGCAGAGTTGCTATTCAGTCAGTATACATGACCATACAAGTTGTTAAAATATTGAAACAATCCTATATACATGGTAAATAGAAGCCACTTTGAGACCCTGCCCCATGCCTCTGCCCCAGCCCACCAGAGGTGTACTCATAATCCGGACATGAAGGGCACAGCATCCAGGAAGCTGCTCTAGCAGTTTGGCTGGTGTCTGTTCTGATTGGTCAGTGCCCTATGTTGTACTAATTGTTATATATTTTAAATATCACGTCTGAAGATAGGAAATAGCGCAAATTCTCATGTACAATGTGTAAATAAACTCATGGGATTTTGTCGGGGGTGGGGGTTGGGCTTTGTTCCTCCAACAAATACGCACATATACATACGACATGCATGACACCTATGTATACGCTCCAAAATCTCTGGGATAAAGAAAGCAATACAGTGTGTCTCTCTTCCTGAAGCTGTTTATATTAAAGATGCCTCTGGCAGTTTTTCATCTAAACACGTTACAAAGCTTCACTTGTTCCACACTTTTCACATCTCTTGGTTAACTTCTGGATTGATTCCTTGTCTTACTTGAGCACATCCTCCCAAAGTGTTTTCAAACAGAATTTTTGTCAGCCTTCTGAGGCCTTGTGTACCTTACAATAACTTATTTCAGCCTTACATTGAATTAATTGGATATAGCATCCTAGCTTCAAATTTCTCTTATTTCAACAATTTCTCTGTCCTCTTTCTATCAAATACACTCAGCCCTATGTATCTTCAGGTTCTGCATTTACAGATTCAAACAACCTGGGACCGAAAATATTCAAGAAAAAACCAAATTAACAATTAAAAAAATACAAATAAAAACCAAAGCAGCATAACAACTATTTACATAGCATTCCTATTGTATTAGGTATCATATGTAATATAGAGATAATTGAATGTATACAGGAGGATGTATGTAGATTATGAGCAAACAGGCCATTTTATATAAGGGAATTGAGCATTCCTGGATTTTACTATGAAGGCAGTGGGTCCTTGAACCAATCCTTGAAGATACTGAAGAAAGACTGTACTAATATCACTCTTTCGTCCTGCAAAATTCTGTCACTGTATCTTACCTTTTCTCTCAGTTTTTTAGCACTGCTTTGTCCTTCCTGAGTCCTTCTAGAAGAGTTGATTGACCTGATCTTTCAGCTCACTAATTTGTATTTCAAGTGTGTTCACTCTGAAAAGCAGTATCTAAAAAACATCTATAAGGTTTATCTAATACCATACTTACTGAGTTATTTCAGTTATTAGGTTTTTCATACTGAATATCTCCAGTTGGTCCTTCATAACTGATTTTTCTGATTCATGTTTCTAATTTCCTCCTTTGGGTCTCTAAAAATATTTTTAGTCCTTTTAAAACAATTATTACACTTTTGAACATTTTTTTCTATCTGATCCATTCATTTGGCTTCCTCTTTTATTTTTATTTTTTTAGCTTCCTCTTTTAAAGATATCTGTTTGCCTACCTTCTTTTCATAATACATACATTCTTCACATTTTGTGATTTTGTTATTTTTTTCCTGTGAACATACAGTCCCTTATGGTCTTGGATGATATTCAGATGATTTAATAACAAGGACAGCATGGACACCAACTAATCCTAACAGAATGCTGAACATATTAGAACAGATAGATGCTCACTGTTAACTACCTGATATGGGCTCAATGACTGTCGTCCTAACTTGAGACTATCAGCTAATCATACTAATTAAGTGTACTATTATACCCTGATTAGTATCCTCAGATTACAAAGTTATTGTACCAAAAATCTCCTCCTAAAGACCCAATTCTGATGTCAATTTGATCTAAACTGGTTGACAACATAATTTCTAAATCTTTTCCCTGCAATGATTAAAGTATAATCCAACAGCTTCTTAAGATTTAAAGATAAGATTTTCAAGATCATAAAAGGTTTAACATAAGAAAGACTGTACTAATATCACTCTTTTGTCCTGCAAAATTCTGTCACTATGTCTTAACTTTTCTCTCAGGTTTTTAGCACTGTTTGTCACTTCCTAAGTCCTTCTAGGTAAGGACTAAGATAAAATAATTCCAAGAAAAGACCTCATGCTAGGAATAGTCTGTTTACCATCCAGCAAGAGTATTCTTTTTATTTCCAAATTAGATAACCTGCTACAATCATGAATTATTTTACATAGTTTATTTATATTAAAATTTAATAAAACAGTGGTAAAGTTTATCTGGTACTTTAATACTATTCTCTTTTTTTTTTTTTTTTCAAGTCAAAGCTGTTTTATTATCATTCACATTATTTCATAGAAAAAGGAATGTAGCAAACGTCAGGGTCAGGGTTGTACATAAAAAATCCAGGTTTGTAGAGGTCGCGTTATTTACATCTGGGGGCAGGGCTGTCCCAGCATCAGGCACAGCAGCTGCACTTGTCCGACGCCCCTTTGCAGATGCAGCCCTGGGCACACTTGGCACAGCCCACAGGACAGCAGGAGCAGCAGCTTTTCTTGCAGGAGGTGCATTTGCACTCTTTGCACTTGCAGGAGCCGGCGCAGGTGCAGGAGTCACTGGCGGCACAGGAGCAGTTGGGATCCATGGCGAGCTGAAGAGGCGGCTGGAGTCGGGACAGGTTGTACACGGGCTCGCTGGGACTTGGAGGAGGCGTGGTCAATACTGTTGTCTTTTTAAACTTTTGTTCAACATTTCAGTATCAGACTATTTCTTCTTTGGCACTTGCTTTCAATTCGCCTATCTTGCCACTAGATGGAGAGGGATGCCACTAGGTGGAGGGTGATGCCTACCACTAGATGGTACTTAAACTTACCTTCTTGCATTCAACAGCCTAAAAGATAGCTGTTTAAGTTTAACGTGTATATACAGGGTCTTGTCTTAATATGGTGAAAAATTAATGTTCCAGTTTCAAAAGCGAACTTATAACATCTTTTTTCCTCTAGGTCATTGAAACAAGAATTCTCTCTCTCTCTATCTTTCTCTTTCTCTCTTTAAATTGTTTTTACAGACGGGGTCTCCTTCTGTCACTCAGGCTATAGTGCAGTGGCATGATCATAGCTCACTGTAGCCTTGAACTCCTCGGTTCCCACCTCAGCCTCCCCAGTAGCTGGGATTACAGACTTAAGCCATCATGCTGACGAGCCTTCTTTAATACCTATGCTAAAACTCCATGTACTTATTTGGGAAGAAAAGGGAAGATGGTTAGCCCCATGAATAGTGACAATAATAATAATAAAGTTATCACCATTTCAGGATGGTGCTGTACATGCCACCTGCTGGAGAAAAAAGATGTGGGAGGTGTTACACTGACAGCCTGAGGGTTCCCCAGGAATTCATTTAGCCTCATTAATTCGGGGAAGGGTAGTTATTCCACCAGCAAATTCCAGCAAGCGAAATGGCAGCTTTGGACATTTGGGCCTCTCTAGTTTCTTTGAGTTATACAGTGCTTCCTTATAGAATTTATTTCCTTCCATGGATCTTACTGTGAGTAGCCAGATATCTAAATCCTGGGCTCATGCACAAGTAACCCCCAGACCTCATAAAATTATACTGCTGTATATTCGTACACTTACATTTCAAGTCTAGCATTTGCATCTAAATTCATTTGGCTGCATCATAATCAAGTCACATAATCTTGCTTTCATTTTAAGTCTTACAGGCTTCAACTAAGTTTAATTTTGAAAACAAGGCAGGGCGCGATGGCTTACGCCTGTAATCCCAGCACTTTGGGAGGCCAAGGCGGGTGGATCACTTGAGGTCAGTAGTTTGAGACCAGCTTGGCCAACATGGAGAAACCCCGTCTCTACTAAAAACATGAAAAATTAGCCAGGCGCGGTGGCTCACACCTGTAATCCCAGCACTCTGGGAGTCTGAGGCGGGCAGATCACTTGAGGTCAGGAGTTCGAGAATAGCCTGGCCAACATGGTGAAACCCTGTCTCTAATTTAAAGAAAATACAAAAATTAGCCAGGCGTGGTGATGCATGCCTGTAATCCCAGCTCCTTGGGAAGCCGAGGCAGGAGAATCGCTTCAACCGGGGAGGCGGATGTTGCAGTGAGCCGAGATCAGGCCACTGCGCTCCAGCCTGGGAGACAGATCGAGACTCCATCTCAAAAAAAAAAAAAAAAAAAAAAATTGAAAACTGTAAAAGGAACATTTTTTTTACTATATACTTGAAAGATCAAAAAAGAAGTGTCTATCTACCAATACAGAGCTACAGTAAGAGGTCACTAGACATTAAGTTATTTATTTCACTGGTAATAATTTTACATGGTTGAACGTTCATGTTAAGTTTCTCACCATGCGAGATGCGAGATGATTCATAAATACATTGCTGGGAAATACTGGGGAAACAGATCGTCTAAAGACTTAATTGCGGCCGTGCGCGAGGGCTAACCCCTATAATCCCAGCAATTTGGGAGGCCGAGGCCAGAGAATCACCTGAGGTCGGGAGTTCGAGACCAGCCTGGCCAATAGGACAAAAACCCCATCTCTACTAAAAATACAAAAATTAGCCTAGTGTGGTGGCGTATGCCTCAAATCCCAGCTACTCTGGAGGCTGAGGCACGAGAATCTCTTGAACCCGGGAGGCGGAGGTTGCTGGTGAGCAGAGATTGGCCACTGCACTCCAGCCTGGGTGATAGAGTGAGACTCCATCTCAAAAAAAAAAAAAAAAATCTAATCGTAATTCACTTGTGGTGAGAATTAAAATCTTCAAACTAGCCAAAGAAATTCATAGTTTTTAAATAATATGTCACTTTCCTTTTCAAAAGCATTGACAAATGTATTAATCATGACTGACAATATGGAACAAAGATTGCTGGAAGGAGTATAAACTGGCATAACTTTTCAAGAGAGCAATTTTGCAATCATTATCAAAAATTTGAAAAGTATTCATATTGTTTAGGGAATTTTATTTATTTATTACAGAGAAAATTACGTAACAACCAAAAAATTTAAAACTCAAGGGATGGTTAAACAAATCCTAATACATAGTTCTATTTCCATTACAATCAACATCGAATAAGCTTTCCGTGCCTTAGAGGTTAGAAGGTAAAAACTACGTTTCCCAGATATCTTCGCAGGGAGGGCTGCGGAAGGGTTTGGGTTCCGCCAATCAGATGCACCGTGTGCAGCGGCAGGGCGGCTGCGGTCCTTTTGGATGCTGCCAAGCCAGGCCGAGACTGCTTTGTTCTGCCAATGGCAGCCTCGGGCTTCTAGCGCTTCCACCTGACACTGCTGCCTTTGGATCGCAGGACTACCCATGCCATTTCTGGAGAATGGAAGTTGTTCCTAAACGCTCACACAGCGCCTGCCCCTACAATTCCAAACAGTTTGTAAGCCATCTAATGGTTTGCAGCCAGTGATAAATTCCTTTCTGCCTATTTATTCTGGAAGAGCAGTCTGCAACTGAACCATATCAAATACAGTATCGATATGGTAGAATATGGCACATCAATTTAAAAATCAAGGTTGTTAACTAATATTTAATGGCACAGGGGTAAATTCTGTAACTTTTTTATGGACACAATTTATTTTTCACTGATTTATAACTAGATCACTACTCATGCCAAAAACTATTTTCGTAACGGCCTGTGTAGTCTTTCAGAGCGAACAATTAAACACATGTGAGGAGTTTCGCTTCGTTGTAGGGAAAATTAAAAATGATTTTTAAACACAATACCAAAAGGATTTCCCTCCTTGACTCGGGCGCGATTCTGTGGGTGTACTACCCAATTTATCTCAAAAGGTTTTATTTTTAGGCTTAATCCGTGTATCAACCAAAGTAGCCTGTCTTAGAAATTCAGGCAAATTTGGCTCAAACTTATTTTACAAAATAGTGGAATTCCTGCACTCCTCTGGTTTCAGTAGTGCAACCAATTCTTGGGAAAGAGAAGGAAGGTGAGAGGGTGGCTTAGATATTTTTTCCTAACAATTGAGTGATTTTTTGCTTGCTGTCCCCATTTTTCTTTTACAAAAGGGGAAGGGAACTCTGCCTCTTACCCCTCTGATGCGAATTAGACCACTTCCCTTAGCAGGTAGAAGCAGCACAGTCAATTTTGGTTTTAAATGATTTTTTTCTGCCTGCATTTCACAAGTCTACTGAGTCATTACATTATCATTTGAAAACACTTTGTAATCAGAGAACACATCAACATGTTCTGCATATGTTTGGGATAAAGAATATGCAATGTAGAAAAAAGGTAAAGTTAGTCATTCAGAGGAAGGACTATAAAACATTTTCTGAAAATGCCCTTTTTTGTATTTTTTCTTAACATTTTAGAATATAATTTTAGAAAGGAGCATGCTTTGGACAGACTAGAATTTAGAGCTCATTGTGTGACTTACCTTTGTTGTCCTATTAAATCTTCCCAGGATGCCACTACACCCACTTCAGACCCGTGAGCCTCAAAGTGTCTAGGAGGCGGTTTGATATGCAGACTAAAGTGAGATGTAAGATCACATAGCTCTTGGTTCAAGTTTGAGTTCCTTTATTACTTTAGTTAACCTAAGTGTCTTTTTTTTCTTTCTTATTATGTTGACACTTCAGAGAATAAATTTCATTTTTAAAGATGTTTTATAATGGCATCTTTTAAAATGAGATTATAGGCCAGGCGCAGTGGCTCACGCCTGTAATCCCAGCACTCTGGGAGGTCAAGGTGGGCTGATCACCTGAGTTCAGGAGTTCAAGGCCAACCTGGCCAACATGGTGAAACCCCATCTCTACTAAAAAATATTTTAAAAATTAGTGTGGTGTGGTGGTGCACACCTGTAGTCCCAGGGAGTGCTGAGGCAGGAGAGTCGCTTGAACCTGGGAAGTGAAGGTTGCAGTGAGCCAAGATTATGCCACTGCACTCCAGCCTGGGCAACAGAGCGAGACTCCATCTCAAAAAAATGTATAAATAAATAAATAAGGATTATAATAGCAATTTACTTATAGGGCTATTATAGATTAAATGAGCTAATGCATGCATTTAAATTTTAGCATGGAAGGGTCTAAGGCCCTAAGTGTATGTAAATAGTGAAGAAATTGACCCAAACTGAACTTTTTATCTTTCCTCCGATACTGAGTATTCTGTATTCATTATCTGTGATTATGATGAGGACATCTTTTAGATCAGCAGTCCCCAGCCTTTTTGGCACCAGGGACCAGTTTAATGGAAAACAATTTTTCCATGGACAAGAGAGATGAATGGTTTCCAGATGAAACTATTCCACCTCAGATCATCAGGCATTAGTTAGACTCTCATCAGGAGCTTACAATGTAGCTCCTTCACATGCACGATTTGCAATGGGGTTCACGATCCTATGAGAATCTAATGCCACCACTAATCCAACAGGAGGTGGTGCTCAGGTGGTAATGCTCACTTGCTTGCCTGCTGGTCACCTCCTACTATGCAACCCAGTTCCTAAAGACCATGGACCAGAATCTGTGTCATGGGGGTTGGGGACCCCTGTTTTAGATGCTTTTTTTTTTTTTTTTGAGACGGAGTCTCACTCTGTCGTCCAGGCTGGAGTGCAGTGGCACGATCTCAGCTCACTGCAACCTGCACGTCCAGGGTTCAAGGAGTTCCCTGCCTCAGCCTCCCTAGTAGCTGGGATTATAGGCTCCCACCACCACGCCCAGATAATTTTTGTATTTTTAGTAGAGACGCGGTTTCACTGTATTGTTCAGGCTGGTCTTGAACTCCGGACCTCGTGATCCACCTGCCTCGGCCTCCCAAAGTGCTGGGATTACAGGCGTGAGCCACTGCACCTGGCCTTAGATGCTTCTTGAGAACATTTGTTATTTACCTCTCTGAGCTGGGTATAATTTTGATTCTTTTAAATTAAGCCATGAGAAGAAAATGTCAGAATAGCAATAATATTACCTACTACTCAGGGATTTAATAATATTTAGAAAATGTAAACTAAAATGGTTGTTACTAACAGCAATTTCCGCCTCAGAAGACATATACAAGCAGTCAGAACACTTCTCTCTTTTGAAGCAATCATCTAGTCATATTCCAAGACCTGACCACTTATTGTGGGCAAAACTTTGTGTCTTCTCTCTTCTCTCTAAAAAATAGAGCCACAGTAAAACTACTGCCAATAATGGTAACAATGTTATTATATTAATTTATATGTTATGTTATTATTATTGTAGCTACTTTTTTGTACTTACTGCTATATGCCAGATAACACCCATGCTTTATCTGCTAAATCTGCCCAGTGACTCTCTGAGGTAGATATTTTGATTCCCATGTACTGTCACAGAGGAGGACACAGAGTACAAAGAGGTTAACTTGATTAATACAATCAACTGAATAGCTCCTAAGTGGCAGAGTCTGGATTCGAACAGAGAGCCCCGATTCTGGAGTTCTTAAAGAGATATAGATAAAATCTTGAAGAGTTCAGCTGCCCACCAACCTAATCTAATCACTAAGTGTTTTATTAATTTCAAACAGGTGAATGGAGTCCCTTGAATTGCTTATCACTTGTTTGTTGTTGTCTTTTTTTTTTTTTTTTTTGAGATGGAATCTCCATCTGTTACCCAGGCTGGAGTGCAGTGGTGCGATCTCGGCTCACTGCAAACTATGCCTCCTGGGTTCAGGCCATTCTCCTGCCTTACCCTACTGAATAGCTGGGATTATAGGTGTCTGCCACCATGCCTGACTAATTTTTGTATTTTTAGTAGAGACAGGGTTTCACCATGTTGGCCAGGCTGGTCTCGAACTCCTGACCTCAGATAATCCATTCTCCTTGGCTTCCCAAAGTGCTGGGATTACACGCGTGAGCCACTGAACCCGGCCATTGTTGTTGTCTTTTTTTTTTTTTTTTGAGACAGAGTTTCTCTCTTGTTGCCCAGGCTGGAGTGCAGTGGTGCCATCTTCGCTCACTGCAACCTCCACCTCCCGGGTTCAAGCGATTCTCCTGTCTCACCTGGGACTACAGGCACGCACCACCATGCCTGGCTAATTTTGTATTTTTTAGTAAAGATGGGGTTTCTCCATGTTGGTCAGGCTGGTCTCAAACTCCCAACTTCAGGTGATCCGCCTGCCTCAGCCTCCCAAAGTGCTGGGATTGCAGGCGTGAGCCACCGCGTTTGGCCCTGTTGTTGTCTCTTGAGGCAAGGTCTCACCTCTGTCTCGCAGGCTGGAGTGCAGTGGCACGATCACAGCTCACTCCATCCTCCCACCTCAGCCTCCCAAATAGCTGGGACTACAGTCATGCAACACCACACCTGGCTAATTTTTTAAATTTTTGTGGAGACAGAGTCATGCAGTGTTGCCTAGGCTGGTCACAAATTCCAATCAATCCTCTTGCATCGTCCTTCCAAAGTGCTGGCATAATAGGCATGAGCCACAGCTCTCCCAGACACTTGTTAAAATGGCAGATTGCCAGGCCCCACGAAGAGCCTCAAATCTGATATCTGGGATTAAGACTAGAAATCTGCACTTTGGACAAATTTTCCTTGTGAATCATATACACCGTATAGTTTGAGAACTTCTGATCGAAAGGATGAATTTCAAACTCCCTACTTGTACATTAAAAACAATGCCTTGGGCAGTGCCTGCTTTGTAATAGATGCTGAACAAATACATGTGGGAAAAAACCCAAGGAGCCAGGAAGAGAAGAAAGCAAGGATGACTAATCAGGCTACTTAATTTTTGGATAAAATTAAGTCTTAAGATGAAGGAAAGGAGGATAGACTAGATCCTCTACAGACATTTTGCACATATTAATTTCAAACTTCAGTCAGCTTTCTGCCATATTTTTCTTTCTCCAAAAGGTTAGGAAGCCCTTGAAAAACAAATACAATGATTAACTAAGTGTACATTTAACCACCGAATTTCTAAATGCCTTTCATTCTTTTCTTCTTTTTATTACAACTTTCTCTGCTTGCACTGGCATGCAAACTGGTTATGCTGGTCAAATGAGTCAATTCAGAGGAAAGCGTTAATTTAGATGAGAGCGTGTTTGTGTTGAAATCTTCCAGAGGCACACATAGTCACACGTGCACAAAAAATGTGGCTTCATATCTGTGTTCCAGTCAGTCTAAACAATTTTTTAAATATTCCTGGAAATTTGTCCTGGAAGCTGCTTTAGAAAGTTTGGCACAATTAAGTCCAGACTTACCCAAGTAAGAAGTTCCCTTTCGATTTTTCAACCACTTCCTTCCCCTTATCCCCACCACTGGTTAAAAAGAAAAAAAGAAAAAACAGTGATATACTTCTACCACATTCCACTATTTAGAATAATAGAAAATTAGAGCTAAAACTACTAAAAGCCATGCTTAAAATTTTTATAGCATTTAATGCTTGTAAAGGTAGTTTCATTTCACATGCACAGCTCATTTGATCTTCACAATAACTCTGTGGTTGACATTTTATAGATGAAGAAATCGAAGCCATGTGACGTGCCCAAAGTCAAGGAAAGTTCAAGCTCCATATCGTTTTTCTTTTTTTCCTTTCTTTCCTTTTTTTTTTTTTTTAATTCTTTTTAGACAGGGTCTCATTCTATTGCCTAGGCTGAAGTGCAATGATATGATCCTGGCTTATATCAGCCTCCACCTCCTGGACTCAGGGAATCCTCCCGCTTCAGTCTCCCAAGTAGCTGGGACTACAGGCATGTGGCACCATGCCCAGACAATTTTGCAGGGGGTGTTTTTTGTAGAGATGGGGTGCAGGGGTCTGTCCTGCAGACCCTGACCCAATGACAGATGAATAACGTGCACTGACACAGATATTCTGCTTTGCCAGTCTGGCTGAGCATCCAGACCACTTACAGACACCAAGAAGAGTGCTGTAAATAGTTGGAACCTCCAGCCTAGACACAGCAAGACTCACATTCATTCAGTAAAGATTAATTGACAAAGGCTTGAGTCAACACCACTAGAGGGTAATTGACATTGCGGACCTCCCGAGTAGAAAGCAATTAAGCACACTAAGATTAGTCTTAGGACCACATGAGTAAACAAGCTAGTTAGATAAACTCCCCCACATTCCTTTGTATCTACTTTAACCTATTTAACTAAAGGTAAAGGGACTAGGCTGCCTTCAGCTAGATCTATTACTGAAGTTATGCAAACTCTCAGGCCTTCCAAGAGGGTTTGTGGCTATGATAACTAAAATTTTTCCCACCAGCCTGACTGAACCCCCACAATGGGGTTTCCCCATTTTGCCCAGGCTGGTCTCAGAACACCTGGGCTCAAGTGATCCACCCCACTGAGCCTCCCAAAGTGCTGGGATTACAGGCATGAGCCACTGCATCTGGCCATGAGTCCAATTTCTTACTGGACAAAGGAGAAAATATAGGAACAGAGAGAATAATTTATATAGAGTTGATTGAATGCTGGTCACTGGTAGAATCCAGAGCTGTTGATATCTTCTGTTTATTCTTTTTTTTCTTCTCTTTACTAAATACTTCTTTGATAATTTTGATGTGACAGGCATTCTGCTGGGGCTCCATAGTAACTTAAAATGTATCTATAATTATAATTGTTGTAATGGAGACAAGTACAAATGCAGTGAGAATGTAACTAATAAATGCAGGTTAGTCACTCAATGCTTGCAGAGCCCAATTAACAAAAGCGAGGTCTGGTATAAACAAAGTGATTTATTTCCCAAGCTAGCTTAGGGGAAGAAGCACAGGAGTCTTGACTTTAAATGTACTACTTTGTTTCTGGAGCAAAAGCAGGCACTTACTTTCTTTTTCCTTTTTTTGTTTTTTCATTTTCTTTTTTCTTTTTATTTTTTTATTTTTTTATTTTACTTTAAGTTCTGGGATACATGTACAGAACGTGCAGGTTTGCTACACAGGTATATGTGTGCCATGGTGGTTTGCTGCACCTACGGACCCATCCTCTAAGTTCCTTCCCCTCATCCCCAACTTCCCAACAGGCCATGGTGTGTGTTGTTCCCCTCCCTGTGTCCATGTGTTTTCATTCTTCAACTCCTACTTATGAGTGAGAACCTAAAGCAGGCACTTTTAAAAGGCAGGAGAGGAAGTGAGCAAGGTGAGGGGTCTGCATGTTAGCTTGGTCCCTTACATACCAGGAGGTCAAGCTGGTGACTTCTGGCATTTTTGTGGGCAGGACTATGATAAAAACTCCCTAGCTGGGAGACAGTAGCGGACATGTTTTTCAATTGTTATCTCTTGAGGTAACCCTCTGGTGGGTGAGAGTTCCATAGCAGGCATGCTTTGGTCTATAAATCGACTGTTAACTCTCAAAGAGAGTTCCGTCTTAGAGTGCATAGATGAACTTACCCTGTAGGGAGCGTCTGGTGAAGGGGATGGTAAAAGGCTATATTGTCATTACTAAAAGACTAAGTAGAAAGTGGAGAACAGGGGTGTATCAGTCCATTTTCACACTGCTATAAAGAACTACCTGAGACTGGGTAACTTATTTTAAAAAAAAGGTTTAACTGATTCACAGTTCTGCATGGCTGGGGAAGACTGAGGAAACTTACAATCATGGTGGAAGGTGAAAGAGAAGCAAGCACCTTCTTCACAAGGTAGCGGGAGAGAGAGCATGAAGGGGGAACTGCCACACACTTTTAAACCATCAGATCTGGTGAGAACTCAGTCACTATCATGAGAACAGAATGGGGGAAACTGCCCCTATGATCCAATCACCTCCCACCAGGTCCCTCCCTTGACATGCAGGGATTACAATTCAAGATGAGAGTTGGGTTGGGATGCAAAGCCAAATCACATCATTCCATCCCAGCCCCGCCCAAAGCTCATATCCTTCTCACATTTCAAAACACAATCATGCCTTTCCAACAGTACCCCAAAGTCTTAACTCATTCTAGCATTAACCCAAAAGTCCAGGTCCAAAATCTCAACTGAGACAAGGCAAGTCCGTTCTGCTTATGAGCCTGTAAAATCAAAAGCAAGTTAATAACTTCCAGTGTATGATGGGGTTACAGGTATTGGGTAAATGGTCCCATTTCAAACGGGAAAAATTGGCCAAAACAAAGGGGCTACAGGCCCCCGTGCAAATCAGAAACTCAATAGGGCAGTCATTAAGTGTTAGAGCTCCAAAATAATCTCTTTTGACTCCATGCCTCACGTCCAGGTCATGCTGATGCAAGGGGTGGGCTCCCAAGACCTTAGGCAGCTCTGCCCTTGTGGCTCTGGGCAGGGTACAGCCACTGCAGTTGCTTTCATTGGGTGGCATTAAGTCCTGACATTGAGTGCCTGCAGTTTTTCTAGGCACACAGTGCAAGCTGTCAGTGAATCTTCCATTTGGGAATCTGGAGGACAGTAGTCCTCTTCTCACAGCTGCATGAGGTGGTGCCCCAGTGGAGGTTCTGTGTGGGGGCTCCACCCCACAGTTCTCCTCTGCATTGCCCTAGTATGAGCTCTGCATGAGGGCTCTGCCCCTGCAGCTGACTTCTCCCTGGACATCCAGGCGTTTCCATACATCCTCTGAAATCTAGTTGGAGGTTCCCAAAGCTCAACTCTTGTCTTCTGCACACCTGCAGGCTTAACACCATGTGGAAGCCATCAAGGCTTGGGGATTGCACCCTCTGAAGCAATGAACTAAGCTGTACCTTGTCCTCCATTGGCCATGGCTGGCACTGGAGCAGCTGGGACACAGGGAACCATGTCCCAAAGCTGTACAAAGCAGGGGGGCCCTGGGCCTGGCCCACGAAACCATTTTTTCCTCCTTGGCCTCTGAGTCTGTGATGGGAGGGACTGCTGTGAAGAACTTTGAAACACCCTGGAGAGGTTTTCCCCATTGTCTTGGCTATTAACATTTGGCTTCTCTTTACTTTTGCAGATTTCTGCAGCTGACTTGAATTTCTCCCCAAAAAACAGGTTTTCCTTTTCCACCACATGGTCAGGCTGCAACTTTTCCAAACCTTTACACTCTACTTCTCTTTTAAACCTAAGTTCCAATTTCAGATCATCTCTTTGTGAATGCATATGACTGCAGGCTTTTAGAAAAAGCCAGATCCCACTTTGAATGCTTTGCTTCTTAGAAATTTATAGGCTGAGCATGGTGGCTCATGCCAGTAATCCCAGCACTTTCAGAGGCTGAGGCAGGCAGATCACGAGGTCAGGAGATTGAGACCATCCTGGCCAACATGGTGAAACCCCGTCTCTACTAAACAAATACAGAAAAGTAGCTGGGTGTGGTGGTGGGTGCCTGTAGTCTCAGCTACTTGGGAGGCTGAGGCAGGAGAATGGTGTGAACCTGGGAGGCGGAGCTTGCAGTGAGCCGAGATCGTGCCACTGCACTCCAGCCTGGGTGACAGAGCGAGACTCTGTCTCAAAAAAAAAGGAAATTTATTCTTCCAGATAACCTAAATCATCTCTCTCAAGTTCAAAGTTCCACAGATCTCCAGGGCAGGGGCAAAATGCTGCCAGTCTCTGGAGTAAAGCATATCAAGAGTGACCTTTACTCCAGTTCCCAATAAGTTCCTTATCTCCATCTGAGACCATCTCAGCCTGAACTTCATTGTCCATATCAATATCAGCATTTTGGTCAAAATCACTCAACTAGACTCTAAGAAGTTCCAAACTTGTTCCCATGTCTTTCTGTCTTCTTCTGAGCACGCCAGACTGTTCCAACCTCTGCCCATTATCCAGTTCCAAAGTCACTTCTGCATTTTCAAGTATCTTTATAGCAGTGCCTCAAACTCCAGTACCAATTCTCTGTATTAGTCCATTGTTAAACTGCTATGAAGAACTACTCGAGACTGGCTCATTTATTTAAAAAAGGTTTAATTGCTTCACAGTTCCACATGGCTGAGGAGGCCTCAGGAAACTTATAATCATGGTAAAGGGTGAAGGAGAGGCAAGCACCTTCTCACAAGGTGACAGGAGAGAATGAAGGGGGAACTGCCACACACCTTTAAACTGTCAGATCTTTTGAGAACTCACTTCTCACTTTTGAGAACTCAGATCTTTTGAGAACACCATGAGGGAAACTGCCCCCATGATCCTATCGCCCCATGGCCAGGTCCCTTCCTTGACACATGGGGAAGGATTACAATTTCAGATGAGATTTGGGTGGGGACACAGAGCCAAACCATATCAAGGGGAAAAGGAAAAAGAGAAGAGAAAATAATAATAGTTATTCATTCCCTTTTTCTTAAGAAAAATGGGGATACTCGGTTACAGGAACACAACAGAGACAACTAATTCTGTTAGGGAGAGGTTGTCAAGGAAAAATTTCTTGGTGAGATGCAGAATTAGCTGAAACCTGTAAGAAAAAATCATGTTTTTCAGGCAGTGAGTACCCAGAGAACGGTCTAGAAAGGAGCATATGACTAACTCATGGATTTATTCCCATTGTATGTCTCTATAGTGTTGTATACTATTCCTGTTGTAACACTTGCCACCAAGAGATGTAAATTAGCCATTGTCTGTACCTTAGCTCCCTTTCCCCTTCACCCTCACTTCCCCACTGTACTGCAAGTGCTGGAGATGTGAGGTGAGGAGAAGGCTAATTCCCAGATCCCTAGCATGAGTAGGTTAGTGGACAGTGTGGGTAGTGGTGGATCAAGGGGGTACTGTTGAGCTTTTTAAAATTGAGCTAATCATGAGACATCTAAGAAAAGATGTCAAGGAAACAACTGACATCAGGTGAGAAGTCTGACTGAAGTAATCATTCTTGTATAGATGATGATTAAGTCACAAGAGTTGTTGAGCTTGCCAAAGGAAAGCTCTTTACCTTTCAGCTGCCTCAAAACAATCTTGTTTACAATGAGAGGCAGTTAAATCCAAGCACACATTACAGTAGAATCTACAGAGAAAGGTAGCTGTATTTAGATTGTGGTTTTCTCAAAAAGGAGAGTTGAAATATTTATCCTAATGTTCATTATCTACGAATAGAGTTAGGGCAAAGTTCTCTATTTTGATCTATGAGCTATAGAGCAATTGAACATTTTTCACCCAGTATTATACTACGCTTATTATTTTGCGTATTTTGCTATTTCCTTTTTCCTTCATGTCCATCTTTTTGTTTGCAAATAACAAAAAGCAATTCGAGTTATATTAGAGGAAAAGGAAAACTACTGTGAGGGTAAATGTATCTGTCCAAATCGAAGGGTAGAATGCAACCAGGTCTCAAGAACTGCCGCTGAAATCTAGAATGCTTTAAGACAAATGAGATGTGTTTCCCCATTTCTGGTTTCCCTTTGCATATTTTTATGCTTCTATACTGGAAGATAAATCTTATTTACTACTAAGTCCACATAATGGTCAAAAAGTGACTGCCTGTAACTTCAAATTTTCATGAGTTATAGTTTCAGCCACACAAACAGGATGATTTCCAGTCTGATTCCCTTTCCAAATTCTGGGAGAAGTGACATTGAACCTATTCCCATCCCTATTTACTCTCATCAGCTGTGGCCAGGATATCCTATAAAATCATACATATATAGCTATGAGTGCTGTGTATCTGAGGGGCAGTTAAGCATAATGGTGTGCTGAAGCTTGCCTGTAATGACTTATAAGAGCCAGTTGTTAAATTTTTAAAATTTTTGTAGACTGGTTGTTAAACATAGGGATTATTAAAAAATAAATTATACAAAGTTAATAATATTAAGTATAGTTAAGTAAACTATATTAAATACAAAAGTAATAAATATTCAAAATTCACCACTTCCTGATTCTTTCAATTATAACTTAATATTATTTGTTCTTGAGGTTATTTATATTTACAATTATTGCACCTGTATGGTGAAAATACTATAAAATTTTGTTACTTCTCATTTCTTCCTGTGTTCAGTGATGAGATGTCACATAGATAGTTTGAAATTGGTCATGGCAGGAGTAATTACACCACATAAATTGACAAACATTACAAATAAGTTTTGTTTTATTTTGTTTTTCTGGAGAGCTGGTTGTTAAACATTTACCAGTTCACTACTGGTAAAAGGAGTCATTGTCAGAAAACACGTTTTACCCCACTACAATATCTACTACTTCTACTATACTAGAAGATAACTTCCTTCAAAGTAACAATAACACATTTGCTTGCAATGTTATTGTTTCTTCCACAGTATTTGGCATTCTAATTAAGTTATAAGAAAGCTGATACATGGCTTGGCTACCATGATTAGAATTTAATTATTCATGACACTTCTAAAAAGCCCTGCTATCAGAACATTTATGTCCCCTGCCTCCAAAATCCGTTTGTTGAAATTCTAAGCCCCAAGGTGTTGGTATTAAGAGGTTGGGCCTTTGGATGGTGATTGGATCGTGACAGAAGAGCCCTCATAAATGGGATTAGTGCCCTTAAAAAAGCGGCCCCAATGAGCTTGTTTTCCCCTTCCAAAATATGAAGACACAATCTATAATACTTTGTTATAGCAGCCCCCCGGAAATAAAACATACCCACATACAAATGTTGTTTTTGTTTCTTTTTCCTGTTTCAAACAGTATCTTACTCTGTTATCCAGGCTGGAATGCAATGGTGCAATCATTGCTCACTGCAACCTCAAACTCCTGGGCTCAACCACACCCAAGCAACTTTTTGTAGAGACAGGGCCTCATGTTTACATTCTACAAGCATTTTTTTTTTCCAGAGATAGGATCTGACTCTGTCTTCCAGGCTGACATGCAGTGGCAGTGTCATACCTCACTGCAGCATTGAGCAACCTGGCTCAAGCAATCCTCCCACCTCAGCCTCCCAAGTAATTGGAACTACAGGCATGAGCCAACCACACAATCACACTCAGCTAAGTTTTTAAATTTTTGTCGAGACAGGGCCTCACTATGCTGCCCAGGCTGGACTCTGACTCACGTGAGCACAGGGATGACTCTGAGTTCCGTCTCTTGTTCACAAGGAATTTCCTTATGGGAAAACTGCAAGGGAAGCATGTAGCTTTTTAATTTTTGTAGCTATCTTATTTAGGAATAGAATGGGAGGCAGGTGTGCCCATTGCAGTTCCCAGCTTGACTTCCCTTTGGCTTAGTGATTTTTGGGTCCTGAGATTTATTTTCCTTTGACAAGAGTAAAGTGAGTTTTCTCAGGTTGATAATAATGATGATCAATTGCTGAAGTACTTAGCACTAACATGCATACACACAACAGGTTAGTGATAAGTACTTCACATATGACTTGATGAAGAAAAAACTATTGGATTAGCTATCCTAGTTAAAGAAAACAAAATGAGGTTCAAAGAAGTAAATAATTTGCTCAAAGAAGTAAATAATTTGCTCTGGGTAGCAGAGCGAGGATTCAAGCCACATCCCTAACTCTGGAGCCAGGGCTCTTCACCTCTGTGTTACACTTCTCCACGTTCACATAGCTTCTAAGCAGTAAATGTTTGCTAAAATGCTAATCTTATTTATGCCCAAGCCCATACTCCTAAGCAATGAGAAAATGTATGACAGATTATATTTTCAAGTGTGTTTCGACCCAGTCCAATATTTTCAGATCTGAATTGATTCTTCAGAATTTCTTTTCTTCTTAGCAACAGGTCCTGAGGACTGCAGTTTACTTGCCTCTTCTCTTTGGAGTAGTCATCCTGGAAATCACCTCTGAGAAGTCTTAGAATCACTGTCCCACCAGCTCTAATCTTCTTTTCTCATCCTGAAGTTATGCTAAACACATTATTTATTAAATGGTGGTGGTGGTGGTGGTGATCATCTTTTTTTTCCTCTGGTGCCTGTTTTGGTAATCTCTGTGGTATAAGGAGACAAACGTCACATACACAAGAAATTGCAAAAGTTGTAGAAATCTAAATGTTCTTTCTACTTTGCAGTTTTTGACCTTCTTTCTTAGGTTGTATCTTAAGGCCTCACTAGATTCTTTATCATCAAAGTGGTTATCACAAAAACTTTGTCCAAGAAGAGGGTCAGAGGGAAATTGGGTGGAAATGTGCTTCTGAATGTCTACAGAGACATTAAGTGAAAGTACATAGGATTTGCACCCCACTTCCTGTTTGGAATTTTGGAAGCAGAGTGCCTAGAGCCAATGTGAAGGCCACAGTAGAGTTAAAATGGTTAAGTAGCATGTTTAAGCAGGGGGAGCCTAGGAGATTGTCTCTTGGTTTCCCAAGATGTGAAGAGAACTAGAAATGCCCATGTAACTCTGGAGGTGTGTGCAAGTTAACCATGGACTGAGTGAGTTTTTCTCCAAGGAGTCACCACTGCAAAGGCCAGTGCTAGGGTCAAATGGAGTATGCACATAAGTGAGTCTTGAAAAATCCACAGTACCAGCAAGAGCTGAAGTGAAGAATCTGGTCAGCCTGAGGAGATGGTGGGTTGTGATCCTTATAAGAAACTGCCATACATTGGCTGGGCCAAAAGAACAGAGCATGAGTTACAGCAGTCTCATACACTTCAAAACAGAAACAGAAACTGAAGCCTAACTACCAAGAGAAATAAGATGCACTCTTATTATGCCTTCAAGTTCCAGGAGAGAAGGAGAACATTTGGGTCAGTCACTCTTCTTAGCTTGGGTAATGTTCTCTGATTGTCTGCTTTGTATGAATCAGGATCCTATCAGAAAACAGCATGAATGCCAATTAGGGGGAGTTTAATAAAGGGACTCTTTACAAAAGTGCGGGCAGAGTGTTAAGAAACTATACAAGATAGTGCCTTACTATCCCAATTAGTCAGCCTGGGCTTCCATAACAAAATACCACAGACTGGATGGCTTAAACAACAGAAGTTAATTTTCTTACAGTTTTAGAGACTGGACAGTCCAAGATCAAGGTTCGTTCTAACAGGGTACAATATCTGGTGAGGGCTCCCTTCCTGGCTTACAGACAGCTGCTTTGTCCTCACATGGCCCTTCCTTGGTGCCTGAATGAGAAGAGAAAGCAAGCTCTCTGGTGTCTCTTTTAATAAGTACATTAACCCAACTGGATCAGGACCACACCCTTATGAACTCATTTAAGTTTAATAACCTCCTTAAGGTCTTATTTTCGAATATAGTCATATTGGGGAATAGGGCTTCAACATATGAATTTGGGGGTGGATGGGAGTTCATTCCATAGCACTACCCTGGGCCTGGATGGGCAAGTGGAAGGCAGAGTTACTAGAGCCCAGATAGAATAGATGTATAGATAGGGTTGAAAAGGAATTGAGGTCATAGATAGAGAGACAGAGCTACCCTATGTTAACCCTACATAGAGGGAGCCATGAAAATAAATAGTTCAAAACCCTTACTTTCTTCCTATCTTCAAATGCCTGAACTCAACCAAAACTGAGAGAAGATAAACGATTATTGTGTAGTCCCTATGAATGAGATTCTTAAGGAATAGAGCAAGGTGGAAAATTGATCAGGGTGGCCACAGATATCCAGCACACCCTGTATCAAGATGCCACCAAGAAGCCGGCGTGATGGCTCACAACTGTAATCCCACCACCTTGGGAGGCCGAGGTAGGCGGATCACTTAAGGCCAGGAGTTTGAGACCAGCCTGGCCAACATAGTGAAACCCCATCTCTACTAAAACAACAAAAAATTAGCCAGGCATGGTGCCGCGCACCTGTAATCTCAGCTACTTGGGAGGATGAGGCAGAAGAATGCTTGAACCCAGGAGGAGGAGATTGTAGTGAGCCGATATCATGCCACTGCACTCCAGCCTAGACAACAGAGCGAGACCCTGTCTCAACAACAACAACAACAACAACAACAAAAAGACTAAATGTTTACTCAGAAGAAACTTTGTTCCTAATAAAGATAACAAGTCAGGCGCTGTGGCTCATGCCTGTAATTCCAGCACTTTGGGAGGCTGAGGTGGGCAGATCACTTGAGGTCAGGAGTTCGAGACCAGCCTGGCCAACATGGCAAAAACCCATCTTTACTAAAAATACAAAAATTAGCCAGGCATGGTGGTGCTTGCCTATAGTCCTAGCTACTCGGGAGGCTGAGGAAGGAGAATCGCTTGAACCCAGGAAACAGAGGTTGCAGTGAGCCAAGATCGCACCACTGCACTCCAGCCTGGGCCACATAGGGCATACTCTGTCTCAAAAAAAAAAAAAAAATCCCTTATAAGACTGTGATAAGAATTAAGTGAGGTAAAATATAGGCAGCACACAGAGCAGATTGGGCACAGTCAGTACTCAGAAAATGTCAGCTACCGATATTACTCAAAAGTAAGCAGAACAACTTCAGAATTCCAGAATTCTATAAATATCTCAGGAATAATTAACCATGTTTTCCAAAAAAGGGCCTTGTAAAATGTTATCTTTTTTTGGAAGTACTTATATTTTGATAGTCTATTTCCTGTTATGAAACTCAATAAACCAATATAATTGCTATTAAAGGATTCAAGGCTGCATTCTGTGGTACATGTAAAAGCTAAATGAAAATTTAACATTGACATCCTACTGTGGAAGAAAAGGCTTAGGTACCTGGTCTTAAATCTGAAGATTAATACATTTCCAAATTTAAGAATACCCAGTGATATTTAAATATTCCTTTTATTTATTTTTCAATTAAAAATATAATTGGTGTTATTGTAATTAAATCACAAGCTGTTTCAGAATGTTAAATAAGATAATATATGTCAAAAAGAAGTTATAAGTAAATGTATTGGTAAAATGTTAGTTATTTTAAAACTACAACATATGCTAAATTTCACAGGCAGGAACTTGGCACAACACAAATGACTCTGCTGCATTACACTGTTAAAGAAAATCACAGTTGAATAGTAGCTAGAGCAGAAAAAACAAATTTTATTTAGTAAATATTGCAATGTAGGAAAATAAACCTCAGTATGGAATTGGGCTCAATTCTGAATACAGCATGAACAAGGGGAGATTTATAGCAAATGAACAGGGTTGGGGGTCAGTGGATTGAAAATTACTAAGAGGAAACATTAGGGGTGTCTTTGTCCATTTTGTGCTGCTGTAACAGAATACCTGAGACTGGGTAATTTATTTATTTATTTATTTATTTATTTATTTTTTTTTGAGACGGAGTCTTGCTCTGTATGCCCAGGCTGGAGTGCAATGGCGCAATCTCGGCTCACTGAAATCTCCGCTTCCCGGGTTCAAGCGATTCTCCTGTCTCAGCCTCCTGAGTAGCTGGGATTACAGGCATGAACCACCACGCTTGGCTAATTTTGTATTTTTAGTAGAGACGGGGTTTCTCCATGTTGATAAGGCTGGTCTTGAACTCCTGATCTCAAGTGATCCACCCACCTTGGCCTCCCAAAGTGCTGGGATTACAGGCGTGAGCCACCATGCCTGGCCCAAGAGACTGGGTCATTTATAATGAACAGAAATTTATTGGTTCATAGTTCAGAAAGCTGAGAAGTTCAATGTCAAGGTGCTGACATCTGGTAAGAGCCTTCTTGCAGCATCATTCCATGGTGGAAGGCAAAAAGGCCAACAGAGGGTTGAAGTCTCCTTTTTATAATATCAGTCCCACTTATGAGGGTGGAGCCTTTATTGCCTAATCACCTCTTAAGGGTCTCACTTCTTAATACTGTTACAATGGCAATTAAATTTCAACATGATTTTGGAGGGGACAAACATCCAAATCATAGCAAGGGGTAAGAGGAGATTCTTGCTAAACTGATTTGATAGTATTCTTTCTAAAGGCAGGTTAGGGTGATCAGATATCATCTGGGGGAAGGTAGAGAATAATGAATTTGATCAGATTTTGAAGGTGACCAGATACCAAAAGCAAGGGACTCTTACTAAAGTGACTTAGCAGGAGTCTAGCTAAAACTGAACAAATAAAGACATGGAAGCCTAAGGTCAAGGTCTAGTTGACAAAAGGTATCAGAGGAGCCTGACTAAGTTTGGTCAAGGAGAGAGTCTTTGTATTCATCCACGTAACCACCACAACAATCAAGATATAGAGCATTTCCATCTCCCTAGAAGGTTTCTCATGCTCCTTTGCCATTAAACTTCCCCAACATTCTTGCACCTGGGAACCACAAATGTGATTTATTTCTTAATGACTAGTGTCATCTCAACCATATTGTGTCCAGCATCTTTCACTCAGCATATATGTGAGATTCATCCATGTTGTCATGTGTAGTTTTTGTTTTATTGCTGAGCAGTATTTTGACTGATAAATATGACACAATTTGTTTTTGTTAGGAGGGGAAATATTGGGTCCTATGATAAGTACTTGTTTAGATTCATAATAAATAATTACTACTGTTTTCCAAAGTGGTTGTACTATTTTATATTCCTACTAGCAAAGTATAAATGCTCTAATTGCTTCAGATCCTTGCCAACATTTGCTATTTTCATTTTTTATTATGTATTTATTTATTTATTGACACAGGGTCTTACTCTGTCACCCAGGATGGAGTGCAGTGGTGTAATCAGGGCTCACTGCAGCCCTCTCCTCCCCAGGCTCAAGAGTTCTTCCCACTTCAGCCTCCCAAATAGCTGGGACTACAGGCATGTGCTACCATGCCCTGCTAATTTTTAAAATTTTTTGTAGAGATGTCTCACTATGTTGCCCAGGCTGGTCTCAAACTCCAAGCCCAAACAATCTTCCCGCCTCAGCCTCCCAAAGTGCTAGGATTACAGGTGTGAGCCACCATGCCTGTGCGACACTTGCTATTTCCAATCTTATTAATTTTAGCCATTCCAGTGGGATTGAAGTGATATTTCATGATGACAATGATGTGATAATTGCCTGTTCAACACATCTTCTATGATGAAGTCTTTTGTCTATTTTTTCAAATTGGGATATTTGTCTTTTTACTGAGTAGCAAGTCCTCTCTCTGTATATATCCTACGAGTCTTTTGTTGGACAAATGTTTTGTAACTATTTTCTCCTAGTCTGTAATGTGCCTTATTCACTTACTTATTCATTTAGCATCTTTTAAAGACCATAACATTTTAATTTTTTGAGCTGCAATTGTATTAATTTTTAAAAATGTTAGGACTTGTGATTATTTTATATGAGAAATCTTTTCCTACTCCAAGGTGGTAAAAATTTTCTCCCATGTTTTCTTCTAGAAGTTTTAAAACAACTTTTATATTTAGACCTATCATCCATTTTGAATTAATTTTTGTGTATTATGTAAGGTAGGGGTCACGGTCATTTATTTCCATATGTATATCTAATTGCCTCAACACTATTTGTCGAAAAGGCTATCCTTCTACACATTTCAATTATGTTGGTACCTTTGTCAAATTCAATTGACCATAATATCTGTGACTCTACTTTTGGACACTGTGTTCTGATCTATTGATGTATTTGTCTTACTTTACATAAATACCACACTATCTTGATACCATAAGTTTGTAGTAAGCCCTGAAATCAGGTAATGCTAGTCCTCCAAAATTGTTGTTGTTTTCCAAAATTGTTTTCGATATCCTATATCCATTACCTTTCCTTGTAAATTTCAATTAACAAGAAACTCAATATTGTGAATTTCTGTTAAAAAGCACTGAGGTTTTGATTGGGATTGTTCCAAATCTATAGATGAAATTAGGTAGAATTGACATCAATATTGCCCAATGCTCTTGACACTTTTTATTGCTAAATTCCACTCATCTCAATTCACAATTCGTTATCATCAGTACAAAAGGAACTGCCTTCAGAAGCATTATATTTCTTTTTACTACATATTGAAATAATTTTTTGGTAATTATTGAGGTTTTTTAAAAAAAATTTTATTGCAGTAAGAACCTTGAACATGAAATCTACCCTCAACAAAATGTTAAGTGCAGAATACAGTATCATTAACAGCAGGCACAACATTGTACAGCAGCTCTCTATAACTTATTTGTCTTGCAGAAATAAAACTTTATACCTGTTGAACAGCAACTCCCCATTTCCCTTTCCCCCTAGTCCCTGGCAACAACCATCTTACTGTTTCCGTGAATGTGAATATTTTAGATACTTCATAGAAGTGGAATCATGCAGTACAGTATTTGTCCTTCTCCGACTGATTTATTTCACTTAGCAGAACATCCTCCAGGGTCATTCATGTTGTTACATACAGCAAGATTTCCTTTTTTTATTTTTATTTTTATTTTTATTTGAGACACAGTCTCTCCTCTGCGGCCTAGGCTGGAGTGCAGTGGTGCGATCTCGGGTCACTACAACCTCTGCCTCCCAGGCTCAACCGATTGTCCTGTCAGCCTCCTGAGTAGCTGGGATTACAGGTGCGAGCTACCATGCCAGGCTAACTTTTGTATTTTTAGTAGTGATGGGGTTTCGCCATGTATGCCAAGCTGATCTCCAACTCCTGGCGTCTAGTGATCGGCTTGCCTTGGCCTCCCAAAGTGCCGAGATTACAGGCATAAGCCACTGTGACTGGCCGATTTTCTTCTTTTTTAAGACTGAATAGTATTCAATTGAATGTATAAACCATATGTTTTTTAACCCATTCATCTTTCAACAGACGTATAAGTTGTTTCAAAAGATACCAGGTTTTGGCAAGGATACGGAGAAATTGGAATACTTATACACCATAGCAGGAATGTAAAACGGTGCAGCGACTATATAAAAAAAAAAAAGAGTATGGAAGTTCCTCAAATATAGAACTACCATATGATCCAGCAATTCTATTTCTGTGTATATATCCAAAACAATTGAAATCAGGCTCTCAAAAGAGATATCTGTACTTCCATGTTCATTGTTATATTTTTACAATTATATTGTGATGATCCCTGAGGTCTGAAGAGGATTTTTGGCTGCAAGTTTTTAGTTCAGCATCTTTACCCAGAAAGTTATTTCCACCCATAGCTAGGCCAAAAATCTGAGTCACTCAATACTACATTTTCTGGTTAAGTTCACCAACAATAATTGTTAGAACAATCCATCTTTCCTGAACTACAGAAACAATAAAAATAACAATAGCTCCAGCTTATTGATCACTTAACTGCCTTTAAAAAAATCATTTGAAACATTATAGCAATCCTTTGGAAATTATTTCTAAATTCCCATTTATTAAGATACTAAAGATTAGAAGTTAATTTCTCTAAGGTCTCATGCTATTGAGAGACAGAGCTGGAATTTGTACCCACGTCATTATGACTGCAAAGCTTACTCTCTTAATCACTACACAATAGCTTCAGACCAATGTTCAACATACCTAGAGTTCATCCTTTATAACCTCAACAACTTTTCCTATTTACTAACATGACTGAATTAAAAACCGCATTTTTTTACAGCTGTGCTCTTAGTTTAACATAAACTTACTTCATTTTATTTTTTGAGACAGGGTCCAGCTCTGTTGCCCAGGCTGGAGTGCAGAGGCGTAATCATGTCTCACTGCAGCCTTGACCTCGCCGGCTCAAGCAATCCTCCCACTTTGGCCCCCAGAGAAGTTGGGACTACAGGTGTGCACCACCATGACCAGCTATTTTTTATTTTATTTTCTGCAGAGATGTGGTTTCGCCAGGTTGCCCAAGCTGGTCTTAAAACTCCTGAGCCCAAGTGATCCACCTGCCTTGGCCTCCCAAAGGGCTGGAATTACAGGCATGTGCCACTGCAGCTGGCCCCATAAACTTATTTTAATAACAAAGATGCAAATATGGAATTCTATTTACATTAAAAATTACTCCTTAGTTCTAATAGGACAAATGTAGAATCAGGGAAAATGGCATTTTGATATCTTCTAAATTACTTGGCTGTTTTCTTATGCTCTTCTTTACAAAAAATTATTAAAGGAAACTCAAATATGCAAAAAAGTAGAGAAGAGAGTATAATATTAACTAATGTATGTGGAAATCAAAAGGTATCTGAGGCAGGTCTCAATCAATTTAGAAAGTTTATTTTGCCAAGGTTAAGAAAGAGCCCATGACAGCCTCAAGCTGTCCTGATGACATGTGCCCAAGGTGGTCGTGCACAGCTTCATTTTATACATTTTAGGGATACATGAGACATCAATCACCAGCTTGACTTCTTCCTTTGGCTTAGTGATGTTGGGGAGATTTTCCTTTCACATATGTATCGCCCAGCTTCAACAATTGTTAACTCATGGGTAGACTTGTTTAATCTATTCTCCTACCCATTTCGCTACACCTGCCACCAGTTTGATAAATCCCAGATACCATATAATTTCATTTGCAAATATTTATTACTATTCTTATTATTATTTTGAGACAGAGTCTAGCTCTGTTGTCCTGGTTGGGGTGAAAGTGGCACAATCTCAGCTCACTGCAACCTCCGCCTCCCGGGTTCAAGCAATTCTGCCTTAGCCTCCCGAGTAGCTGGGACTACAGGCGCATGCCATCATGCCTGGCTAATTTTTGTATTTTTAGCAGAGACGGGGTTTCACCATATTGGTCAGGCTGGTCTCAAACTCCTGACCACAGGTGATCCGCCCGCCTGGGCCTCCCGAAGTGCTGGGATTACAGGTATGAGCCACTGCATCTGGCCTGCAAATATTTTCATATGAATCATGAAATTATAAGAAATTCTTTAAAAAGCAAAACTTATTAAAACTAAAAATACAAATAGCAATTCCTCAGGATCATCAGATATTATTTAATGTGTGTGTGTGTGTGTGTTTGTGGCGTGTGCGTGTTCGTATATTCAAATTAGTGTTCAATTAAGGTCCTAGAAATGGGGCCACTCCTGGTGGCTTCACACCTGTAATCCCGCACTTTGGGAGGCCGAGGTGGGAGGATTGCTGGAGCCCAGGATTTAGACACTAGCCTGGGCAAGATGGCTAGGTGTTAGCCATCTTGCGGAGATGGTATATCTCCACAAAAAATGCAAAAAATGTGTCGGATGTGGTGGAGCATGCCTGTAGTTCCAGCTACCTGGGAGGTTAAGGTGGGAGGATCACTTGAGCCCAAGGTTGCAGTGAGCCATGATCACACCACTGCACTCCAGCCTGTGTCACAGTGAGACCACGTCTCAAAAAAAAAGAGGTACCACATTCTAGACTTCTAGACTACTTGTCTTTCCCTGAATATGCAGTTAGTTTGCCAGTTTGTCTTCATATCACGAAGTTACTTAGTTACCTTTTTCAGATTTTTCTTTCCCTTATAACTCAGTTATAGTTCAAGGAAGCAAAATTAGATTGTTTCCGTTGGACAATGAATCTTAAGCAAGTTTCTCTTGCAGATTTTACCACACTATGTAGTTATGTATCTACTGGTCATTTATTCTGTAGTTTCGATTCCTCGATGGTCTGCTTAAATCAATTTTGTGCCCCAGGGCCTTGATAACATGTTTAAATTAGTTATTAATTACAAAGACCTATTATGATACAATTCTTTCCCCAATTAAAAACAAAACTAGGCCGGGCGTGGTAGCTCACGCCTGTAATCCCAGCACTTCATCCTGGCCAACATGGTGAAATCCCGTCTCTACTAAAAATAAAAAAATTAACTGGGCGTGGTGGCGGGCGCCTGTAGTCCCAGCTACTCAGGAGGCAGAGCCAGGAGAATCGCTTGAACCTGGGAGGCGGAGGTTGCGGTGAGCCGAGATCGCGCTGCTGCACTCCAACCTAGCGACAGAGCGAGACTCCGTCTCAAAACAAACAAAAACTAGCAGGCTTTTGTGACTACAAACAAGCTGGTTGCATGCTGCACTGCCTTTGGGTAAGAGTGGAACTCCAACTAAGAAAGTACATCTGGTAAACATAAGGGATTCACCCAGACTTGTCCTAAATAAGACTCCGATTACCCGAACTGAATCAGGAGTCCTTTAGAGCGACTCTAGCTAAGAAGGCCTGTTAGGCCCTGCACTAAGAGTTTCAGGTGGGAAAATTGCGCCATCCAGTTATAGGCCGTACAGCGGGAACTCCATGAACAACCTGGGTAACCTAATCCCTGAATAAGACTCCTTCCAGGTACCAGTGGGCTGAGGGCGGCAGGGCGACGCGCTGACGTCACGTCACGTTCCTTTGCACGTCCCCGCCTCCCCGCCCCTCTCCGCACTGTGACGTTCCCAGAGAGGAACGAAGCGTAAACAGCGCAGGGCATTTCGGGAGCGGGATTGTTTCGCGCAGGAAGCAGGCTCCATTTTAGCGCCGCCCGCCGTCGCCATCTGTTTCCCTTCCCTCCCCCATACCTAGCCCGAGTCTGAGCCCTAACGAGAAGGCTGGGCCTAGGCCGCTGGATGCTGGAGTGAAAGGAAGGGAGAAAGGGAAAAAGCGGGAAGAGTCGAGAAGGCTGAGTGTTAAGAGGCCAAGTGCGACGCGCGTATCCGGGCAGACGGACTGACGGACGGGCCCGTGCTTCTGCCGCGGCTGCGGCGCCCGCGCGAGTCGCGTCTAAGCGGCGGCGGCGGTGGCAGCGGCGGAAACCGAAGGGGAGCCATGGCGGCTGACAGTCGGGAGGAGAAAGGTTAGTGCGGAGAAAGATGACGGGCCGAGGCGAGGCTGGGGCCCGGGAGTGGGGTGATGGAGCAGTGGTCGTCGTTGGGGGTGGGGGGTGGGGGTTGGGGAGGTTAGCTGGCCTCGCGAGGAGCCGGTGGCCCCCACCGAGACACTTAGACTCTGGCGGAGACCAGGCCTGCCCTTTCGTCCTCAGTCTCCATATGGCCTAGCACTTCATCTCAGTAGGGTTTTTCTTTGATGCGGATTTCACGCTTGACTTTCCGTTTAGCTGTCTTGGGCTGAGAGGGGCCCTTTCTGAGTTGCAAGCTCCTAGGTTTATTTCCTGGTAGGATCATGCGGATGTAACGCGTATTTTCAGGACAACCATTTCTGTTAGGCTAAAATTTGAAAACCCCTAATGCCGCGATCAACACTGGTGGTGTGGTAAGTGAGCAAGTTTAGGAAGTGGCACTGGCAGGTTATTAATCTTGAGAAATATCTGCAAATAACTTCTGGCTGTTCCTGTTAAATAGGCAAAGTGAATTACCCGTTTTGTTCCTCGAATACTTATTTTGGAAAAACATAGTACTTGGAAAAAGGAATACTTAGTTTGGAAAGATGACTGTGTGACTTAGGCTGGCAAAGAAATCCTGGGTGCTATTATGTTAGAAAAACCGTGTGTAGCTCCCAGAGGGTACAGTCAGAAACAAATGAATGCAAGTTACAGAGAGTTGGAGGGATAAATTTCAGTGAAATGTAGAGAGAACTGACGTTGCTGTAATGGAAAGATAGTAATACTAAGTTCCCAAGCCCTAGAGATATTAATGTAGGTCCTAGATCAGTGTCTCTCTGGAGAGTGGTCTAGATTAAATGCTGCTTTAAGATCTTTTTCAACCCTAAGATTAACATAATAGTCTTGGAAAGATTATAGTTAAAAATATGACACGGTCGCTGCTCTGTGTCTCACACATCTCTTCTGTGTGCCTAATTGATTTGGGGTTTTTTTGTCGGGGGTTGTTAAGTGGGCTCTAGAGTCAAGTTACATTAGGCGTGTAATCCTTTTTTCTTAATTTTTCTGGTTTCTGCATCAGGAGAGTCTTCATGCTTCAATGAACTGCCCTAGGTTAGGGACAAGCTGGGAAAGTGGAATGGGTGGGAATACTTTTAAGATACTGCCCTTATCCTAAAGTAGTTCTTTGATTAGGTTATAGCAGTTTAATGTTCCATCCTTAAACTAAATGCTAAAAAATCTCCCTGGGCCTTTTTTTTTTTTTTTTTTGAGAAATCCAGAAGTAATGGGAACATAGGATTGTATGGTGTTAGTGAGTAAAGGAAAATGCTTTTAATTAGTTAACTCAGTTATTAAAATACATGATCTTAATTAGTAAGTATTCAGCAAACATCTGATTGTCTTTCTAATTTATGAACTGTGGATATGGGAGTCTGTAGTGGTTGTGGTGGGCGAAATGAACCAAACACAAAAATGAGTAAAATTCAGTACTTCTCAAGAATTCGTTGTCTAAGATGAAAATATTTACAAGTCGTTAATAGAGTAGACGCAGTAATGCACATTGAAGAAGAAAAGTAGATGATTTTAAAAGTTTTGCTTTAGAAATGATTTAGTGATGATAATGCAGTCCAAATACATAAACTGTGTAGCTATTACTGGGAAGTAGTGATATCACCTGTTGTCTATACATAGGATACATTTCCCCACTTTTGAAAAGGTTCTTTGCCTCACATTTGCTTAGTTTTTTTTATTTAATTTTCATAACTTTATTTAAAAACTTGATGTAAGTGCTTTATCTTTATAGTTTAGAACAAAGATTGTTTCTGGACTACACGGAGAACTAGCACTTACCTACTGGAATTGTTTATTTCGTTTTGGGAGAGTTCTAGGTAACCTACAGGTTGTATCATTTACTTGATGATCATCATCACACACTTAGCTTTATAGTTAGAATCAATACTTAGGTCTTCCTCTCTTAAGGAAAAGTGGGACTCTTAAGCGCTTTATTGTCTTACATGAAACAGGAAATTATAAGGATAAACCCTCTAAAAATCTCAGTCATGTCACAAACGTTAAGTTCTTTCTCAAATGATTCCATAAATGGTTTAAGATCTTGATAGCAAATGAGTCTATAAGTTGCAGAAATTGGCAATTATATTAATCACAGAACAGTAAAGACCCTTGTTCATAGAGTTCTTGATGGGGTTTTGCACTTATCTGGGTAATAAAGACATGAATTTCTATAATCTATAACAATGCTTCAATAATACTCATACCTAGAAGCTGCAGCCCATATAAGTGGACAGATTGCTAGCTCCCTGTGATTCCTGTGGTGATAATTTGCCCAAGAAACTGGATTTGAAAGGTGTTGCAATGTTGGTGTTAACTAATATTAAATGCCATTTTTCTATATAAGGAGGAAATATGCATCTTTTCTATTATTGCAAACACCTTGTATAAATTGTATTAATCTTTTACAAAGTTCTCTACAAAGAACAGTTACAAAAGTTTAATCTATCCAAAATGTGTATGAGTAATGTGTAATGAGTTACTGTGTTAAAAATAACGTGTTTTCTAGATTACCAGACTAGAAGCTCCCTGAGTGCCCGGAGTACATCTGTCTTGTTCACTGGGTTCTTTGTATACAGTAATTGTGTTTCAGTACCTTGAGTATTTACCAGGTTGGACTTCATTGACTGACTGGTTAAATGACATGTGCAGTATGATAACGAAAGCTAAGAGTTTCTCAGTTTAAGTTATACAACAGTTCTCCCCTGACCCCCAACCTCTACCAGCCTTATTTTCCTGGTAAATACGTTCTAAGATCCACAGTGGATACCTGAAACAATGGATATTACTATATCCTATCTATACTATGTTTTTTTCTATATGTATATACCTATGATGAAGTTTAATTTATAAGTCAGGGACTGTAAGAGATCAACCACAACAATAATAAAGTAGAACAGTCATTACAGTATGCCATCATCACTACTCTTGTGCTTTGGGGCTATTATTAAGTAAAATAAGAGTTACTTTGAACACTGACACTGCCATATGTGGACAGTTGATCTACTACCCGAGACAGTTACTAAATGACTAATGGCAGGTAACATATGCAATGCAAATATTTGTTGACCAAAGGGATGATTCATTTTCCAGGCAGGACAGAGTGGGACAGTGCGTAATTTCATCACACTACTTAGCGCACAATTTAAAACTTATGAATTATTTCTGGAATTCTCCATTTTTATATCTTTGGACAGTGATTGACTCAGTTGACTGGGGGTAACAAACCCTCAAAAGCAAAACCTTGGATAAGTGAGGGACTACTGTATATATACACACAGTTGTTTTCAGACGGCTTCTGTCGCCTAGGCTGGAGTGCAGTGGAGCAGTCACGGCTCACTGCATCCCCAACCTCCCAAGGGCTCCCTAGTAGCTGGGACTACAGGTGTGTGCCACCATGCCCAGCTAATTTTTTATTTTTAGTAGAGACGAGGTCTTCCTATGTTGCCCAGGATTGTCTTGAACTCCCGGGCTTAAGCAGTCTGCCTGCCTTAGCCTCCCAAAGTGCTGGAATTACAGGTGTGAGCCACCGTGCCCAGCCGTTATACAGACGGTTACATGCAGGTGTGTGTGTATATATATATATATATATATATGTACACACACAGTCATGTGCACACACATGCACACAGTCACGTGCACACAAACACAGTCGTGTCATTTAACAATGAAGATGGGCATTGTTAGGCGGTTTTGTTGTGTTATCATAGTGTGTTTACACAAACTTAGGTGGCATAACCTACTACATATCTAGGCTGTATGGTATAGTCTATTGTCCCTAGGCAACAGATCTGTTGGGCGTGCTACTGTAGGCAGTAGTAACACAATGGGAAATATTTGTGTATCTGAACATCAAAATGATGACTGTGCCACAACATTTGTATATACTATGTGTATATACTATGGCCCTCACTATAGTAATTTCTTAGGATAAAATTGCCTGTCTTGGTTCACTTTAGTTTGGGCTCTGTAAGGCATAGAGTACATATTGATACTCCAATATATTTATTTTACCTATAGTATAAGTAAGGTAGAAAATTTAAAATGATATCTTTGCACTTAAATTGTATGTTTTTATAAGAGCGGTTTTGGATGGGAAATCCAAGTTTTTAAACTTCATTTGGAGGAATGACGATTTTCAATGACAAAAACTGAGAAACTGGTCTAAATGTACAACGTACATTACAAGACAATAGAAGGGGGAGGTTCTAGTAATCTTGCTCCATTGCCAAGTCCCACTAAAATTATATTAAATGAATTAAAATATAATTTATTTTGGTACCTTGTGTTAGAAAACAAAATGTGTAGTATATTTAGTATTTAACTTTCCTTAAATACTAAATCTTAGTCTGATGCTGGAACCTCACATGTTAATAAATAGCACTGTCTTCTGACCCAGAAGCTTCTGCAGTAAAAAATGACTGTCCCAGATAAAGGTTAATTTTCTACCCTGATATCCCTAGAGTTAAAGTTTGTGACCTTCCTGGCCAAGAATGTAAAGATTATGGTAAATTTTAAGTTCCCATGTTTACCTAAAACAAAAATCCCCCAGCCAAGCAACAAACAGCTAGCTTTGTTATTTCTAACATCTTGTCAGTTTTTGAACAGGCCTTAAAAATAATGATTTTTTTTGTTGTTGGCGGGGAGACAGGGTCTTACTCTGTTGCCCAGGCTGAAGTGCAGTAGTGCGATCAGGGCTCACTGCAGCCGCGACCTCCCAGACTCTGGTGATTCTCCCACTTCAGCTTCCTAAGTAGCTGAGACTACAGGTGCGGTGCACACCACTAATTTTTGTGTTTTTTGTAGAGATGGGGTTTCATCATGTTGCCCAAGCAGATTTCAAGCTCCTGAGCTCAAGCTATATGCCTGCTTTGGCCTCCCAAAATGCTGGGATTACAAGTGTGAACCACCATGCCCGACCTGTTACTCTTTTTATATCCTTGTTTACTTCCTGTATCCTGGGAATCTGTACCTTTACCTCAAAACTCATTTTGCTATTAGTTTGTGTATAATATTAATACAAAACATTCACACGTGATTATACTTTCACGGAGGAATCTAGCAGCCAACTGTGGAATCTATCAGCCAGCTGTTTCATTTTTAATTGAGGCAGCACTGAAGAGTCATGCAATTCCAAATAAAAATCTGGGTTTCAGAGTCCTCTTGAAAATGTGGAAGATCTGACAACACAGTGCTTGCAACTGTCAAGGAAGTTAATCTTCTGGAGTTGAGTAGGATTGTCCCCTTTAGCTTTCCTCCTCTTTCCCAAAGTATTATATACGGTATACTAAAACTAGTTTGATGTTCCTGTGCCTTAGTGTATTAAACTGAGCCTTGGGTTTTTTCAAGTTTAAGATCAGTGTTATGCAGGGGTTGCAGATGTGTGTGCATGCCAGAATCTGGCAGATAAAGATAAAGTACTTGCTTAATACGTTAGGTATCATGAGTTTGTTTTTTTTTTTTTTTAAGAGCCAGCATGCTCTTTGTTCAGGTAGTAATACTGATTCACCAGATACAAACTCATTCACCAGATACAAACCCAGATTGTCTCATGCAAAACTTTGACATATGTTACCTTCTCTGTGTCTTAACAGAAGACTAGACTCTTCCAGCTGGTTGTTTTCAGGTGAGAATCTGGGCCCCTAATAATCAAATAGTATTTTTTTAAGTGGGTTTTCATATTAAATCCTTAGAATTTTTAAAAACAGCATTCAAGAGCTGAGTTTATCCTCTAGACTGCTAGTGTAAAACTTTTAGATAGATTTGAATTTTAGCTCTAAATGTAAATACTGTTTAATGTAGGATTGTTTCATTAAGCTTATTTCTTGAACTGGCACATTATAAAAAAATCCATCTTTTTGTGACATCTTAATTTTGGAACAAAATTTTATAGATTTTAACCTGAGGTCAGGAGTTCAAGACCAGCATGGCCAACATGGCAAAACCACTTCTCTACTAAAAATATAAAAATTTAGCTCGGCGTGGTGGCAGGTGCCTGTAATCCCAGCTACTTGGGAGGCTGAGGCAGGGAGAATTGCTTGAACCTCAGAGGCGGAGGTTGCAGTGAGTTGAGATCATGTCACTGCACTCCAGCCTCGGCAACAGTGAGACTGTCTCAAAAAAAAAAAAAATTTTTTTTTTTTTTTTTTTAAAGATTTTAAGTGATTTTTTAAGGCCGGGCACGGTGGCTCATGCCTATAATCCCAAGACTTTGGGAGGCCAAGGCAGGTGGATCACCTGAGGTCAGGAGTTCGAGAACAGCCTGGACAACATGGTGAAACCCTGTCTCTACTAAAAATAACAAAAATTAGCTGGGCATGGTGTGGCGGGCCTCTGTAATCCTAGCTACTCGGGAGGCTGAGGCAGGAGAATCACTTGAACCTGGGAAGTGGAGGTTGCAGTGATCCCAGATTGCGCCACTGCACTCCAGCCTGGGTGACAGAGAGAGACTCTGTCTCCAAAAAAACAAATTAAAAAAAAAGTGATTTTTAATGTCTATAGTTCTCTATATAGACATCTAAAAAAGGCTTTCAATGTGAAGTGCTTTATGTCATAGAAATTAGGATTTTTGTAGTGCATGAATTGTATGCTTATAGGCCTTTTCTTAACCTGGCATTTCTAATCTTTGTTTACTGTTGTTATTCTTGGGTTGGGATACTACTGTCAAACTATTATGAAGTAATTGAAAGTATACATATCTCTATATAGAATATCAATAATGTTAAATTTCAGGACAAAGGAAATGGTTAAAAACGTTTGTTCAGGTAGGTTAAAAGAAAGTCAACCTAGAACTAGTGGATATTACTTTATATCTAAAAGAGATAATTATTTCTTTTCAAAAAGGATATGCCAGTGATGATTATAGTCTTTAACAGCAGTAGCTTGTGAGAGTATTAAAATGTTTCTTCTTTTATAATTCATTCTACGTTAAAAAAATGAATTAAAATGTATGCAAAGTGTACTTTTTCAAGTCAGTGAAGAATATGGCCAGAAGCAGCAGTTTACATTAGCTTTATAACTTAATACTATAAGCTTTAACATTGACCTATTTAAATGAATTTTTGTTATTAAAAATGCACCTCAAGTATATAATTAAAATATTTACCCTTAAATAAAACTATAGTAATTTTGGAAACATCTGTCATGTATTATGTATGACACTTCTGTCAACAGTGATTGGAATATGTGTCCCCTCTGTTTGAAGCTAGGTAAGCTTTTGTGATGAATAAATACTGTGATGGTGTTGCTGGATTTCTACCTGTTCCCGTCTCTGTTGGGACACGAGAGTCCTAAACTACCATGTAAAAGATCTGCCTACTCGGTGGTTGCCATAGTAATGAGTAATCACACACACAGAAATGTTGGAGAAGCTCCAGCTTTGAATCTTCCCAGCCTAGACATCAACGAGACTTGTCAATGAACAAGCCTTCAGATGATTTCAGCCCCAGCCCCAGCCCCATTTGACTGCAGCCACATGGGAGACCCCGGTTGAGCCCTGGAACCATGAGCCATAATGAAAGGTGTTACCATTTTAAGTCAAGTTTTAGGGTGATCATCTTATACAGCAGTAGATAATCAGAACATGTATGCATATACCATACCTGTTTTGTTGAAGAAGGAATTTTGTTTTGTGTTCTGGACCAGATTTTATATATATCACATAGCCCAGTCATTAGCAAGAGGGTTGGGGCAGGCAGGTTTTATTAAAGTCCAATAGTTATAAGGAAGGAGAGTCTTCTTACAGGTTGAAAAACTCATAGAAGATTCAAATGTCCTGCTTTTCCTTTCCCCAAAACTGACCTTTTTTAAGTGCCTCTTATCAGAGGTGAAGAATCTTGAACTCAGAAAGACTGGGAATTTCCTGATACCTAAATGCAAGCTATAACCTGCATTTCCTTAACCTCCAAGACTTTTCCCCTTGTATATTATATTCCAGTGTATATATAAGGAGTTTCAGTGATGGAGAAAAGTACTTAAAATTTGGTCATTTGTATTATATCAGGGGTTGGCAAAACTCTTTGTAAAGGGCCAAATAGACTTTGTGGGCTGTAAGTGTTCTCTGACATATTCTTTGCTTTTTTTTTTTTCTTGTTAATAAGCGCCTTAAAAACGTAAAAACCATTCTTGCAGGCCATTCTAAATAGGCAATGGGCCATGTTTATCCTGTAGGTTTTAGTTTGCCAGTTTGTGGTAAAACCACACAGTTTATTGATGTTATGGACTATAATACGGATAAAAGTGTGTACATCATTTAAGTGAGGGTGTTATAGTTGATTTTGAATATTTCAGTAGATTTTAAATGTTGTAATGTTAAAGATATAGAGCTTTCTGGTGCACTAATTTGAAATTTATGTTCTAGTATATATGCCCTTTTAATATTTTGCATTTGTGTTCTTTATACTTTGGTTAAAGTTGCTTTTATTGTTCCCCATCTGATTTAACTGTCAATTTCTAAAGCCGGAACTTCATACTAATATCCATTTGTTACTAGACAAGTGTATTTGGTCAACTGGAACATTTGAGCTTCTCTTTCTTTATCTGCAAAGTAATGAATGATTAAACATGCTCTATTTTATATGATTTGTATATATGATATATTTTAAAAGTGATAAAATTTTAAAAGTGACAAAGTATTTTTAAAAAGTAGTAAGCATTGGTTAATATTTGTTGTCTTGAAAAAGGTTGTAGGTGCTTTCTAAAACTACAACCAGTATCTGAATTTGAATTCGTTAAAACTTTAAAACAGTAATACCCCTTTTTATAGGAAAACCAGGCTTTAAGTGTGTTTGAAACTTAAATTTATTTAAATTAACATTCTGCAAAATTATTTCATTCTGTATTAAATTTAGCATGTCTAAAGTATATAATATAAATGTTCAGGGTTCGGGGATGATATTTCTGAATAAGATCTAGTGATTTTATGAAAAGATTTGTATAGCATTATTTGCCTGTTTCATTGTGATAGTCTTGAAATTTTTTCTTTTTGTCTTCTACAAATGTATTTGATTCTGTGAAGACCTGTTGGATCTACTTTTTTACTGATTAGTGAGCTTTGACCCAGTACTTATTAAACATCTGTAAAACATTGATTTACTTCTATCAGACTATTTTTTTTATAATTTAGAGTCCGAAAATGGTGTTTGCCACCATTCAGATCTTGAAGAAATTTTTCTTAGCAAAAACATGAATCTAGATGATGAGAGAAGCTTTTTTGTTTGACATATCTTGATTTTAAATAAGATTTTTTAAAAGTAAACAAAAATAAAAACCCATATAGCCTGTTTTCATTTTAGAAAAATGATAGAAAGTACATATCAGCATTGGTACCACCCAAAATGATCAATTTTGCTATTCCAGACATAGTAATTTTCAGATATCTTTAGATTGTGTCTGTTTCCAAATGTAAAGGAAAATGATATCTTTTCCATTTCCTATGTAACCTTATCGTTTGTATTAACTATTCTCTTCAGTCACAGATTTCTTTCCCACTTTGGGGAAAATTTGAATCCCATTTAACCTGTTTATAGCCCCCAGGTTAATTAATAGACCTTTCTGTAATTCATGTGGGCTTTGTTTTTTTCCTGAAGCCACAAATGTAATTGTTCTGTCTCATCAGTTTTCATGGCTTTATACTTCCTCTTTGGCACACCTTAAATTTGGAAAGATGTTTTTGATATTGGAATAGTTAATGTTTAAACATTTACTATTAGCATTAGTACATTTTAAAATTTAAAATGGTATTTGTGTGTATTTCTAAGGTTTATCTTGTTGGACAAGGTAGAAGTGGGGACAAAACTGAGTTTTATGCTTTCATGATCATTGAATAAAGTCATAGTTCCCTTCTCTGAACAAGTTTTGTGCTTTTACAGTCCACACCAGCAGGCTCTAAATGTTTTTTTTATTATATAGCACATTGATAATTTTTTCATTTAACTTGCAGTTTGACATAATTTCAGATAAGCATAATAGCTACAAGTGCAGTGTGAAGAATTTTCTTTTACTCTCCAAACACATTCTGCAGATGTTAGCATTTTGTCACATTTGTCTCATTCTGTGTGTCTGTGTGTGTACGTGCATGTGTGCACACTTTTTTCCTGAACCATTTGTAAGTTGTAGACATAATATATCTTTGTCCCTAAATACTTAAATATGTGTTATAAGGACTTTGACTTAACCATAGTACAGTCAAAATTAGAAAAATAACATTGCTACTTACTCTGATTTACAAACTTTATTCAGATTTCACCAGTTTTTCCAATTATGTCCAATATTGTGGGCTGTGTTCAGTTATCATGCCTCTCTAGGTCTGCTTTGATATGAAATAGTTCTTACTCTTTGTTTCATGACAGTGACATATTTGGATGCCCTTTAATTTGGGTTTGTCTGATTTTTTTCCTCATGTAGGTTCAGCTTTTCCATTTTGCATAGAACATTACAAAAGCATTGTTCTATTCTCAGAGCATTGTTACAGGAGGTCCATGATGTTGATTTGTCTCATTACTGGTGATGTTAACTTTGATTATCTGGTTAATTTGGCCTGTGAAACATTTCTCCACTGTAAAGTCGTTTTCCCTTTGTAATTGTGGAGAGTGCACATTTTTGGTAAATGTGTATTTATAAGTTGTACATACGTATTTGTATACTAATTTATTGTACACATTTTAAAGCCCTCAGAAATATTAGAAATTAAAGAATGAGGTAAAAATAGAGACATTCTTGCATTTTCTTTTTATGCCTCAGTATATCTTTTCATGCCTTCTGAGATGTATACTCCTGGCTTTGTAGACCAGATAGCCCAGACTTCTGTTTGTGTGTGTGTGTGTATTTTGAGAAACTCACTCTTATCGCCCAGGCTGGAATGCAGTGGCACAATCTTGGCTTACTGCAACCTCTGCTTCCCAGGTTCAAGTGATTCTTGTCCCTGAGCCTTCTGAGTAGCTGGGGTTAAAGGCATGTGCCACCATGCCCTGCTAATTTTTGTATTTTTAGCAGAGCAGGGTTTTGCCATGTTGGCCAGGCTGGTCTCAAACTCCTGGCGTCACGTGATTGGCCTGCCTCAGCCTCCCAAAGTGCTGGGATTGCAGGCATGAGCCACCACGACTGGCCAATTCTTTACCCTGTATTAGTTTTATAGAAATTAATCTTGTGTCTTGATTCTGAAATAAAAGTAAAGCTTTTTATATAAAAGTAAAAGCTCCTAGGCGCTTGTGGCCTCACACTTAGTAAGTACTCAAAAATACATGTTCAATGATAGTGATTTTTCCCTATTAATTTTTAATTTTATTTGCAGATGGAGAACTTAATGTTCTGGATGATATTTTAACTGAAGTACCAGAACAAGATGATGAACTGTATAATCCAGAGAGTGAACAAGATAAAAATGAGAAAAAGGGTATGTAAGAGTTCTATTATTTTTGTTGAAATAACAGTATAAATAGAGGAGATTCAATTTCTTAAAAAAAATGACTGTGCTTTTTTGTGCTTGTTCCTTGAGGCAGTTAACACTAAATGTACATAATAAACTGGTATCCATATGAATAGGGATAATCTGTTTTTTTCTAATATATGAAACTTCTCAAATATATGGTTTTATTCCCATAGTTGAAAGCTATGTTTTCTTTTAGATTAACTCTGGAGAAGAAATCTCTCAGAAGACTTTTAAAGAAATGAGGCCTATCCCCCCTTCCTGATGTATATATTATTGTCAGTCTTTGGTGAAATAAATGGAATACTACAAATACTTCTTTTTTTTTTTTTTACATTGTATTTTAAAGGATCAAAAAGAAAAAGTGATCGAATGGAATCTACTGATACCAAACGACAAAAGCCTTCTGTCCATTCTAGACAACTGGTTTCTAAGCCACTGAGCTCATCTGTTAGCAATAACAAAAGAATAGTTAGTACAAAAGGAAAGTCAGCCACAGAGTATAAAAATGAGGAATATCAAAGATCTGAAAGAAACAAGCGTCTAGATGCTGATCGGAAAATTCGTCTATCAAGTAGTGCCTCCAGAGAACCTTATAAGAATCAACCTGAAAAAACCTGTGTCCGGAAAAGGGATCCTGAAAGGAGGGCCAAATCTCCTACGCCAGATGGTTCTGAGGTAGTAAATATTATTGCAGATATAAAACAGAAAGCCATTCTTTTTGAGGCTTTAGAACTGTTTATTCACCCTGACCTTGTCTTTTATATGACTGCTGATTCCCTTTTTCTTTAAACATCAGAGAATTGGGCTTGAAGTGGATAGACGTGCAAGCAGATCCAGCCAGTCTTCTAAGGAAGAAGTGAACTCTGAAGAATATGGCTCTGACCATGAGACTGGCAGCAGTGGTTCTTCTGATGAGCAAGGGAACAACACTGAGAATGAGGAGGAAGGAGTGGAAGAAGATGTGGAGGAAGATGAAGAAGTAGAAGAAGATGCAGAAGAAGATGAAGAGGTGGATGAAGATGGAGAGGAGGAGGAGGAAGAGGAGGAGGAGGAAGAGGAGGAGGAGGAGGAGGAAGAAGAAGAATATGAACAGGATGAGAGAGACCAGAAAGAGGAGGGAAATGATTATGACACTCGAAGTGAGGCCAGTGACTCTGGTTCTGAATCTGTTTCCTTCACAGATGGGTCTGTCAGATCTGGTTCAGGCACAGATGGATCAGGTACTACTTTTTATATGTAAAAGTTTGTCTTAAAAAAAGCTTGATAGGTTTCAGTCTTGAAAATGTTTAAATTATAAAATTGTTGAGGAGATGGGGGATATTAATAGGATTGTCTTGTGATCCTTTATATGCTTTTGAATGTTATAAATACATTTGAATAATCTTGGATAAGATTTACATATTTTAGGAAAGGCATTTCCTAGCTACAGAATGGTTGTGTTGTAAATGAACACAAGTCCATTTGATTCTGTATAAGGAAATGTATTTCAGATTTCTGTAAATTCTTAGATTTTCATACCAGTCAGCAGTTTATTTAAACACTGATGTACTTGAAGTATATTCATAGGAAACCTGTCCACTGGGTATTACAGTATTTCCTTGGTAAAATACCCCTAGATTTCCATCATATGGCTTCAGAATCAAAACAGATTATTTCTTTTTTATCTCTGGGAGCACAGACTTTTCTTCTAATTTTGTGTCTGTCAGTTGACTGGCTGAGACAGGGTCGACAAGAGGGCTGGGGTGTAAGGTATAAGATGGAGATGAAGACTATAAATAAAATTCTTGTGGAAAAATCAGGTAAGAACCATCTTCAGTCATTTCTTCAATGCTATATATATCCTGCCTCTCTATACCTATGAGACAAAAATGTATGACTGTTACGTAGTTGGAGGCACTAGGCTTAGGGGAACTTTTCTTGGGGGAGGGTACAGCAAGGAGAGGTCAGGGTACTTACAGAGCACTATATGATGATTATAATCTCATGACTGTCTTATGTAAAGATGCTACCAGATTGCTACATAAGCAAAATGTACTAAACATAAGAAAATTCCTATTTTTTTGAAATACATTTACAGTTTATTATAGAATTTGATCATTTATAATAGTACATTGTTTTATATATATAGTATATATAGTATAGAAAAGTACTTCAGTTGCCAATCACTAGAAGATAACTGGCCATCTGCTCTACCTATACTATATACAGATAGTATATATCTATACTATATATTTTATACTATATATTTATACTATATGGATAGTATATATCTATACTACATACAGTATAGGTAGAGCAGATGGCCAGTTATTTTCTAGTGATTGGCAACTGAAGTGCTTTCAACCTTTTGTTCACTAGAATTCTAGGTTTGGGAGTTAAGATAGGCTTTTCAAGGGAGGTAGAGTTAAACAGAATAGATGAGTAGTTGGATTTGTTGTAAAAACATATGAAATCTTTATGCTTCCATCATGCCTTTTACAAACTGATAGGATATATTTTTTATAATTTAAGATAATAAATATTTCATTAGCAGTATGTGTTGAATGTTCATTTATTGTGGAGAATGTATGAAACCACTCCCTTGGGTAGGGAACGTTTTGTTGTAGGAATCTTCTTTTTGGTATCTCTGTTATTTCTTAGACTTTAATGTTTGTATTGTTTACATTAAACAAAGGGAACTTACTTAAATGGGTAGGACCAGAAATTGCATTTGTAACAGGCTCCTAGATGATACCATAGTAAGGTAACTTGATTGACACACTTTGTTTTTGTGGAGAAGACATTTCAAATTAAATGGTAACTGTAGTTTTATAATAAATCTTGATATCAAAACTCTGTTACTAGACTAGGTTTATTCTAAAAGAGATACCTGAAAGTTTTATTTTCCTTATAAAGGAAAATCCCTTATGTGGAACATGCTTTAGGTACTATATTAATATGCAGGAAATTTTTTTTTATACAATAGTTTATGAAAGAGTAATGGGGTGATTTTGGAACTTCTTGATTAAGAGACGTCAGTTTTTAAATAAAAGTGATCACAGTTGAGTTTCTCTGTCATGAATTTTCTAGATTCCAGTTCATTTTACCTTATTCTCAGAATTTTTGGTAACTTTATAAAAGCAACAGACTGATTGATAACAGTTTATTTATTAGATGATTTTCATTGTTCTTTTGACCTGAGAGTAATAGTTGGGGGAGAGGGCCATAAACTTAAGAGCATTGGGAGTTATTCATACAAAAATGATGAAAATTCCTTGGAGATTTCTCATGCTAATGCTAGGTTTAGCATTATATAAAAACAATTGAGTAGGATCTTCTGCTTCTGTTATTTTCCCTGCATTATCTCAGATCTTTTTAGTAACTTTTTAATTATTGTTTTTGTCTTTATATAAAGAGGGTCTTGCTATGTTGCCCAGGCTGGTCTCGAACTCCTGAGGTCAAGTGATCCGCCTGCCTCGACCTCCCAAAGTGCTGGGATTACAGGCACGAGCAACTGCACCAGGCCCTTTTTAGTACTTTGGACCATGAAATAATTCTTTTTTAACAGCAACAAGAGATAAATTACACTCAGTCAGATGCATTCATAATGCTTAGACTACTGAAAGAAATATCCATGGGGGAAAAATTAGAAGAAACATGTCAGAACTTTTGAAAGAAATAATGAAAAAAGCCCCCAAAACTAGTTAAACCTGTAATCACCTTTCAAAAATAGTATAAAACATCCTTTCTACTTGCTCAAGCCAGAGGACCTGCCCTTGAGTCTAGGTTCTGCCATCCAGGAACTGTGGGACCCTAGTCTAGTTGCCTAACTGCCTGTCTAATTCAAGGTTTCTTCATCTGTAATGAGAATATCTTGTGAACTTGTTATGAGAATTAAAGGAGATAAGTAGTTAAAGCTTTTTAAATAGCTGTCATTATATAGTAGGTTATTGTATACATGATCACTGATTATTATTTTTCAGCTTTCCATTGTTTATATAAAAATAAGTATATGCATTTTTTTCTTCCTATTCCCTTATCTCTAAGCTGAAAAGTAAAAGGAGCTTATCATGGTAAAACTAAGATAAAAATAAACAGATAGGAGAGCTGAATTCCATTTCAAGTCCTCATGTATATGCTTACAAAGTTCCAAATTAAGCTTGGGACTGGTTCTTACATGGCAGGTAATCCAAACCTTTTCTATTTACTGAAGATTTTCAGCTCTCTTACAGAAATACACAGGCTACCATTAAAATTGTAGGGATAAATTTTAAATTGAATTTGAAAATAAGAGCAGTAATCCAGGGAGGAAATGGCTAAGGAGAATGAAATAGAAGACACAAAAACAAGCAATGGCAACCAGAAGGGAATCACTAATTATGGTATATATATTTTTCCAGTTGTAAAGCTTTGGGTTCAGGGGTTCATCAGATCTCTTAAGATAGAATCAGAATTGTAATTGTGCTGAAGAATGGTAGTGGAGTTTAAAAAAATAAGGACTTAAGACAGTGTTACCTGGTGTGTAGAAAGGACACAGTTTTGAAAGAAATTGTTTTTGCTTTGCAAATTTCCCCCCCCGCTTGGAAAACTGTATTCAAGGCCACCTATATATGGCAATTAAGGCCCTGACTTTGTAGTTATTTCGTGTGTTTTTATTTGATTGAAACTGATGAAAGAAACAAGATGCCCGTACTTTTTAAACAGTATTTTTAAAATAAAACATTCTGAGGAAATTGAGGGATCAGGAGAGAGGAGCACAGACTAATAGAAGGGCTATGCAAAAACTAGACATGTAATGATACATTCTTGTTTGATTACTTCTCTTCGTTTCTGTATTGTGATTTAAAAAAAAAACTCTTGTTCTTTTTAGATGAGAAAAAGAAGGAAAGGAAGAGAGCTAGAGGCATATCTCCAATTGTTTTTGATAGAAGTGGAAGCTCTGCATCAGAGTCATATGCAGGTATTCTCATTTTGTGATCATATCTGACTTGATTCTAATGTAATCTGCTTTAGAAAGCGTGTGGAGGCTGTAGTTTAGTGTGAACTTGTTGATGTCCATTAGCACTGATTTTTGGCATGTTCAGTGTAATAATTCTAGAGAAAACTAAGCTTTTTCTTATTATTTTAATCCTGTTCTGTTACTGCTTAAGTGGAATTTTCACTTTTTTTTTCTTGGAAGATGATGATTCAGTGACTAGTTTTCTGAGTGGGAAACTGTTCAAATATACATACTTTTAAAAAAATCCAAACAACCCAAAAAGCAAAACACTCGTACACATTGAGAAGTTTTTTTTGTGTGTGTGGGTGCGCCAGGAAGAATAATTTGTCTTGAATGAGAATTTTATGTGACAAGACTGTAGAAATTTTGTCTTATCTCTATTAAAGCTCAATCTGAACAAATGTACTTTGGCTAAATACAGGTTCAGAAAAGAAGCATGAGAAATTATCATCTTCCGTTCGTGCTGTCCGAAAAGGTATCATTTAAATTTGAAATTGTTTTCATTGCATGCTGCATAGTCATTATTTTTCCTTATTGGTTCTCCATTAATAGCTGCTTTTAATGTAGTAATGTTCCGATATATTACATGAAGCAAAAAATAATATCTTAACATAGAAAGCTCTGTGTCTGCTTCTTACTGCATATTTTTTAGAATAATACCAAACATTTCAGGATATTTTAGTTTTTGGACAAAATGGGATGGGTGTGTGTGTGTATGTGTGTATGTGTTATATATAGATGTGTGTGTATATATATGTATGTATATAATGGTCTGTTATTCTTGAATCTGAGTAAGAAAATCTATAAAACTTGGTAACCATTTTCATACTTAAATATGGATTTGATATATCGGAACATCACTAGGTTAGGTTTACTTTCTTGCAATATGCTGATTGTCTTTTCTTAGCTTTGCTTTATTACATGTGGCTTAGCCTTCCAGGTTGAATGGGTGATTGTTGCGTTTTAAAAGTTTAGCTGGGTTGTGGAGGGCTAATTTCAGTTAGTACAGTTTTGACCCCTTTGTGTGATAATGGCTTGTGGTTAATCGATTTGGGTTTCTTTTTTTTTCAGATCAAACCAGTAAACTCAAATATGTGCTTCAAGATGCAAGATTTTTCCTCATAAAGAGTAACAACCATGAGAATGTGTCTCTTGCCAAAGCGAAGGTATTAGCATCAGTTCTGTTGAAACTATCCTAATATCAAAATTTTTAAATGGGAAAATAGACTTGTATTATATCAAGTAGCATAGGTATTATGATTTTCATTACGGCTTTAAAGATCTACATTCCAATGGCCACTTAGGATCTGGTTGTAGTCAGTCAGCCTACTTGTAATTTGAGTTTTCTTTTTTTTTTTTTAAGATGATTTTAGGGGTCAGAATATTAAATGTTGAAGGCTATACAGTTTAACTTTTTGCTGTAAAAGATCCTGTTTCTGTTGATTTTTGTTTCTGTACTTCCTCAGTGGCTCATTTATTGTGCTAACACTTCTAAAAGTACCTGTAGTTAACCAATTTTTGTTTTATGTTGATGCTTGATTTACACTTTGAGGTTCTTTTGAAATCATTCTTTTATGGAGAGTTTTATTTTTTAGAATTAAGATCATTGGGATTTAGAAGAAAAAGAATTAGCTTAAAGATCCACTCCAGACTTTGCAAAAAAGATATGCATAGTTGCTGTAGGATGTTGTAAGATAATAATTTTCTTTTTATGTTTGGCTACAAAAATACATTTTTGTGTTACACTAGCTGTTACAGTGTTTTGCTATTCTTGGTTTAAACTGAGTAACTACAGTTTCAACTGATTTTCAGAAACTTAAAACTAAAGTTAGACATTTCTCTAATGATATTTCTGTCAGTATTCTATATTTCTACCTTAAGGACTACCCCTAAAACTTTACAAACAGAAGGAAACAGTACACCAAATAGCCTTATTCTGTTCTCTAGCTTAAGTGGATTTAGGCAGAAGTACACTTGGCCCTCGGTATCCACAGGGTTCCTCATCTTTCGATTTAACTAACTGGATTGAAATATTAGGGGAAAAAGGAATGAGAAATAATAAAACAGAAAATACAAACTTAAACACAGTATAACAACTATTCACATAGCATTTACATTGTATTAGGTATAAGTATTCTAGAGGTGATTTAAAGTATATGGGAGTATATGCATGGGTTATACGCAAATACTGTGCCATTTTATATAAGGGACTTGAGCATCCTCAGATTTTGGTATCTGCATGGGTCCTGGAACCAGTCCCCAGTGGAGACTGAGGAACAACTGTAAGCACTTAGTTTGAATGAGATGTCATTTGTATGAGCAGATGGTGTGAGCTGAATGATAGCATCTGCCTTATTATTCCATTTCTTTTTATCTGTTATGAATGAAGAATTGGTTAAAATGCTTTAGAAATTAACAAATATCTTCCAGCTGTAGGTAAAACGTAGGCCTCTTCAGTCAAACTATTGATACATAAAAATTTGAACTTAAAAACTGCTTTAAAAAACGAACTTAAATAGAAAAATGCTAGATTCTTGACTAATAGAGTAATTTTAAATTATTTGATCAGGTACGGTTTTGCAAGAAGACTAACTTCTAAGTGGCGATTCACCTTCAAACAGGATGTATTTACCACAGTAAATGGTTGTAATATTAAAATAATTGTAGTGATTGGTTTTACTATATAGAATTCTAGTCCCTTAGATTTGAACCTCATCTCCATCTATTTACTACTTGCTTTAATGGTTTTGTAAAATTGGTAATTGTCTCCATTTTTTCCCTTAGGTTTTTATAAATTATTACTACGTTATTCTGACAGCTGATAAATAAAACCTTTCTTCATTATAGCTTACTTAAATTGAAAGCACACCAAAATATGTAGTTTTTTTTCAAACATAACTGGAAACACAAAAGAGTTGTAGTTAATTTCACTTTGTGGTCTTTATGTTATTTATGTAGGGTGTATGGTCCACGCTCCCTGTAAATGAGAAGAAATTAAATCTTGCATTTAGATCTGCAAGGAGTGTTATCTTAATATTTTCTGTCAGAGAGAGTGGAAAATTTCAAGGTAAGAATAAAAATAATTTGGACATATAAAAACATTAATTATATTAGCATCTACATATTATATTATGATATGATTCTCTTAGGGTTTGCAAGACTTTCTTCAGAATCACATCACGGAGGATCTCCTATACACTGGGTGCTTCCAGCAGGAATGAGTGCTAAAATGCTGGGAGGTGTCTTTAAAATTGACTGGATTTGCAGGTAAATTATACACTTCAGTATAGATAACTGAAATTTTGAATACACTACCAGTTTAGAATAATGTGTTAAAGTGAAAAAGTCACTGTATACTTATCTTACCTTGTTCAGTAACTACCTTTATCTAATGTGGGACACAACAAAGGCGTATTTAGTCTAAAGTTACATGTATTTGATTTGTTTTGTATATTAGTAATAAAGCAGTAAATGAATTGGACAGTTGCTTGAAATGTTGTCTGGCGTATCTGTATAATTTTAGTGATTTAACATGTCACTTAAGTTATTGAGGAATGGGAAATAAGTACTATGACTTGGCTAACAATTTCGGAGGTAACTAGTTTAGTCGTGGACAGTATTTTTTAAGGAGGTTAGCAAATGATGTTTAGTTGCCATTGTGATCTTCTGAAACTGAGTTAAGATTTAACTGTATTTATTAGAAAAATAATCAGGCTTATTTTGAACACTGAGTTGTCACTATTTTTAGGTCCTTACTGCACACTGAAGTATTGTACACAAGAAGCTCATTATTTAAGTGATCTTTACGTGGCATACACAAATGTATTACCTGTAAAATTAATTTTAGTTAAAAAGTGTCTGAAAGGAGATGGTTACTTTGTGAGTTTTAAGTTGTTTTTGGGTATTAGATCTTGATGAGCCTGAAGGGGTCGGATGAAAAAGAAGAAAAATGCTATGCATATGATGGAAATCAGCCTAAGCCAAGAAGAGCATGGAAACAAACTATGGGGTTGCAGGGTTGTGGGGAGCAGTGGGAGGGCATATGGATGTGTGAGTGGGATAGGGAGCTACCTTTTTTTATGAAGGAGATGGTTAGGAAAAGAGAAGAACAGAGGGCAAAGATGGATAAGAATGAATGAATGTGAGTCAGCCTAAATGTTTATTGTAGGATAGTGAGGAGCTGTGAAGATAGAGGGAGTGATATATTACAAATAGCATACAGTCACTTACTGTGTAGTGACATACCCATCAACAAAGAATCTTGTCCCATAAGACTGTAGGACTCGTAAGAGGTACCTATAATACCATATTTTACTATACCTTTTCTATGTTTAGATACACAAGTATTTTCCATTGTGTTACATTTACCTACACTATTCAATACAGTAACATGCTGTGCAGATTTGTAGGCTAGGAGAAACAGGTCATACCATATATCCTAGGTATGTAGTAGGCTATACCATTTAGGTTTGTGTAAGTGCATTCTGTGATGTTCACACAATGAAATCACCTAATGAGTGTATCCCTGTCATTAAGTGACACATAACTGTATTAGGTTGATAATAGCGTAGCAAAAAGCTATGTGCAGAAAAAATACTCATCCCATTATTACTTTCTGTGGGAAAGAGTTGGAAATCATCTAAATTCTTTGAAATAGAAAATTAGTTAAATTATAGTTTGTCTCTTAAATATATGTGGAAGTAATTGTGCACATATCAACATGGAAAGGTATAACAAATGAAAAAATACATAATTATGGTATTGGAATGCAGTGTTAGGTGGTGAGACTGTTAGTGCTTTCTCCCACTTCCTCTCTGTTGCCCCCAGGGGTTTTAAAATATAAACTTGGTTTTTTTGAAATCAAAATTATAATTAAGTTATAATTAAAGTTGAAAATCTGGTGACAATTTGTAGGAAAGGGAGTGATTATTTTTATTTTGTGTGTGTATGTGACTGCTCTGTAAAGGCCAGAGGAAACGTTGTAATGTAACATATTTGCAGGTGTTGCTTTCTTGGGAACAGGAGAGAAAATAATTGCCCATTTTTATGTGGGTTGCAGCAGATTTTGTTTCAAATGTTATTTGTTCTGTTAACCTTCATTTTTACATTACTGATAAGGAAATTCTTAATTTTAAGATGAATTTAATTTTTCATGGATTATTCATTCTTCATATTCCTCTTCATTGACTTATTGACTATTCTACTAATTTGTTTGAAATGTATCAAGCAACCGAAGAGGTAGACAGACTCAATTTGTCTATCCTACTAACGTGAGGTGTAAAATTGTGGGCAGTAAAGTGCTTTTATTATTTTAAAGTAAGTTTATGGGTTTACCTAGAAATAGTATTTTTACATAATAAAACTATAGTTTTAATGTTTTAATACTCAAGTTCTATTCAAGTGTAATTTTACAATACTTTACAGTTCTGGAGGGCTTGTGATATTTCTAACATTGATATTTCCTTAGATAAGTCACTTGAACTCTCTTGAGTTTAAATTCTCTCTATATAGTGAGAATTACATTTGAGTCTCAGAACATTTAAATTTAATAAATAGAAATGGTCAGGACTTTGCTATCAACAGTAACTGCTGTTAATATTTTTTTCTTTTGCAGATATAATAATTATTAGATTTATATTTAAGGACCCTTTGGATATAATAATAACTAGACTTAAGCTTTTTTAGGTGTGATCCCTGGATCACTTACATCAGTAGCATCTGACTGTTAAAATGCAGAATCTTGAAACCCACCTCAAACCTGTTAAATTCTTGATGGTTCAGGTAGTTGGTAGGCACATGGAAGATTGGGACCAGATAAGTGTCATGTTTTAGCTGATAAAGAGAGGGAGGCATAAAAAGCGACTTATTAAGGTTGCCACCTGTAATTAGCTCAAAATAAGGCATGATCTATGAAATACTATTCATCCAGAGTTACATTTACTGACTAGGTGTTATATTCCTTTCATGTCCATTCCAAACAACCCATTTCTGTTTTCATTTAGAGTCTCTCCATTTTTCTTTTCTTTTCTTTTGAGACGGAGTTTCGCTCTTGTTGCCCAGGCTAGAGTGCAATGGCGCAATCTCGGCTCACCACAACTTCCGCCTCCCGGGTTCAAGCGATTCTTCTGCCTCAGCCTCCCTAGTAGCTGGGATTACAGGCATGTGCCACCACGCCCGGCTAATTTTTTATTTTTAGTAGAGACGGGGTTTCTCCATGTTGGTTAGGCTGGTCTCGAACTCCCGACCTCAGGTGATCCGCCCGCCTCAGCCTCCCAAAGTGCTGGGATTACTACAGGCATGAGCCACTGCGCCCGGCCTCCATTTTTCTTTTTAACTTTAATCAACAAACCACTGTCCAGCATATAAGAGCCTCTGCATGGCTGGGCGCAGTGGTTCATGCCTGTAATCCCAGCACTTTGGGAGGCTGAGGTGGGTGCATCACTTGAGGCCAGGAGTTCGAGACTAGCATGGCCAACATGGTGAAACCCCGTCTCTACTAAAAATGCAAAAATTAGCCAGATGTGGTGGCGCATGCCTGTAGTCCCAGCTACATGGGAGGCTGAGGCATGAGAATCCCTTGAACTCAGGAGGCGGAGGTTGCAGCAAGCCGAGATCATGCAGCTGCACTCCAGTCTGGGTAACAGAGTGAGACTGTGTCTCAAAACAAAAAACTGTGCACAGTTTTACATTCTTTGTTAAATTTGCCCTATTTGCAGAACCACTTAGGTCAGAGAGTCCCTTACATGTTCTCAAAGAACTCACAGTAAAGATAAGTTGTATCTGTATGCTTCATAACATAGCTGCTCAGAAGGTAACTGTTAGGTTGCTTGTTCTATGATTGTGATCTGAGAAGAAAGGATAAAATAAGGATGCTACATGGATCACAGACCCTGCAATTTTTCTTAATTTATTCTGAGCCCTGTTTTGCCTCAGGCTTCACAGTTTTCTGTGATGTTCTGGCTGAGATTAACTGTGTTGAAACAGTGAACAGATGTCTCTTGAATCTAGTTGGAACCAGTGCCACCAAAGAATCTCAACCCCAAATGATACATTTAGCTTGGCCTATGCTTTTACTTCTACTTGGATCGTGGGTATTTAATTGCTGATATTTAAATAACAGTGATAATCCCATTAATTTATAACCTTCTTATATTTTGGTGGCTGTAGGTTTTCATTTATGCCTTTCCTATAACTGTTTTAAACTGGCAATTAGAAGAAAAATTTAAATTATTCAACAGAATACAAAGAAAACTAGATCTCTGCCTCTGGATATTCAAGCTTTGATGTGGACTTGTTCTAGTCTTTCTACTTCTGAGAGCCTGAAAAGGGGGAAAAAAAATTCAGTATTTTTGACTCACTCTTGATGGGTGAAGTAAGGTGTATATTAGAAAAAGAAACCAAGCTTTTAAGTGATACTTAGTGGATATTTTCATTACTCACTGACCACTCTTCCATGTATATATATATCACCTCCATCACAGAATATACCACCTTGTTAATTTAACTCTAAAATACTTCTATTTCCCTGGAAAATGTCAAAGTTTTTCCTGAGGTTTAAAACAAGTTATATAAGATCTGAGCATTCAGGCCAGGTGTGGTGGCTCACAGCTGTAATCCTAGCATTTTCGGAGGCTGAGGTGAGAGGATTGCTTGAGCCCATTTATTCACAATCAGCCAAGGCAAAATAGATCCAATCTCTAAAAAATTAAATTTAAAAAAAGGTCTGAGCAGGCAATATTCACTTTCAAGAAAATTCATGTAAGGTTATGTGGCATGTTCACTGGGCAAAGTTACTTATGTTTTCCCTTTTCCATTATGCCTGTGTTCTAGCCCTTCTCTTTGTTTCAAATGTATCCCTGCCTTAGTTCTCTACATAAGGCTTTACCTGGGTTTTCTTTCAAGCTTAACTCTTGTACCACTTCTTTCATGAAGCATTTTGTGATTATTTTTCTTTCTTTCAAAATAGATACAACCACTCCTATTAAAAACAAAAAAAAAATCTTCTGTATTGTGCATATAGTACCCATTGTCTTTGAAAATTGTGTGTGCTTATTTTTCTTCGATGGCTATGGAAGAAAGGTTAGGGATGCAAACTCTTATCTTTCTCGTCTTTGTATGTACTTTGGCTGAACAGTTTCATTTGTATTGTAAGTACAGTGAATAGTTCTTTAAAGTGTTTATTTATTTTGGCATTATTTGTTTTATGCACAGGCAGATAAAACCTTATCAAATAGTGTTAATTTACAATTATTTCTTGGCAGCTAACAACTGTTGGTTATGTGTCATCTTTGTATTCATGTGACATTGTGCTAGGTTGACAAAGAACTATAAAAATAGAGGATATCTTTTTAAGTTTGGTGAGACCATTTTGTCATGGCTTAGAGATCTTAAAACCAGGTTTTTAGTATTTAAATTATATAGATACTGCCCTTGAGTTTCAGTAAAGGGCATAATTAATATAAATATATGCATTTATAAATAAATTATCTATTGTACAACTCAAGCCATTCTATGCGTAGTGAAGAGTATTGCCATATTGAATGAGGAAGTACACTTGAACAGGGAAAGCACCCTCCAAATGAGAATAAGGGACACTTCTATTTTCATTTGGTTTTAACAGCTGGGTTAAGGTCCAGCTTCTTTTTGGTCAGTTTTTAAGTTTTTTGAGTTCATAGAAGAAAGGGATATACTAAATATTTTCTGTGTCATTTCATTTGCAAACTGCGTAAAACAACTATAAAGTAGATGGTGATATTCTTGTTTATCAAAGAAATAGATTCAGGCTCAGAGAAGAGAGCAGGCTGGGGTTTAAGCCCCAAGTTATCTTGGTTCTCAAGCCCTTGCTCTTAAGCTCTTTTTTAGAAAACTGGAGAATATGGAAAAAGTCTCTGAAGAGGCTTTCTATAGGGAATTAACCACTGTAAGTGGTTTTTAAAATTTAGTCACATTTAAGTCACAGTTAATACAGGAATTCACTACTAAAAGTAGTATAAGGTCCTTAAAGGATTCTGCAGAAGAATGTAATTGATATTACTTTGTATTTAGGCGTGAATTACCCTTCACTAAGTCGGCTCATCTCACCAATCCTTGGAATGAACATAAACCAGTAAAGATCGGACGTGATGGACAGGTTTGTGGCCTTAATTGATTCTTTAAAAAAACACATTTAATCAACCCTTTTAGAGATCTTTATTGATGTATTCGTTTTAACCGTTTCTGATGAAAGAGACCACGTGAGAATTTGAAAAAATAATCTTATCTGAAGTTTATAATAACTGTGATTGAGACTAATAAGACATCCATTAATGTTGAAATATAGGCAGCTTTATATGGTACTTTCATTTGATACAATTGAAGGAAATATTTCTAAAGAGAATTTGCCAGATTTAAATTTGTTTTGACTATATTATCACTGTTTAACAGATTCTTCAGTTTCTGTAATACATTTTAGAATTGCCGTTTAGTATATGTGCTAGTTTTCTGAGTAGAAAGCAGCTTTCTGAAAAGATTAAATATATGTACTCAGGTTTTCAAGTCTACAAATGGAACTGAAAATGTGGAGTAATTGAAAATTAACCAAAACCTTTCTTTGACCCTTGTAATTCTCACATGTAATTCTGAACCAGAAGTTTTGTTTTATTTTATTTTTTAATTTTAATTTTTTTGGAAACCAGGTTACGAGAGTGGCTAATTTTTGTATTTTCGGTCGAGACAGGGTTTCACCATTTTGCGAGGCTGGTCTCAAACTCCTGGCCTCAAGCGATCCGCCTGCCTGGGGCTCCCAAAGTGCTGGAATTACAGGCATGAGCCACTATGCCTGGCCATGCAAAAGTAATATGACATTTTATTGCTCATGAGTAAAAATGTTTTCACTTTTTCAATTACAAATAGCTGAAAATGATTTAATTTTAAAGAGCCCATAGATTGGTCTGCCTTTGTGGTAAATCTAATGTATTTCAATACACTTAGTAGATCATAATTATCAAAGTTGTTGGTACACACACTAACATGAATTTTTTTTTTCCATTGTATTAAATGACCTTGTCCTGATATTTTTCTATTTTGCACAAAGAAATAGTCCCTTTTCAGAGGGTGGTTGTCACAGAATTTTAAGCAACTGCATTTGTGTATTTAACTTCAGAGATTCTACACTTTTAGTTTTTACCCTTTATATAAATACACAAAACACTTTTTAAATGTTTTATAAATCTGGAAGTCTTATTGGAATCCCATATGATCATCAGCCTTGGGAAGAAAGCTTCCAAGTCAGTTTTTGTTCTGGTACATCAGGAAAATGCAAGTCTGTTGAAAGGGTCTGTTTTTGTTTTATAAATTGCTACTTTCCTATTCTAGGAAATTGAACTTGAATGTGGAACCCAGCTTTGTCTTCTGTTTCCCCCCGATGAAAGTATTGACTTGTATCAGGTCATTCATAAAATGCGTCACAAGAGAAGAATGCATTCTCAGCCCCGATCACGAGGACGTCCATCCCGTCGAGAACCAGTCCGGGATGTGGGAAGGTTAGAAACGTTCTTTGGACTGATAATAGGCACATGTATCAGAATAACATGATGGAGGAATATGATTCGTCAAAAGTTTGTCCTGCGGTAAAGAAGAAAGAGAAAATCCTCAAATCAAGCTGCATGGACTAGTTTGTGGCTTCATTGAGGATTTCACATGGTCACCTTGGTCTCAGTCATTTTTCAAGAGGAAAATGGGGATCTTTCCTTATGCAGAAAAAAGTATAACCAGTGATAACCAGTTTAGATTAGATAATACTCTGATAATACAATGTATACAATTGAAATGAGGTAGGCATTTGTTGCTAAGAACAGGCTAGAAAGGAGGAAGAGGAGGAAGTCTTTATTTGCAAAAATTGTTAATACTTTTTAAAAAGCCTTTTCTTTCAGGTATGTCTCTGGATAAGCCTTATCAGATATGGGACTTTTATAAAGGATCACTAATATTTTTTCAGAAGATGACGCCTCATTTAGAGGATAAAATATTTTAAGTTATTTTGATATTCAAGAGGAGCATTATTGGGACTGTTTCAGATTTTATCACCGTGATGTGTTAACCCTATTGCCAAATATTCTCTAACATGTACCCAGTGAATTCACACATCTTGCTGAGCTTCTGAAAACAATAGGTTCTTTCCAAAGGGGATCAAGTGGCCCTGGGAGACCCGGCAACAAACCAAAAAGAAGGGCTGTTGCTGTGTCTGTTTACAACTTTTCCAGATGCTGGCAGTACCTGTGGACTTAAAAGTGTTTTTTAGAGGATCGCCATGGTTATTGATCACTACTTTATGAACTAAACAGCATTTTCCAGAAAAAGGGGGTTTAACTTGTTACAGAATTGGAGAAGTCTTTGCAAAGGACTGATTTAAGCCCTTCTACCCAACACCTTCCCCTGTGTAGATTTGCATACAGCTAAATCTAAAATATTCTGCTAAAGACTATTGGATGTATGGTTGATGGGATGAAACCTTTGATTAAATTTCCTTTTGGTGGAGACATCCTGTGGTAGGTACAGATAATCCAACAAGAGTCCCCATTTCTTTGAGCTTAAAAAGGACACTGTCGAGTAGGTAGGAGGAAACCTGGCAGAGCCCCTTATTTTTGGCCTAAAAGGACTGAGCACCAAGATGTCTTTTGAAGTTTTAAGCTAAGAGGTTTCCAGTGCAATACAATATATACAAGTGAAGTTTTTACCTCAGTTTTGCAATGGACTGCAAACTATACTTATTACACCACTACACCTTCTCTCAAGCCTGCCAGGGCCTCCATTTATGTATGTGGCTTACAGCTTAAAGTCAGTAGTTGGACTACTATATGAACTGTTACTATCATGTTTTATACCGGTCGTAAATGCACTCCCCAAACTACAGGAAAGCGGTATGTTTATTTTTTAAACCAGCTTTTAATTTTCTTAGTATTATTTATTGTAGATGCAACTGTTTTTATTCTGTTGGGGGGCTTGGGATTATTGCACTTAACTTTGCAGTTTGAGTGAACTGTGTTGAAAAAGTTAATGAAAGCAGTTGGTACTCAGACAAATAGCTGAAAACTAGTGAATGCTAGGTTGTTATCAAGTTTTTATTTGACATTAAGGTTAAAAAGATATATTTATTTTCTAAATATTTTGGACTTTTTTTTTGTTTAACTCTTTATTAGCTGCTAAGTAAATTGAAGTGTATTTAATGATGTGTTAAGTTAACCCGATTTATGGAAGACAGTAAAGAACAGCCCTCTGTAGTCAGTAAAGTTTCACCTTCTAAAGAATATATTTTGAATTAGTTTTATGAACTCTGTTAAAATTCTGACCCATTACTTGCCAATTTATAAAAGCCTATTTTATTACAAGGCATTGTCTCTGGAAAAAAAAAATTCCCTTAATTCTTAAATGTCATTAGATGTAGAAAGAAAAACTAAATGTTACTAAGGATTATTAAGAAATAGTTTTTTAACTATTAAGATTTTAAAAACTTTCCTGTAAAGTTGCTTTTAATAAGTATCAAATTTTCTGTATGATCATGTAAAATTCATAATTTGTGCAAAGCAGAGGAAAAATAAATTCTTAATTTTGTTTAGACTTAACCTAAAATGACATTTATAAGTTTTAAATATGCAGATTTTAGAGTTACATATTGTACAATGATGATAGGTTTTTCTAGTTTTTATTTTTCATCTGAATGGAGACTTTATTTGGGAAAGTGTTTTAATTGTTAAAACTGATATTTAGTTTGAGAATGACTTTGTTTACTTTTGTTTAGACTACTAAAATGTGACTTACATGTTTTGATTGGACTAGTCTGCAATTTTCTCATCATAGCATGAGTTGGCAGAGAATATCTACTTCCAGCAGTACATTTAAAGTTTGGTTTATAGGAATTAATTTGAGAATCAAAATGTAGGAATTTTAAAATAATTTGCTCACTAAAAAAATTAAGATGTTAAATAATGGGTTATTCTTTGTACTTATCTCTGTCAGAAACTCTTGCTTTACTCTTTGTTCTCCCAGCAGTTTTTGGTTTAATTTCTAATGTGTCTAATTTGTGTAGGCGTCGACCAGAAGATTATGATATTCATAACAGCAGAAAGAAACCAAGGATTGACTATCCCCCTGAGTTTCACCAGAGACCAGGTTAATATTTTATAATCCTGCAGATATTTGATTTCAAATTATTGGAAAAAAATTAAAAAATTAAAAACAACCCTCACAATCCTGCAGTTTTAAAAGTGAAAAAAATTCAGGACCTGACTACTTAAATCTTGAGAAATTTTAGTAGTTCTCATTAGTGTAATTCTTCCCTTAACTTCGTTAAGGTTGTCTAGTCTATTCCAGTGTAACTCATCATACCCTATGAATTACCTGAAATTGCTAATTTTGCAAAAATGGAAACTTATCTGCACATGTGTTTAAGGTTAAAAGTAGTTATGAAAAGCAATAACCTTATATTCTATCAGGCTTTTTGTTCCCTATGGTAGTTAGTGTTTCATGTGATACATATACATACAATGCTACTTTTTTTAAATAAAAATCTTTATGTCTTTGGAGAGGAATGGGAAATACTCGGTATGTAATCTAAATGTAGCTTTTCAATTAATCTATCCCTTACTGAAATTTAAGAGAGCAAACTATATTCAAGAAGGGATATCATGTATTTGAAGAGAGTCAGTGATACACTTGTGAAACTTAGGCAGTTAGGAGATTGATGTTAGTGATCATTATAGCACTATTATGTAACAAGTGGCTTGATTAGCCTCATTCTTCCAAAATAGGTTGTCCTGTTGTAGAAAGTGAAAATAGTTTTTCCCCAGTAACATGACTACTCAAATGTTTTTACATTTTAATTTGTTGGGTTCTTATTAAAAGAAGCAGGGGAAAGAATATTTTTCTAACCACCATCGATTTTTCATTTTCAGTGTATACATCTTCATTTTTGCAACTTTTGCAATTTTTTCCCCCTCCCCCTTAAGTTTACATTTTAAAAAGCTTATCTGTGGTTTTCTTGGTAAGACCTACATATACCCAAGGTGGAAAGTAAACATTTGTTTTAAGGAAGTCCTGTCATAGTGTGCTCAAGATAGTTCCTCTGCCCTTACCTTCCCTGTGAAGCAGAAGGAAGAAATTTTCTGATTAGCAAGATTTGGAGTGTGAACATAGAAGATACCTATCTGAAAGCTTCTCTAGCAGTTTACAATTCTATGATATCATTAGTTATTTCCTAGATTATCATGTAATCTGAGAAGAAAATTTGAAAATGGGATAATACAGTAGTAGCATCACTTAAAGTACATATTTCATGGAAAGAATTGAAACGAGTGGTAAGGAAGGTTTAATTATAATGCCATAAAAGAAAAATATAAATTTGATTTACTAAAATGCTTGATGTTTGAACAGGGTATTTAAAGGATCCACGATACCAGGAAGTGGACAGGTAAGTCGGGTTCACTCTTGCCTAGTTTTGAATTACATTCTTGGAACTAGTTTATGAATTACCTGAATTTAGTTTCACAAATCTTATTCCCAACAGACGATTTTCAGGAGTTCGCCGAGATGTGTTTTTAAATGGGGTAAGCATTTCATTTTATCTATTTAATGTGGATAAAATCAGGCTCTGATTTATTTTGCAGTTCTGTGATAATTTTTAATTATATTGACATTATCATCTTTTATTTTAGTCCTACAATGATTATGTGAGGGAATTTCATAACATGGGACCACCACCACCTTGGCAAGGAATGGTTTGTATTATTCTATTTTTATAAGTTACATAACTTAATTTGCAGTTCTAGTATTTCAGGTGCTTACTCGGAATATGATTGTTACAGTTACTCATTAAAGAGACTTAAACTGGCCAGGCGCCGTGGCTCACACCTGCAGTCCCAGCACTTTGGGAGGCTGAGGCGGCTAGATCACCTGAGGTGAAGAGTTCGAGACCAGCCTGGCCAACACGGTGAAACTGAAACCTTGTCTCTACTAAAAATACAAAAAACATTAGCTGGGTGTGGTGGCGTGTGCCTGTACTCCCAGCTACTCGGGGAGGCTGAGGCAGGAGAATTGCTTCAACCCAGGAGGCAGAGGTTACAGTGAGCCGAGATTGCGCCACTGCACTCCAGCCTGGGCAACAGAGGGAGACTCCATCTCAAAAAGACTTAAAATACAGATTTTTGATGATAAATAATTGTATGCTGTCTTTCAAACTAAAGACTAAAAGCTCATTTGTGTTAATAGTACAGGCTTGAGAACTGTAATAGTGTATTATGGTAGTAATTAGTAGTGCAAAGTCCGCTTGGGTTCAGATATATTTCTTTTTCTTCCCAACTCTGTGACTTTGGGTTAATTTCTTAATACAACTCTTAGTTTTCCTCATCTGTAAAATTCCATGGGCATTCACTGATGCTTTGTCTTATCAAATATAATATTTAGTACTTACTCTGTGCAAGGCACTGTGCTTGTTCTGATTATATCATGGTGAATGAAATTGACATCATGACTGTCCTGGTATAGCTTAAAATTTAATGTAGTAGTGTCATTTTCATTGTCAAGATAAATTTACAAAGTACATGTTAAGTTTAGCATAGTGCCTGATCTAATACTCACTAAATTTTCTGTGTAAAATAAGATTAATTAAACCCTGATTATTCCTGCTTTTTAATTATTTCCTTTAAGAAAACTGAATTGTCTTAGAGTATATTTTAAGATATTGAAGATAGCTGAAGCATTAATTTTCAAGAAATAAAAACCTGGAAGTTGAAGTAGCTTCTACTGTTTTCTTACATTTTAATTTATGTCTTTTTTTAAATGCAATATGTTATATGGCCTCTTCATCTGACTTTTGTTTCACTTTTAAGGTATACAGTTTTATACTATTATATGCAGATGATTATGAGACTTTTCCCCTTTAGATTCTAGGAAATTTTAAAAATTTAATAATATATGATCTTGATAGTAACTATGAAAGTAATCTTTAATTTACCCTTTATTCATTTTTTAAATGGCATTTAAAAGTTAATTTGCTCCTGGACTTTTTTTTTGAGAGACAGGGTCTCATTCGGTCTCCCAGGCTGGAATGCAGTGGTGTGATGATAGCTCTGTGCAGCCTTGAACTCCTGGGCACAAGTGGTCCTGCTGCCTCAGCTTCCTGAGTAGGTGGGACTACAGGCACATGCCACTGTGCCTGGCTAATTTTTTTATAGAGACAAGGTCTCACTCTGTTACCCAAGCTGGTCTCCAACTCCTGGCTTAAGGGATTCTTTTCCCTCAGCCTCCCAAAGCACTGGGATATGGGCGTGAGCCACCACACCAGGCCTGTTGATGTTTCTAAGAACAGATACATACAAAGTGGTTAACCAGTTTACCAACTGCAGAACTAGGATGCCTGATGCCGTATGCCTGCTTCACCACTTTAACAGTAGTGTGACTATAAGCAGGTTACTTAACTCCTTGTTGCTTCAGTTTTCCCTTTTGTAAACTGGGAACAATAGTATCTATCTCATAAGGTTGCTGTGAGAATTAAATGAGACTAGTAAAGTGCTTAGAACAATGCCTGGCTCACAGTAAGCACCATGTAAGTGTTTGCTATTTCCATTGTTATTTATATGATAGGAGTAGAAAAGCATAAACATGTTAAATCTTAGAAGATGTGTAATTTTCGACAAAAAGCATATTTTGAAACACCTTAATGCCATCAAAGTAAATGTCTAGTACAGATTCACTTGTTTGGGATTGGTGTTTTGGATGAAGGGTTCTAAGAATCGCTTGTTTACAAGGGTGTTGGTAGATTCTTAATGTAAATGGTTTTCCTTTTTTAGCCCCCTTACCCAGGAATGGAACAACCTCCACACCATCCTTACTATCAGCACCATGCTCCACCTCCTCAAGCTCATCCCCCTTACTCAGGACATCATCCAGTACCACATGAAGCAAGATACAGAGATAAACGAGTAGTAAGTGCACAAGGAGGCAAAGGTGTGAGGGAACTACTTAGAATTCTGTAGGTAACTTAAATATGGGGAGACCAGAGTATGATGATTGACGGACCATTGCATATTCTTACTGCAGACTGTTTTGGAATAATTGTTTGTTTTTATTAAAAATGCCTGATTATGCCCCTTTGGATTATATAGATAGAATATATTTCTTTTACTGATCAAATCACAAACTGCTTAAGGCAAACGCCTACAAATAGAACTCCTTTTAGGTAGTACCTAGGCTATGTTCTTTCCATATTGAGATCTTAATTATGCTATGTAATTAATATTGTTAATAGATATTTCTGAACTTTTTGTGTATTCTTACTCAATTTTTCTAGGATAGATCGTGTATATTAAGTTAGCTGATAAGCTGTAATCTCATTTAGTCATTTGTTTTTATTTCTACCAAATGTTAAAGCTAGTAACTGATAAATTGTTTTACCTCTGGTTATTGTGATGTTAGCAAAGAATAACCAGATGTTATGATATGTAGCAGACATGTCCTTTATTCATTGATTCTGTTAATTATTTGATAAGATTGATGTGAAAGCTTTTTTTGATGGCTTCAAAACAGGACCAGTGAAAAAAAGACTCTAGTTTTAGTTTGAGTTTTCTGGGTTTTTAACTAGTGGGGCTGAGTTTATTAAATGCTTCCCCACCCCCCCCAATAGTACTTTTATTTATAAAGCAGAATTGTCTTCTGGCAAGTGTTGGAAGCATAATTCATATGCATATAAGTTTGATAGCCTTAGAAAGGTAGTTTTGTTGTTAAACTAAGTAGGATATGCAAGTTAGAATTTTTTTCCACTCCCTACTTAGGTTGATGAGTCTGTATGGGGCCAAATAAACATCTTTTTATTTTCCCACTTAAGATGAAGAGTGGGCCTATTTGTGAGAATCAGAGCAGCTTTCTAGCCTATCTTTGAGACATTTTTTTGTGTTGTCAGTAATTTCCTTATAAAGATAGTAATTTTCTCTAAATCAAATCTTATCATGACTTCTAACATTCTGTAAAATAATTTGAGAGTACTAGTTAACTAATTCACAAACTTTAAATTAGTAGTTTATTTTCAGTTAAGCACACAAGAAAGAAATATACAGTCTATCTATAATGAAATCTTAGTTGACTAGATGGGTTGTGGTGTCTTAAAAATTCCCATAACTGATCACATGGCTTTTAAAATAGGAAGTCTGAGATTTTTTTGTTTTCCTCAACTATATCCTTTTTAACAAGTTCTATTTTATGGATCTTTATGTAGTGATTTTTTGGTTAGTATACATATTCTCTACTTACATAATCACATATATAAAAGGTAATGTGGGACTGTGTTTTCAAATCTTATTTCAGCTAAGTTTTGAGAGAAGACCAAAATCAGTAAGGTAAGCTGAGAACTAAGAGTAGAAAGTTTAAACTAGAGCAGGGGCCAAGTTTAGGAGCAGCCACAACTTTTCTTGCACATCAACTTAGTTGTAACAATTTAGTTTGAAAGAAAATCTGGAACATAATACTCAGTTTGTAAAATTGAAGTTGGTAGAATTGGAGGAAAAATGTAGAGCTAGCCTGTGCCAGAAAAACATTGATGACATTTAGCATAATTGGCAGTATATATGGATAATAGTTGAAGGTCATCACTAGTTAATATCTTTGGCCTAAATCTTACTGAAGGGATCAGATGGAAAAGTCATTAAAGTTAAGTGGAAAACTGCATAAAGAGATTTGAATAATCTGTTGTAGATGTCTAATGAGGCATCATCCTTTTTCTAAACCATGTCAGCATATTACCTTCTGTGAATTAATTTATTATTGCATTTCTTTGGATTGTTCTCTCCGCCGATTATAATACAGAGACTTTTCTTTTTTTATATTTTAAAATTGTTTATATAAATTTTTTTTTCAAATCAGGGATCCACTTAACACTATTTGCCTTTTTGACATACCTAACACATTTCTTTCCTTTTCTAGCATGATTATGATATGAGGGTGGATGATTTCCTTCGTCGCACACAAGCTGTTGTCAGTGGCCGGAGAAGTAGACCCCGTGAAAGAGACCGGGAACGAGAGCGAGACCGCCCTAGAGATAACAGACGAGACAGAGAGCGAGATAGAGGACGTGATAGAGAAAGAGAAAGAGAGCGATTATGTGATCGAGACAGAGACCGAGGGGAGAGAGGTCGATATAGAAGATAATGGGCTTTTGGAAGCACTGATTGTTTAAAGATACAAAAAATCTTGTATTTTTTTTTTGTGTGTGTTTACAAGTAGTAAATTTATTTTCAGCTGTCTGCCTATGAAGTTCATTGTGTAGAAGGATTTATTATGACCCCCTTTGTTCCAAGCATGCAGTATCATAAGAACTGGAAAAACTCAAATCCGCCAAAAATCCACAGCTGACAGTTGAATTGACACTTTTATTGGGGCAGAATGGAACAGTCCAAGAATGTAGATACTGATTCTTTCTCCATAAATGTTCTTATAGTGTGTTCATCCTAGAGTTATTTTTTTGTTTGTTTTTTTCCTTTTTGGATCTTGATTGATAACTGCCATGATATTTTGCTTTGATGTGTTTCTACATGTAGTTGCACACGGTTCAGTAAAAATAATGCTGCTATCGAGTATGCAAATATTGAAGTATGATGGTTTGACTGTATGGCAGTGTTGTAGCAGCCTCTTGTTTTTTTCCCCATTGCCTCTTTTTTTAAAAAACTTATAAAGTCACTTTTTATTTTTCCTCAGTCTTCAATGACGAGAGCAATATTAAGAAGACATTGCTATCTAATTTTTAATCTTTTTAAATGAAAAATTCCTATGTTCAGTAGCGTGGTTGATGCTATTGTTTAGCCTTCCCCTCCAAATTGTATACATTGGCTTGGAATGTTCACAACTTGCGTGCGTGGCAGCGGAAGACGATTCCCATATTCTACATTGCTACTGTTTTGTATAAAATAAATTGGTAAAGATTGACGGTTATCTTTTGTATCTTTTTCTTATCCAATTGCAGGTTTGTTTTATTATGCAATAATGGACATAAAAGCATGCTTTTTGTTCAGGAATTTTAGGAACCCCATTTGCTTTTTTTGAGGCACACTTTAGCAGAAATGATTGACCTAGGCCTGTTGCATTAAAAGCTTACTTCTATTTCTAACATAAGATACACAGAGTTATGTTAATAATTTGGTTAAGTATTTATACACCTGATAACATTTTGAGTCTACTCTGATCACAGAATCGTTTATTTAGGTTTTCTATTTGTTGTTTTAGTCTTCTGTAAGTGAACGACTTTGTACATGCTTTCTACTTTACTTCATAAATGGACTTTTAACCCTCTTGTATTAGTTCTGTATTTTAAGTTAACTGTCCAGTTCTCCCAGTGGTAACCAACTATAACATAGAAATAGAGCCGCTCAAGAAAACAGTTTATGAAATAATTTTTTTGAATTTTTTCTTGAGTTACACCTGGAGTTTTGGCCTTTGGAATTTGGCCTTTATAAACATTAGGAATATTTGAATGTTTGATTTTTTTATAGTATCAACAGTTGTACTGTGTACCAGATCACATAGTACAGTTTTACATTTAATCTATATTGGCCTGAAAAGAACAACACAGGCACTTTACTCTTAAAGGATATAATAAACTATAGTTATACTGCATTCATATTCATACCAGCATGTAGTATCTTTCCCTGCATTCACAGAAGTTTTATTTACAATGACAAAACTAAAGCCTGAGGATTTGTTTTAAATCTGCATTGTGGTAGAGAGGAAAAAGTACTTTTAAGGAAACCTGGGTTCTAGTTTTGTCATTGTCTTTAATTAAACCGGTTAGTGATACATGGTAAGTCACTTCATTGGCATTTTGTGTATTCATCAGTAAGCTAGACAAGATGATAGCTACAGTTTAAGAATTTCTGTAACCATTATACAAAACTGGTAGGTAATATTAAAGGTATTTTCCTGAAATAATAGGAATAAATACTGAGCACTTTGTATGCAATAGAGACTTTGTGCTTTTATATACAGACTCATTTAAATGGGCTCAGAGAGGCTAGTAAACTTGCCCAAGATTAGAAAGGTAGTAATTGATGGGCCAAGATTTTACCCATGTTTTTATTTGGTGTTTCTAAACCACCTCATCACTTTTGAAAAAACAGTATATAAATTAATAAATGTTTTGGAGATGGAGTCTGTCGCCCAGGTGGAGGGCAGTGGCATGATCTTGGCTCACTGCAACCTCCTGCCTCAGCCTCCCGAATGGCTGGGACTACAGGCACCCACCACCACACCCCGCTAATTTTTGTAATTTTAGTAGAGATGGGGTTCCAACATGTTGGCCAGGCTGGTCTCAAACTCGACCTCAAGTGACCTCACCTGCCTCAGCCTCCTAAAGTGTTGGGATTACAGGCGTGAGCCACTGCACCTGGCCTGAGATTTTTAAACATTAACATTTCCTTCAGGCTTAAGCAGAGGATTTTTCTAAAGTGCCATCCAATTAGATGTTAAGTTATGCTTTGTATGTTGAGCTTAGTATTGAGTCGATCTATTTTAAAAAGCCAACATTAAGTTTTTACCAAGTATCTGGCACTATTCTAAACAATTCTGTTGGCTCACATAATCATCACTGTTTTCTCCTTTCCTAATTTTTAAAATAAACTTACCGGAACATTGTATAAAAAATGCAAGATTTTTTTCTGTACAGAAGAGTCAGTATATAAAAATCAGTATGTTTTATTTAATATTCGTACACATGACAGCTTTTGTCACTGTGAGAAGACATGGTTTCTTTCGTGTACTCCACTGTGCTGTGATTCTAACAATCTACATTAGTATGATGTGTTCAGATGAAAAACAGAAAATTCAGTCATTCCGAGTTTAGAAATCCGGTCAGGGATTTTATTGGCTGGAGTAATAGTTCAAAGGAGTGAAAATTCAAGCATGTAATTTTTGGATTTGATTTCCTCCATAATGATTTCCTCCATAATGGCTTTTTTTCAAGCATGGTCTAATTTTTCAGAAAATGGCCATTATCTCCAAGCTTCCATTGTCCATGTAGTTTCAGTGGCAGGAGAGAGACTATTTTCCTCCCAGTGTCCATGTCAGTTCCCCAAAAGGACTGAATAGCCATGTTGGTTTTGGAGCCAGCCGTAATCCAATCTGTATTTCCAAGGAAATGGGGTTCTTTGTCTCCCAGCATTGGGAAGCAAGAGAGGCACATGTTATGGTCACCTCTGTGAGGATTACATCAGGAAGGACAGTCTCCAAAAGACATGGACAGAGGAAATTTAGCAGATGTCCATTAAATCAGGATCTCATACAAGTTATAACACCTGAATGTTTGACTTTTCAGAGTATTTTGCCATCACAGGTGTGGCATCTTGCCCTTGGATATATCTACATTCTGCTGTAGAATGTCGTGGTCTTTCTGAGGGTCACATACATCCTGTCTTGTCATAATGTTAACCATTAAGAGTCCTCAGGGGCATGGAATTGAAGAAGGAACTGTTGCCAGCAGTTAACTGACCAAGCTAGAGTTCCCTGACCCAACGTAAGGGTGACTGTGACACACATGGATAATTTTAGCTTCATGTTTAAGATTTTGTTATTTGGGTAGGAAACATTCCAAATGCAGTTTGAAACACATATTAAAATTGAGGCACACAGGAAAGAACTGGCTCAAGTTTAGTCCCCAAGTTCCTTATAGTAGGAATAGGAATCCTTAGAGTATAAGCAATCCATGCATAGTATTCTGTTATCTATCATGTAGATCATTTAATCTCTAATTTTTTGGGGTGGGGATTCTCTTGTTTCTAAATCTTACACTTTCAGTTTCTTCTGTGTCTTAAATATAGATTATTGACTATTGTCTTAAATACTAATAAATACATTAAATGTATCTTAAATACTACTATGTCTTAAACACAGACTATTGACTATTAAATATTTTCATTTGTAACCTTCATACTGGAGATTTGAAAGACAGTCAAAAATAATAGCTCTGAAAAGCTAAGGAATATACAATGTAAAAAAATGTAAGACTGGGTGCAGTGGCTCACGCCTGTAATCCCAACACTTTGGGAGGCCAAGATGGGTGGATCACCTGAGGTCAGGCATTCAAGACCATCCTGGCCAACATAGTGACACCCCTCCTCTACTAAAAACACAAAAATTAGTGGGGCATGGTGGCGCATGCCTGTAATCCCAGGTACTCAAGAGGCTGAGGCAGGAGAATCGCCTGAACCCGGGAGGCAGATGTTGCAGTGAACCAAGATTGTGCCATTGCCTTCCAGCCTGGGCGACAAAGCAAGAGTCCGTCTCAAAAAAAAAAAAAAAAAGTAAGTTATGGCAACAAAAATATAAATTGTTGGGAAGAGGGTAAAAATCTAGAATAATTCTATATGATCTGTGTTGTTACCAGCTTAAAATAGTGTATTACAACTGTAACATTTTATGTAAGCCCATGGTAACCACAAACCAAAAAATTACAACAGATACACAAACAATGATAAAGGACAAAGCTTATTAGCACTACAGAAAATTACCATATCACAAAGGTAAACAACAAGAGAGGACGAAATGAACAAAGAATCTACAAAACAACTAGAAAACAATTTTAAAATGGCAAAATAGGTCCTTACCTATCAATAATAACCTTGATTTTAAATGAATTAAATTATCCAGTAAAGAGTGGTTGAATGGATTAAAAAACAATGTAACTGAGCTGCCTAAAAGAGACCCACTTCAGCTTCCAGAACACACAAAAGTTGGAAGTATAAGAATGGGAAAATCCATACAAATAGTAACCAAAAAAGAGCAGGGATGGCGTAATATACATTAGATAAAAGAAACTTCAAGGTAAAAGCTGTTACAAAAACAAAGATGGTCATTAATGATAAAGCGGCCAATTCATCAAGATGACATAAGAATTATATATGCACCCAATAACAAAGCACCTAAATACATATAGAAAGTATTGGCTGGGCGCGATGGCTCACACCTGTAATCCCAACACTTTGGGAGGCTGAGGCGGGCAGATCACCTGAGGTGAGGAGTTTGAGACCAGCCTGACCAACATGGCAAAACCCCATCTTTACTAAAAACACAAAAATTAGCTGGGTGTGGTGGTGGGCACCTGCAACTCCAACTACTCGGGAAGCTGAGACAGGAGAATCTCTTAAACCTGGGAGGCGGAGGTTGCAGTGAACTGAGATCACACCATTGCACTCCAGCTTGGGCAACAGAGCGAGACTCCATCTCAAAAAAAAAAAAAAAAAATGTACGTGAAGGAAAAATAGATAGCAGTACAATAATAGTTGGTGATCTTAGTACCCCGCCTTAAACACTGAATAGCTCAACTAAACAGAAAATTAAGCAAATACTGGGTTTGACCAAATGGACCTAACAGACATACAGAACTTTCCATCCAAGAACAGCAGAATATACATTTCTTTTCTAGTGCACATACCACATTATGTCTCAAAAAGCTAGAAAAAGAACTAAAGCCAAAGTTAGCAAAAGGAGGAAAATAATACAAATCAGTAAAACAGAGAACAAAAACACAGAAAAAAGCAAAAAAGTAATCTTTGAAAAAATAAGATCAGCAAAATACTAGCTAGACTATGACAAAAAGAGGAAAGACCCAAATAAATAAAACCAAACATGAAAATGGAGACATTACACCAGATGCCTCACAAGTAAAGTATTATAAGGCCTATTATAAATATATGCAACAAATTGGATAATCTAGAAAAAAATAGATAAATTCCTGGAAAAATATAACCTACCAAGATTGAGTCAGGAAGAAGTAGAAAACTTGAACCAATCCAACAAATCAGTTGAAGAAGTCATTAAAAACCTTCCAACCAAGAATAGCACAGGACCAGAAGGTTTCATGGCCAAATTGTACCAAATGTTCATAAAAGAATCTATCAATACTTCTTAAACTCGGTCAAAAAGTAGAAATAGAGGAGATACTTCCAAACATTTCATGGCATCAGAATCACTTTCATATCCAAGGCAGACAAAGACACTGTAAGAAAAGATAGCTATAGGGCAATATTTCTAATGAACATTGATACACTAATCTTTAATAAAATATTAGCAAACAACTAAACAACACATCAAAAAGAACATACATCATGACAAGTGAGATTTAACCCTGGCATGCAAGCCTGGTTTATCATATACAATCAATGTGACATGTGAATTATGAGAATGTTAAAAACCACATGTTCCTTTCAAATGATGCAGGAAAAGAAGTTAACAAAGTTCTGCATCTTTCCCAATAAAGACTTTCAAGTATAGAAGTAAAGTTTCTCAAAATAGTAAAAGTCATTTATAAAAAACACACACAGATAATATTACATCAGTGGGGAACGACTGAAAGTTTTTCCAGTAAGATCTGGTATCAGGGGAGGATTCTCACTCTAATCACTTCTATTCAACATTGTACTTGAAAGATTAGCAAGAGCAATTAAATAAGTAAAAGAAATAAAAGGCATCTAAATCAGAGGTAAAACTATCCCTATTTGCAGATGATATGATCCTATATGTTGAAAACCCTTAAAGATGCTTAAAAAACACTGTTGGAGTAAATCAGAAAAGTTGCAGGATACCAAATCAACATGGAAACAAAAGTAACATTTCTATAGACAGATAATCACCTAACTAAAAAAGGAATCAAGAAAACAATCCCATTTATAATAGCACCCAGAAAAACAATACATTTAACCAAGAAGGTAAAAGATTTGTACAAGGAAAACTATGAAATACAGATCAAAGAAATTGAAGACACAAATAAATGGAATGATATCTCTTATTTATTCATGGGATTAATATTTTTTAAATGTCCATACTACACAGTGCAATACATGGATTCAACACTATCTGTACCGAAAGTTTAATGGCATTTTTTACAGAAATAGAAACAAAAATTCTAAAATTTCTATGGAACCACACATACACAGACAGACACACACGCACAAACTGAAGAGCTAAAGAAATACTGAGAAAGATAAAGTTGGGGGCATCATACTTCCTGATTTAAAGTTATGTTACGAAGGTATAATAAACAGAATTACACTGGTAAAAAACAGAAACATGGACTAATGGAAGAGAATAGAGAGCAAAGAAATAAATGCAAACATACATGGTCAACTAAATTTCGACCAAGGCACCAAGTGGACGCAAAGGGGAAAGTATAGTCTCCAATAAATGGTGCTGGGAAAACTGTATTTCCACCTGCAAAAGAATGAAAAAGAACTCTTATCTCACACTATACATGTGAGATACACAACAAAAACCAGCTCAAAATGAATAAAACACCTAAATGTAAGACCTGAAGCCATAAAACTCCTAGAAGAAAACATAAGGGAAAATCTCTTCAACATTGGCCTTGGCAGTGATTTTCTGGATATCATACTAATAGTTCAGATTACAAAAGCAAAATATGTAAGTGGGATTACATCAAATTTAAATGCTTCTTCACATCAAAGGAAACAATCAACAAAATAAAAAGGCAGCCTACAGACTGGGAAAAATATTTGCAAATTGCATATCTGATAAGGGGTTAATACCCCAAATTTATAAAGAACTCTTACAACTCAATACCGAAAATACATGAATAACCCTATTAAAAATGGACAAAGGACCTGACCAGAAATTTCTCTAAAGAAAACAAAAATAGCCAATAGGCATATTAAAAATTGCTCAACATCACTAATCATCAGAGAAATACAAATGAAACCACTATGAGATATCATCTCACATCCGTAAGAATAGCTGTTATCAAAAAGACAAGAGACAAAAAATGCTGGTGAGAGTATGGAGAAAATAGTGAACCCTAGTTCGCTATCGGTAAGACTGCAGAATGGTGCAATCATTATGAAAAACTGTATGGAGTTTCCTAAAGAAATTAAAAATAGACTACCATATGACCCAGGAATCTCTCTTATGGGTATAAAACAAAAAATGAAAATCACCACTTTGTAAAGATAGCTGCACTCCCATGTTCACTGCAACAGTATTCACAATAGCAAAGATATGGAAACAACTTGTGTCCATTGACTGATGAGTGGATTTAAAAATGTGATATATATATGTGTGTGTGTGTGTGTGTGTGTGTGTAATATTATTCAGCCTTAAAAAGATGGAAATGTTAACACTTGCCACCACGCAGATGGACAGAGAGGACTTCATGCTATGATAAATAAGCCAGAGATAGAAATAAAAATATCGCATGATTTCCCTTACACATGGAATATGTATTTTTAAAAAGATCTCAGATACACAGAGAACAAAACAGTGGTTGCCACCAGCAGGGGTGGTGGGCAGTGAGAGGAAATGGGAAGATGTAGGTCAAAGCATACAAATTAGCAAATATGTAGAATGAGCAAGTTTAGAGATTTAATGTACAAGATGAGGACTGTGGTTAATAAAATTGTATAAGGGACTTTTACTAAGTAGATTTTAGCAGCTCTTGTCACACCAAGAAGCAACAATATGAGATACTGTATAACAATCTATAACATCAAAAACAAAGAATAAAAGGACAAGCTTCCTGACATCTATTCAAATCTTGCTTTCTCCAACTTGGTAACAATAGCTGATGATTGCCACTATACTGCTATTACCTTTCTCTGTGCCTTCCTTCTCCTCCTCCTCTTTTTCCCTCCTTGCCAACATTATCACTTTCCCTTTATATGCATGAAGAAATCTTTCAAGAATAGGAGTTAGTTTGTTAGAAATTCTACCAATCCTACCTCAGCTATTTTACCTTGTGAAAGTTACTGTATACAGCCTAAACAATTTGCAGTCAAAATGGACTTTGAGTCTTAACACTTGAATAAGATCTCACTTTTATATTGCTGCCAATAAGAACATAGACAAAAATAATATCTTAGATCATATAGTACATAAAGAATGCTTCCTTTCTGCTTATATCTTAAAAGTATGATATTAAGTTAGAATATGTTGACTCTTGTGTTCCTTCATAAGGAATATCATCCTATATACTGACAGAACTGATACAAGTGGTAGAAATTATTTGGTCTTTATTATACATGCACTGTACATTTTTCTATGCTTCTCTATCAAGCAGCTGTGATATAGCAAGACACATGTTCCCAAAATGAGCTTTACTGAGGTGTACTATTAGTCTGGGCATAAGGCAGAAAACACTTCCTCTCATAAGGTAAACCACCATTGTATTCTCTAATATGTAAAAGTTTGGGATCTTCAGAAAGAATAGGTTTAAAAAAGAAATACTGGAATAAAAGAAATTTTAAAAAAAGAAATACTGGAATAAAACTGGAATAAAAGAAAGTAAATCCTGCCAGAGCCACCACGGACAGCGACATGTTCAAGGTAATTCGGAGGTCCGTGAGGCCAACCAGCCTACGCTTGTTCACCTTCAAAGTCTATGCAGCACCAAAAAAGGACTCACCTCCTCAAAATCCCATGAAGGTTGATGAGCTTTCACTGTACTCAGTTCCCGAGGGTCAATCGAAGTGTGTGGAAGAGTCAAGGAGCCAGCTTGAAGTAGGCATCTCACAGTTCCGACGCTATTGTGAGCCACATAGAAATTTGTGTCAGGAAACGTACTCCCAAACTAAGCCTAAGATGCAAAGTTTGGTTCAGTGGGGATTAGACAGCTATGAGTATCTCTAAAATGCACCTCCTGGATTTTTTCCAAGACTTGGTGTTATTGGTTTTGCTGGCCTTAATGGACTCTTTTTGGCTAGAGGTTCAAAAATAAAGAAGCTAGTGTGTCCACCTGGTTTCATGGGATTAGCTGCCTCCACCTGTTATCCACAACAAGCCATCGTGTTTGCCAAGGTCAGTGGGGAGAGATTATATGACTGGGGTTTACACGGATATATAGTAATAGAAGATTTGTGGAAGGAGAACTTTTAAAAGCCAGGAAATGTGAAGAATTCACCTGGAACTAAGTAGAAAACTCCCTGCTCTACCCATTTTAATCAGATAGAGGTAAACACTGGAAACTCCATACAATAAATCACTATTTCTACAGAAAAATGGAGGATAAGTCAGTATTGAATGTATTAAAATGGCTTTCTTCTTCAGGAAAAAATACGTATATAATTAAAACCCAAGTTAAAAAAAGAAAGAAAGTAAATGTTAGTTCTGTCTGCAAATATAGTTGAAGTCATATACTTATATTTTTGAGGAATGGTGTTTCTTTAAAGCTAAAATACAGGTGAAAAGCCTCAACCTTTCCAATACAATTTTAGCATTTCCACTTGCTCATCTGATCCATACATTGACTTTTAAAGCAATCCACAGGATATCTGTTCTCTAGGACTTTGGTTGAGAATACAATGTTAATCTATTAGAAGACCAGTTTCTATAAAATGAGGAATAATATCTAAAGTGTCTGGCACAAATTAGTTAATAGTATTAGTAATATAAACAAAACAGCAATAATGGCAAGAGTCAATATTACTCTGGATCACTATGTACCAGAGATATTTCAAGTGTTTTATCTATGTTAACTATTTTTTCCCACACACAGAACACAATATGAGGTTGGCCTATTATTGTATGAGTAGGTGTAGTCATCTCTATAAACTTTTTTTTTTTTTTTTTTTTTTTTTTTTTTTTTTTTTTTTTTTTTTTTATTAAGACAAGGTCTCCATCCGTTGCCCAGGCTAGGATACAGTGGCATGATTACAGCTCACTGCAGCCTTGATCTTGTGGGCTGAAGTGATTCTCCTGCCACAGCCTCCCGTGTAGCTAGGATGACAGGCATGTGCCACCATACCCAGCTAACTTTTAAACATTTTTTTTCTAGAAACAAGGGCTCACTTTTTTGCCCATGATGGTCTCGAACTCCTGGGCTCAAGCCCTCCTCCTGCCTCCACCTCCCAAAGTGCTGGAATTATAGATGTAAGCCATTGCGTCTTGCCTCTATGAACATTCTAATCTAGTTTTCTGTCACCTGTTGCCTGAACTCTTGTAAGAACATTCTTACAAAAGTTCCCTTTAGAGTGATTCCCCTTTCTATAGTCTTGCCCCTCTACAATCAACCCAGTGACTAAAGCTTGAGATTTTTTTTAAAAAGGAAATCTGATAATATTCCTTTTTTGTTTAACTCTTTTCACTGTCTTCCCCATCCCCTTAACATATGTTCAAACTCCTATAATTATCTGGCTCTATACTACCTCACCAGCATCATCTGCTTCATTACTCAGCCTCTTCCTGCAGAACTAAACTTAGGGTCTTTGGGAACTGTCCTTACTTCTCTATCTGCTTTTCTTTATGTTTCTTCCTCTCCCTCTCATCCCTTCACCTGTCCCTCCACCTTGTTTAGGGCTTACCTTAATTGTTAATGACGTGGAGATACTGTCTGTAATCTCTAAATGCTTCGTTAGCACTGTGGTCTTTCCTTAAGATGACACTTTTCACCCAATTTTTATTACTTGCTTATATTTTATCTTTCACAACAGAAGATAAGATGTATAGGGGGCAGAAGTTATGTCTACTTCATTTCTTTGCAAATCTGGCACTTCTGGTATATTTTAGTCACTATATTCTTTAAATGAATAATTGATTCTTATGTGTTGAATAATAACACCTTAAGTTAACTGACTATACTCTCAAAGTCTCCCAGGTATCTCAGGTTATTCTGTAATGGTAATGAAATTCACATACTTGTGATGGTACAGAAAAGAAATATATCAGTTTCTAATTGGCAGGTCACTTTCCTCACTTGTCATATCTGTCTTACCATGAGACAAACACTCTGAACGAAGAATACAGTCATTCCCCCTGAAAATGCAAAACAAAAAGAATAAAACAACTAGGAATAGGTTTACCTTAGGCAGGGGGTTGACAGGTTTGCAGTAGAGTCTTACAACAAATTCAAAATTAGGTAAGAGTGGGCGAGGAAATTCCAAATACCAGTAGTTTCGAATGAGCCACATTTCAGCTTTTCCCATTATCTCAGATAATTGTAGTGCATTTTCCTGAAGGGGGGGGAAAGGCAAAAGAAATAAAATTGTCATGTGAATATGCCAGGTAATTTTCTAAAATTATTTGAAATAATGTAGCCAAAATTTTTTATGACTTGCTAAAGCAAATATAAATGTGCATATTTATACATAATTTATATATTTTATAGATGTTGTTCATACATATGTAAGTAAAGTGGGTAGACTCTAATGTCACATTGGTATATACACAATCATGAATGATTATTAAAACGAGTCACTGTAGAATTAAACATAGATTTGTTTTCTCTCTAAAATACAAAAGTAACCATTATAAATTTAAAAACTCTTTGAAATCCACCATCACTTAATTCTACCATAGCCATAGCCATGTTTTTCAAGAGTATTCAGTCTAGTTTCTACAATTTAGGAAGCAATTTATTTCCTTAATCTTTGATTCTCCAAATGAATTGTAAGGTTTTGGGGTTTCTAGTAGCTACTACTGTATTTGATTCATAATAGGTGACTAATAATTTTAGTTTATTAATAATATTGATATTGAAAGTAACAGCTGGAAAATTTTTACAAATTATTAAAATAGTGATTTGTGCTCAGCCTTATTTAGATTCATATTTTCTTTAATGGAAAGATATAGTTTTAAAAATATAAACTAATAATTACATGTTCACTCTTCAACAAGATTTTAGGCCTTAAAATATATGACTTGTAAGCAGTTGTTGAAGGAATGTGGAAGTCTGAGAGACCTCAAATTATATAGCTTTTTGCATCTGGGACAGACACTATTCACTCAAATATGAAGAAATCCTCATAGTAATAGTAATATGGAAAAATGTTTTAATTTTTTAAATTAGGAAACTAAGCTACATAAGGGAAACAATGTCCTAATGCTACATAAATAGTTGTAGAAATGTATATGTAATCTACATGTCTGCTCTCATCAAGACATTTATTGAAATTTCTAATGACTATTTTAAGGACAAAATAAAAGCATTGTAAGATGGATATGTAATTGCTTAGAGAAATCCTCAGTGGTTCAATTTGCAGGATTATGACTTACTGGAGCATCCTGTACAATTGATGGTCCCAGAGTTCTAACTTACTAATGTCAGGCTTTCCATAGTATTTGTGAGATTGATTGATCATCTTATATTTTCACTTCATCATTTCATTTACAAAAAACACACTCCTCTGATTTTATACTCATGCAAACTCACCTCTAAAGGCACAGGGAAAGTTAGGACTTAATAACCACCAATTAAAAACATGACTTACCTAGAACTTCACTGTAAAACTGGTCTCACTTCTTCATATCAAATGTTTGGAACCAAAAGTCAAAATAAAACACATATATAATATTTCTTACTGTCTCCATGAATGTCATCGAACCACTTAATTCTGACAGAATAACAGCTCCATAGGAAGGTGGAAGTAGAAATCCTCCACTGTATTTCTCAAATGTGTAGCCAGGAGAGAAGTGGAGACTGTACACAAAGGATATTTTTAATAGCTCAGCCAGCAGCTCTCCAAAGGGACCAATGGCATTTGCATGAACGACATCAGACCTTGATTCTTGTAGGTTTGTCATAAGTTTCTTGTTCAAAACTACATCTTTAAAGAACTTCTCAGTATAACCAGAATATTCCCAAAGAATATTCTTGCATTAATGAAAAATATGTTCAAAATATATGTTTTGGAAGATCATGTATCCATTTAGTAATCTGTTGTGTGAAAAAAAACCCTGCAAAATCATCTTTAATTACAGATATAGAATAAACCTCAAATTTAGTAACAGATGTTATGTTGGGATCAACAAGAATGGAAGCTGACAATGTTAGAACAGTCACCTCATGACTTATCTGCATAAGTTTATCCAGGATTGTCTTTATATTCATCCAAGGACTATATTCCATGGGCCACAGCGGCACATTTCCACAACTCCCAGAGCTAGAGTAATAGCTCAGCTGTATCAACAGAAGGACTGAAGTCCATTTCATAGCCATCTTGATAAAATACAATGCTTCTTTTTAAATTGTTGTTCCCTCTGCCATTCTTACGTTTTGTTTTTATGCAATGATAAATCAATCCGGAAGTTAAAATATAACTCTTACACCTCGAAGTAAATACATTATATAAGTAGTCTGAACATGTCAATGGCAAATAGAAAAACAAAAGGTAGATGACCCTGTGTTTACACAAATGTATTTAATGTCTCTTTTATGTTTTTAAGTGCTTTCATCTAGCTAAGATCAATGATTTTGCATGAACAAGTCGTCGCATTTATGTGATGTATTTTAGTATACTGCCAAAAGTAGTGGCAATAGAGAGGCTCTTTTGTCTTCAGTCTCCTTGACACAGAACTAGAGATAAAATAATTATATGGATGAATCAGCATTTTTTAGAGTTATTTTTATAAAAACACTTTAGTCATGACTTTTTGACGTATAATTCACATGCTATGCAATTCACCAATCTAATGTGTATATATTAGTCTGTTCCCATGCTGCTAGTAAAGACATATCCAAGACTGGGTAGTTTACAAAGGAAAGAGGTTTAATTGACTCACAGTTCCACATGGCTGGGGAGGCCTCACAACCGTGGTGACAGGCAAGACAGAGAGCTTGTGCAGGGGAACTCCCATTTATAAAACCATCAGATCTCATGTTTCTTATTCACTACCACAAGAACAGTATGGAGGAAACTGGAGGAAACGACCCACATGATTCAATTATCTCCACCTGGCACCACCCTTGAAATGTGAGGATTATTACAACTCAAGGTGAGATTTGGGTGGGGACACAGTCAAACCATATCAGTGTACAATTGAATGTCTCATTGTATATTAACAGACTTGTAAAATCAGAAAATAATTTTAGAACAGGTTCATCTCCCAAAAAGAAGTACTTTACCATTAGCTGTCAACCTCCACCCTATGCAATTTCTGCATATCCAGAGTTCTAGGCAACCACACACTAATGTACTATCTCTCTATGGGTTTTCCTTTTCTCGATATTTCATACTAATGAAATCATACAATACGTGGTCTTTTGTGGTTGGCTTTCACTTTTCATAATATTTTAAAGACTCATTCATGTTAAAGTATCAAGATTTCATTCATGTTTATTTCCAAATAATGTTATATACTATGGATATACTACATTTTGTTTATTATTCATCAGTTAATGGACATTTGAGTTTTTTCCAGTTTTTGGCTATCATGAATAATGTTATTTATTAATGTTCATGTACAAGTTTTGTGTAGACATGTTTTCATTTCTCTTGGGTATATACCTAGAGATGGAATTGCTGGGTTACATATTAGCTTTATGTTTAACTTTCGAAGAATTACTAGACTGTTTTCCAAAGTGGCCATACCATTTTCCAGTCTCATTAGCAATGTATGAGGATTCCAATTCCTCCACATCCTTGACAACACGTGTTATTAATTGTCAACACAAACAACATTTGTTTACTAGGCTCTTTCCCTATTGAACTGCTTTGGCACTCTTGTCAAATATCAGTTGACCATTAACATATGGTATATTTCAGGATTCTAAAACCTATTCGATCAATCTATACATCTATCTGTATGCCTATGCCACATTTTCTTTATTACTGTAGATTTACAGTTGGCTTCAAAATCAGTAAGTACAAGTCCCCCAACTTTGTTCTTTTTAAGAGCGTTTTGCTATTTTTAGGTCCTTTAAATATCTAATATAAATTTTAGGATCATCTTGTCAATTTATGCTATGAAGTCAGCTGTGGTTTTTATAAGGATTGCATTGAATTTATATATCATTTGGGGCAGTATTGTCATTAATAAAATATTAAGTGTTTCAGTTCAGGAAACAAGATGTGTTTCCAATTAGATGTGTCACAAACAAATGGAAAAACATTCTATGCTCATGGATAGGAAAAAATAATATTGTTAAAATGGTCATATTACCCAAAGCAATTTACAGATTCAATGCTATTCCTATCAAAGCACCAATGACATTTTTTACAGAATTAGAAAAAAAATTCTAATGTTCCTTTGGAACCGAAAAAAGCCCAAATAGAAATAAAGCTGCACACCTAAAACTATCTAAGTTTTGGCAACACTGACAAAAACAGTGCTGGGATAACTGGCTAGTTATATGTAGAAGATTAAAACTGGACACCTACCTTTCACCATATACAAAAATTGACTCAAGATGGATTAAAGACTTAAGTGTAAAACCTAAAATTAAAACTCTTGAAGAAAACCTAGGAAATACCATTATGGATGTAGGCCCTGGGAAAGACTTCAAGACAAAGACTCCAAAAGCAATTGCAACAAAAACAAAAATTGACAATGGGACCAAATTAAACTAAAGAGCTTCTGCACAGCAAAAGAAACTATCAACAGAGTAAACAGACAACCAACAGAATGGAAGAAAATATTTGCAAACTAAGCATCTGACAAAGGTTTAATATCCAGAATCTATAAGGACCTTAAACAAATTAACAAAAAACAACTCCCTTACAAAATGGGCAAAGGACATGAACACACACTTCTCAAAAGAAGAAATATATGTGGCCAAGAAGCACATAAAAATGCTCAGTATCACTAATCATTATGAAAATGCAAATCAAAACCATAATAAGAGACCATCTCACACGAGTCAGAATGACTATTATAAAAAGTCAAAAAATAAGAGATGCTGGGGAGATTGCAGAGAAAAGGGAGCGCTTATACACTGTGGTGGGAATGTAAATCATTTCAGCCACTGTGGAAAGCATTCTGAAGATTTCTCAAAGAACTGAAAATAGAACTACCATTCAACCCAGCAATCTCACTGGGCACATACCCAAAGAAATATAATTAGTAAACTGTAAAGACACATGCACATGTATGTTCATCGCAGCACTATTCACAACAGCAAAGACGTAGAATCAACCTAGATGCCCATCAGTGGTGTACTGGATAAAGAAAATGCAGTAAATATACACTATGGAATACTATGCAGCCATAAAAAAGAATGAGATCACATCCTTTGCAGCAACATGGATGGAGCTAAAGGCCATTATCCTAAGCAAATTAACGCAGAAGCAAAAATCAAATACTGCATGTTCTCACTTGTAAGTGGGAACTAAATATTGAATACACATGGGCACAAAGAAGGGAACAATAGACACTGCAGCCTATTTGAGGGTGGAAGGCGGGAGGAGGGTGAGGATCAAAAACCGATCTATTGGGTACTATGCACATTACCCGAGTGACAAAATTATCTGTACACCAAACCACCGCAACACACAATTTACCCATGTAACAAACCTGAGCATGTAAAGCTTGAACCTAAAATAAAAGTTGAAAAGAAAAAAAAAGTTTAGGGGTGCTCCTCCTATGGAGTAGCCATTCTTTATTCCCTTACTTTCATAATACATTTGTTTTCACTTACTCTGTGCACTCGCCCCAAATTCTTTCTTGTGTGAGAGCCAAGAACTTTCTCTTGGGGTTTGGGTCAGGACCCTTTTCTGGCAAACCATGAAGATACCATACTGAGGAGACCCCCCAACTCAAAGGAAATAGACTGCAGCACTGATTGGCCGACTTTGAATAAATGGGGTGCATTTACCCAGGTAGAGGATGCGACTGGGTTAGAGGCCCAACTTAGGGTTGTTAGAGTTTCTCCTAAGACAGAAAGGGTTAAAGACCCCGCTTAATAAAAGGCAAGGATGTTTGACCGAACTTGGGTTTGAGGCCCAAGTTGGGAAGGTTAGAGTCCTTCCTAAGATTTAGAGATATAGAGCCCTCTCTCTCGGTAAAGTCCCTCTTGGCTAAGAACAGGTTTGGCACTATGGGATGTTAACCACTATTCTGTTTGGATTAATCTGTATTGTACTCTTTGCTGATTGCTATGGGTGACAGGATTAGGTATGTGCAGGATCAAAAGACATGGGGAGGTTTTTCTCCCTAAAAGTGGAAAATTCAGAGCTGATGGGACTGCTGGAAAAGATCCCTTCCCTACTGACAAGAGGCTGCCTGAACTTTCGATTCAGTGACACTGCTCTGAGTGGGTCTTTGGCCTCCCTGAGTGCCTCACCTTCCCCACCCTGCCATAGCCAATGTTTTTCTCCCTTTCTTTTTTTTATTTTTTCTGTTACTGTGGGCAACAGTCTGCCACTTCATCTTGTCCAGAGACCACATGTTGAAAATGTCCTTGGGAGCTTGACTTTGTAGCCACATGGCGATACTTTCTCTTCATCTCTGCCTTCCAGGGAACAGTAATTTTGGGGTTCATGTCATAGTTAGCCCTAAAAACTATCTTGTGCAATTAAAAGCCATTGCAAGCTCAAAATTTGTTGCTATAGGCTCCTTCTGGGAAGGACAATGGAAACCATCCAATGCTGTAGTCAGCAGCTAAGGCTTTGTCTTTTCATAGCGGTGGCCGGGGTTCAGGGTTCAATTCCTGGCTTAGGGAATGAGTACTTTCTGGGTTGCTATCTGTGTGACCTTTACTATTCATTAATTCTCTTTCCCTCCATGACCCATCTTGAATTTTTTTTCTCTGAGCACCTAGGAGGTTACTTTTGGTAAAATTTAAAAGCCAGAAATATTGGTGATTTGGCATGGCTAACATCTGGTAATCAGAGATTTAAAAGGACTAAAAGTCAGCTTATTCCAGTTCTAATAGCCTGGGACTCCTTGGGAAAAACGGAGGAGGAATCAAAGACCCTCTTTTGGAGAAAATCTGTTTTTTCCTCATGAAACCCCAGGAATTAGAAGTGGATAGATTCCTTTCAAAATTTAAGGCTCTGTTCTCTTTACATTGCGTTATTTGACAGTTTTGACTTTTGAGGGTATCAGAAATTACTTCACATTATGAGAGAGCTTTGGTGTTTTATAACTAGGTAGGAAATACCCTTTTGGGAAAAGGAAATAGCTGTTATATGAGAATACATGGCTCTTTGCACGTTTAAATCAGAGAAGCATGCTCTTGGCCACCTAGAAGACATGGAAATGTCATCGCCCCACACTGAGAGATAAGACTCTTATGGGAGATGGACTGATTCCCTCTTTTGGGGATCCAGGTTTTAGTATAAAAATAGGACCCTTAATTTTGGGGGATCTGTTTGTCTTCCAGCTGTGCCTGCTTATTAGGTCCTAGAAACTGCATTCTTTAAAGAGAAACTTACAAACTGGCAAATGATAAATCTTACAATTACTAGATCTTTTTTGTCTGTCTGTATACTTCTATGTGTTGTGTGTGTGATATTTATTATTTCTAAGTAGGGAAAGAGAAAACAATTTTCTTATTACTATATAGACAGTTGTGCTAGAAATATGTTTGTAAGTCAACGTATGCATCTATGTTCATTTAGAGATAAAACTAAAACTATAATTAAATGAATCTGTAATTTCCGAAAGAAATCCTAGGTGCTTCAATTTGCAGAGTTATGATTTCTTAGAGTGTCTTGTATGAGTGATGGCCACAGGGTTCTAACTGACCCTATAATGTAAGCCCCTTCAGAATATTTATCAGATTGATAGATCATTTTATATTTTCATTTCCTTATTTACCTATAAAAGAAAACTTTCTTTGATTTTTGGCCGGGCGCAGTGGCTCACGCCTGTAATCCCAGCACTTTGGGAGGCCAAGGTCAGCGGATCACGACGTCAGGAGATCGAGACCATCCTGGCTAACACGGTGAAACCCCATCTCTACTAAAAATACAAAAAAAATTAGCCGGGCGTGGTGGCGGGCGCCTGTAGTCCCAGCTACTTGGGAGGCTGAGGCAGGAGAATGGCGTGAACCCGGGAGGCGGAGCTTGCAGTGAGCTGAGATCACGCCACTGCACTCCAGCCTGGGTGACAGAGCGAGACTCTTGCCTCAAAAAAAAAAAAAAAAAAGGAAACTTTCTTTGATTTTATATTCATATAAGCTCACCTTCAAATGCACAAAGAAAGTTGAATGTTTATGCTACCGTATAAAAACAGCGTACCTAATATTTCTCTGTAAAACTGATCTCATTTCTTTTCATAAAACGTTTGGAACCAAAAGTCAAAATAAAGCACATATATCATATTTTTACCTTCTCCATAAATTTCATTCTACCACTTAATTCAGATATAACAACGGATATATAGGAAGGAAGGAATCAAAGTCCTCACCTATATTTTTTCAATGTATAGCCAAGAGAGAAGCAGAGACTATACACAAAGGACATTTCAAGTATCTCAGACAGCAACTCACCACAGGGACCACTGGCATCTCCAAGAAGGACATTGTCTTAGTCCATTTGCACTGCTATAACAAAATACCTGAGAGTGGATAATTTATAAAGAACCGAAATTTGCTTCACACAGTACTGGAGGCTGGAAAGTTCAAGATCAAGGGGCTAGTAGATTCATTGTCTGGTGAGGGTCTCTCTGGTCTCTGCTTCCAAGATGGCTCCTGGAACACTGAGTCTTCTGGAAGTGAGGAATGCTGTGTCCTCTCTTGGCAGAAGGCATAAAGACATAAAGGCAAAAAGGGGCAAACTGTCACTGTCAAGTTCTGTTATAAGGGCACCTAGTCCCATTCACAAGGGAGAAGCCCTCATGGCCTAATCTCCTCTTAAAAGGTCTACCTCAATACTGTCACATTGGCAACATTTGAATTTTGAAATGGAAATTCAACATTTTGAATTTTGAAGGGAACACATTTAAACCATAGTAATGTCAAACTTTGATTTTTGTAGTTTGTCATAAGTTTCTTGTTCAGAACTACATCTCTATAGAACTTTTCAAAGTAATCAGAACTTTCGCCCCAGAACATTTTTGCAGTAATGGAAAATATGCTCAATGTGTGTCTTTTGGCAAATTATACACCCATTTCCTGACTCATTTGGTAAAAAAAAAAAAAATTCCAGTTCAACTCTAGTATAAGATGTAGAAAAAATTTCAAATTTAATAATAGTTTATCGAGATCAAGGGTAATGAAATATGAAGGTGTCAGAACCTCATGAACTATCCTCATGAACTATCCAAACAAGTTCATTCAGTAGTGTCTTTAAATTGCTCCATTGATTATATTTCATTGGCCACAACAGCATTTTTCCATAACTTTCAAACCTAAAGTAATAATTCGACCCACTTCTTCATTGTGTTGTTTTCTTCTTGAATGTTAAATTTTCTTTACATTTTCTTGATAAAAGTAACTTATCAGATATATGGTTTGTAAATATATTCTCCAATTTTGTGGCTCGTCATTTCACTTTCTTGATGGTATTCTTTGATGCACATAAGTTTTAATTTTTATGAAGTCCAATTCGTTCATTTTAATTTGGTTGTTTCTCCTTTTGGTGTCATATCTAAGAAACAATTGCCAAATTAAATGTTACAAATATTTATCTTTTTTTATATTTAGAGTTTTATAGTTATAGCTCTTACATGTAGGTTTTTATTTATTTTCAATTAATTATTGTATATGGTTTGAAGAAAGGGATCCAATTTCATTCTTTTGATGGGGCAAATCTGTTTTCCCACCAACATTTTTAAAGAGGCTGTACTTTCTTTATTGTATAGTTCTGACATTCTTGTCAAAAATTAATTGACCATAATATATGGCTGTACAGTTGATCCTTGAACAATGTGGGGCTTAAGGGCACTGATCTCCCAGGAAGTCAATAATTTGCATATAACTTTGACTCCCTAAAACATAACTAATAGCCTGATGTTGACCAGAAGCCTTTCCAATAACATAAAAATTTGGTTAAAATATATTTTTTATGTTATATGTTATTACTGTATTCTTATAATAAACTAGAGGAAAATGTTATTAAGAAAATTATTGATATGTCTTGACTGTGTTCCCACTCAAATCTCATCTTGAATTGTAGCTCCCATAATCCCCACATGTTGTGGGAGGGACCCAGCAGGAGGTAATTTAATCATGGGGGTGGGTTTTTCCTGTGCTGTTCTTGTGATGGTAAGTCTCACAAGATCTGATGCTTTTATAAAGGGCAGTTCCCCTGCACATACTGTCTTGTCTGCTGCCATGTAAGATGTGCTTTTGCTTCTCCTTCATTTCCACCATGATGGTGAGGCCTCCCCAACCATGTGGATCTGTGAGTCCATTAAAACACTTTTTCTTTATAAATGACCCAGTCTTGGTATGTCTTTATTAGCAGCATGAGAATGGACTAATACAGTAAATTGGTACCAGAAATAGGATGGGATCCCCCACACAGAGTCCCCACTGGGGCACTGCCTAGTGGTGCTGTGAAAGCAGCAGGGAAGGGGGCTGTACCCCACAAAGCCACAGCAGCAGACTTGCCCAAGACCATAGGAACCCACCTCTCACATCAGCATGACCTGGATGTGAGACATGGAGTCAAAGAAGATCATCTTGGAGCTTTAAGATTTGACTGCCCCCCTGGATTTCAGACTTGCATGGGGCCTATAGCCCCTTCATTTTGGCCATTTTTTGCCATTTAGAATGGGTGTATTTACCCAATGCCTGTACCCCCATTGTATCTAGGAAGTAACTAACTTGCTTTTGATTTTATGGGCTAATAAATGGAAGGGACTTGCCTTGTCTCAGATTAGACTTTGGACTTGGACTTTTGAGTTAATGCTGGAATGAGTTAAGACTTTGGGGGGCTGTTGGGAAGGCATGATTGGTTTTGAAATGTGAGGATATGAGATTTGGGAGGGGCCAGGGGCAGAAAGATATGGTTTGGCTGTGTCCCCATCCAAATCTCATCTTGAATTACAGCACCCATAATCCCCATGTGTTGTGGAAGGGACTCAGTGGGAGGTAACTGAATCATGGAGGTGGGTTTTTCCTGTGTTGCTCTCATGATAGTGAATAGGTCTCATGAGATTTGATGGTTTTATAAAGGGCAGTTCCCCTGCACATGCTGTTTTGCCTGCTGCCGTGTAAAACATGCCTTTGCTTCTCCTTCACCTTTCACCATGATTGTGAGGCTTCCCCAGCCATGTGGAACTGTGAGTCCATTAAACCTCCTTTTCTTTATAATTACACAGTCTTGGGTATGTCTTTATTAGCAGTATGACAACAGACTAACACAATTATAAAAAGGAAAAAATATTTACTATTTATTAAGTGGAAGTAAATTATAATAAAGATCTTTATTATCATTTTTGTGTTGAGTTGGCTGAGGATGATGAGGAGGAAGGGGTTAGTCTTGATGTCTCAGGGGTAGTAGAAGTGAAAGGAAAACTGTGTGTAAGTGGACCTGCACAGTTCAAACCCATATTCTTCCAATAATTCTTCTGGATTTAAAAATCAATTCTGTTGATGCCTGTACCACACTTTCTTGATTACTACAGATTTGCAAATTATTATTGTTTGGATTGTCTGTTTCTCCATTTCTGTATGGTTTTTCCTCCTGTATTTTGAACTCTGTTAATAGATGCACATATACTTATTATTGTTATGTGTTCCTGATGGATTTATACTGTAACAATTGTAAAATGTCCTTCTTCACCTCTACTAACATTTTTGGTTAGAAATCTACCTGCCTGAAATAAGTATAGCCACCTCAGCTTTATTATGTTTGCTGTTTCCTTGTATATCTCCTTCCATCCTTTTATATTAACCTATTTGTATATGTGAATTTCTAGTGTGTCCTATTATGTAGCATATGGTTGGATTTAAAGAAAATATGGTCTGTAATATATGCCTTTTGACTAGATTTTTAAAATCCATTTACATGTGGTGTTTTTATTATGATTAAATTTACGTTTGCTGTTTACTGTTGTCATATATATACATTTAATTTTTTCTTCTTTTTAAATATATATTTCTTTGCACTAAGTGAACATGTTCCATTTTACTATTTTTCATCGTTATTTCCTTAGTGATTGCTCTAGGGCTTACCAGATATATATGGTAAATTATCAGAATCAACTTCAGATTTATACTGACTTAAATCTCTGTCCTCTGTAGAGACATTATTCACATATAGTTCCAGTCTCTTCCCATTTTTGTGATATTAGTATTACTTTTATGAGTAAATACTAGGTATATATATTTATGGGGTATATGAGATATTTTGATACAGGCATACAATGTATAATTATCACATTAAATTAAATGGGATATCTATCCCCTTAAGCATTTATCATTTCTTTGTGTTACATGTGGTATTATTGTTATAGATATTGCATCTATGTATGTTACCAACACAACATTACATTGTTTTTATGACACTATATAATTGTATGTCTTTTTAGAAATGGAAACAATTTGGAGAGCAAGTATATATTTTTATCTTTGATTATACTAATCATATTATTTACCATTATTGGTTCTCTTTAGTGAAAGGTGAAAGATTTATACAATCTGAAGATAAATCAGAATATTATTGGTTCTCATTATTCGTTCCTGTGGATTCAGGTTGCTATTTGTTGCCATTTCTTACTCTAACAAAGCTTTGCTCCCAATCATCTCTTTTGTGCTGTTATTGACAGACATGTATATTTATAGGTGATATGCCCAACGATATGACTGTATGTATACATGCTCTATATACTTCCTTCTGAAGTTTGTTCAAAGAAAAAAGGAGAAGAAATGTAGATTTATACTATCTTTTATAATTGTATAATGACCTTTATTGGTGCTCTTTCCTTTATTGTGTGGATTAGGCTTGCTTAATTGGTTTCAATCTGAAGAGCTTCTTTTAGTGTTTCTTATAAGACAGGTTTGCTAGCAACAAGTTGTCTGTTTTTGTTGGCTTGGGAATGTATTTTTTTTTTATTTTTTATTTCCTTCAGTTTTGGAAAATAGTTTTGTGGTAGATAAAGTTCTAGGTTGAATTTTTTCTTTCATTAGTTTGAATATGACATGCTAGTGCCTTATGGGTTCTATAGTTTCTGATGATAAGTCAGCTATTCATGATTTTGGAGTGCCCTTGAACGTCATGAGCTGTTTCTCTCTTGTTTCTTTGCCATCTTCTGTCTTTACCCTCAGTCTTTCTCTATGATGTTTCTGTGATTGGATCTCTGTGTTTATCTTACTTGAAATTTGTTGTATTTCTGGCCTTTGTAAATTAATGTCTCATCATATTTGAAGAGTCTTTAGGCACTATTTTTGTAAGTTTTTTTCTGTTCCCTTCTCTTCTTTTTTTTCCTTTTCTATTACTTTCACTTTGTGTATGTTGAAATGCTTAAGATTGTCGCAAAATTCTGTAAGACTGTCTTCGTTTTTCTTTATTTTCTATCTTCTGTTCTTTGGGTTACACAATGTCTACTGACCTACCTTCAAGTTGGCTGGCTCTGTCTTCTGCTATCTCATATCTACTGTTGAGTTCTTGTAAATTTTTTTTAATTTCAGTTATTGCAGTTTTCAACTCCAATATTTCCATTTGCTTCTTTTTAAAAAATATAATTACTATCACTTTCCATATATCTTCTATTGGATACTGCATTGTTACTATACCTGCTTTTCCTCTTTAGTATTACTTCTTTTAGGTCTCTGAACATATTTATAATGATTATTTTGAAGGTTTTGCCTATTAAATCCAACACCTTGTCTCTTAAACAGGCAGGTTCTGTTGCCTGCTTTTGCCTCACGTGGGAATCATACTCTCCTGATTTCTTTTCAGCATGTCATTTAAATTTGTGTTAAAAACTCTACATGTTTGATAATAGATTGTAGCAACTGTAGATATTAGATATCCTCTTTCTGTGTATTTTAATCTGTGGCTGATGACTAGATGGACTATTTTAGCGAAGCCTCTTTCCTTTGCAGTGTTAAGCTTGATATTGCTATGCAAGGGTGCAGCCTTGGTATGCTCACATGTCCTGTAATAATGGTGGTTGCAGGAGGACATTCTTTGACTGCCTCTTCTACGGCTGAACCCTGCTGTTAGCCTTCACAAGTTGCTGATTGAGTGCTCTATTACTTTTGATAATGGCCTGAGAGTATAAATTGTTCCACAGTCTGATCCAATAAAATTCAGTGATTCTTTTGCAGCGATAGTTTTTGAGGTCAGTATTTGATCATTGCTCAGACCCCAGGAAGATTTTTTTCAATCTGTATCTTTGGTTTCCTCTAATAAATTAGTTTGCCTGTGGCTTAGCATTTATGTGTTCTGAAGCTAACAGCTTCCTCTTAATTATTTACCAGAAAGCCTCCGTGTTTTCAGAGCACTCTTAGGATTACAATTTTCACACTGTTTCAAATAAAGTAAGTTCCTTTGGGAAAACATTTGTAGCTCTGTGTTTATGGCCTGACTCTCCCCTGTGCAGAGTGTCTTGACCTTGACTATAGGACTGGGGGCATGGACAGTGGTGCATTTCTACTTTGGCCTTTATTCTCAGTTTTCCTCTCCTCTCATGGAATCTCCAACTGGGATAGTGGCTATTTGGTACTCAGTGTTCATGAATAGAACATCTGTGTTATGACAGTGGCTGGATGGAATATGGGAGATCCTTCTTAGCCACACTTGCCTGGAATTTAGCCTCTGTAACACATACTTGGGTATGTGCATGAAAAATTCAGGGCAACGTTGCCTCCCAACAAGATACCATAGTCCTCAACTGGGAGCTTCAAAAGTGGGAGCCCTGTGGTATTGTTTATACCTCTCTGGAATGATGGAGTTTCTGTTACCATGAATTAGGAGGTGGACAAATGAGCATGTTGTGGTTTAATTTCACCAAGAAATAGTGGAGTTTCTTCAGCACATATTTCTTTATTTGTTGTATGTCCTTAGGACAATTCTTAGAGACTGCAAATTATTTAAAAAAAAAAATCACTAGTTACTCCTGTTTTACTTGGGAGCTGGTCCATGGGACTTCCCATGCCATGATACCATTTGGAAAGTGACTGGTACAAGATTTTCTTGTAAAATATCTCTACTGTCTGCATATATTGTAGCAAAAAGCAATCAGGGAGCTAAAAGTACATATTTCCATATCAGAAAATGATAATTAAGCATATGTGAAAATTAAGGAAAAAACCTCACTTTGTTAAAGGTATATTGCTGTATGGTTTTTTGTTTGTTTCTGTTTTGATTTTCTAATAGCAAGTAGAATGATTTTAACACATAATGCCAGGTTACCAGGCTGGGGGATGGTTGAATGGGAAGTAACTGTCTAATGTGTACAGATATTCTTTTAGGGGGATGAAAATTCTTTGATTCTAGATTGTAGTGACAGTTGCACAACACTGTGTATGTATTAAGTGCTACTGAATTATTCACTTTAAAAGGGTTATTAATAATATTATTTATAACAAATAAAATGAAATTTTATTGTATGTGATTTTACCTCAATTATTAAAAAAAACACGTGGTTGGTCAGATTTGGCCCAAAGGCCTCAATTTACCAGCCCTCAGTTTATACCATAAAGTTAATTCCTACTTTTGAAGTAGCATATGCTCGTATTTTTATCATTTGTATTTGAAACATATTACATTTAAAAAATATATTAGGTAATGAAAGTAAGAACTAGAATCATTGTGGAAATTTTTCTCTTCACTTAATAATAATTAAAATAAATGCAAATTTAAGTTGCTATGTACAAGTTTAGTGCTTTACCAAGTTAATGCATTCATCCTTTCATCACCCCCATGAGGTAGGTAATGATGAGGGTCCCACACTGCCAGTTACAAACAGCACATTCTACAGGGATATCAATTTTACAGTATGATTTCAGTGCAAAAGTTAAAGAAGCCCAGAAATAAGGCTCACTCTAATAGGTATTATACAAGTATTGTTCTGGATATAAGCAGAACTCTTAGGACTATTTCACAGAAATTGCAAGCCAGAATACCAGACTTCTAACTGTCAGCAACTCTTAACCTCCAGCTTTTAAGAGGTATTTTAGGGGAAATGTTTAAGAAATTCCTGCAATTTTTAAGGTGAGTTATAAAAGATCATAGAGATGACAAAACCACAAGTAACTTTTCCACACTGCTTGTAGTCAGACAAGTAAAGCCAAATGACTCCAAATTAAAAGTATTCTCCAGAAAACTTACATAGAATAAACACAAGTGATTTGGTAAAAGTATAACAAGATAGAATTAAAACTGAATTTAGAACTAGCTGTGATGCCTGCTTTCAGGAATCTATATTAGTAATTAGTAACATAAATTAGGCATCTGAGTACATTATTGTCTAACATTATCTCTCCCTGACTATTATATACTAGCTCTATTTCGTTTCTTTCTTACACATACACACATACAAACATTTACATAATATGCCTAATAGAGGCCATCTATTTCAGATTACACAACTCCTTCCAAAGAAATTGAGTGATTAAGTCATTTTAAAAATAGCCAAGCTCTATTAATTCCTGGTAATATAAAATTTATCTTCTAAGTTATTTGTATCAATCCTTTCTATAGCGTTTGCTGTGGTCTTACTCTTTTGTGATGGAGAAAATTCTTTCTTCAAAGGAAATGGAAGATGTGGTCCTCAGCTCTGCAGAAAAATGGTGTTGGTGGTGTTTTCTGTGGGATCAGTGATTAGAAACATGAAAGAAGAACAGGTCAGAGTGATTGCATCAGCACTTTCCCAGATCCCACAAAATGTTAGATGAAGTTCCTTAATTGAAGACAGCTACTGAATGAGTCTATAAAGTGTCTGATTGTAGAAATCACCTCTGTAAAAGGTAGACTGTTGGATAGCTCTAATTTATCTCAGAAAGCACTTAAAAACATATATATGGTTTATATATACGTATATATATTTGGCACATGCTAAGATAACTGTTTTTTATCGATAACTTTGGCATTAACATTGTGATTAGAAATAAAAATCTTTACAGGTATAGCATATTATACAGTTGATATTATACTTGTGTTACAGGTAGGGACAGAGAAATCACCAAATTCTGCCCGTCTATTTCCTCCTTTTCCTCACAGCATTCCTGAGGACACTGGAAATGCTACAGATGTTATTAGAAAAAAGTTAAATTTAATGAGCCCCTGTACTAGCAAAATAACCCTAAGCTTGCATTTAAAAGCCTCTGAATCGCATCACAGTTTAAGCTTGCCATGTTATCCCTGCCTCTTTTACATCACCGAAATGTTGGAACAGAGCTATTCAGTGTGCTGTTCAGGGAGTATGCAGAGAAAAAAAGTTCAGGGCTCACTAACTTTGAGTCTAGGTACCAACCAACCCAGGTAGATTTAGAGAAAGAGAAAACCAGCCTGAATTGGTGAACCTGAGCTTGCCAATGTTTCAAGCAGGAAGAAGTAAGAGAAAGGGTGAAGATGGAATCCTGCCCTTAAGATGAACCCTGTGTATTATAAAATGTGACCTCACAAAGATTCTGCTTCCAATAAACGCCTTCTCCTAATGGAGGAAGAAGGGAATATAAGAAGCAGTAAAGTGGAAGCAAGCATACCATAGGAAGAGGTTCAGATGCCCTCAACTTCAAAAAATATATTAGTAATGTATTTTCTAATGTATAGAGTACTCCTCTGGTCTTTAGGTATTTGTGAGCTACTTTTTAAATTTTCTGTCTGCTATTGCCTTCTAATTACCTATACTAATTTTTTTGCTGAAAATTTGAATTAACTCTAACACTCATATACCAAGTAAAAGTTAAAAAAATTGTCTATGGTACTTCAGTTTATAAGGATCTTGGGAATTCCAAAATCAGTACCTTATTTTGGGCCTGGGCATGGAAATGACTTGGCTATATGAAATCATATTAATCACTGACGTTAATGCTTTGTAGTACATCATCAAAGTGTTAACTGTCAGTTCAACAAAATTAAGCATCATCACAATTTTGAATTTTTTAAACAGTTATTACAAAAGTAATAACTTTTGAATTAAGATTGGTCTTTTGATTAAACATTTGAAGGATTTTCAAACTCAGCAATCATGATGATACTCGAAATTTATATTCTAAATTACCACTTCAGATTTTTCTTGGAAGCAGTGTTTAATACTTTGTCATCTAAAAGAAGTTACACTTTTTAAAAATCAGAATTATTTTATTTCTCACAAGCAGATGATTTCATAGACATGCTTTTCTGTAAGTTAAAATATTTAAAACTTTAATAAAATAATGTATAGAACAAATAATATAAGTCAATGCCCTCCAGCACAACTCAAAAAAATTAAGAGGTTATATTAAGTTGGAAAATGAGAGCTAATATAAAAAATAGGTACATAAAACAAAAACAAGTATAGCTCATTAGAAATTTGCTACAATTCTTTGCATTACAATTATAATGATGTTTAACTCTTTCTTAAATATTTAAATTTGTCATTGATAATCTCATTTGTTTAAGAAACTATTTGTGAAACATCAAGGTTACATTTCATACCTTAATTGAATATAAAAGTAAGTACGAGAAATGTGAGTATTCCTATTTACATCAATGTTTTAACAGTTCTCATTACTCACCCTGTCTTGTCCTCATTTCCTTGTCTGTCATATGAAAGGCGTTTAACTATGCGATCTCTTAATCTCTTTAGAATTCCTGCATGCTATAAGGTATTGTCAATAAGGTATTTTTGGAAGGAAACCAAATACCTTAAGATCCAATACTCAGTGGCATAGGTGGATCCCACAGAATGAATGTCTTCATAAGACATGAAAAAAGAAAATACTGAAAACATGAGTAATAGCCAGAGTGATAATAAACAGGAAATAATTTATTAAACACTTATTAATAAAAAATTTAAAAATAAAATTAACTTCTTCATATTTATTTTCTAGTTTTAGAGAGGAAAAGACATACTTTAAGGGGTTGTTGTTGTTGTTTCCTGAGATAAGGTCTTGCTCTGTAGCCCAGGCTGAAGCATAGTAGTACAATCATAGATTACAGTAGTGAGCCTCCTTTCTCAGCCGCCCCAGTGGCTGGGACTACAGGTGCACACCACCATGCCCGGCTAATTTTTTTGTAGTAACAGGGTCTCACTATGTTGCCCAGGCTGGTCTTGAACTCCAGGCCTCAAGCGATCCTCTAGGCTCAGACTCCCAAACACTGGGATTCCAGAAATCAGCCACTGTGCTCAGCCTGGGATGGCACTTTTTAACCCAGAGTCACATTCTTTATGGCCGGAATCAAAGTACCTTATTTCAAATGCAGTTACATATCACAGAGGATTTTTTGATAACTTCCTGGATTGTCACACTGTCCTTTGTTCTGCAGTCTTACACCTATCTCCCCTACTGCCTCTGAAAAATAACAACACCTCTTTTATTATGAGAGACTGCATTTTCTATGAGAAAATACTTGACAACTTTATTATGAAATGATAATATATTTCATGATAAAGTGTGGCCTGTCCTTCCTCTGATTCCAGCATGCCCACTCAATTCCCTGTTGCCCTGCCCTACATATCACTTTCAGTGTGACATCAATGTTTCTTTAAGATAATGTATTTTTCTTTTGCTTCCCTCTCCCTTTCTCACACTTGCTCTTTATTTATTGTGAATGTGTTCCTTCATTTTCTCCTTCTGGCAATCTCACACTCATTTTTCAAGTCTCAAGTCTCATGTCACACAGTACCTTTTTCACGTAGCCTTCACTTACCTCCCCAGTGGGCTTAGGTGCTTCTTCCTCTGAGATCTGAAAGCAATATCAGTGCAGTTTCATGCATGCAATAACTTGTTCATAGAAAACACTTTATCTTTCATTGCCTTATATTGTGCGTTTCTCATCTTATTTCTCAGATGTACAATTAGTAATCTTGCTAAAAATCACACAATCCTAGATCATCCCCAAACCAAAGCCTTTATAACTTATGGTGGAACAATAGCATCTATGAGATGATCTACCGTGGAGTCCCTCCATGGGCATTCCTTTGTTTGCGGACCAACATGATAACATTGCTCACATGAAGGCCAAGGGAGCAGCTGTTATATTGGACTTGAGCACAAAGTCAAGTACAGATTTGCTCGATATATAGAAGACAGTCATATATAACCCTTCATGAGTATAATTTTTTTTTTACTCTATGTGGGGAAAAGAAAGAGAAATCAGACTGTTAATGTGTCTATGTAGAAAGAAGTAGACATAAGAAACTCCATTTTGTTCTGTACTAAGAGAAATTCTTCTGCCTTGAGATGTTGTTAATCTGTAACCCTAGCCCCAACCCTGTGCTTGCAGAGATATGTGCTGTGTTGACCCAAGGTTTAATGGATTTAGGGCTGTGCAGAATGTGCTTTGTTAAAAAAGTGCTTGAAGGCAGTATGCTTGGTAAAAGTCATCGCCATTCTCTAATCTCAAGTACCCAGGGACACAATACACTGTGGAAGGCCGCAGGGACCTCTGCCTAGGAAAGCCAGGTATTGTCCAAGGTTTCTCACCATGTGATAGCCTGAGATATGGCCTCGTGGGAAGGGAAAGACCTGACCGTCCCCCAGCCCAACACCCGTAAAGGGTCTGTGCTGAGGAGGATTAGTAAAATATGAAGGCCTCTTTGCAGTTGAGATAAGAGGAAGGCATCTGTCTCCTGCTTGTCCCTGGGAATGGAATGTCTCGGTGTAAAACCTGATTGTATGTTCTATTTACTGAGATAGGAGAAAACAGCCTTAGGGCTGGAGGTGAGACATGCTAGTGGCAATACTGCTCTTTAATGCACCAAGATGTTTGTGTACATGCACAACAAAGCACAGCACCTTTCCTTAAACTTATTTATGACACAGAGATCTTTGCTCACATGTTTTCCTGCTGACCCTCTCCCCACTATTACCCTATTGACCTGCCACATCCCCCTCTCCGAAATGGTAGAGTGATCAATAAATACTCAGGGAACGCAGACCCGTGCCGGCGTGGGTCCTCCGTATGCTGAGCGCTGGTCCCCTAGCCCCACTTTTCTTTCTCTATACTTTGTCTCTGTGTCTTATTCCTTTTCTCAATCTCTTGTCCCACCTGACCAGAAACACCCACAGGTGTGGAGGAGCTGGCCCCCTTCAATTTACATATTTTACAGGAAGGCCAATGTGGCAATAGTATGGCTGAAAATGAATACAGTAGTAAGTACAAATTTGCTTAATTTTTGTCAGTTAGTTTTTTTCCAGTGGTTTTAGTGAAAAAATTTGTAGGAGGTTTAAGGATAGTGGACAAATTTTGAAATAGCCTCAAGCAGAATGAAAGGAATTACTGAAGTTTGTCACTAAATGATTACAGAAAGCGTTGAGAACAAAGTTGAAGTAGGGAACCATGAATATTATAATTACTAATCTGCAGAGTTATCATTTTCTTTCAGCATGAAAACTTTTCAAATGTTTTAAAGTCTTCTAAAGTGTTTTAGGTTCCAGTAAAGGAACACAACATAATCAATCACTAATTCCCATTACATTTGATGCATCCTGAATTTCCTATGTGAATATTTTGATCCCTTCAATGATAAATAATAAACAACCAGGGATTTCAAATTTACCCAATTAAAACTATTGAAAAAAGAGGATACTGCGTATAAATGTAGGCATATTCTTAGCTCTTTTGGTTGTGGTTTTTTGTCATATCTGAAGAATTATAAAATCACGAAGTATTTTACTTGGAAGAGATAAGTTGGAATTTTCCTGGTTAAAAGGCAAAATTTCTGAAACCAAAAATATTTTGTTTCCAAATTATTCAGTATATACATTAATTTCAGTTATAATATTACTATTATTATTTTTAATCTTTTTATATATATATATATATTTTCCTTCTGTTTCATAATGACCTACATAAAAATACAACATTTTGTTTGAGGGTATATTGGCAATAATAATACACTGAACATGAAATGTTTTTAAAGCTATGTTACTTTAATTTTAGCACAACTGATGTTCATCCTACTGAGTACCACGAGAAGCATGTTTTCTTTTTGTTTTTGAGAAACAAATATATCTTTCACTTAGTGGTTGAATGTAAAAGTACATCTCTCTAGCATAGATGTCTTTCTACACTTGTTGCTTTTTAATAAACCTAATGCTAGTGTACAAAAATGAAAATAATTTTTTTTTGAGACAAGGTCTCTCTCTGTTGCCCAGGCTGGAGTGCAATGGTGCAATCTCACTCACTGCAACCTCTGCCTCCTAGGCTCAAGTGATCTTCCCACCTCGGCCTCCTGAGTAGCTCAGACTACAGGCACATGCCATATGCCACAATAAGTTTTAGTATTTTTTAATTTTGTAGAGACAGGGTTTTGCCATGTTGCTCAGGCCGGTCTCCAACTACTGAACACAAGTAATCCACCCACTCTGGCCTTCCAAAATGCCGGGATTACAGGCCTGAACCACCATGACCAGCTGATAATTTCTCTACTAGCTGATACATATTGAATATTTATAATATGAAAGATATTGTATTAGTTTTTTAATGTATTAAGTAATTTCTTCATTTCCCCATTAAATTATAAAAATATAACAGGATTAGTACCCACTCTCAAAAACCCAGTTCTCCCACTCTGTTTTTCAAATAAGAGGAAATGATCTCCATTGATATTGCTGTAGTGCCATTCTATAGCATTTTGTGGTTCAACGTTTGCAAGCCATATCCCCATTTACACCTGTTTTCATTATCTGTCAGTTTATAATCAATTTTTTTTTTTTTTGAGACAGAGTCTTGCTCTGTCGCCCAGGCTGGAGTGCAGTGGCACAATCTCGGCTCACTGCAACCTCTGCCTCCTGGGTTCGCGCCATTCTCCTGTCTCAGCCTCCTGAGTAGCTGGGACTACAGGCGCCTGCCAGCATGCCCGACTAATTTCTTTTTGTATTTTTAGTAGATATGGGGTTTCACCATGTTAGCCAGGATGGTCTCGATCTCCTGACCTCGTGATCTTCCCGCCTCAGCCTCCCAAAGTGCTGGGATTGCAGGCGTGAGCCACCGCGCCCGGCCTCATAATCATTTCAATAGTAGAAAGAGATGCAACTGCAATGCCTCAAAGTAAAATGTTGAGCACTTTCCAGATGCTAAAATAAGAATACTAACAAGAAAAACAATAATTACAATACCAAACATTAAGTAAGAGTCTACTATATAATAGAAGTCTACTACATAATAAGAATAATTTTAAGTATTTTATGAATCAATACATTATTGCTCACAATAATCAAATAAGAAATATACTTTTCCTATGTGTTACACTGAATAAAAAACTGAGGAACAGAGAGAGTAATAAAAACAGATAAGACAACCCACCTTCTCATATTTAAAACTTAATTCACTGTTATAAGGTCAACATCAAATCCTGGTCAGTACTAACTCCTGATTAGCCCTATCTGGATGTGGCCCTGCACCTCATCACAAACTTGCCTTCTACCTCTGGATTTTGATACTGTTTTGAACCTTGTATAGCCTTGAAGAAAGTCAAACCTGGAAGTTATACTTCCAGACATCTAGACTACAGTGGTATTACTGTGAGGATAGACAGATATATCTATAGAAGAGAGGTCGGAGACCAGAAACTGACACATACATCTAGTCACCTAATTTTATGACAACTACACAACTACAATTTACTGGGCAAACAATTTTGCTTTTCAACAAGTGATTCTGAATTAATAGAATATACTGTTGATATGGTTTGGCTCTGAGTCCCCACTCAAATCTCATCTTGAATTGTAATTCCTGCATGTCCAGAGAGGGATCTGGTGGGAGGTGATTGGATCATGGGGGCAGTTTCTCCATGCTGTTCTTATGATACTCAGTGAGTTCTCACAAGATCTGATGGTTTTAAAGTGTTTGGCAGTTCACCCCCTCTCCTTTTCTCTCTCTTGCTGCCTTGTGAAGAAGGTGCTTGCTTCTTCTTCACCTTCCACCGGGATTGTAAGTTTCCTGAGGCTTCCTCAGCCACGAGTAACTGTGAGTCAATTAAACCTTTTTTGTTTATAAGTTACCCAGTCTCCAGCAGTTCTTTATAGCAATGTGAAAACAGACTAATACACCTGTAATCCAAAAAGTGACTGAGGCAGATCTCAGTGGATTCAGAGATCTATTTTACCAAGGTGGAGGACATGCCTGGGAAAAAGAAATACAAGTTACAGTAGGATCTGTGGCCTGAGTTTTTTCAAACAGGGTTTTGGGAACTTCAATATTTAAAGGGAAAAGAGCAAGCAGGAGGGGAAGGAAAAAAAAGGGAGGTAGGGTAGGCAATGAGTCAATTCTTGTGAAGCTCTGATTAATGCTCGGTGAATATACATTTTACATTTGGAAGGAAGACTGTGGGGGAAAGGTCAATTATGCATTTGACTTGTACTCAGTAAATCTACATTTTATGTAAGAGATAAAGTAAGCATATGAAATTACAGCTGTCTGTTTGGGAACAAAAGGCAAGTAGGGTTTTGTTTTTTTTTTTTGTCTTTTTGCTTTTTGTGATTTTTGCATGACTCAGTGGACATCCAGGCATTTCCATACGTCCTCTGGAATCTAGGCAGAGGTTCCCAAACCTCAATCCTTATATTCTGTGCACCCACAGGCCCAACACCACATGGAAGCTGCCAAGGCTTGGGGCTTGAACCCTCTGAAGCAATGGCCCAAGCTGTATTTTGGCACCTTTAAGACATGGCTGGAGCTGGTGCAGCTGGGATGCAGGTCACCAAGTCCTGAGGCTGCACAGAGCAGCAGGGCCCTGAGCCTGGCCCAAGAAACGTTTTTTGCCCTGCTACGCCTCAGGCCTGTGATGGGAGGGGCTGCTGTGAAGATCTCTGACATGCCCTGGGTATATTTTCCCCATTGTCTTGGCTATTAACATTTTGTTCCTCATTACTTATGCAAATTTCTGTGGCCAGCTTGAATTTCTCCCTAGAAAATGGATTTTTCTTTTCTACCTCAGTGTAAAGCTCCAAATTTTCCAAACTTTGATGCTCTACTTCCCTTGTATTAATAAACATAAGTTCCAATTTCAAATTATCTCTTTGCGAATGCATACAACTATACACTTTCAGGAAAATTCAGTTCACCTATTGAATGCCTGCTGCTTAGAAATTTCTTTGGCCAGATACCCTAAATCATCTCTCTCAAGTTCAAAGTTCCACAGATCTCTAGGGCAAAGGCTGCCTGTCTCTTTGTTAAAGCATAGCATGAGTGTGATCTTTACTCCTGTTCCCAATAGTTTCCTCATCTTTAACGGAGACTACCTCAGTGTGGACTTCATTGTTCATATCACTATCAGTATTTTGGTGAAAACCACTCAACAAGTCTCTAGGAAGTTCCAAACTCATATCTTCCTGTCTTCTTCTGAGCCCTCCAAACTGTTCCAAACTCTGCCCATTACCCAGTTCCAAAGTTGCTTCCACATTTAAGTATCTTTACAGCAGTGCCCCACTCCTGGTGTCACTTCTCTGTATTATTTCATTTCCACAATGTTATAAAGAAATACCCACGATTGGATAATTTATAAAGGAAAGAGGTTTAATTGACTCACAGTTCCACATGGCTGGGGAGACCTCAGAAAACTTACAATCATGGTGGAAGGCAAAGGAGAAACAAGTACCTTCTTCACAAAGTGGCAGAAAAAGAGAGAGTAGAGGAAACTGACACTTAGAAAACCATCAGATCTCATGAGGAGAACTCACTTACTATCATGAAAACACCATGGGGAGAACACCAACCCCATGATCCAATCACCTGCCACCAGGTTCCTCCCTCAACACCTGGGGATTACAATTTGAGATGAGATTTGGGTGGGGACACAAAGCCAAACCATATCAACAATGAGCATGAGGATAAGAATGTAGGAGAATAACTTCATGGCCTTGTAGTAGGGGAACATTTCTTAAACAGGACATAAAAAGCACTCACCATCAAGGAAAGTGTGACAGTTGGCCTTCATTAAAATTAAGAACTTCTGTTTATGAAATGACACTGTTAAGAGAATGAAAAAGAAAGCCACAGTCTGGAAATATATATTTGCAATATATACACTGGATGAGGATAACATATCCAGAATATATAAATTGGAATCATAGAATTCCATGTTAAGGATAGAAGCAATGTCATAGTGAATCTAGCTCTGGTTTAGCCCAATCTTTTGAGCCATAAGGAAAAATGCTGGTGGATAATATAGCTGAAAATAGAACATAAGCCACAGTGTTCAAAACACCGGGCTATTTTATTATATTTGCAACAAGGTCTAATAAGGATTATTCAAAGACTTAAGTAGCTTAAAAAAACTTACTTTGAACTATTTTCTGACTTATAAAAAGTTGCAAAAATAGAAAAAGGAGTTTCCTTATATTTTTCACCCCACTTCTTCTAACACAAACATTTCATATAACCATAGAATAGTTATTGGGAACAGCAAATTAACATTAGTAGAATATTAGTAACTAAAACATAGGACTTATGTGAAATATTAAAAATCTGACACTTGGATATGCAAGGGTGTACTAATAATTTCTTTCACTATTTTCAACATAGGCCAAAACCCACTGATCTCATCCTTTGAGGATTAGAATTCTTTAAAGTTTTAAAAGAAAGACACTTATTCTTTACATCCTAGAGTTTACTTTTACTAAAACTAACCTGATGCCTGTAATCCCAGCACTTTGGGAGGCCGAGGTGGGTGGATCACTTGAGGTCAGGAGTTCAAGACCAGCCTGACCAACATGGTGAAGCTCCATCTCCACTAAAAATACAAAAATTAGCCAGATGTGGTGGGGTGTGCCTGTAGTCCAGCTACTTGGGAGGCTGAGGCAGAAGAATCACTGGAACCCGGGAGGTGGAGGTTGCAGTGAGCCAAGATCATGCCCCTGCACTCCAGCCTGGGCGACATAGAGACACTCTGTCTCAAACAACAACAACAGCAACAACAATACAAAGCAAAACCAAACAAACAAAAAACAAAACTAGAGAAATAGTGTATGGCGGCCCAGCGCAGTGGCTCACGCCTGTAATCCCAGCACTTTGGGAGCCCGCGGCTGGTGGATCACGAGGTCAGGAGATCGAGACCATCCTGGTTAACACAGTGAAACCCTGTCTCTACTAAAAATACAAAAAAATTTAGCCGGGCGTGGTGGCGGGCGCATGTAGTCCCAGCTACTCGGGTGGCTGAGGCAGGAGAATCGCTTGAACCCAGGAGGTGGAGGTTGCAGTGAGCCGAGATCGCGCCACTGCACTCCAGCCTGGGCAACAAAGTGAGACTCCATCTCAAAAAAAAAAAAATTGGTGGGCATGGTAGCACACGCCTGCAGTCCCAGCTACTCAGGAGGCTGAGACAGAAGAATTGCTTGAGTCCAGAAGGTGGAGGCTGCAGTAAGCTATGCAATGATTATGCCACTACACATCATCCTGGGCAACAAAACAAGACCCTGTCTCAAAAAAAAAAAAAAAAAAGAGAGAGAGAAAGAAAAGAGAGAAATTGTTTCCAAACTGTGATATTTGTAAAATTTATCAGAATTTGATAATTCTGTCAAAAATACAATGTCTTGAGCACCATTCCCAGACTCAAATACATTGGTCTGGGGGGCAGGAATTGGATTCTGCTTTTTAAATAATCATTTGCTGGTGGATTACTCTGTTAAACATGACCTGAAAAGTACATTTGACAGAAATCAATTGTTTCCAAAGAAGTTCTTGGGAGGTTTAGTATTTATGAATTTTCCTTCAAAAAAGGAGGGGTGGTGGCTGTCAGGCCTCTGAGCCCAAGCCCGCACGTATACATCCAGATGGCCTGAAGTAACTGAAGAATCACAAAAGTAGTGAAAATGGCCGGTTCCTGCCTTAGCTGATGACATTACCTTGTGAAATTCCTTCTCCTGGCTCAGAAGCTCCCCCACTGAGCACCTTGTGACCCCCGCCTCTGCCCACCAGAGAACAACCCCCTTTGACTGTAATTTTCCACTACCTACCCAAATCCTGTAAAACGGCCCCAGCCCTATCTCCCTTCACTGACTCCTTTTTCGGACTCAGCCCACCTGCACCCAGGTGAAATAAACAGCCTTGTTGCTCGCACAAAGCCTGTTTAGTGGTGTCTTCACACGGATGCGCGTGACAGTGGCAGTGAGACAAATGATTACATACTTGTGAGACATTATTTAGTGCCCAGTAAATGAACAGTTTACATAAGATAGGTGAACATTTGAGGAAAAAAGAGAATAGAGGGAGCAGATGTCTCAGGGGAAGGTGAAGGAATTATTAATCTCATCTTACCTTTGTTCTATACATGGAAGACAATTTAGCAGTCTTTTGAAGAGGCTGATTTCTGTTTAGTTAATTTATTACCTAGTATAATGCCTGTGTGACATAGCTGAACTTCTACCTCACTGTAACTTTCCTTATTTTTAGAAACAGGAAGGCATGCAGACAGAAGTTCCTCCTCAGGAGAATTGGTCAAAAACCAGTTAGAATCAAGATGGCTGACTGAGTGGCCGTAAATATATCTCAGACTTCATTATAATCCAATTTTCATGCTAAGTGACACTTCCAGCCGGGTCATGATAGTTAACAGTCGCCATGACAATGACCAGAAGAAACCATAAAAGAACAAGAACAAGGTTGGACTCTGGTTCTGATATCACTGCCCATTTCCAGAAAGGATATGAATATTCCTCCCCTCCCTTTTAATGTCCAAGCCTTTCCTTAAAGAGACTCTACATTTTAACTCCTCACCTCTCACTAGGTGAGAAGTTGATCTGTGAGCCATGTTCCTGTTTCTCCTTTCTTTGCTCCACTCGATGCTCATGTTTGGTTTTGTGTATTGGCTCTGCAATACCAAACAAGGAAAGATCCCACTTTTGGGACTACCAAGTTTATTGGGACTACTTAGGGAAGAAAACCTAATGACAGTTAGCAAGGGAAGGGTTATGATGAGGCATGACTGATCTCCCGTCCCATTATGGTTGTGAATGCAGGTTTTCTCTGTGGTTCCCTTTGTCAAGAGGAAATCCATTCAGTCAGTTGTGGGGGCTTAGAATTTTATTTTTATTTCTCAAGTCACAACCCTTTACTGACACAAAATTCTTTGAAATTTTTTCATAGAGAAAACTTACTAGTATGAAGGTGACTGTCATATATCTGGCATTCACCTACAATGGTAGTTGTGAAAAAGAACTATTACAGCCTAGCACAGCTCTGAGCAAATGTATTGAGATTCTTGTAAATCAGAATTTTGCTATATTCATATCTATATCATTCAAAAGTATACATAGCTTTGAAATGAGATTACCACCACGGCTGACAATGTAAGCTCAGTTTTGTTCTCTGTTGATAAATCTCTGATACACTGAAAAATTCTAGTTTAATATGGCTGTGTTAGAATAAGAAATATGTTTGGCAATCTGGTTCCAGGCACAAAACTCCTAAAACCCTTGGAATTTTCTGAGTGATAGAAGTTTCTTTTGTTATTCATAATGAGCTCCTTAGATTCCTGAGGCTGAGTAATTTCAGTGACCTTAGTACCCAGTTAGTACAGCACCAAAGTGTTTGTATCTTCCCTTTTCGCCTCCACTCATTTGTAAAGTACTATGCAAATACATATCAATAGTCAACCTTAACTTTCTTTGGTGAACAAATTCCGTATGGGCATATGGAGATGCCACTCCTGCAAAAACAAGTTTCTAGAATTCCCAGGAGAACTAAGAAAATAAAATACTACATTTTGGTTTGTTTGTTTTACTTTTTGGGGGAGTTTTGCAAAAATCAATTACAGAGTCAACTCAATTAGGTCAGTAAAATTCTTGTTAGGTGACATGTGGATCCAAAAGCATAGCAGCATAAATATATCAAGCAAATACCACCTACATTGTTTCTACCTCTATTTTGTGGAAGCTGAATCCTGGTAGTTCCAAAGAGTAGAATGACTGACAGCTAGCTGTTCCTTACAGTTCTGTCATTTTAGGCAGACACAGCCATCAATGAGCCATGACCTAGGAGGGACTATTTCTCAAAGAGCAGTAACATTCCTCTGTAGATGGCTGCTAGTCAAAACAGCAGCCCACATTTTCTTCCCTGTCTGCCCACAAGAGTTTTTTCAGTGGTTGCTAGTATTGCTTCCTTTTGCCTTCCCATCTCTATTTCTATGCACGCCTCTGACCGAAAAGACATTTATGTTCAATGACTTGAAAACCTTTTCAAAAAGTAATTTTGGTAGGCAAATGCCATAAATAAATTTTTTTTCTTTCTTCTTTTTTTTTTTGAGACGGAGTCTCGCTCTGTCGCCAGGCTGGAGTGCAGTGTCGCGATCTCGGCTCACTGAAACCTCCGCCTCCCGGGTTCAGATTCTACCGCCTCATCCTTAGTAGCTAGGACTACAGCTAATTTGTGTGTTTTTAGCAGAGACGGGGTTTCACCATGTTGGCCAGGATGACATTAAAAAGGTTTTCTTTAGTATGGATCTTTCTCACTTGTTTTAGAGTAACTGGAATTACTAGGGATAAAATCCAAAGAAAATTCTCAGCTCTTCACTTAAACACTGTGGTCATCTCCCTCTAAGTTCTTTGATTTTTTAATTTATTTTTTTCTGTCCTTACACACCATCTAGTGGACATGTGGGGTAATGACTAAAATGTAAGTGGTAAGAGCAAAAAGTCCTGAATCGTCAGTGAGCCAGTTTTTGAGTAATGAAATAATCCAAATAACTAAGCTTTTAAAACTGACTATTAGTTACTTAGTTTGGGTTAAAAAATGTTCCCTTTCTTTCCCAAATTTCATAATGAGAGCAATGCTGACATTTTAATCAACAATGAGAAATTTGTAACGAATGTAACACATCCTCTAATATTTTCTCAAGGTGCATCCTTTACTAAAGATGATAGTATATTGATTAATTGGTTTAAAAATAATGAGTTTAAATAAAATATTTTATCAGAAAAATAAAAACTGTAGACTTTTAGTTCACATGACTTTACTTATGGATTTGGACTTTTCAGTTAATGATGGAATATGTTAAGACATTGGGGGGACTGCTGGGAAGGCATGATTGGTTTTGAAATGTGAAAAGGACATGAGATTTGGGAGGGCACGGGGGCAGAATGATATAGTTAGGCTCTGTGTCCCTACCCAAATCTCGTCTCTAATTGTAATCCCATGATGTGGGAAGATCTGGTGGGAGGTGATTGGATCATGGGGGCAGTTTCCCCTATGCTGTTCTCATGATTGTGAGAGCGTTCTCACAAGATCTCATGGTTTAAAAGTGGGTTTCCCCTGCGTGCTCTGTCTCTCCTGACACCATGTAAGACATGTTTTGCTTCCCTTCCACCAGGATTGTAGTTTCCTCAGGCCACACCAGCCAGAAAGAACTGTGAGTCAATTAAACCTCTTTTCTTTATCTTGGGTAGTTCTTTATATCAGTGTGAAAATGGATGAATACAGAGAATTGGTACCAAGAGTGGGGTAATGCTATAAAGATATTTGAAAATGTGGAAGCAACTTTGGAACTGGGTAATGGGGAGAGATTGGAACAGTTTGGAGGGGCCAGAAGAAGACAGGAAGATGTGAGAAAGTCTGGAACTTCCTTGAGACTTGTTGAATGGTTTTAACCAAAATGTTGATAGTGATATGGATAATAAAGCCAAGGCTGAGGTGGTCTCAGATGGAGATGGCAAACTTATTGGGAACTGGAGCACAGGTCACACATGCTTTTTTTTTAGCAAAGAGACAGGTGGCATTTTGCCCCTGCCCTGGAGATCTGTGGAACTTTGAACTTGAGAGAGATGATTTAGGGTATCTGGCAGAAGAAACTTCCAAACAGCAAAGCATTCAAGATGTGGCCTGGTTGATTCTGAAAGTGTTCAGTCATGCGAGTTCACAAAGAGATGGTTTGAAATTGGAACTTCTTATGTTTAAAAGGGAAGCAGAGCATAAAGGTTTGAAAAATTTGCAGCCTGACCAAGAGGCAGCTAAGAAAAACCCATTTTCTGGGAAGGAATTCAAGCTGGCTGAAGACATTTGCATAAGTAACAAGGAGTTGAATGTTAAGAGCCAAGACAATGAGGAAAATATCTCCAGGGCATGTGAAAGATCTTCACAGCAGCCCCTTCCATCATAGGCCTGGAGGCCTAGGAAGGAAAAATGGTTTCATGTGAACTGGGCTCAGGGTCCCCCTGCTCTGTGCAGCCTTGGGACATGGCACCCTGCATGTCAGCTGCTCCAGCCATGTACAGCTTGGGCCATTGCTTCAGAGTGTGCAGGTCCCAAGCCTTGGTGGCTTCCATGTGATGTTGGGCCTTTGAGTGCACAGAAGACAAGAGTTGAGGTTTGGGAACCTCCACCTAGATTTCAGAAGATGCATGAAAACACCTGGATGTCCATGCATAAGTCCGTTGCAGTGGTGGAGGCCTCATAGAGAACCTCTACTAATACAATGCAGAGGGGAAACATGGGATTGGAACCCTCACACAGGGTCCCCACTGGGGCACTGTCTAGTGGAGGTGTGAGAAGAAGGCCACTGTCCTCTAGACCCCAGAATGGTAGATCCACTGACAGCTTGCATTGTGCATCTGGAAAAACCACAGGCACTCAACACCAGCCTGTGAAAGCAGGCACAGGAGCTGTACCCTGCAGAGCCACTCAAGGCCATGGGAGCTCACCCCTTGCACCAGTGTGCCCTGAATATGAAATATGGAGTCAAAGGAGATTTTGGAGCTTTAAGATTTAATTAGTGCAGAGTTGGGTTTCAGACTAGCGTGGGGCCTGTGGCCTCTTTGTTTTGACCAATTTATCCCATTTGGAATGGGAACATTTACCCAATGCCTGTATCCCCATTGTGTCTTACAAGTAACTAACTTGCTTTTGATTTTATAGGATTATAGGTGAAAGGGGCTTGCCTTGTCTCAGATGAGACTTTGGACTTGGACTTTCGAGTTAATGCTAGAATGAACTAAGACATGGGAGACTTTTGGGAAGGCATGATTGGTTTTGAAATGTGAGGACATGAGATTTGGTCAGGGGAACAGGGGCAGAATGATATGGTTTGGCTCTGTGTCCCCATCCAAATCTCATCTTAACTTGTAATCCCCACATGTCGAGGGAGGAACCTGGTGGGAGGTGATTGGATAATGGGGGCAGTTTCCCCATGCTGTTCTTGTGATAGTGATGGAGTTTTCATGAGATCTGATGGTTTAAAAGTGGCAGTTTCCCCTGCGTGCTCTCTCTCTCGTGACACCATGTAAGACGTGCCTTGCTTCCCCTTCTCCTTCCACCAAGATTGTATATTTCCTGAGGCCTCCCCAGTCATGTGGAACTATGAGTTAATTAAGCCCCTTTTCTTTATAAATTACTCAGTCTTGCATAGTTCTTTATAGTAGTGTGAAATGGACTAATACATACATTTATCTTTTAAAATAGTGCAACAGACCTTTCTGGAATCCTTTAGTCAATTACTCTTCCATATAACACAGAAACAAAGCAATGGTTAAGAGAAGTAGAAGTGAGAGATATCACATCTGAGTAAAATAAAATAAGGAAACAAAAGAAGAATTGAGAAGTCAAAGAAAATAAAAACTAATCTATATTTTTTATAGAAAGAATAAATTAACCTAGTAATTTTATAATGAATTACCTATATAATATGTTGTTCATGCTATATATTCATCTCAATTTGTACTATGTGTAATACACTATATGTACTATATGTACTATGTGTAATACACTATATGTACTATGTGTAATACACTATATGTACTATGTGTAATACACTACATGTACTATGTGTAATACACTATATGTACTATGTGTACACTATATGTACTATGTGTACTATATGTACTATGTTTAGTGGTACACTAAATAGGAATACAGAGCAGAATAGCATAAAGCAAAGCAGAAAGCATAAATATATCTTAAATATATTATTTATCGATCAGGAAAGATAAAATAATTAGTCGTTAACAACTCAGCGTATTGCAAACATAGCACCTGCTGAAGAAATCTAACAACAAAACTCTCCCAACCCAGAAGAAACCTCACAAGTAGTTATGGTTAATATAAACGTTAATCAGAGTACTTTGCATTATTAATGTAAGTACTGATTTGCAGTCATGAATATGTAATATAAATAGATAAATCTGCTCTTGGAGTCGACAAGCTAACCACTTTTTTTGCCAGCCTGTAGATGACAGTCATCATCAGACACCAATTTTGGAAAAACTGACTGACTTTTGACTGGGAGGAGTTCTGTACAGGGCCGATGGCCATGGCAGGCCAACATATGAGGGAGAAGCCAACACCACTGTGGAGCCTCTCTAATCATCAGGCAGTGGCTGGTGAATGTAGCTTCTTGTTTTCTTGAGTAAATTTATAAACTTGGCTCAAGTTCAGAGACATTGAGTATTAACCTAAACAGTATTCAACCCACCAGTTCTGTCTGTTGTACTAAAGGTAAAAGGCTAAATGTTAGAGTTAAATGAAATTCACAAATGACCTCATAATGGAAGAGCAGATAAAACATTTTGACTTGTTTTTATAAAAAAGATGTGGGTTTTTCTTGCCTGCTTCCCAGATAAAGTTGATTTATCAAGACAAGGGAATTGCAATAGAGAAAGAGTTTAATACACGTAGAGCCAGCTAAATGGGAGAGCAGAATTTTCTTATTACTCAAATCAGCCTCCCCTCAAATTCAGATGCTAGGGTTTTTTACAGATACTTTGGCAGGCAGGAACTAGGAAATGGGGAATGTTGATTAGTTGGGTCCTCTTGTGCTGAGTCAGTTCCTGGGTGGAGGCCACAAGATCAGATGAGCCAGTTTACCAGTCTGGGTTGTACCAGCTGATCTATCAGAACATAGGGTCTAAAAAAATATCTTGAACACCAATGTTCGGTTTTGCAGTAGTTATGTTATTCATAGGAACAACTGGGGAGGTTGTAGCCTCTAGCTGCATGACTTCTGAGTCATAATTTCTAATCTTGTGTCTCATTTGTTAGCTTTATGAAGGCAGTCTGGTCCCCCCAGCAAGAAGGCAATTTGTTTAGGGAAGCGCTGTTATCACCTTTGCTCCAAAGTTAAATTATAAACTAAATTCCTCCCAGAGTTAGTTTGGCCTATGCCCAAGAATGAACAAAGGCAGCTTGGAGGTTATAGGCAAGATGGAGTCAGTTAGATTAGATCTCTTTCACTGTCATAATTTTCTCACCATTATAGTCTTTTCAAAGGCTGTTGGCTCTCTTTGAATACACAATACATAATACTTATTATGTGTCTGGAAATTTAGATATATCTTTTTAACTTCGTCTTCACAATTTTCTATTTTTTAAAAACGAAAAATGAGACTCTGAGAGTTTAAGTAATTTGCCCAAGGTCATATAGAATGTAAACAACCCAACTCAAATTTGCAGCCAGATTTTCAGAGTGTATCTTCTTCCACTTTACCATATTTTCTTCTTCTCTAGGAATTTAGAATAATTAAAAGAGTAGAGCAGGCAATGGCAAGGACTCTGGAGCAGATCTTCTGGGTCTGAATTTCACCTGTCACATACTAATCATGAAATGCTTGGCAGGTTATTTAACCTCTTCATGCTTCAGTTTAACAATCTATAAAATAACAGGTAATAATACCTACCTCATAGCGTTGCTGTGAGAATTGAGTTGATATATGGAAGAATCACAGGGCGTTAAGGTGCTTAAAAAGGTCTCTCTAAAAAGCTAAAATCTGAGCTAGATCTTGAAAAATGGGTAGGATTCATTGGCAGGAAAAAATAGGGTGTTTTATGAGAACTGTAAACTAAAAGTAAAATCCTAAGCCTCTCCCTTAGCCAAGGGGAGAAAAACCTTAAAAACTGAATTCCTGGCCTGGCACAGTGACTCACAGCTATAATTCCATAGGTGGATCATGAGGTCAGGAGTTCGAGACCAGCCTGGCCAACATGGTGAAACCCTGTCTCTACTAAAAATACAAAAATTAGCTGGGCATGATGGCAGATGCCTGTAATCCCAGCTACTTGGGAGGCTGAGGCAGGAGAATCACTTGAACCCGGGGGGCTGGAGGTCGCAGTGAGCCAAGATCACGCCATTGCACTCCAGCCGGGGCAACAGAGTGAAACTTCACCTCAATTCAAAACAAAACAAAACAAAACAAAAAAAAGACAAAACTGAAATCTTGGCTATGATGTGAAGGAAGGTCAGACATGCTGCCTTATACTCTCTCCCTTTTGCAGTTTAGGCATAACAGCTGACTAGCATTAATGTTAAAATAGACATCTTAAGACTGACATAACAGATACTTTGCTGCAGTAAGATAGTAAATTATAAACAAGTCCTAAGGCCATGCAAGGCAAGTGTGAAGCCTCACCCACAGGCCATCAATCTTGCCACATCCTTATCTTGCTACATCTTTATCTTGACTTAAAACATTTAAAACAATTTGTTCTGCTGACTTTAAGTTTTAGAGAGAACCTTACTCCTTTAATCAATTGCAAATTAAAGAATCTTTGAATCCACCTATAAACTGTAAGCCGCTCCCCCTTCAAGATATCCCACCATTTTGAGGTCAAACCAATGAATACCTTCCGTGTATTGATTAATATCTTTGCCTGTAACTCCTGCCTCCCTAAAATGTATGAAACCAAACTTTAACCACCTTGGGCGCACTTTCTCAGGACTTCTTGAGATTGTGTTTTCTCTGGGCTCATGGTCATTCATATTACCTCAGAATAAAACTCTTTAAAATATTTTAGAGTTTGATTTTCCTGTTAACAGAAAAATAGTAAGAACTTATAACAATAAGAAGTAAAATATAAAGTAAATGAAGGAGAAAAATGTTATCATATATCTTAGGGACATTAAATAGGAATATCATTTTTTAATGAAGTAAAGTAGGTTTTCGTTGGAGAACTAATAAATATGATAGAAAAAGCAGGTTGTAGACAGTTATGGAGAACCTTGAATGCTATCCTAATGCATTTACCCTGTGGAATATGATGAACTTTTTTTAAGTGAAAGCAAGTTTATTAAGAAAGTAAAGGAATAAAAGAATGTCTACTTCATAGACAGAGCAGAAGCTTGGGATATTAGACTAAGGATACTTACAGTTATTTATTGATTATTTGCTAAACAAGAGGTGTATTCTTCATGAGTTTTCTGAGAAAGAGGTAGGCAATACCCAGAATTGAGGTTTCCTCCCCTTTTTAGACCATATGGGGTAACTTCCTGACATTGCCATGACATTTGGAAATTGTCATGGCGTGGGTGGGAGTGTCTTTTAGCATGTCAATGCATTATAATATGTATAATGAGCAGTGAGGATGACCAGAGGTCACTCTCATTGCCATCTTGGTTTTGGTGGGTTTTGGCTGGCTTCTTTATCGCAACCTGCTTTATCAGCAAGGTCTTTATGACCTGTATCTTGGGCCAACCTCCTATCTCATTCTGTGAGTTAGAACGTCTTAACCTCCTGGGAATGCAGCCCAGTAGGTCTCTCAGCCTTATTTTACACAGCCCCTACTCAAGATGAAGTTGCTCTGGTTCAAATGTCTCTGACATATTTCCCCCCTTCCCTTTTACAAGGGAATCCTTAATACTAAGGGTTGCAGAGGGATGAAGATTCATCTTCTGTAACTTATTCATGGTGAACAGGGGCAATGATAGTCCTACCTAACTATTAAGGTCTCTTGTATTCAGGGTAGAGAGCAGCTCAGTTAGAAAACATCGGTATGTTAAGGGCCACTCATAACTCTTGAGTTCCAACAAAAGGTGATATCTGGAAAATTAATAAGTGTTCAGTTTAAGAAAACATTTGGTAAGCTTATCCTGCATTCCTACACAAAGAGTAGAACAGCAATATATTCCACAATAGTAAAGCAAAATAAGTAAAATTACCCCAACTAAATGAAATAAGAATGCTTACCATGAACTGGGCAATTGTTGAAACCAAGCTGATATGGGTTGCTAGCTGATTCCAACATGCTCAGAATTAGAATATTGATCCATATTTTTACATTATGCATCTCTCCTGTTTCTCCTGAGCAGCAGCCAGAAATCACTGGTTGGTTCACAGGAAAAAAGTAGGGTCAGTTTAAATCTCAGGAAAAAAAAAACTCCAAAACAATTTATGAGACTAGGGTCTAGTAACAGGTGTACCACAGTTTTTGAAACATGATTTTTTTCTCTCTCCAGTTTCCCATTTTTACTAAGGATAAATCATGGTAAGACTGATTTGCTTTATTATACTTGGCCTGATTATTTCTATAAATTCAGCAAAAATAATTATTTTTTTACATAGGCTTTTAAAAATTGGCTTTGATGGAAATCTGTTCCATAGAAGTAATCTCAGATAAGACTTTTAAAACCAATCCCAGCCATAGGTTTGTACCCTCAAATACCCATGAGTTGGGTAAATTCCTCTCCACTTGAGGTCCCAAGGTAATTTGGGGCTTCTGAGGCTATTAGAAAGTGACATTCTTTACTTACTGTAGGTCAGGAACCCTGTACAGGGACTGTGTAGACAATGTATAAGGCCAGTTTTCCCAAGGGCTTTTTATTGGTTCTACAAGTTAAATTTGATTCTTTAAAGGAAAGCACACCATTCTAGTCAAGGCCTTGGTAAAATAACGAGTTTCTCCAATTGTGTCCTATTGAAAAATAAAACATTGTTATTGCACTTACGCAAATAACTATATTGCCATAAGTTAAGAATACTCACACATAGTCTCCAAATTCTGGAGAAATCAGGTAGAGAGAAACAAATATGCTCCACCTTTTGTTCATGGGAGTATACTATAATCAGTCATTAAAAGCTGTAAATAGCTCAAAAGAAAAGTTTCCTTGACTCTAAAAAACAAGATAAAAGATCAGCAATGTTTTAAGCAAAAAGTCAAAAAAGATCACATAAGCCTTCTATTAATTTCTATTAAGTTAACTCCTGTCCTGCTTGATATTCATAAACATTTTGGCTCTCCATGAGTCCTGAAAGTTTTTCTCTCTATTCTAGTGTCATAATTTCCAAAGTTGTCAGAAACCTGCATTCAAGAGCACCTGAAAGTTCTATAGCTGATTATAAACCACCTTTTGAAGAGGATGAAAACTAGAAAACAATTGTCCATGGATGACAAAACATCTTAGGGCAGCCTCTATTAAAGCTACAATTGACTAGAAATTTTGATTACTCCTGTGGCATACAACAATTTTACATAACAATTATAGTTTTTAATAACATATACTAAGTCATCAGAATTATAGGAGTTTAAGAAAGTTTTGGAACACATATCAATAACACATTTATACAAACACTGCCCAAAGAAAACCAAGCACCATTTCATATTTGACAATGCTTCCTGTATAATTTTTATACCAAATAAGCCAATATGTCTCTTCTGAACTTTAGGGACCTAATTTTTAAAAGATTAATTAGTTCTGAAAAAGACATAATTTATAATTTAGTTTTAGAAAGTTTTTCAAATATCAAGGTTTAAAACACTTGATATTAAAAAATAAAGTCCCAGGCCACCATAAATTATTGGTAAGTTATTCATTTAGTCAAAATGATAACTTAAAAATTTTAAGAAGACAAAAATCTTTACAAATTAATAGAGGAAAGACTTAGCTTTCCAAACATTTCTTTCTCTTCTTTTTCCTATAGTTTATTCAAAAGGCAAACAAAAACCTTTTTTAAATAAAATTTAAAAATCTTGTTCAAGAGAGAAAGCCAAATTGTACTGTTACATTACTGCATTATTATTATTATTATTTTTCTTTTTGAGACAAAGTATCTCTCTGTTGCCCAGGCTGGGGTCTAGTGGCACAATCTGGGCTCACTGCAACCTTCGCCTCCTGGATTCAAGCTATTCTCATACCTCAGACTCCCAAATAGCTGGGATTACAGGCATGTACCACCACACCTGGCTAATTTTTGTATTTTTAGTAAAGATGAGGTTTCACCATGTTGTCAAGGCTGGTCTCCAACTCCTGGCCTCAAGTGATCAGCCTGCTTTGGCCTCTCAAAGTGTTGGGATTACAGGCACGAGCCCTCATGTCTGTCCACGTTAGGGCATTATTGATGTCAAACACAATTCTTAATAAAACCTTACAGACAAATCTATTCAATTTTAATGTCTGACCATAAGATAAGATTCTCATAAATCTTTTTTTATAATCCTTTACATTTTTTGTTAAGGAGCAGATCAGTGGTGTAAGAAAAACCTGTTGTGTTTTTATTCCAATGTTCAGTTTATGGAAAAACTGAATAATACCCCTTTAACTTTAGCCAATATGTTTACACACAGACTTTCTTTTACAAGGTTAATTTTTCTGAACCTTCTACAACTTGCTCAAACCTTCAGCTTTATTCTATCTAACTTAAAACAATCTGTTAACGCTTTAATATAGGTTAAAAAAATCCACATTCCCATGACTTCTTATAATCTTTTACCAAAAACACATTTTACTTTCTTTACACATGTTGCATGTAAAACTGTTTTTATTTCCAAAAGATTGCTAAAGCCATGTGAACTAAAAGACATTACAGTTTTTATTTTTCTGATAAAATATTTGATTTAAGCTCTTATTATTTTTAAACCAATTAATCAAAGCTCTTTCATATCACACACACAACACATATAAATACACAGACAGAAGAAGGAGGTCCAGTAGTTTTAAGATCTTTCATTTGCTAGTTCTTTAACTGGATTATTGACTTCAAGGTGGAGCCCTTGGAGGAACAGGGCCAGGAAAGCATGCAGTTTCTATGGCCTTATAAGCATGCACAACTGGAAGGTAAAACATTATCTCCCAAAATTAAGGATCCCATTTTTTATATCAGATCTTAGATCCCAAAACAGAGAAACTCTATAGAACAATACAGTGCAATGATTTTATTGCAAAGGAAACAAAATCCAATCAGCCTGTTCTGTGATTAGCCCATCCTGCGTGGCAGTCTTTTCTCTCAGTGGGGATTTGGGGGTTAGGGATGTCTTCATACCTTCCAGGTGGCCAAGAGCATGTTTCTCTGATCCAAACATGCAAAGAGCTGAGGATCTCCAAAACTATTTTTTCTACCTAGTCATTACACATCAAAGCTCTTTCATAACGCAAAGTGGTTTCAGATACCCCCAAGAGTAAAAACCATCATATAAGGCAATGCAAAACAGAACAGAAGCTTGATATAGTTTGGCTATGTCCCCACCCAAAGCTGACCTTGAATTGTAATAATCCCCACATGTCAAGGGCAGGGCCAGGTGAAGATTATTGAATCATGGGGGGCAGTTTCCCCAATACTGTTCTTGTGATAGTGAATAAGTCTCATGGGAACCAATGGTTTTATAAAGGGAAGTTCCCCTGCACATGCCCTCTTGGCTGCCACCATGTAAGAAATGACTTTGCTCCTCATTCACCTTCTGCCGTATTGTGAGGCCTCCCTAGCCATGTGGAACTGTGAGTCAATGAAATCTCTTTCCTTTATAAATTACACAGTCTTGCATATGTCTTTATTAGCAGCATGATAATAGACTAATACAGTGTTCTTTAAAGAAAATAAATCCTTTTAAATTTCTTATTACCCATGGTTAGCCACACCAAACTGCCAACATTTCTGGCTTTTGAACTTTACTAAAGCTAACCTCCCAGGTGCTCAGACAAAAAAAAAAAAAACCAAGATAGTTCATGGAGGGGAAGAGAATAAATAAATGGTAAAGATCACACAGATATCACACAGAAAGGACTCATGCTTTAAGCCAGGAATTGAACCCTGAACACGTGCCACCATTGTGAAAAGACAAAGCCTTAGTTACTAAGCTACAGCACTGGGCAGTTCCCATTGCCCTTCCCAAAAGGAGCCTACAGCAGCCAGTTTTGAGCTTGCAAAGGCTTTTAACTGCTCAAGATAATTTTTAGGGCTAACTATGACATGAATTCCAAAATTCCTGTCTCCTGGACGGTGGAAACCAAGAGAAAGTGCTACCGTGTCTTTACAAGGTCAAGCTTCCAAGGACATGAAACGAGATGAAAACTTTATTCAGTTTTTGGTTTTTTTTTTTTTTGTCCAAGCATCTGCAGCAAAGTTTGTAACTGACTGGTTTACTGGGTTATCTTGAACAGCAGGTGTATGGGATCCTAGCCCCGTGTTCTATCCTAAGGTACCCCTCTTTATGACAGAACAATATAGAAAGACAAGTTTATGGCACAAGATACACCAGATTTGCTACAGTAGCCACTCTGCTTACCACCCAATATCAAACTGGCAAGGCTCAAACATTCCTCCAGATGGCTCCTGTCATTTTTAGCTAAGAGGGACTGTACTGAGATGGGCCTTTAAGCCCGTAAACCTTAGGAAGGACTCTAACCTTCCTAAGTTGGGCCTCGAACCTAAGTTCAGTCAAGCATCCTTGCCTTTTATTAAGTGGGGCCTTTAACCCTCTCTGTCTTAGGAGAGACTCTAACTCCCCTAAGTTGTGCCTCTAAGCTAATTCCATCCTTTACTCAGGCAGATGCACCCCACTTACCCAGTCAGTCAATTAGTGCTGCAGTCTATTTCCTTTCCTTTGGGTTGGGGGTCTCCTCAGCGTAGTCTCTTCATGGTTCATCAAGAAGGTGTTACCAGAAAGGGGTGCCAATCCAGATTTCAAGAGAGGGTTCTTGGATCTCTGCAAGAAAGGATTCAGGGCAAATCCATAGACTAAAGGGAAAGCAAGTTTTTTAAGAAAGTAAAGGAATACAAGAATGCCTACTCCATAGGCACAGCAGCTGAGGAACTTTTGAGCAGAAGAGTGATAACTCTACAAATAAAGGTTAATAATGCTGAAATCTATTGTAAACTCTTCCAGAAAGTAAGACAAAGCTTTTATAAGGTGCTGAATGCCATGGTACTCTCTGTCTAAAGGAAAAAGCTGAGACAAATTTAATATAAATAGGGATATTATTTGGACCAAGTTTGAGGACTGCAACCTGGGAACATAGATTCAAGTTGCCTTGAATATACATTCTGATTAGCAGCAGTTGCAAGTGGATTTTTAAAGAAAAAGAAGCTGTTCTTAAGTTCTTTACTAAGAATTTATATTAATATAAGCTACAGAGTGGCTATATATTGTTCTTTGTATCACAAATTCCAAGAACATGAAGATAATGGGTGAGGCAGCTAGTCAGAAACAAAATGCCTTATTGCTATGCTCATGTCTTTCTGATCCTGGTACATTTTGCAGACCTCACATAGCCCAGACTGCTCTGAGCTATTTTTCTTTTCTCGGTAAAGACTAATTTGAATTAGTCATACAAATTTCTTCTAGGAAGACTGCTTTTTCATATTGATGTGTTGGGTCTGTTTATATATTATGAATATTAATCCTCTTTACATATTTAGTAAGTTTTTTCCTCAATTAGTCACTTGCTTTTAACATTATATAAATGACATTTATCATATTGCAGCTTTACATTTTTTAAATTGTCAAACTGATAAGTTTTGTGTCATAATTCTTCCACACTTAATAATATATAAAAAGGTTTCAACGTTCTTTTCTATTCTTTATATTATTTTATGTTTTTAATGCTTAGCTTTTGGAAATTATTTGTGATGTGCGTGGGGCTCACATTTAGCTTTCAAGTGTTAAAAATATGTAGTTTAAAAAAATTAATGTACATTAGAAAAACTATACTTGAGACCAAAGTAAGAAAGATTGAAAGGTACCAGAAAAACTTCTACCTTGCAATTATATTTCTCATATAACACAAAAACAAAAAAAATTATAAAATTAAAATGCCAGATTATTTTAATAGAAGAAGGGAATGGATGCTAAAATTCTTCTCTTGTAGATGCTATTAGCCGTAGATAATGATAGACAAATATGTTTAAATTTTTGCTAGAAACTGAAGGCATACATTGAAATAAGATAATTACATTGTTATCATTATGTAAACTGAAAGAATATGCAATTTCTCAACTGCCAGAGATTACAAAAAAAAGGAATATGCTTAATTCATTATAAAGAAGAAAATAACAATAAAAACAAATCAACATAAGTCATAAAATAAGATGGTAGAAACAAGTCTAAATACATGCATAATCATAATAAACATAAATGAGTTAGATTCGTTTAAAAGCCAGAGATAATCTGCCGTAAATTATCAGCAAATAGACTCTGTGACAGACATTTGCATATAGGGGTTTATGGAACAATGCTTACAGGAATAATACCTAGAAAAAGGTGAGGAAGCAAGATTTGGAAGAGGAAGAAGTTGCCACAAGGGCCTCAATCAATATCACACAGAGCTCTGAAGCTGAGATGGCCTCTCAGACATGTCTGGAATCCAATCAAAGACCCTAGCTTTTAAAAATTTAATTTTTACTTTTTGTATATTCAGAGGATACAAGTGCAGATTTATTGCATGCATATATTGTGTAGTGGTGAAGCCTGGGCTTTTATTATACCCATCACCTCGATAGTGAACGTTGTACCCAATAGGTAATTTTTTAACCCTCATGCTTCTACTACACTCCCACCTTTTGTAGTCTCCAGTGTTTATTATTCTGCTCTGTATTGCCCTTGTTTAGCTCCAATTTATAAATGAGACTATGCGGTATTCGACTGAGTTATTTCACTTGACACTCCAGCTTTAAAACCAACTTCCTCCGCAGTAATTAGTCATGGGATGAAGGCTGCTGTTTTGGTTGAGCGCAATTTCTGTGTAGGGAATGAGCTGTAAACTACAACCTAGTACAACTCCTGGCAGCTAGAGGAATGACTGCTTTGATCTTGAAAGGGAATCTGGGCAGCACATCACAGTATCCAGTACGCTCTGAGATTCTGATTTAAAAAAAAAAAAAAGCCAGATTCTGTTCATGAGAGCCACACTAAAACAAAAATTGGCCAGGTATAGGTCATTGAGAAAATTATAATTGATTCCCCAGAGGAGACATCTTACATGCCACATTCCTTAACCACTAGAGAATTAGAAAGCATCCTTTCTCAAGAAACTCTGGTACTCTAAACATTTCTGGACTGCTTAATAAATACTACATTATTGTTTTGGCTTATTTTAAAGGAATAATTGGCAGAGAAATAAATACCGACCTAAAGAGTCTTTTAGGACTAATGCTATCTGTGGTCAATTTTTTTGTGTGTGTGTGTCTCATAATGAAATAGAAGAGGGAGGAAGACATTTCCCATGGTAATTCTTGTGTAACATTTTATTATCAATAAATATATAGGAGGTGGAAAAATGTGAGAAATACTTCAAATGCTTCAATATCTCACCTTCCATATTGGAAGATTCAATTTCACATACTTACTAAACTTGAACTTGGGAAGGTTTTGTCAAAAATTATTTTCTTGAAAGAAGCCTCCCCCGTCCTTTGGATCACATCTTCTCCAATAACCAATCATCATATGAGCAGTGACCAAGGGTTGGTTCACATCACCTCTGTGAACAGGTGAGAAGGTTTATACTTGAAAAGATGGTCACAATCTAGTAGTTCAAATGTTTTATTAATACAGGTTAAAACATAGTATTATCTTCAAAATAAGAAGTTGGCCTATGAATCTCTTAAGTTACATAGCTTAGAAAGTGTGACATTGGAGGAAATAGATGGGAAGTACTCATTGCTCATAATGGATGATAGCCTATCAGAAGTCAGAGAGAAGAAAAAAAAATTGTAACTTAAAAAGTAAATACAAATAAATCCAAAAAGAAAATCCAAATAAGTCAAAGAAAAAGTGACATATCATAATTCATTCAATATATGTTGATCAAACAGGTACAAAGGGCATGGCTTTAATCTAGTTACTTTAAAAAAAAAAAGACATCTGTCTGTCTCCCCTGCCTACAATCTAGCAAGGAAGACAGACATTGAATAACAAAAAAAACCACGTGAATAAAATTACCTTTGAAGTCATAATTGAAGCAAAGAAGGTCTCTAAGGGGGACTTAACTTAGCTTGCAATATAGGGAAGAAGTGGCCTTTCAGATGAGACATGAGGGGAAGAATGTTCTGGTCAAGAGATTAGTTTATGAGATTAGCATATGAGAAGGCCCAGAAGTGCATAACTTAACCGTGGGAAAATTGTGAGGAAGACCACAGTGGCTTTAGCTTAGAGAAGGAGAAACAATGGCCTGAGATAAGACTGAGAAGTTGTCAGGGACTAGATTCTGTTAGGCCTGATAAGTTGTGTTGCGGATTCTTTCATCCTAAACCTGAAGGACCCAGTCAGGGTTGTGTTTCAGGCATACTACCCTGTCTAGAGAAGAGCTGTTACATGCAGGGCAGCCAAGTGTGACGTGGAGAGCTCAGGTACAAAGCTTTTGCAGAAGTTCAGGTAGTAAACGATGGTGATATAAACAGGAGTAGTAGTAGAGGTAATAAAAGGAAGCAGATGAATTTTCAAAACACTCAGCAAGAAAATTTGGCCATACAGACAACTGGTGGCGCATGGGAGTGGATGAGTGAGGAGTCTTTAAGAATGGAACCCTCATTTCTAACAGCAAAATGAAACCACTAGGGAGCCATTTACTGAGATGGGAAGAGACGAGGAAAGAGAAAGAGCTTGTTTCGGGGAAGAGATCATGGGCTTACTCTTGGATATGTTCTTGAGATGTCTATGAGGAATGTGAAAGGAGCAGGTGAGTAGGGGGAGTTGAACAAGTGAATCTGGTACCAAGAATTGCAGTTTGATCTTAAGATATACATTTTATTATTGTCACCATATAGGTGGTATTTTAAGCTGAGTGAGTGGGTAAGCTCCAGTAGAGAGAGACGATAGAGCAAGAAGAGAGAAAACTTTGGACTAAACCTAAAAACTACAAAATTTAAAGTTCTTTTGAAAAAGTAAATGAGATTAAGAAGTGACCATAGATGTGTTCTTTATTATTATTATTATTATTATTATTATTTTCATTTTACTTTAAGTTCTGGAATACATGTGCAGATAGTGCAGGTTTGTAACATAGGTATACACGTGCCATGGTGGTTTGCTGCACCTATCAACTCGTTATCTAGATTTTAAGCCCTGCATGCGTTAGATATTGTCCTAATGCTCTCCCTCCCCTTGCCCTCCACCCCTCAACAGGCCCCGGTGTGTGATGTTCCCCTCCCTGTGTCCATGTGTTCTTATCGATCAACTCCCACTTATGAGTGAGAACATGCGGTGTTTGGTTTTCTGTTCCTGTGTTAGTTTGCTGAGAATGATGGTTTCCAGCTTCATCCATGTCCCTGCAAAGGACATGAACTCATTCTTTTTCATGGCTGCCAGAGATGTGTTCTTAAGAACATTGAGGAAGAAAGCGTCTGGACAAAGAGAAAGTGGACAACTGCATTACAACTAACAAAATAATTGAAAGAGTGAAACAGTTAAGCAGTTAAAACATTAAAAAGACTAAGAAAGAAAATGATGCATAAAAATAACTTAAAATAGAAGCAAGTTATTAAAGTTAAATTTTACCCTTTTAAAAGTTCACTTATTTAGACAAAAGCCTTTTATCCCTGACGTGATTTTGGCTCTATCGCCCACTACCTTTTATCTGGATGTCCTTAGACTGGCAACATTTAGACTATTGACAATATGTACCAAACTCTAGAATTAATCTGGTTTTTTTTTGTTGTTGTTGTTGTTTTGCTTTGTTTTTTCTTTTTTTGAGACAGGGTCTCACCCAGGCTGGAGTGCAGTGGCATCATCATGGTTCACTGCAGTCTCGACCTCACAGGCTCAAGCCATCCACCTGCCTCAGCCTCCTGAATAGGGGAGCCTCCTGAGTACACGGGACTACCAGTACATGCCACCACTCCCAGCTCATTCTTGTATTTTTTTGTAGACACAGGGTTTTGCCATGTTGCCAGGCTGGTCTCAAACTCCTGGACTCAAGTGATCCACCTGTGTTGGCCTTCTACAGTGTCCCACCTAGACTTGATCTTTCAGCTTTAACATTAAAATTTGAAATCACGTCATAAATTGCTGATCTCATACTGAATGTATTTTTTCTTATATGTTAGAGAAATCATACATATAATTATCTCCTATGAGGAAAAACCAAAGTTTTGCTTACTGAAGAAAGAATCAGATTATTTTCTAGTGATAAATATCTTCTGGTGATAAATATTATACTGCCAGCCAATAGACAAGGTACTTGAGAACTGTCTGTTAGCTACTATAAGGTACAGATAAAAGCAAATCTAGAAAATGATGGTTCACAATCATATTGTGTGAAGTAAGAGTAAAGGCTTTTTCCCTTTTGCCTGCAACACTTTATTCACAGTGAATTTTTTGGGTTATCTCATTTCTCAATTAACATATCTGTCCTGAGTGGGGCTTCCTACAAAGACATCTTCAAACAGAACTTCAAAAGTGTGGGAATTATGTTAGACATGGTGGCCCATGTCTGAATCTCAGCATTTTGGGAGACCAAGGCAGGAGAATCACTTCAGCTCGGGAGTTCAAGACTAGCCTGGGCAAAATAGCAAAAACCCATCTTTACAAAAAAATACAGAAATTAGCTGAGTGTGGTTGTGTGTGCCTGTAGTCCAAGCTACTCACGAGGCTGAGACAGGAGGATCGCTTGAACTTGGGAAATTGAGGCTGCAGTAAGCCATGATCACGCCATTGCATTCCAGCCTGGGTAACAGGTGTGAGACCCTGTCTCAAAACAAAAAAACAAAACAAAACAAAAAACAAAAAGAAAGGGAATTATTTATTGTGCATTTTCAAATAACTAAAAGATGATAATCGGATTGTTTGTAACACAAAGAAAGGATAAATGCTTGCTGTGATGGATATCCCATTTACCCTGATGTGATTATTATGCATTGTATGCTTGTACTGAAGTATCTCTGGTACCCCATAAATATATACTCCTACTATATACACACAAAATTTAAAACTTAAACAAAACTAAAGTGACTGTGGTCACATCACTCCAATCTCTGTCTTCACACTGCCTGCTCCTCTTTTGAGTATCTATTTATTGTCTCTTTACCTCTCCTTTAAAAGACACTTGTGATTGGATTTAGAGCCTACCAGAACAATCAAGAATAATCACCTTGAGTTAATTTTTGTACGGTGAAAGGTAAGGATCCAGCTTCAATCTTCTGCATATGGCTAGCCAGCTATCCCAGGATCATTTATTGAATAGGAAGTCCTTTCCCCACTGCTTGTTTTTGTCAAAACTACAATCAGATGCCATCTCACATCAGTCAGAATGGCTGTTTTTAAAAAGTCTAAAGACAACAGATGCTGACAAGAATGTGAAGAAAAAGGAAATCTAATACACTGTTGCTGGGAATATAAATTAGTTCAGCCACTGTGGAAAGCAGTGTGGAGATTTCACAAAGAACTTAAACAGAGCTACCATTCGACCCAGCAATCTCACTACTGATTATATACTCAAAGGAAAATTGATCATTACACCAAAAAGACACATACACAGTATTCACAATTACAAAGATATGGAATCAACCCAGGTGCCCATCAGTGGTGGACTGGATAAAGAAAATGTGATACATATATACCATGGAATACTATGCAGCCATAAAAAGAATGAAATCATGTCATTTGAAGCAATATTGATGGAGCTGGAGGCTGTAATCCTAAGTGAATTAACACAGGAACAGAAAACCAAGTATCTCATGTTGTCACTTTTAAGTAGAAGCTAAACATTGAGCACATGCAGACATAAATGTGGGAACAATAGACACTGTGGGGGCAGGATGGTATGGTGGGTTGAAAAACTACCTATTGGTACTATGCTCACTACCTGGGTTCAATATACTCATGTAACAAACCTGTACATGTACCCTGGTATCTAAAATTAAAAAAAAATTCTCCTTTACTCAAAATTCATAATCATATTTTCAAAGATTTTTTTTCTTTAAATATATATAACACAGGTTCTAGGGATTAAGACCTGGTATCTATAGGTGGCCTCTTTTTTTGTAGTATACTACACCTTCCATATGAATCTGAAATACACCCCACCAGATGAAGGCATAGTAGCATACAATCTGATTTTAGAGAGCAGAGGTCTGGAAGCGGCACTGAGGAGTGAGGAGTACACGCACTTCACCTATAGGGACAGCAGTAAAAGGAGTGGTGGGTAAATAATGGGCACCTTATAGGAGGGCGGCAATGAAATCTGCATACTGGAGGAAAGACAGGTTCTACTTTGAGCAAGAATATGGAGTGGATGTTTGGAGAAGAGATTGAGGTCCTAAAGAAGTTGCAGAAAGCATACTGTGACTTCCAGAGAACGCCATATAGTAAGGTTTACAGAGCTAGTGAAAGGAGTGAGAAGGTCTCATATTGAAGAATGGGACTACCATGAAGTGGGAGTGTAGAGGTTCCTGAGGTAAGCGATATGAACAGAGAAAAAGGGCAAAATGGGATTTGGCCAAGGCAAGTTGTGGTGGGGGGTCTGTGAGAGTAGGATGTTAGGGAGAAGGGTGGGAGGCTTCCCAGGCATACAGGCATATAGGAACCAAAGGAGGAAAGTACCCAGATAAACTCAGTCAAATCCTTACTAAAACTATGTGGGAAAGAATAAGTTCTTTTGCAATTGTAAGTCTTACATATACCCTATGAATTTAGTAGTTTTGTTTTATTTTGATTTTTTAAATTAATGATACTCTCTATACAAAGTAGTTCTTTATTTAAAAATAAATATGAAGGCAGTACTATATAAATTCCATTGTGTGCCATGAAAAATTGACTCTTTCCATAGGGAAATATATAGGTCGGATTCTAGATGGTGCTGCTAATGTGGAAATCAGAGCTTAAACCAGGAAAAACCTGCTGCTTTAAGTGAGGTAATTCTGAGAGTTTATTAGGATTATCTATTTAAAAAATAATTATTATTTTAAGTGAACCAATATTGGCTTAAAGTAATAATTGCTTCCAATTTTTAGATTTGCCCAGCCATACTTTTAGGAATTTATTGTGGCTTTTTTCCCCTCAAAATTGATATCAGATTCAGTGGCAAATGGTTTTCTTTTTTTCTTTTTTTTTTTTGAGACAGAGTTTTGCTCTTGTCGGCCAGGTTGGAGTGCAATGGCATGATCTCGGCTCACTGCACCCTCCGCCTCCCAGGTTCAAGCAGTCCTCCTGCCTCAGCCTCACAAGTAGCTGGGATTACAGGCGCCTGCCATCATGCCCAGCGAATTTTTTTATTTTTAGTAGAGACGGGGTTTCGCCATGTTGACCAGGCTGGTCCCGAACTTCTGACCTCAGGTGATCTACCCGCCTTGGCCCCCCAAAGTGCTGGGATTACAAGCATGAGCCACCTTGCCTGGCCTATGGTTTTCAATATCAACTTTTCCCAGTTAAAAAATAAACTGTATTATCTCCATTCTCATATTCCTCTCATTTAAATATTCATCAAAATTCCGTAAACAGCTGTAATACTTCAGCAGTTTCATTTGTAAATATTCTTAGTACCTTAGGAGGTAATTAATTTTACAAAGAGACTGAAACTCATGAAACAGCAACTTAGTCTCTTACAATCAAAAGATTTTTATTAATGTTCATTATATTTACAAGGATTATCAAAGCATGTCAATCTTCCCTCAATTTCCTTAGTAGGAACAGTTTATATAATAATCTGAAGCTAAGGTGACTGTTAAAAAAAAGAAAAACAATCATATATTTAAGTTATATTTTCAGTAACAAAAATTACCAATGTGTAAAAATGATGTTTTAATCTAAAAGGATTATAGAAGTGAGCAGTTACATTCCAGAATACTTGGATTTGATATATATGTATTACTTGTAAAATCTCATGCTTGTTGAGAAGGAAACCCAGGTTCCTTGAGAGTTTTCTTCTTATGTGTCATGCATTCCATAAACAGGGAATAGGTACCTCCTATTTTAAGTTAACTAAAAGATATCTTGGTTAGAAAGATATGTCTCATGAGTCTGAAAAATGTAAAGGAATTCCCTAGAGCTGGGTCATGATGGACAGTACTGGTAAGTTTAAGCTTCTGATTTTGCTATTTTGAGAAGTAGGTCCTACCAGAAGTGAGTGTACCAAGGAACAGTGCAGTAAAAAAGGCCTCTTCGTTATTTATTAGGGCAGTGAAACTACTCTGTATGATACTATAATGGTAGATACATGCCATTACAAATTTGTCCAAACCCATAGAATGTACAATACCAAGAGTGAAACTTAATGTAAATTATGGAGTCTGGGTGATAATGATATGTCAATTTAGGTTCATCAGTTGTAACAAACGTACCACTCTGATGGGGCATGTTGATAAACGGAGAGGCTAAGCATGTGTGGGGGCGGAGGGCATGTATGGAAAATCTTTGTATCTGCCACTTAATTTTGCAGTGAACCTAAAACTGCTTTACAAAATGAAGTCTATTATATATAATGAATAAATAAGGAAATAAATAAATAAGTAAAAGATGTCTGAGGATGAAAAAAGGCTTCTGCTAGTTTGCCAGCCAATCTAACTCAAAATATTATTGCAAATGAAAAGAAAATAGTGCTAATAAGAACAAAATACTATGTAGAAATAAACAGGGGAGGAGAAGGAGTCTTTCTTTCTCTTCCATGTTGTAAGGATTGAATAATTAACCTGTCAGTGTTTACTAAGAACATGGAAGGTATGGAAACTAGTATAAAACATAAACCCTATACTCCAGGAATTTATATCCTACTTGGGGAAACAAGTATGACACAAGTAGAAGAATATGTGATAATTAATTCTTATGAGATACATGCAATTTGATCTCAGAAAACTATAAAATGTATGTGCGCCAGGGTTACTGTAGAAGATTCAGTTGTAAGTCTTAAGGTTGGTTTGAATAATTTTGAAGTATACCTAGATATGAATGACATGGTAAAGCTTTTAAAAAAACAGAAACCCAGGAAGAGGAAGTGCAGTCATGAGGTGGATAATCCCAGTTGCTACAGAGCATTTGATTAATTCTTACCCAAGCTGACACTGAAACTTCAGGTTGAATTGAAACTGAGACATGCAGTCTGTGGGAGTGTTCTTGGAACAAATATATGTTTCTTAACTCACTCATTTAAAGAATGATGATTCAATGTAACCATAAGTACAACATGATGTATGTGCTTCTCTTTCATAACTGACAGATCTTTTGTGGCTATGAAGCTAAGGGGAGAAAATGGCATAAACACTGACATTTTAGGCTTTAGGCTTTGTTCAAGATGGAAGAAAAGATCATCCTGTTTCAGCAGCAACACTGCTGGCCCGTGGGAAGTTAGAGAACCTCATCAGTCTACAGTGGCTATTTCTGATATTAGAGCAAATCAAAAGGAAGAATGGATGCGTGTGAAATGATTGAGATTTAATACAAACACTTTATCATTTTCAAATGTTTAAGTTTTTTAAAGATGTTTAAAAAGTTAATTGACTATAAACATCAAATAGGATATTTATTAGTTATAGATATTTGTATTATCTGTTTCAACAGATAAATTCTCAAATCTTGATGGGCTTGTAAAAGAAAAGTTTATTTCAAGTTTATGCAAAGTCCAAAATGTGGTATCCCTGAAGGGCGGGTAGATCTCCTTATAGTGATACCATATTAGTTTTGGCAACTTGCCTTTTGTATATATATATATATAAATTTTCAAATAATTTGCAATAAAAGTTACTTTCCAGCTTGTTTTATAAGGCTAACATAAGCTCAGCTGTGAAACTTAACAACGAAAATAAAAGACAGGAAAATTATATGTCATTGTCTCTCAGAAGTATGTATCAAAAAATCTTAAACAAAATATTAGCATATGAAACCCAGTGATATATAAAGTGTCATAAATTGCAATCAAGTTGAGGTTATTCCAGAAATGCAAGGTTGGCTTAACATTTAAATATGAGTCAATGTAGATCATGACATTCATAAGATAAAAGTAGACATGATTATCTCAATAAATGCAGACAAAAGGATTTGGTCAAATTCAAACTCTGTTTATTGTAAAAACGTAGCAAACAAAAAACAAGACAATTTCCTTAATTTGATAAAGTGACAGAAAACATTCTACTTAGTGGTGAAATACTTAGTCTTTCTCTGAAATTGGGAAAATAGCAAAGAATCCCTGCTATCACCATTCCATTCAATAGTATACTGGAATTCTATGCCATAAGCCAAAAAAATAAAAAAAATAAAAAAAATAAAAAATCATTTAATCAAACAAAACAAAATAAAAAATATAAGCAATGGAAAAGAAGTAACACTGTTTATGCAGATGACAAGACGATGTACATATATGCCAAAAATTTGAAAAGATGTCCAAACAAAAAAAATTAATAAATTAATCCATTTTCTTGTTATATAAAAATCAATTGTATCTCAATATGCTGGCAACAAATGTAACACAAAATTCAAGGAATAATACTATTTATAACAGGACAGAAAAATATGAAACACATAGATTAATTGTAGGGAAACAGGTATGACTTCTATCCAGATATTGAGAAAAATTAAAGAAAATCTAAATGGATGAATGTATACCAAGTCCATGGATTGGAAGCTTTACTATTTTAAGAAGTCAATTATCCTCCAATTTATCTGTACATTCAATGCAATATCAACAAAATTCTAGAGATTTCTCTTTAGAAATTGATCAGATAGTGTTAAGATTTAGAAGTAAATGCAATGGACTGAAAAAAGCCAAGACAACATTGAACAAGGAAAATAAATATGGACTTATATTACCAGTTATCAAGACCTTTTATAACTTCATTAATTAAAGCAGTGTGATATGGCACAATAATGGCAAAATTAAAAGCCAATAAAAATAAATACACCTTTAATCCCACTTCATCATGTACACAAAAATAAATTCTATGTGAATTATTAATCTAAGTGCAAATGGTAACTCACTAAAGTTTCTAGAATAAAACATGGGAGAATGTCTTTGTGAAAAGCAAAGAATTCTTAGACCACATACACGTATACATGAAACACTAAACTTAAAAGCAAAGATTGATAAATTTTAAATTAAAATTAAGAAATTCTGTTCTTTAAAAGTTACTGTTTAAGCATTCCAGTAATGGCAAACTACCTTATATTCAGGCCTTCTAGAGTTAATAATTATACACTTTGGAAAATAATATAAAAATTAACCATATGAAGGCAGTGGAGAGTGACAAAAAATACCAGAAACTGAAGGAAAGCCAATCCAAGAAAGGAAGGAACTGTACTGAATGATATTTGGAAATCTTAATATTTAAAGACAACATAATCATCTATATAGAAAATTCAAAGAATCTAAAGACAGCTATTAATTTTAAAAGTAGCTAAACAAATTTGCTGGGCATGCTACTTACTAATACCAATCAGTAACATTCCTACACACTAGCAATAAATAATTAGAAAATTTAACAGGAAAAATATTATTCATGACTATGAGAAAAACTTCAAACAGAGGAATAAATATAAAAAAGATGTGCCTTATATCACTTTATGAGTAAAATGACAAAACAAAATTAATGAATAAATAGAAAGATACATCATGCTGATAAACAGTTAACAATATAAGATGTTGAATCTTTCCAAACTATTCTGTGAAATAAATAGAATTTCTATTGAAATCTCAAAATCTCAAAATATTTTCTTGGGACTTAATAATGGGACTTAATAAGCTGATCCTCAAAGCATATGGCAGAATAGAAAGTTAAGAATTACCAATATAAATTTGAAGAAGTGTTTGAGAAAACATATGCTTTCAGAAATCATGACCTACTGTAATCTGCAGCAGGGGCTGGAAAACTACAACCCATGGACCTGGTTCACCATTTGCTTTTATAAGTAAATACTGGAAAACAGCCATGCCTGCATGTATTTTTTTACTTAGCATTTTTGGCTGTTTCTGTGCTGCAATGGGAAAATTTAATAGTTGCAATGGAGACCATATGGCCTACAAAGCCTCAAACGTTTATTGTCTGGGCACTTTACAGAAAATGCTTGCTGACTCCTGATCTATAGTAATTAAAACTATTTAGTATTGACAGAAGAAAAGGTAAATAGACTATTGGAACAGAATAGAGAGTTAAGAAACATGCAGATTTTGTATATGATATAGGAGGCCTCACACATCCGTAGAGAAAAGATGAACTCTGCAATAAAAAAGTCTTGGAAAACAGGTTATTAGTAAGAAAAAATAATTTCAAATTAAGACAATATAAAATTAAATTATCATTTCATGTCATTACAAAAGTAAATGGATTCTTGAAGTTTTTAAAGAACTGAAATCTCTTTACATAATGAAATGTCAAGCTGCACCCTGGGGACAGGTAATTAATAAATAGGTGAACATAACTGGTTAATATCCAGTATAATAATACATTAATATCCAGATCATATAAGGAACTCACATATAACTATAAGAAAAAAAGATTAGCAACCCATTTTTTTTTCCTTACCATCTGCTGCCTGTTGATGAAAAACTAAACTTATGAACAGGATTCTCAAAAGTGAAAATCCAAATTCCCTCAAAATATGTGAAACGATTATTCTCACAGGTAATTAAGGAAAAGCAAATGCAAACCACAATGAAATAGAATTTCATCTGCATGAGAATGATGGCAATATTTGCCATATTAAAATTGACGTATTGTAAAACGACATTTGTCAGAAACTTTTAACTAGTTATAGTTAGTTTCAACTGAGAAGAGACAAGGCAGTATAATGGAATTGGTAAAATATAGAGTTAGGATTACCCCTACATACTTCAAAGCTGTTTCTTGGGTGTGCCTCTTAGCTGACCAAACTGGGCCGTAATTTTTTCTAAATCGCCAAGTCAAGGAAGTTTGTCATTCTTGGGTTAACTCCTGTCTTGAAACTACAGAAATGTGATGGTCATTAACACTAGTCAGACAAGTTTCATCTTATTTGTTCTCTACATCTTACCCAGCCCATAAAAACCAAGCTCCAACACTGGATGTAGCACATAAGTCAAAAGCTGCGTCAGAAGGTTCTAACTTTTGTCATCACTATTACCAGCATTGTCATCGTTATCGTTATCTTCGTCATCATCATTACCACCGTTATACCTGATACTGCCATAACAATCAGAACATTATGTACAGGTAAAGGGGACTTCACTGGGGAGAGCAAGTTGGCAAAATGTAGCAAGTTGCCATTAAGTATGTTCTAGTTTTTTGTTAATTGACTGTTTTTATAATTTAGTTTTTATTCCTGGACACTGTTAAGAAACACTCTATTGTCTGAGGTCTACAGACCCTTTGAAGTCTCTGGGAAAGTTTCCAAAAGTTAAAAAGAAAAATAATAATTCAGCAAAATTTTGCTTACTGGGAAAGAATATAAATATATAATTGACCTGAAATCTTAAGGAAATGAGGCATAAGATTTCTTTTACAATCACTCATAAGAACGCTACCGTTTTTATTCTCTAGTAATGTAATTGAAATCAAATTTTCTAATATTAAAAGGTTTTCTTAGGAATAATAAAAAATATGAATGCCATTATATATTTTGGAATAATGTACTTTCTAATATAGATTCTGAATTAGCAACAGGCAAACTGCAGGTTCTCAAAACTTCATAAATTTTCCAATGACTTCCTTTCTGTAGACTCTCTTTTGTTCAAAGTTCCAGGAGAAAGTGAAGAATAGAGGCCATTACCCATTTGTTCATTACACTTCTCTGCTCCTTATGCACAATTCTCACCCTAATGATTTAAAGTTTTCTATGGAAAAAATGTTTATTTTTATAAAATTTGAAGAATTTTGCACCACAGTCATGCTTTAACACATTTCATTATATGAGATAATTCAGGCACATCTAATTCAAATGGTTTATAAATGAAGTTCTAATACATGAAAATTATATATTTTTTAATGCTTTGCTGTTTAACTCCTAAAGCAGTGCCCAAAAGTGGTTAAAAGGAAATCTAACCACTGGCATGGACCATAAAGGTAAAATTGTAACAAGACTGATGTTTTAAAATTGTAAGTAATGTACTCACCACCATTTTGATTAACATCATTATTGCAAGTTGATTAAGGCAAATGGTTATGCCAGAATGGCAATGAGTTTTCATTTATTTTTTTCCCCTGTGATGGAGCTGGGGTCAAGCCATTCTCGTGCCTCAGCCTCCTGAGTAGCTGTGGTTACAGATGCTCACCACCACACCCGGCTGATTTTTGTATTTTTTGGTAGAGATGGGGTTTCACCATGTTGGCCAGGCTAGTCTCAAACACCTGACCTCAAGTGATCCGCCTGCCTCGGCCTCCCAAAGTGCTGGGATTACAGGCATGAGTCACCATGTGCAGCCAGCAATTAACTCTTATTTGAAGTAGATTCATTCTAAAAGTGAGGCAATTATAGTTTAGTTAAGTACACGAAGTTGGTTAAATTCATTGAAGATTAATTTTTAACCTATTTCCTTTGTTAAGTGAGGGATTCATCTTGTAATGCAAATGCTACCTTTAGAAAAAAGTGTTGCCAAAAATTAATTTGGTAAATGAGAGTAAATTGTTTCATGAATGGACATTTTTTGATATTTAGAACATAATTTTTAAAAGTGCAGCTATTATTCAAAAATAATAATAAATTCCCAGAGGCTACATTTATTAGAGGAAGGGTTGAGTTAATCACAAACTTACTGTACTCTTTTAGATATAAAATAGTACTTTAAATTATTTTTGACAAGAGAAAGCCATGTGAGGAGGAAAAAGTCATGTCAGAGCTATAGTCAATAATATGTACTCTTCAGAAATTTTCAGAGCATCCAAAATGGGTTTTTAGAGAAAAATCTCTTTTAAGCTGGGTAAAGCAGTGATTATTTTGAAACCATCTCAGAACTTAGAATAATTATTTAGGCTACATAATGTTTAGTCTCTTAGACTAATATGCATGTCTCAGAAAGCCCAAGCTACCAGACTGTTATAACTGGCTAATTCCAAACAAATTTGAGACCTTACTGTCACAGTGCACTTTTATAGTCATTAAAAGAAACATGTTATCCAATATTAATAAAGTTATAAATACTGTATTAAAAATGCTATGCCTGAGTAGACTTTTTTCTGTGAGGCTGATATTAAACAACAGCATTCTGGTATGAAAAAATACATGAAATGTGTCTGAAATAAGGAGTTTCTTTGAAGAGCTTTGATGAATAATGTTGGTTCTGCGAAACACTAATTAACAAGTCATCAAAAGAGACAAAGAGGTATAAGGAAGAGGTAGGATTAAGAATGTGGAACAGAGTGAAGAGGAAACAAATTTAGGTGGAGTTGCACAGTTGTATCAGGTAATGCTAAAAAAAACAAAAACAAAAATGTATCTACCTAAAAGTCAGTTGGTCCTGGATGAGATGAGAACAAAAAGGTTCACATACTCATAGGAAATATGTAATTCACCAAATATGTTCCCTGATTACAAACTCTTCTGTTTTGCAAGGTTTATTTAGAATGATACAGAATAGAGATTGAAGAAGCAGCTGAGGATGTTTTGCATTTGAAATCATGAATGTTTATGTTACAGCCCTTCCTCCAATGGACAATTATATAACATCATCTCTCAAGATATGAAAAATAACTAGGATTCAAACTTTATGTAGATTAAGCTTAGTGTGGCCATACAATGTAACTGTAACCATAAACTGCTTTATCTCTATGATGCCGAACCACCATATTTTCTAATTCTGTTTCAACTAATTGATTGGCTTTGATGATAAAACAACTAACTGATCTATTAATTTATATTATGCAAATAATTTACATTTGTTGTAGAAACATTATAGAAAATAGGCCAGGTGCAGTGGCTCATGCTTGTAATCCCAACACTTTGGGAGGCCAAGATGGGCAGATCGCTTGAGCTCAGGAGTTTGAGACTAGCCTGGGCAACATGGTGAGACCACTGACTCTATTACAAAAAAATAGCTGGGTGTGGTGGTGCACCCCTGTGGTCCCAGATACTCAGGAGGCTGAGGTGGGAGGATCAGTTGAGCCCAGTGGGGCAGAGGTTACAATGAGCTGAGATTGTACTACTGCACTCCAGCCTGGATGACAGAGTGAGGCTCTGTCTCAAAAAAAAGAAAGAAAGAAAGAAAGAAAATTAAAAAAAAGAAAAATTAGAAAATGCAGTTAAAAGTAAACAAAAAATCTATAATTTTATTACATAGAGATTATTGCAGTTGACATCATGGTATTTCCATCTGCAATTATCAAACCTATAATTAAAACTTGTTATATTATGTATTTATAATATAATACATAATATATTATATATTATATATATAATATTATATATAATATAATATTATATATAATATATATATAATATAATATTATATATATAATATTATATATATTATATTATGTATAATATAATATATATAATATTATATTATATATATTATAATATATATAATATAATATATATAATATAATATAATATTATATATATTATATTATATTATGTATTTAATTGTGTCTATAAGTCTTTATATGTCCCTGTGCATGATATGGCTATAGTTTACAAAAATACAATCAGACTACAACTAATGTTTTGTAACCTGCTTCAATTTTTAAAAAAAGCAAGTCAATTTCTCTTCAGCAACATGAGGACAGAAATCATGTCTATTTTGCTCACTGATGTATTTCCAGCAGCTAACCTGGGATCAATGATGATTTGCTAAGTGAATGAGCATTAGGGTCTATCCTCTTTGAGGCATTTGAGGTTTCTATGTTTTCAGCTAGCATAAAGGACTAATGTATAAACTACAATTCATGTACTATGAGTTGAAGGAGAGGCAGGTAGATTTTGATTGTTATTATCTGATTTGAACCAAAATTTTCCTCTTTCATAGGCACGGCATATCTTCCCAAAGATCTTGGCCACTATGGACTACGATCTTTATTTTTCTTGGAGTGGCGGCAATCTTGGGAGTAACCATTGGTCTTCTTGTTCATTTTCTGGCAGTTGGTGAGTACTGATTATTTTCAGTTTTCATCCTTGCTATAAATCTTTAAATTTTAAAAATTGAAAAAAAACAACATGAACATTAAATTTCTTCTTGGGAGTTTTCTTATTTACTATTTTATTTCAACACAGTTTATTATGACACAGAAATTTATAAAATTTTTTGAATCAGAGGCCTCCTTGTAAATTATATCACTAACTATGGGGGTATGAGCAAGACTGAAATGTTCAATGCTTTGATGTCAATATTCATTGTCATTAAAGGAGCTTATAGTAGGCTTGTAGTTGAATTGTTACATCCTGTAGTAAATATATCTCAAACTTTAGAGATTCCTTCTCTTCTTGGTTCAATTCTGCTATTGGTTATTAAGATATGATGAATAAGTAGCAATGAAAAATCTGCAAATAACTCTTTTAATAGTAGATAGTCAAGCATGGTTTAATGGCTAAATGTTTGCACAAACATGGTTTTATTTTTAAAACTTTTATTAACAGTATACTCACAAAGCTTAGTTTCCAATTTATTTTTACTTTTCTGAAAAATAAGTCCTTAAACCTGTATAGTTATTTAATGTTTTAAAATAAATTTGACATCCATCATTCCACTTTATCTTCCCAATAATCCTGTGAGCTAGGGATGACAGATTTTACTACTATCCTTATTTTCACATACAGTACACTGGGGCTCAGAAAAGTAAAGTGACTTGCTTGATACCACAAGCTTTTAAGTAGCATAGCTTGCTTAAAAGCTTGATATTAATATACTTAATAGTTTAATTATACTATTTTATCATGATTTTTCTGAGTTTTATATCTCTGAAATATATAACCCTATACAATAATACAATGTAGACAAATTTTGGCTGACTCAGCAAAAATTACACAGTTTCTTTCAACCTGGCTTCTTTTCCTTTGTTTCTCCTCAGTCCTCTTAAGACTTGTCTTTCAGAAGGGTAATGGGCACTCAATCTCCTGTCTGCCATATCTATCCATGAAATGTTCATAATCTCTTTCTGTCCTCTCTTTCCCTCTACTCATTAAAAAATAACATTCTTCACATAATTTCCTTAAGTACAGTGCTCTGAGTTTTCAAAATCAAGCCCTTGTGAAAAAATCCATTTTTTCAACATACAGTTTGCATCTTAACAGGTCCCCTTTCCTGGGGAAGCAAGGTCTTAATGGAAAGGAGTGGTGCAAAGGGGAACTACAGAACCCTGGCTGGAGCAGGAGGTGCATGGGATGATAATTCACCCTTCAATGACTCTACATGGTCAACCACCTACTATTTCAGATAGAAGGCTACAGCAGCTTAAATTACTTCAAGTTAAATTACTTGAACTGTCCTACCTGTGGAGTAAAAATGGACACAAACGCTGTGGTAAATGTTGTTTGAAGTCAGTTTGGAAGAGGAGTTTCTGCTGTAGGACTCTGGCTTAGGAACGAATATAATATTTGTTAATATTGAGAATAACTTAAGCTGGATAACAGCTACTGTAATCTCTCATTTAAGTGGTATGAAATTAGCTGGATGGCAGCTATTGTAATCCCTCATTTAAGTAGCATGAAATTAGTTTCCCTGTCTAAATACATCTATTATTTCTCAATCAACTTTTTTTAACTTTTGAGTTTCCACTTTTTAGATTAACTCAGAGATAAGTATTTCACAAAGATCATTATTCTAGAAATGACTTTGGTTCATCTCTTTCTCAACCGTTTTACTTAACAATGCTATTTCCAAAAGCTTAATACACATGTATAACCAATTTCATAATTCTTCAGATAGTTTATCTAATAGTTCCAAACCCTAGCTTCTTCTCAGAATCACCTGTCGAGCTCTTTTGAAGTAGTGTTCATTCTCTAGGCCCTACCCTTAGGTTAGCTGATCCAGTTGGACCGGGGCATGACCTTACCCATGCATGCCTTTTGGAAGCTCTATAGTGATTATGATGTATAGGTATTGTTATAATCTATTAGTATAAAACAATGTTTTAGAGAGGTAATAAAATCTGTCTATCCTAAGAAAAAAGACTTGATAAACTTTGAAATGGAGGGCAGTTTACCATGTAAAGATTACTGTTGCTATGTCTGTAAAACTGAAAATCACTGACCACAGTATAGAATATAGAATAGATTTCCATTCAGTTTATCTAAATAATTATAATTGCTCAATCTGCCATATCAAAATCCACAGACTGGCTAGGTTAAACAACAGACATTTTTTCACAATCTTGGAGACTGGACTTTTAAGACCAATATGCTGGTTAGTTTCTGGGGAGACTTCTTTTCCTGGCTTCTAAATAGCTGGATTCTCACTGTGCCTTCCCGTGGCCTTTCCTCTGTGTGTATTTTGGGAGATGGGGTGAAGTGAGTGAGTGAGAAAGAGAGAGAGAGCGAGAGAGATAGAGTGCGAGAGAGAGAGCGCGCGCGCGAGAGAGAGCGCGCAAGAGAGATCTGGTCTCTCTTTCTCTTATAAGGAGACTAGTCCTATTGGATTCGTGTCTCAACCTTATGACCCCATTTAACCATAATTCTCCCTTAAAGATCATGTCTCCAAATACAGTCACATTGGTGTTTAGGGCTTCAACATATGAATTTTGGAGGGGATACAATTCAATCCACAGTAAAAATCAAGTGAAAATTAATTTTAAAATGGTACCTTGAACTGATAGAATTCTCCAGTAAAATTATAACTGGAATCAGAAATCTAAACATAATGGTTTCTCAGAATCTGGGCATGATGTATGAGACTTTTGACAAATTAATCTACCTACTTGTAAATACCCTGGTTCAGTATTCTGGATGTAACACAAAGTTAGCAGATTCTAATTATTTACTTTAGTCATTTGGTGACAAGCTTCACAGATGAAAATGATAAAATAGTAGAAAGAAGAGGGTCTTAGAGTTTATCTATTGTAATTTAGTTTTTGTTTGTTTTTCTTTGTTTTTTGTTTTGTTTTGTTTTTTGGAGATGGAGTCTCACTCTATCTCCCAGGCTGGAGTGCAGTGGTGTGACCTCAGCAAACTGCAACCTCTGCCTCCCAGATTCAAGCAATTCTCCCGCCTCAGCCTCTCAAGTAGCTGGGACTACCAGCGTTCGCCAACACTCCTGGCTAATTTTTTTTTTTTTTTTTAGTAGAGATGGGGTTTCACCATGTTGGCTAGGCTGGTCTTGAACCCCTGACCTCAAGTGATCCTCTCACCTCTGCCTCCAAAGTTCTGGGATTACAGCTGGGAGCCACCGCACCAGGCTGCAATTTAGTTTTTGTGATTAATAAAGAAAATCCCAGCGGGCTAAATATGCCAAGACAGCACAGCTGATTTGTGATGGGGCTGGAACTAGCTCCTCTAGCTTCATATGCATTCATCTTTTCAGGTAACTTCTCAGACAGACTTTGGCATTGGACTTTTGTATATATTGGTTACCATAAGGAAAAATATAAGAATCTATAGGAATATAGGAAATCAGTTTTTATTTTATTTTAAAATTATTTCTAACTTACAGGGTAATAAATTATTTCAGCTTAGGAGATCATACTTTTCAGTAACTTAGAGACTACATGGTGTATGTTAAAGGTGGATCAAAAGCACAATTGCTCTCAAAATACAGGAATGGCTAATTACTTAACCAAAACAGGGTATTCTTTCATATTAGTTCTTTTTATTTTATTTTTTTTGACATGAGGGTCTCACTCTGTCACCAAGTCTGGAGTGCAGTGGTGCAATTACAGCTCACTGTAGACTTGAACTCCTGGGCCCAAGCAATTCTCCCACTTCAGCTTCCTCAGTAGCTGGGACTACAGGCACGTGCCACCATGCCCAGCAAATTTTTTAAGTTTTTTGTAGAGACAGGCTCTCACTATGCTGTCCAGGCTGGTCTTGAACCCCTGGACTCAAGCAGTCCTCCCAACTTGACTTCAAAAACTGCTAGGACTATAGGCATAATCCACTGCATCTTGGTAATTCCTATTTTTAAGAGGCTTGTCCTGTTTTAAATTATGGTGACCTAATGTATCACGTGAAGCAGTTTATATTTGGGGAAAGGAAAAGATGGGGATATGAGACCTTGTGACTCACACAAAGCACCACCCATCATATGCTGTAGGGAAATAAAAGGGCACCATGCTTTTACACTGTTGGGAGTGTAAATTAGTTCAACCACTGTGGAAGACAGTGAGATGATTCCTCAAGGATCTAGAACCAGAAATACCATTTGACCCAGCAATCCCATTACTGAGTATATACCCAAAGGATGATAAATCATTATCATTCTACTATAAAGACATATGCACCCTTATGTTTATTGCAGCACTGTTCACAATAGCAAAGACTTAGAACCAACCCAAATGCCCATCAATGATAGACTGGGTAAAGAAAATATGGCACATATACACCATGGAGTACTATTCAGCCATAAAAAGAATGAGTTCATGTCTTTTGCAGGGACATGGATGAAGCTGGAAACCATCATTCTCAGCAAACTAACACAGGAACAGAAAACCAAACACCACATGTTCTCACTCATAAGTGGGAGCTGAACAATGAAAACACATGGACACAGGGAGGGGAACATCACACACCAGGGTTGGCAGGGAGGTGGAGGCACTAGTGGAGGGATAGCATTAGGAGAAATAACTAATGTAGATGGCAGGTTGATGGGTACAGCAAACCACTATGGCACGTGTATACCTATGTGACAAATCTGCATGTTCTGCACGTGTATCCCAGAAGTTAAAGTATAATAATAATAATAATAATAATAATAATAATAATAATAATGGCACCATGGTGTCCTCCAGGAATAACATCAAGGAATGGAAACCAGGCCAGCAGGCAAAGGGCATACAAAAGGGTGCAAGACAGTGTATATCATCCAGAAAGTGAAGGGTGACTGATGCTTGTATGTTTCCTGTATTAGAATTGCTTAGAAAGATTAATTGGGTAATTGCTAGGCTGAGTTTAGACTATACATGTAAAAGATGTTTTATATCTAGTGCATACTCAGGTGGATTGTTAGTGACTGTGGGCATTGCTGTTTTGAGGAGGGTGCTGAGGGTATATCTGGACTTAGCAGGACAGTAATGTCTATTATCACATAAAGGGAAAGCGGGGATCATTGAATGAATGATATGGAGTTGCCATTTCTGGAATAAACAATTGTTCACTCCTCTCCTTTTATTTTTCTCCCTCCCTTGGATTATTTCTAAAGCTGGGTTGAATGTTGAGGCAGAGGTATAAATGGTTAAGGCAGAGGTATAAATGTTGAGGCAGAGGTATAAATGTTAAGGCAGAGGTATAAATGGTTGAGGCAGAGGTATAAATGGATTATTTCTAAAGCTGGGTGGAATGTTGAGGCAGAGGTATAAATCGCTTTAAAGTCACTTTCCACTTTAAAATTCTTTGAGGTTTTTTTTTCTTAATTTTGCAGAGAAGACTTACTATTATCAAGGTGATTTTCATATTTCTGGAGTCACATACAATGATAATTGTGAAAACGCAGCTTCACAAGCCAGCACAAATCTAAGCAAAGATATTGAGACTAAGGTAAATCAGAGATTTTTAAAATTAATTTTATTATAAATTTGATTGAAACATACATGATGACTGTTTTTTTTCTCTTGTCAGATGTTAAATGCATTTCAAAATTCCAGTATATATAAGGAATATGTCAAATCTGAGGTCATCAAACTTCTGTAAGTACAAGTTCATTTAAGATTTTATGAAAGGAAAGTAGGTGATATATCATACAACCTTGATTTTAGATAACAATAACAACAAAAAACAAACATAAAGAAAAAGAGAAACAAAGGAAAGGAAAGAAAGAAAGGAAGGAACGAAGGAAATAGAAAAAAAAAGAAAAAGAAAGATCAAGTTCTCCATGAATGAAAGTATCATTGTATCTAGCAAATTTCTGTTCTGGGCAAGAGTCATTATATACAAATCTTTAATCTTATACCTGCAAAAGAATTATAAGGTTATTGGTGGTGGTCAGTCCTAACTGACTGCTATGATGAAAGATAATTATAACTCCAGGGAAAACAAATAATTCAACTGGTTTGTTTTTAGCCCATACCTTCCCTAAAAACATCCTATTTTAGTTTCCTTAATAATTATCATCCTTACAATGGCTGTGGAACAAAGACAATATTTTAAGACAACATTTGTCTAGACACACCTTTGAAGGATGCCTGAAGATAGTGGTGGTAGGGAGGGATGCAGGGAGGAGGGTATAGTGTATGGGGGAAGAGTAATGAGGGTAGAGCCCACTTGTAATTTGGTAATTGTTAATATCAGTTCTGGGGAATTCTGAACTCTCAAAACAAAACAAACAAAAAATCCAGCTGACCTAACCAACCTACTTACCTACAGACAAACAAAAACCTTCAAAGACCCTAGAATTGATCATAATTATTTGAAAGTGAAATTATGGATATTTTAACAATTCTGATTGATATGGCTTTGGTTTGAAAGTCTTCCAAAATGAATTAATCTCTTTTCCTGATTAATCAAAAGAATGTACTGAATATATAATCAAGATGTCCTTCATGCTTTAGAATTCTCTTTCTGAGCTTTTTCATTGTATAGATCTGTTGGGGCAGACTGGTTATGTATAAAAAAACCGTAGGAAGAAGGTTAGCACTGGCTTCTAAATACATGCTGGAAATTGTCTTTTGAATGCTTCCCTGCCCTATCTTTATTTTCTCATTTATCTCTTTCTATAAAATGAAGTTATTAGAAAAATTCTTTATGAGAGCACTGGTTTTTATTGTATTATAGTAAGACTTCATGCCAATCATTTCTTGGCCAGTATTCCATTTCCCATAGTGTTTGAAATATTCTGATTTTAGTTTGTGGTCTATATTTTCTTCCATGAATAGCACATCTGAACTAGACGTACTAGAAGTTTTTTTAGATATCTTTGAATTTTATACATGCTTAGATAGTATATGTATATTTTTCTTTAATATATGTAAAGAAAATGTGATAATTAAAATGTGTGAAATTTAATGTGTTCACAAAACCTCTAAAAGATCAAGAAACAGTACATTAGAAAATTTCTGTTGTTTCTAGGCCTAATGCCAATGGTTCAAATGTGCAGTTACAGCTGAAATTCAAGTTTCCTCCAGCAGAAGGAGTTAGCATGAGGACTAAAATCAAGGCTAAATTACATCAGATGTTGAAAAACAACATGGCATCCTGGAATGCAGTTCCTGCTTCCATTAAACTCATGGGTATTTGACTTATTTCCATTATTTTCTATTACATAGGTTTTTTCTGGATTATTTTTTTAAAAAGTACTAAAAAGTGAACTAAGAGTTTTAGTAATTCGGGAAAAAAATATGCGTACCTAACTCTGGCACCCCTAGCAATGACTTGGTAGTGGAAAGGGCAGTGCCATGGAATCATTGTCTGAAGAATGATAGGAATGAGGGTTACACTGCAAGCATGGATGTAAGTTTGGAAGGGTTTGGCTATTATGCATGGGAAAGGGGGTGAAGGGTTCTAATTGAATTATCTTCTTGTTTTTTTTTTTGAGATGGAGTCTTGCTCTGTTGCCCAGGCTGGAGTGCAGTGGCGTGATCTCGGCTCACTGAAACCTCTGCCTCCCAGGTTCAAGCAGTTCTCCTGCCTCAGCCTGGGACTACAAGCATCCGCCACCACACCTGGCTAATTTTTTTGTATTTTTAGTAGAGACAGGGTTTTACCATGTTAGTCACACTGGTCTTGAACTCCCGACCTTGTGATCTGCCCACCTCGGCCTCCCAAAGTGCTGGGATTACAGGCATGAGCCACCGAGCCCAGGCAAAGTATCTTTCTTTTCTACTCCTTGCTTTTGTCAGGATCTCATGACAGAAAGCAGATTTAGGGCTTTCTTGGTCTTTCAGTAAGGAGACTGCAGGAGTTAAGAACAATGTTAGGGATGGGAGTTCTTATTGATTTTTGTGAAAAAACTGGAGTAATACCACTTTTAAAGAAAAAAATTGTCTGGAAAATTCCCTAGAAAACAAGGGAATCATGAAATTTTGAGAACTTAAATTTAAATCTTTTTCCTATTGGTAAAAGACTTTAGAGGGAAGGAGAAGAGGAGGAAACTAAAGAAACACTAGAAAATGCTGAGTATACTCTATGGGACACAGAAAGAGAGTAAACAATCTATCCCTCTTTCCCAAAAGCTTCTCACAGAAAAATGATAAGATTTTGCCTCCTTACAGAAAGTGAAGTTTGTAAAGATTGTGAAGGTTTTGCAAAGGTCTTGAAACTGTCACTTGGATTGTTAAAAGTCCAGCTAGGTGATAAGCATATGATTTCAGAGTCCAGTTTCATGGTTCTTCCAGCCAGACAATTAATCCTAGGGTCTTCGAGGGCTTGAAAGGCCAGCAACATCTGCCAGTTACCGCTCTTTTGCCACACAATAAAGACCCCGTTACCAGTGAACCACTAATAAGAAGGGAACCTGAGGTAGAACTTTTCAAGGGAGCAATAAAATTTTTCTGTGAGTAGCTTTTGGGAAAGAGGGATACGTTGTTTACTCTCTTTCTGTGTCCCATAGAGTATAGTCAGCATTTTCTAGTGTTTCTTTAGTTTCCTCCTCTTCTCCTTCTCTCTAAAGTCTTTTACCAATAGGAAAAAGATTTAAATTTAAGTTCTCAAAATTTCATGATTCATTCTTAGTAAGGAGATTTCCCTAAAGAGCAGGATGGGCTCAGTGAAGTATAATTTTAATTGGGACATTTTTCCTTAAAATATATATAATTCTGAGCATTTCAGAGTAAAGAGAATTATCATGGGAAAGAAATCTCTATCATGATCTCTTAAAAGTATTTGTAAGGGGGAGGGGGGAGGGACAGCATTAGAAGATATACCTAATGTTAAATGACGAGTTAATGGGTGCAGCACACCAACATGGCACGTGTATACATATGTCACAAACCTGCACGTTGTGCACATGTACCCTGAAACTTAAAGTATAATAAAAAAACAATTTGTAAGGGTGCCAGCTTCTTACAGCACTGAATATTTTACTTCAATAATCATAAAACTGATTTTTGTTTTTTATTCCCTTTTCTCTTTTTCTAGGCTACCTAGTAGAGATATGGAGAGATGGTTATAATGTAACAAATAAGAGTCAGAGGGGCTGAAAATACCTGAACTACTCCAAATAGTTAAATGTTGGACAATATTGGGTTAGGAAAGTTAGCATTTATGTTCTTAGGTTGAAGTCAATTGCTTGGTGATATTTGCTCAATTTTATATTTTGTTTTGTTTTTCACTTTCAGAAATCAGCAAGGCTGCTTCTGAAATGCTTACCAACAACTGTAAGTTAAGGACCTTTTAATTATAAATTTGATGGACTCACAGGTATTTTCTCATTATTTTTCTATTAAAAATACTTGAAATATGTCATGTGGAAATCCCATAACACGCTTTCCGAATTACTAGATATACCAGATATTGACTTAGAATTTCTCTTTGAAAAACACTGGTCTATTAATTTTAACATTTATTAAAAAATATATAAAAAGTTAAATGAAAATTGATTCCAAATAATAAAACTGTGAGTGAAAAATATCATATTTGAATATGTTAAAATGAGAAAGATTGAAGGAAATGACAATTTAGGATAAGAAGAAAATATAAAACCAGGCTATATAAAATATATTTATTAAAGATAAAAACAGTTCTGCATCTTAAAAATTATTATTATTTTTTGCTTTAGAGGTGGGATGTTGCTATGTTGTGTGGGCTGGAGTGCAATTCACAGGTGCAATTACAGTGGACTATAGCCTGGAACTCTTGGGCTCAAGCAGTCCTCCTGCCTCAGCCTCCCAAGTAGCTGGGCCTATAGGAGCATATCGCTGTCCTGTTACATCTTTTAAATAAATTCTCTTTAGAGTATCATGTTTTCCACAAGATACATTTATGCATTCATTCACTCCATGGATATTTATGGAGTATCTTTTGTTCACATGGTGTCTTACAGACAGCAGTGCATATACTATGCAAGATGTAGACACCAATGAGGCAAAGCTCCTCCTTCAAGAATCTGCTTAGAGAGACAAGAGTTATAACACATAGACACAACAAAAAATAGTGGTTGAAAGATGCTTGAGACTGGAAAAGAGGATAAGTAAGAACCACTCAAACCAAGATAGAATACAGAAACATCACAGGAGTATCTTGTAGGAAAGAAACGTCATCAATTAGGAGAAGTTGAATAATCACTGAAAGGTTTCAAGTAATTTTTAATGATATATTTTTTTATAATGCGTAATCAAAGATACCTGCTCTCGTGTAAATAAATCCTTTCTCTAGGTTGTGGGAGACAAGTAGCCAACAGTATCATAACTGGCAACAAAATTGTGAATGGAAAAAGCTCCCTGGAGGGGGCATGGCCATGGCAGGCCAGCATGCAATGGAAAGGCCGTCACTACTGTGGAGCCTCTCTGATCAGCAGCAGGTGGCTATTATCTGCAGCTCACTGCTTTGCTAAGTAAGTTTGAAAATTTGACTAAATGAAGGATGCTAGGTGCAAAACTATTTTGGATAGTTTGTAGGGGTTAACTTAATGTGTCAAGGTTCACCAAGGCCATATGAAATTTACAATCACATAGAACATTTACAATCACCTGCGTAATTAAAGAGCAGGAAAGGAAATGCATTTAAATTAGAGAAAGGAGAGAAAAGCAAATAGAAGTATTAATTAACATTTTCCAAATAGGTACCTTGGCCTGACATTAAGTGCTTTACTTAACATCATTTCATTTAATCACAACATTCAATTCTGTATGGAAGGTATAGTTAAAACCATTTGAAGATGAGGAAACTAAGTCTCACTCAGGAAAGGTGACAAAACTTGGCTAAGATCACTCAGCTCTTTTTTTTTTTTTTTGAGATGGAGTCTCAATCTGTTGCCCAGGTTGGAGTGCAATGGTGCGATCTCAGCTCACTGCAAACTCTGCCTCCTGGGTTTAAGCGATTCTCCTGTCTCAGCCTCCTGAGTAGCTGGGATTACAGGCACGCACCACTATGTCCAGCTAATTCTTGTATTTTTAGTAGAGACGGGGTTTTACCATGTTAGTCAGGCTGGTCTCGAACTCCTGACCTTAAGTGATCCGCCTGCCTCAGCCTCCCAAAGTGCTGGGATTACAGGTGCGAGCCACCATGCCCAGCCTAGTTCTTAAATAATAGAAACTGAATGTGAATTCAAGTGTGTCTGACTCCAGTTACTAGGTGCTTCCTTGTCTTGCCATCCAGAAGTTTATAATCTAGTTGAGAAAATTTAAATGTCATATATTAAAAGTACGAGGCTGTATAGTATTGTAAACATGACACGTATTACAAAGATAGTAAGTACGATGGAAATTTGAAGAAAGACAGCATATCCATCTGACGTAAAATTTAATCTGGACCCAAAAATTGAGTATATCCAAAGGAAGATAAATTGTTCTACCAAAAAGCCATATGCACTTGTATGTACACCACAGCTCACAATAGCAAAAACATGAAATCAACCTAGATGCCCAGCAACGGTGAACTGGATAAAGAAAATATGGGTCATATACACCATGGAATACTATCCAGTCATAAAAAAGAATAAAATCATGGCCTTTGCAGGAACATGGATGCAGTTGCAGGCTATTATCCAAACTAAATGAATTAATGCTGGAACAGAAAACTAAATACCACATCTTCTTGCTTATAAGTGGGAGCTAAACACTGAGTACATATGGATACAAGGAGGGGAACAATAGACATTAGGGCCTACTTGAGGGTGGTAGAAGGGTGAGGGTAAAAAAAGTAGCTATTGAAACCAAGGGTATGTGGCAATAAGACTAATCCTGGACCCCATCCACTTACGGAATTGAGGACGCTCATGTGATTCCTGACCAAATTAAATGTTCAGAAACTGGATGGAACTGAATAAGCAGGGGAAAACATCAGTGACTCTACTTGAAAAGATCTTCAGAAAGCTGACAAATCTGAGTCCTTAGCATTATTTTTAAGTGACTGCAACATTTACAACAGCTCCATGTCAAAGATAGTTTTCAAAATAGAATTTCAGTGGTTTATAGTTTTGTTTGGGAACCTCATGCCTTAAAATTATGAGATAATCACCACTAAGAACAGTGTTGTGACCCAGCAACTGAGTGTATTCTAATTACATTGTGTCCTCTAGGAAAAATAATTCAAAAGATTGGACTGTCAACTTTGGAATTGTAGTAAATAAACCATATATGACACGGAAAGTCCAAAACATTATTTTTCATGAAAATTATAGCAGTCCTGGGCTTCATGATGATATTGCCCTTGTGCAGCTTGCTGAAGAAGTTTCTTTTACAGAGTACATTCGTAAGATTTGTCTTCCTGAAGCCAAAATGAAGCTCTCAGAAAATGACAATGTTGTAGTTACAGGTTGGGGAACACTTTATATGAATGGTAAGTTTTTTTGTAAAATCATAATAGCTGCATGGGAATAACTATTTAATCAATCAATCAATCAATCAATCAATCATCCCCTCATGCAATTAATCAATCAGTAAATATACTGAAAAGAAAACCAAGTGGTGGGACAAAAAGCATGATGTCAAATTGTCTTCACTTCCTAAAATATCTCTGGGAATGGGAATTGGAAAAATTGAAATTATGTGTTAGGCAGCCAACTATTACAAACACCTGAAAGAGACTAATCTAACCTGGGACTGGCCTGACTCTTGGTGACCAAGAGAGTCTGCTTTATGCTATAGGTAGATATTCTTTGTCCCAGCAAAGTCTAAGATCTGCATAATATGCAGCACTTATTGCTTTTAGGTTCATTTCCAGTGATACTTCAAGAAGACTTTTTGAAGATTATTGACAACAAAATTTGCAATGCCTCATATGCATACTCTGGCTTTGTGACTGATACAATGTTATGTGCTGGATTTATGTCAGGAGAAGCTGATGCATGTCAGGTATGTCTAGTTACATTATCCAGTTGTTTTCTCCCAGTTAATCAAATGGAAGTTTTTATCCACATAAAATTTTTTTTGTGTTAATAATACTGACATAGTAGCTTTGTATTTCAATACACTAAAAATGTATTAATTCCATTTATGTACCAGACACTAGCCTACATGCTAGGGACGTGGAGGTGAACACAATCCTGCCCTCACGAAGTTTTCAATCTGGGAATTCATACAAAGAATAACACTTAGAAGAAGTTTACAAGATGAATTTTGTCCTATTTTCTGGGCAACCTGCAGACCTAGAATGTTGTCTTCTCTTTATCCAGAGATGCATCAGGAGTCTGGGCACATGCCTATGCCACTTGTTCCTCAGAGGCTTCATCATAGAGACTTAAGCTCAGTGCAAGCAGCTAAGTCACCTTCTCCATATTCAAGCTGCACTCATTATATAAGTCAAACTCTGGTTTGCTCAAGTCAACATTTGGCAGTTTTAGGCCATATATTCTGGTTTGTAGCTGTCTTGTGTTTTAAAAAAAAGTCCTAAGGGTTTCAGAGTTCTAAGCCCAAAGAGAGTGAATTGGTTTCAGTGCCCAGGAGGTACAGATAACTCCACAGGAGAGGTAAAAGGAAATTTTTTGTTAAGACAAGAAACATTTTTTTCTTTTCTTCTTCTAGAATGATTCTGGTGGACCACTAGCTTACCCTGATTCCAGAAATATCTGGCATCTTGTTGGAATAGTAAGCTGGGGTGATGGATGTGGTAAAAAGAATAAGCCAGGTGTCTATACTCGAGTGACTTCTTATCGCAATTGGATTACATCCAAGACTGGACTCTGAAAAAAAAGGAATTATACAAAGGAACATAAAGACCACTGTAGGCTATCCTTATCTGTGGCTTTGGGATCTTTTTATTTTGATTGTTGGTAAACTAATCATTTTATTATATATAAAAATATAAATGTCTTTATTAATATTTTATTATATCTAAAACACTGTCCATGCATTTATTAATCTTTTAAATTAATGTAAGAGATAGGAAGAGGCCAGGTGTAGTGGCTCATGCCTGTAATCCTAGCACTTTGAGAGGCCGAGATAGGCGGATTGCTTGAGCCCAGGAGTTTGAGGGCAGCCTGGGAAACATGGCTAAATCCGTGTTCAAAAAATACAAAAATTAGCTAGGCATGGTGGCGTGCACCTATAGTCCCAGCTATTCAGGAGGCTGAGGTGGGAGGATTGCTTGAGCCCAGCAGGTTGAGGCTGTGGTGATTTGTGATTGCGCCACCACTGCACTCCAGCCTGGGCAACAGAGTGAGACCCTGTCTCAAAAAAAAAAAAAAAAAAAGGAGAGAAGAAAATAAAGAAGGCTAATATATAATTTTTCTTAATAGCTGAGTTGTGATTCATTTTACCATTATATTCAGAATTGACCTTAATTTGTTTTCCAGAATCAAAAGAAAATAAAATATAAATTTTGAAACTATGAGAACATATATAGGGGATTTATCAAATGAGTTACTTTTTATTATATCAATTATAATTTCATTTTATTAACTGGAATAAGTGCGAAAGTGTACATTACTTTTTAACTTATATGTGAAATGATTCATGTACCTCACAAAATCATGCAATCTTGCAGTGAAGAAGGAGTATCAGAGCTCCAGCTACACTGAGTCTTTCAATTTACAGATCAAGAAACTGAAGACCAGAGAAGAGAAATGATTTGGTTAAAGTCACTCTCCATCATCTGTGATAAGTTGACAAATTTATCCTTACACAAATTTGTCCTCATTGAGTTGACATCCAAAATTTGTCAGGAATTAAAGAATGACTTTTGAGTGGCAATTATTTATATAACATTTTCCATTGTCTTCATATTCACCTTTTGTCATTTGTTTGCTTTCTCTTGCAGCAAAAATAATATGAGGTCATCAAGGGCAGAGAACTGTGTGGCATCTCCTTATAGTAAAAGTGCAATCATATGGATGGCTAACTTTGTAATCTCTACAAATAATTTACCTTATGTAATTTTCCAAATGTAAAAGTCACCAAAAACTTAAAGGCATTAAAATAAACTAAAAAAGTACTCATTTCTTCATTTGTTTGTGGAGCTACTCTTTTATTCTTTATTATAAAGTATGGCTCAAATGATATGCATATTGACATCAAGCAAATCTATAACCATCTGTGACAAGATGGTGTCTTTCTCTCCTCACTTCTGTTTCAGGCCAGCCACATGTATTTATTGAGTCCCTAGTGTGTTTCAGGAAATGTCAGGTATAGATACAATGTCTTCCTTCAAGGATACCACATTTAGTGAATAAAGATAGGCAGTAAACACATAAATAAGATAATTTTGGATTACGATAAATGTTATAAAGGAAATAAAAAGTAATGTGATAGAAAATGATGGAGCAGATAAGCTATAATTTAGATTGGGAAGTCTGAATGACATCTCTGAGGGGGTAGCCATTTGAGCTGTACCTAAAGGATGAAAAGCCAAAACATGGAAAACATATGAAAGAAAAGATATCCAAAGGGAACAAGTATGAGATCCAGAGAGAGAGAGAAAAGTGAGGTGGATATGTGCAGCAGAAAGAAGGCCAATGTGATTGAAACCCCATGGATAAATGAGAGATGGTAGGGGAGAAGATGGAGGAGGTAGATGGGGGCCAAGTCAAGTACCGCTTGGTAAGCCATGGTAAAGACCTTGAATTTTCATTCTAACTGCAATGGGAGGCCCAGGAGTTTTCCAAGCAAAGGGAGTGAGATAATCTAATATGCACTTTGAAAAGATTACATAACTTTGATGAAGAGAATGGGCTGGAGTGGGGGTGAAGAGCACAGAATGCAGGCAGACTGGTTAGAAAGCTACTGCAGCTGTCCTAGTAAGAAATGAACACATATTCATCCTTTTCCTTGGGCTAGGAATATGCCTTGGTAGGATAACAGAAGACATCCTTTTATAGTGCAACCCAAAGTAGAACAAAGTTTAATATTACTAAGAGGTCAAAGGTATTGCAGGCTGTATAATGATTTCCTTGTCTTATAGATAGTTAATTCAGAAGTCAGATGTTTACAAGCATTTAATTTATCCCCGACATCATGAGTTGAATCACAGTCTGTCCCTTGCTTCTTCCAGAGGGAAAACAAATGGAACTGAATGAGTAATAACCCCAATATGGAAGAAAGAGGAAAGTGATTGGAAGGAAAGGGTGGACAGGAATTTGGAGGAGGATGGGAGATTGGTGGAGGAAGAGAATTTGTGAGACTAAGGGGTCCATGAGAAAGAAATGAAGCGTGAAGATTTCTCAAGATTGAGGCTTCCTGGTTGAACAAGGAGGGATATGATAGCATGAGTGGCCAATCTCCAGGCTTGGTGTGGAGGTAAGGAGCAGGTGGGGCAAGTTGCATAAGGTAAAGCAGTTATTATTCAGCCAAAGGTGGATTCTTTATGGGGTGCAATAGTAGCCTTTACTTCAGTCTTAACAACTTAGAATCTTCACTTTCATATGGACTGTATGTGTGACGGATCAGCTAAAAGTAAGTGTTTTTTTTTCTTTTTGGTAGTAATAGACTGCGCCATCCTGGCCTTCTGATGTTAACAGCACATTGAGAAGTTCACACAAAGAATTAGAGGTCTGCCTTGAGAAATAAAACCAACAACACTAATCACAATGCATGAAAATTAAAATGCTAAATTGACAAAAGTATCATTATTTGCATTACAAAATTAGTCACCATTTTATTAAAAAGTAAAAGATTTTCTCAAATAAAATGCTTTTACTACTCATAAGTGGTATGGAAAAGAAACCAGAGATGAATGATTAAGGAGATATTTTACGCTCCCCCCATTCCCCAGCTAAGCAGAACAAAACAAAACAAAACAAAATAAAACAAAGAACAACTTAGACTAATTTAATTATTTCTTCCTGTTTTTAAGTAGGGGAAGTTGAAGTCCATTTTGAAGGAGTCCATTGAGCAAGAATTTGAGAAAGAGCATACCATTACTGACTAGCGGGACCACAGCTATTAATAAATGTCCATATGTTCTTGAGAAACATAAAAAATTATGTGTTTGAAATATGAAACTGTTTGTGATATAAGATAGGGATATAGTCTTGTGCACTATGAAGCATAAGCCAAGATCTTTTTGTGAATGTAGTGCTAATTAAAATGGCATTTTTTTAAAGATTGAAAAAAAAATTAATGCCATATATGATAGCACAAAGTTGACAAGGTTGTTCCCTCCTTCTTGTGAAGCCTCCAATTAACCAACCAGTTTAGGCTTTAATAAGGAATTTTTGAAAGTGACTTCCTTGTTCAAGGATTGTGTCTACTCTAGAAACATCTCCAACTTATCAGTGTATGAGAACTCTTTTTTAACTCATAAGGCAGTATTTTGTTATGCAACACAGACTTTCATATTAATGCTTTCAAAGAATGTTTTCACTGAAAATGAATCAGAAAAGAAGAGACGAAGTGATGAAAAGTATCTAAAAATGTTTTTAGGTTTATTTTTAAAAATTTGGTCTTAGAGGCAGGGTGCGGTGGCTCACACCTGTAACCCCAGCACTTTGGGAGGCCAAGGCAGGCGGATCACGATGTCAGGAGAACGAGACCATCCTGGCTAACACAGTGAAAACCCCGTCTCCCCTAAAAAATACAAAAAATTAGCCAGGTGTGGTGGCGGGCGCCTGTAGTCCCAGCTACTCGGGTGGCTGAGGCAGGAGAATGGCGTGAACCCCGGAGGCGGAGCTTGCAGTGAGCCGAGATCGCGTCACTGCACTCCAGCCAGAGCGAGATTCCATCTCAAAAAAAAATAAAAAATAAAAATTTGGTCTTAGATATTGGTCTAATGGCTCAAAGCCTGCTAGAAGCTGTTTTCCATTGACTGGAATTTTTATTTTTATTTTTTGGCATACCTGAAAATATCTTCATGTTCTCCTCATTGAGCTTGTCATTTGCCATTTGTTATGACTTAAATACTGTGATCAGTCATGACATCTACACTCACTGCCCCTGCCCCTATCTCCCCATTCACTATCTAGCCCGGCAAAACCACAAACACGGTTCAGTCCAACTCTTCAACTTTTTAGTGCATGTACCATAGTTGTTGACTGTAGCTGGAGAAAAACACACATCATGCTGGCTACTCTTTAAAATCTTAGTCATGAACCTCAGTTATATCCTTAATGCTCTTTGAAAATCCCTTTGCACTTCCTTAGCCAAAACTCCCTCTTATTCTCCTAAATAACTCATTCACTTCTCTCCTGCTCTTAACTCCAACACTGTCTTTTTCTCCTCCTTACACTCACCTGATGATCATGCTCATTGTTTCACCAAGAAAACAAGAGGAACCAGATGAGAGTTTCTACTGGCACTTATCATAAAAATCTACAAATCTACTTGCTTCTCAAAGGGCAGTATAGGTAACTGAACTTGAGCTAAACAGCCTTTGTGCAAACGCTGGTTTGCCATGTACAAGATGGGTGACTTTGGGCAAATTATTTAAAATCACTATGCCTCAGTTTCTTTGATGTGATATGGGGATAAGAATGATATCTACTTCATGGTGTTGTTTTGGAGTATTCAAGGAGTTAAAAGTAATGTACTTAGAACACATAGCAAATGCAAGATAGATGTTAGCTGTTATTGTCATCTATCCTCCTTTTTCTTACAATGGATTAACTGTTTGTACACCACTCTAAGGCCAAACTCTCCCCTTGTGCTAAGAACCCATCTGTACTCACCTTCTCAAAGATTTTATTTCTATAACTGTTGCCCATCCCTGTTTATGTCATCAATTTTCCCCTCTATACTGGATCATTTCCATAGACACAGTAACTTCTGCAATATCTTCCAGATAAAAACATACTTATTTTTTAACCCTACATCTTCTCCTGCTATGTTTCTTTGTGAAACTAGTTCAAAGTGCTGTCCTTACCTCCTTTCCATTCATTCCCTCTCAAACTCACTCCAAATATTGACTCAGATGTTCCTCCAAAACTGCATTAGTCATGGTCACCAATGAGTTTCGTGTTGCCATTCCAATGCTCAATTCTCAATTCTTCCTTTAATTAATCTATCAATAACATTTAGCATTGTTGATCATTTTTTATGGAAACACTTTCTTTATCTGGCTTCCAGAAAAAAAAAAACATCTTTTATGGAAATCTTTCTATGTCATTAGCAATTTCTTCTCAGTTTTTCTGCTGGATCTTCCACATCTTTCCCAACTTTAGATGTTGGACTGTCCCAGAGCTCAGGCTCATATCTCTCCTCTTCTCTACTTATACTCATACCCTAAGTGATCTTATCCAGTTCGATGACTTTCTTTTTTTCTTTTTGAGACAGAGTTTCACTCTTGTTGCCCAGGCTGGAATGCAATGGTGTGATCTTGGCTCACTGCAACCTCTGCCTCCTGGGTTCAAGCAATTCTCGTGCCTCAGCCTCCTGAGTAGCTGGGATTACAGGTGCCTGCCACTATGCCCGGCTAATTTTTTGTTTTTCTTGTAGAGACAGGATTTCACCATGTTGGCTAGGCTGGTCTTGAACTCCTGACCTCAGGTGATCCACCCACCTCAGCTTCCCAAAGTGCTGGGATTACAAGCATGAGCCACCACACATGCCAGTTCAATGGCTTTCAATACCAACTCTCTGCCTCCACTTCCAAGTGTTTTAATTGTAGCTTTAGAAGTCACTGTTTTGCCATCTCCCTGAACCTTCAGTGGCATATCTCTAAAATTTCCATGTGAAAATCTAATAGGCAGTTTCTATTAGTATGTCAAAATAGAATTGTTCATCTTTTCTCAGTCTTCTACATTTCAAAAGCATGGACGTGGAATCATCCTGAGTAACAAATATTTGAAATATTATTTTTTGTTAATTTCATTATTGGATTTTGCATAGGATAGAGTTAATATACAGCTGGACTGGGAAAACTCTATCCTTTTCTTTGGGAATGCTTTTCTTTGGGAAAAAAGTTGCTTAGCTTTGGCTCTTGGCCAAAATAAGTCCAGTGAGATTTATGTGAGGTTTAAAGTCTGAAACTCTCCTAGCAACCTCTGGGCCATTTTGTTTTACTGACCCAAGATCCTACTGAGAACTTCTGCCTTGAGTGTTCATGAAGTTGAGATTCATCACACTGATTTTGGTGGTTCAATCTGGAGACAAAATGTGTGTATGTATGAATAAGGACCATGGGGCATTTGCACCTCTATATCTCTTGGCTCCCCTAATACTTGCCTATACTCTTTCTCTTGCTGCTTTGCTTTCTTTACTTATTTTTACATTTTTAATTGATATATAATTGTTTCTACATATTTTGGGAGTACATGTGCTATTTTGATACATGTGTACAATGTATAATTATCATATACTTTACTTTTAAATAAAAGCTTTATATGAGTACTCTGTGTAGAGTTTTATAAGTCCTTTCAAAAATTCAAACTTGTGAAGTATTTGCAAATTTTAATAATTAAAGTGAAGCAATGATGTGCTGAATTTGGCTTGCAGCAATGTACAAGAACTGAGTGTTAAAACTTCAAGAATCATATGAGCCAGAGTGAAACAGCGATAGTTAAAAATTAAAGGCAGTAAATACTCAAAATGCATTATGTCTTCATTATTTTACATTTTGTTAGTATTCATGGTCTTGAGATTATTTGCATATGTTGTGTCTATATGATGGTGATATATAATAGAATGCTACTGCTCATCCTTGCCTAAATTCATAGTTAGTGATGTCATGTACATAGCTTGAAATTGACCATGATGTATTTACACTGTGGAAATTGGCAAACGTTTTTAATTAGCTCCCACCCACTGGTATCAAGACCTCGTTGTTAGACACTAACCCCACACCACTGAATGTAATTATTTCTCATTTATATTTTTGAAAGAAATCTTCACTAGATGATGCAACTGGAGCACAATTTCTGTGCCATAACATTACAAACTAGCTTTTGGCCATTGTGCCAGATGTGTTGTTAAATGCCCTAAGTACTGCCTGCTACTGATGGTGGTGAATAAAGTTTCTTATTGGTTTTTATTTTTCGTAATTTCAATGCAGGAAAAAGTTTCAGAAGAATCTGTTTTTGAAACATTTCATGATGATATGTGTTAAGGGCATTTCAGACTTACAGTTCATAGTGAATAATGGATTTCAAAATAATCCAATTATATTAGAATATGTTGTTGTCCTGCATAATTATGATGCTTAATTGTGAAAATTAAATAATTATATTAACTTTATTTTTAAATTTTATTTTATTTTACTTTATTTTATTTTTTGAGATGGAGCTTTGCTTTTTTTGACCGGGCTGGAGTGCAATGGTGCAATCTCGTCTCACTGCAACTTCCACCTCCCAAGTTCAAGTGATTCTCCTGTCTCAGCCTTTAGAGTAGCTGGGATTACTGGTGCGTGCCACCATGCCCGGCTAATTTTGTATTTTTAGTAGAAACAGGGTTTCACTATGTTGGCCAGGCTGGTCTCGAACTCCTGACCTCAGGTGATCCACCTGCCTCGGCTTCCCAAAGTGCTGGGATCACAGGCATGAGTGAGCCACTGCACTCGGCCAATATATTATACTTTCTTGTGTTGTTGCCTTAAAAATTAATTATCTTCATTTAAAATTTGTCACAATAGACACTCATGGTTGAGTAAACAAAACTTTATTTTCACTAAATATAGGAATACATGTTATACAAGAATCCATTAAATAACCACCTCAGGTTTTATAAATTTAGATTTATGCTCTTTAAGTCAGATTTATCTCATCTGCTAAAGACAACATTCAATGAGACAGAAATCACTAACCAGAGTAATGAGAGAGCATTCCCACATTACCTTTCCCAGGCATTTGATTAAAAAAAGAGAAGATTTTAAAAAATCAAACCAAGCCGTCATCAGAGAAGGTAACTTAAGAGCCAGAGAGGTACTATGTTGTAAATTAATCTGGCATTTTTGTTTTAAAAGAAAATGTGAATTCTGAATTGTTAGTCCTCCTACCTATCCTTAATGTACTATAATGGCATTCTTCAAGAACAAGCATCTTAATGATCATGGAGAATTAGTCTGGCAGCACCTCTATCTCCTGCTTAAACTCCTACTCCTCCCCTTACCTCCCTATCTCACCACGCTTAAGGAATAAAACCCATATTCTTTATTATGACTTGCAAATCCATAAAAAGCTTGACTTACTCTTCCTATTCATTATTCAAAACACAGTTCAGGTGTCACTCCCACCAGGTAGCCTTCCCTTACATCCCCAGGATGGTGGCTCCAGGTTGCCCCAGGTTTACACCTGTCACTACACTTTCCACAGGTGTAAAAATTATGCATCTGAATCTCCTACTAGACTGTGAGCCCCTCAAGGACTCTTTTTCATCTCTGTGGTCCTGGACTGGTGGCTGGCTTCATGGAGGTAGTCATGGTGTCCAGCTGAACAAAAATGAGATGTACTATCAGGATCTGGCTGCTACATGCTTCTTTTTTATGTCCTATCATGTCCTTGCATGTAGCCTATGTTTCAACCACTCAATAAGTTGGGATTTCTAGAACATGCTATTATGTGTCTTTCCAAGTGGTGTACTCCAAGTCTGGGATGCCCTTCTCTGACATTTTTTTCCCTGATATATTCTTAGAATGCTGTAAAAACTGGCTCACACTTTTTGTGAGACTTTTTATCCACTGTATTCTCATAGATTGTGTGCCTACTGTTTTAAGACACCATCTCAGTCCGGAAAGTTTCACAAAGTCAACAAATACAGTTTGTTTTTAGTTTACATTAATTTTGTCCTGACACCCCCAAAAGCTAAATTTTATTGCTAATTCTATCTTTTTTCCCTACTCAGATCCATATAAAGGATAAGCTTTTATTTCAATTCAACAAGTATTCTTAATTGCTTTTTAATTACATATGGAATATATGAATACATTATATTTGTGAAGAAAATGAACCCACTATAGATCAGGCTAATATTTTTTCCAATCATCATTTCCAATTCTTGTCTCTTTCCTTCTCTGAGGTAATTCTTATTTTGCGAATCCTTCCAGATATTTTCATATATTTATTTATCTCTTTATAAACATGTACATGAATTTAAATACACTTATTAGCACCCATTAAAAATGTGCAGTTTTATTTAGTGTTTCTTTTCTTTTTAGTGGTATTATATTGAATTATATTCACTTAGTAAAATAACTATTGATTAGATTAAATAGTTCCATTTCGTATAAAGAATTTCTAAAACAGAACTGTTTCTTACTCTAAAACCTACCTCCCTCTGTAAATCAATTTCTGCAAAAGTATGTGCAGAGCCTCAGTGAGAATTTTTGGATTAAGCATGTTTCAAATGAGTACTGCTGTGGCAGAATAATTGTATCAAATAAAGACAATTTACATTTAAGTTATTTGTCAAAGACTGATCTGTTAGATACAGTCGGTTTTACTGGGAGGAGCTCTATGCCATGAAAGGATGGATGGAACTTGAGTCAGAACACTGACTCACCCATCTGTGGTGGTATTTTGGGGGTGGACCTCTCAGAACACCAATCCAAGTAATATCTATTGTTTTTTGTTTTTTGTTTTTTTTCTAAATATCCAACTCAAAGGGGATTTACATTTCTTCCTTTAAATCACAGATCCATAGCTGTCATCACACTTGTTAAACAAGTTTCCTTTTCATTGTTTTTTGCTATTTTACCCAGCCCTTAAAATCTCAACTATCATTGCGGTTAGCACATTTACCAGAGAAGCACTGATCAGGACAAAAGAAGTGCAGAACTTTTCTTTATATTTATTTACTTCAACAGCCATTATATCAGCACATTATGTATAGGTAAGTTGAGATTTGCTTGCCTAAAGTTCTGACATCGATAGAATTAACACTATCTCCCCAGTATGACTCCCACCCAAAGATTGCAGTAAAACAACTGAGTTTGGGTAAGAAAGTTGTAGTTTTTCCACAGCATTTTTGGTTTCCTGCATGGAGACAAACCTGTCATATACACTTGTGTTTGCAATCTATAGTTTTTTTGTAATAATTTGAGGAGTGCTTCAGAAAGGTGATGTGCAGCTAAACCTCCTGTGAATGAAAAATAATATGAATGTGTGACTGTTGTAGAGAGCAGGTAGCGGAGGGAACATTTTCTTTTCTTATAAAACAAATGCTAAATTGTTGTTGATAGTGATGAGGATTAGGATTTCCTTGTATTTGTTAAACAATTCTTGCTTTCGAAAGGCTTTCATGAATATTATATTGAATCTCACAGTGTCATTGCTTCATAAGTATTCTCTGTTGAACCGTATGTAAATCTACATATTTTACTTGTTAAATATTCATGAACCAGAATCATATAATTATGTATTTACACATGCTATCTATTTTTAAAGTATCTAACTAGATAATTATCACAATAAGTGAACAGCGATCATTAATGGCAACATTTTAAGAACATACTTTCAGCTCACAAGGAGTTTTCATCTATATACATAAAATATAGCAAAATTAACTGAATTTAACTTATAACACTTAATGTTTGGATAACTATGAAATATAAGTGCATACCTTACACAAATAGTTTTCTAAAATGTGTATTTTAAGTCAATAGTTGAACCCTTTAAGATATGTGTGTATGTGTTTATATATATATATTCACAATATCAGTATTCATATGAAAATGTGATTTGACAGAGAATATTCACTGTGATAGAATATACTAAGAATTTTTCTTTAAGTAAAGTAAAAGGGTTTTTGTTATGTGATTATTTCTTTTTTATTAAGGATGCTATTTTATTCATAACCCTGATGTTTTCTTATTACCAGCATTTCTGATCTATCAATAAAAGAGTGATCAAACACATTTAAAAGTGGAAAAGAAACAGCATGATTGTTTTGTTTTGTTTTGCCTACCAGGGAGTCATCACCTTTATGCTGAGTGGATATTGTTTCCTTTAAGGCACCTCCACCTTTTCTTTCATCATACTGACACTGAGAAGTTCTAACCTGAAAGATTTCAAGTTCATACTGAGAAGTTCTAACCTGAAAGATTTCAAAAGATTAAGCCATTCTTTTGAATAAATACTTGTTACCTGGGAAAGGTTCAAGCCTTAATTCAGGGATTAGCTTCTCAGAATGAGGCATTAATCTGATTACACAGCAGAACATTGAGTGATTTAGAAACTTGGTTTACTTTGCTTGTACATTTGAGAAGATCTTACTGAACTTTGTGCTTGCATGTGGGTGCCTGATGAATAGTTAAGAGAAAGAAAAAAAAATACCAGAAGTGGAAATAAAGACTTCAAAACCACATTTTATCAATTTCAAATTTTTTCTTAGAGTTAGTCCTATCAAATAGAATGAGGAACATGTCAGAAGAAGGCAATGTTTTAGATTTTTGCAAAGGAAGTATTGAGAAGTTTACATCCAGGAATTTTTTTTTATGGCAAAATATAATTTATATTCTGTGTCCCCTCCGAGTAATTCCTTATGTGATTTTCCAGAAGAATTTGTTGTATGGACTACCAGAAATTGGCTAATAGCTGATATTCTTTCTACTTGGGAAGTTTCTTTGCCGTTTTTAGGCAGCTATTTAATCTATGTCATTGTCATAAAGTCTTTAGGTTACAAATTAAAGGTAGCTACAACCCAGAGAATCATCTGTGTTGTGACAAGAGATAATCAATATGGAAAACGGGATAAGGAATGAAAATATTAAATCCTATAGCAATTCTAATGAAATAAAGTTGAAAATTAGGAAGTCATTTCAGTTTTTCACCTTTAATCCACAGTGTCTGGGTGAATTCTAAAACATCATATTTGATTACATTTTAATAAATTTAGGGTTTTTTGTTCTTATAGAATACAACTTCTGAAAACAAACTGTAGAGATAAAATAAAACATTTGCCCAAATCTATGCAAAGATCTGTTCTGAATTAAAAGCTTAACAATAAAACGAGCCAAAATAAGAAATGTATAAATGTATCCTCAATTAAACAATGATTAAGGAAAAAAGTAATTAGTAAGAGTTCACAGGAGACAGAAAAGTGAAAAAATGATGAGTTGAGATTAGAGAACCAACCAGTGAGTAAGGTAGTTTTGGTGGAGCTGAATGCTTATGAGATGAACTAAGTGTTGATACATCATTAAAAGATCAACAATATTTTAAATTTGACAATGAGGAAAAAATGCTCATTATTTAAGGGCTTTTGAGAGATACTAAAGAATAAGACTGTGACATTCAGGAAGGGTATAAAAAGTTTGAGATAATTTAGCCATCATTGGAATGAAAACAAATGTTTGCCTTGGAAAAAGAAATACTGATTTTGTCTAATTTTTAATATAATAAGTCGTCTGACACACTGATCCAGTTTCTCAGCCTTGATTCTCTCTTATTTTTAGATAACTTCTAAATTTATACTTCCAAGTATCAGTCCTCATTTAACTAAGAGTCTGACATCTCCAATTGTTTCCTGAAAATTTCAATGCTCCTCAAACTCAAAATATGAAAAATTTACAATTTTTTTCTCCCCAATTTATCTCTTCTAGATTTCATTTTATTCTCCCCTTCCTCTTGAGGCAAATTTGTGTCATTAACATATCCTTATCCATTATCCATATAGTTAACTAATTACCAAGTTCTTGCATATATTTTACTCCTGTAAACTTTTTTGAATTCCTACTTTCTTTCTAATTATCATCACCCAGAATCCCATCATTCCAGTCTCGTGGAATAGAATAGGCTCTTTCCTTACTGATTTTCTTTTACTTTCTTCCTCCTTTCAACTATTATCATGCATATTACCTGCAATTTCATCTTCCTAAGAACTACAAGCCCTCATGTTAGTCATTCCACAAGATAAAGTCAAAACTCTTTTGACTAGCCCTGAAGGCTTTATATAACTTGGGTCCCTCTGATCTTTCCTCCAAAATGTAGTTGCCCTTGATCTTTATTCATTCACTTATTCAACAAAAATTACCTTTAATTCTAGCCACTGTGCAATATCCTGGATATAAAAAATAACAAATAATCATGTGGTCCCAGATCACAGCATGCTAAAAACTAAAGGTAAAAAGACTGAAATGTAAAAATAAAAAAATACTATGAATGTAGGACATAATATGATTGACCATGGAAGACTACAATGAAAAGGATATGACAGAGTTGAGTGATAAAGTTTGAGTGGAAGCTCACAGGGTAGACTTGAGGTGAACATTTTAGGTGCAGGAACGGAGAGTGCAAGGGCATAGAGACATGAGTCTTATGTGTCCATAGAGCTGTAAAAGGTTTGAAATGTCTAGAACATAGGTTATTTGTTGGAGAGTGAGAAGAGATAGTGGAGGGGTTGGCCTAAGTCAGGGACACATGCAGTTTATTTATAGAAACTTGAAGAAAAGAGAGTTTGGGGCACAGATGAAGAGAAGTTCAGAAATATGATGATGGAATTGTAAATATTCTTTAGTGATGCCTTCCATTTTCTCAGTGGAATACTATGGTTATCAACTAGGAGTGAGGATGAGTCAGATGGTGCTGGAGGTTTGAGGAGAAAAATGGTATGAAATCATTTTCTAGAAAAATGAAAAAACATCAATAGAAGATGGATTTTAAAAAAGATCTTATATTCCTGAAATCATCAACCCAATTTATTTTTTCTATAATCCAATCTATCATACACAGTGCACCCACATGCTACTTCTAATCTGAAAAAAAATCTGAAAAAAAACTGACAACGTGCCTTCATAGATTAAAGTCTTTCTGTATTTTACCATAAAGATAGTGTATAGTGTAGTGAGAATCTGCATCACCAGGATTATTAAAGTGCAAATTTCCAGGCCCTTATAGGAATGCTATTTCACTTGATCTGGAATAGGATTCCACCATCTGCAGTTTAATCACCTCAGGTGATTCTGATTAAGGTCACTCTCCAATTGCTCTTGAAAGAGCCTCAATGCAGAAGTCAAAATCTCAACATCCTTGTGGGGTATCAAGGGTAATTCTTGCTACTACTTCTCTGTTCATGTCAGGCACAGTTTTCTCGGGAAACAGAACCAATAGAAGATACAGATATACATACACACATATATACAAACATACACATACAGGTTTATTTTAAGGAATTGGCTCACACAACTGTGTGGTTTGAAAGTCTGAAATCCATAGAACAAGTTGCCAGTCTGGAACTCGGGAAGGATTTTTATGTTATCATCTCAAAGCAGAATTTTTTCATCTCCCAGAAACCTTCATTTTTGCTCTTAAGTTCTTCAACTGATTGGAAGAGGTTCACCCACATTATTAAAGGTAACCTCCTTTACTTAAAGTCAACTGATTATAAACGTTAGTTACAGCTATAGAATACCTTCACAGCCACATTTAAAGTAATGTTTGACCAGACAGCTCAGCACCACAGCCTAGCCAAAGTTAACACATAAAATTAGCCATCATACTCTCCGATGTCATCTTTGAATGATTAATGACTCAGTTTGCCATAACAAAATTGAATTGCTGGTCTTTCTTTAAGCATTGCATGTTGTTCCCTCTTCCTAGATGTCTTCCTATGTCATTTTGTCTAGAAAACTCCCACAGATCCTTATTTCAACTGAGATTGAGGCTCTCAATACAAATTTTTGCCTAAACAAGACATAGTGAAAATACCTGACATTGTAGATTCATCACGACATGCTTTTCTACGAAAGAGTTCTTTGAAACAGAGTAATAAATAAGCTAATAAGATAGATGGACAGTGCTCTAACACAGTATAGCACTTCATATTTGCGCATGTTCTTTGTATAAAATAAAGGCATAATAAATAATATAGGATCATGATCATACTCTAAAAGATTAATATGGGCTTAGGCATAAAGAACTTCTAAGACATTTCCCTTCCCTTCCCCACCCCTCTGACCTGACAAGATCTTCACTTACTGATACTCTGTTTCTAATCCTTGACCATGGGAGGGAGCAAGGTGCCAAGTATCGATAACTTGTAACCAACCACTATACTCCTAAATGTAACCTCATAACAGATTTAGAGAGGTTCAATCAAAAGCTTTAAGGCAAGCTGATTTTTTTAAATCTTTGTTTCTTCCTCTCACTCTTCCTCCCTCCCTCTGCTCTCCCTTTCTTCCTCCTTTTTAAAATGTCTTTTATTACTATTGTGTCTGAATTGTAGAGTTTCTAGGGGCGAGCAGGAGACAAGACATACAGATTTAAAATGACTGTGGTATTTCTGATAGAGCCTTCATATTCATATCATCCTTTACTTGCAGACCAGTCATGGCTTCCTGTACATCTGTGTCACTATGGATGATTGCCCTTCTTGTGTTTGGAGTGTTGGCAATCTTTGGAATAACTATTGGTCTCCTTGTTCATTTTCTGGCAGTAGGTTGGTAAATAATACATTTCATTTATTTCATTTTACTGTAATCTTTATTTCAATTTCTACAAAAGATAAAAAAAAATTGGAAACAATGAATTATCTCCCTTTAAAATGGCACCAGGAACCACAGATTACAGAAATAAGCATTGCTAACATTTGTCAAACACTGTATTGCAGACATCTTTTTCACTATACACAGATAAAATAATGGATATTCATACACAGACATGAATGCACAGATAGACTTTGGAAAACATAAGAAAAGTTGAAGTCATTTTTAAAAAATGCTATGTTTTAACTTTAGATATTATATCATTTATATCCTACTATGAAAGACAAGAAAATCATGTATTTGTACTTTTCATTTTCCTCCTACAATTCTCAGTAGTTTGTTAGCAATATTATTCTTACTACATCGTCAACATTTGTAACACTTTGTTCTGGTCTGTAATAAATGTTGCTACAGTTGTTTAGTTTGGAATATATATTTAGATGGAGCATATACTCATCATCAACTCTTTCTTCACGGTATTGCTATGCCTGGGTGTTGTTTTTTTTCCTCCAAAGTTAGTATGCTCATAAATAATCAAATAGTTACTCAGAGTTTTTCTTATGCAAACACAGCCCCTCCTTCACTATCCCTGTTTTTCACTTCTCAAATACAACCACTTTCAATTCTTTGATTCTTAATATTGCTGTATTCTAATTTTTCAATTGTTGGCATCATCTGTTCACTTTCTACTATGGAAGAATGAAGATTCTGTACACATTCATACTCTGGCAACATAGCAGTCATTTTGGGATTTCCCTTTAGCAGCATCCTGAGATTTACCTTCAACTATCTGTTGAATCTGACACCCTAATGCCTGAATTCCATATTTCTTTTTTATTATTGCATTCACTCAGCTGTAGTGGAGTATATACTCCAGGAGCTTTCTGGGAAAGGGTTACAATGGGAAGTGTACATTTTCGCCAACTTGTGTGCCTGAAAATGTCTTAATTCTACCCTTTACCTTAATTAATAATATCAAATTCTAAGTGGAAAGCAATTTTTCCTCTGAATTTTGATGCTAATACTCTGTTGTCTTATTGCCTTCAAAGTTCCTGTCAAGAAGTCTGATGACATTTTGATTCTAGAGTCTTTGAGGAAACCTCTTCTACCCTGTCCTTCATGTTCTGAAACCTCATTGGATTTTTTTTTCTTTGTCCACAGTATTTTGAAATTTCATGGTAATGTGACAGAGTGGAGATCTTATTTTCATCTGTTGTGATGACATTTAGTGGGCTATGTCAATCTGAAAATTCATTGTACTTCAGTGCCTGGAAATTTTCTTGGATTATGTCTTTGCTGATTTCCTGTCCTTCATGCTCTCTTTCTGAAGCTCCTGTTATTTTGACAGTGAGACTCCTAAATATGACATGTAATTTTTTAATCTTTTCCTTTATGTTTTTCATTTCTTCATCTTTTTTAAAAAAATCACTTTCTTGGCTGGGTGCGGTGGCTCATGCCTGTAATCCCAGCACTTTGGGAGGCCAAGGCGGGTGGATCACGAGGTCAGGAGATTGAGACCATCTTGGCCAACATGATGAAATGCCATCTCTACTAAAAATACAAAAATTAGCTGGGCGTGGTGGTGCGTGCCTCTAGTCCCAGCTACTTGGGAGGCTGAGGCAGGAGAATTGCTTGAACCCGGGAGGCAGAAGTTCCAGTGAGCCAAGATTGCACCACTGTACTCCAGACTGGCAACAGAGTGAGACTCCATCTCAAAAAAAAAAAAAAAAAAAAATCAAGTTCTTGATTTTCTCAAGTTTACTTTCTAAACTTTCTATTGATTTCTTATTTCTGTTATTATATATTTAAATTCTGAGATATCTGTCTAATTATCTAAATGTTCCTTTATATAACATCGTGATCGTATTTCTTACACTTCCTCTGAGGATAATAATGTTTAAATTTTTTTTTGCCTGAATAGTCTTTTTCTTCCAAGGTTTTCTTTGGTTATTTTGGTCATATTTCTTATTTCATACTTTTCTCAAATATATGTTGATCCTTTGGTGTCTGCAAATTTTTAAGATTGGGAATCAAAGACCTGACTGAAGGAAGTGCCTATTGGTGATGGTTTTTATTACAGATGTTCTATCTGGTTAGATGTTTTGTTGAGAGAACCTAAATTACCAGTATATTTAGGTATTTTCTCTTGCATTGGTCGGAATTCTTAGACAGGGGAAAATTCCTCCCTTGTTCTGCATGAATATATTTGCTGGTAGCTTTCTGTAGTCAAGTTGGGAAGAGTCCAGCATAGATATTTTGAGTGTGGTGCACCTGACCTCAACTGTTTCAGTCTCCATGGTCTGAAAACCTTAGCAGTTGGGAAAGACACTGGGAGCTAGTTGTTTCAATCAATTTTTCTGGTTTTAATTTCACTTCTTCTATTCTTACTTCCATGATTGCCTGGTACCATTTAAGCTGCTCTTTTAAGACAGCACATGCCTTTACTTTTCCCACTACAATATAAGGTTTTAGGTTTCTTGAGTCCGTTAGGCGAATTACCACTCACCTGTGTCCAGCTTTCATAATGCTGTTGTTGCCTCCTTTCCCATTATCATTGTCATTATGAGTTAACTTCTTTAAAACCCCAAACCACACAATTTTCCTATCATTTTAGTGGGATTTGGGGAAGAAACACGTATAGATGCATTTATTAAATTTATCATCTTTAAGTGAAAGTTCTTGATTCTTGAGTTTCTTATTATGACTAATCTCTAGGCTTGTTATAGGTCTTCTTGAAGTCATTCTTATAAGATTTTGAGCTGCTGAAATTCCTGAGATTTTACATGCATAACAATAGATAAGCAAAAAACGTATTTGTTTATATTATCTTTTCTTTAGAACTTTGTAAACTTTTCCCACTGTATTTTTGTAAATTTAGTGTTGTCAAAGAAAAGATCATGACCATTTCCTATTTGTAAATAGAAATGTAAATTATTTTGTTGTTTTTTTCTGCCAAATCATCACAAGATTATTTATGCTATAGATTCATCAAATCCACTCAGTCTTAGTATTCTGTTCATCCTTTAATTTTTCTTTGAACAAATGGGCCCTTTAAAGTGACAGATTTAAACTTCTTTGTTGAGTTCTTTTTTCAGGGCCGCCAATTATGCATTTGTTGGACCTCCTTTTCCTTTCATATTGTTTATTCCTTCAACAGTTTTAGTTTCTCTTTTCAATTTTATTTTATTTGTTTTGCTCAAGCCTGTCCTCATGATACAAGATTTTTAAAAATCTGTATCTGTTCTTCTCAATGTGGCTTTTATCTCTGATAGTCTTATTTTCCTCTTGCATTCCTTTACTAAATTCTGCAGCTTACTTGTCTTCTTTACTAAATGGTTGTACATTGTTTAATTCTTTTGTATACTGCATCTTTGAGACCATTGGAATTAGCTGTTAACACATTTTTGTTCCCTTGGTAATTCCTCTTCTAGTTTTTAAAAATATTTTTTCTTCCTTTTGGCTTTTTTCCTCCAAGATCTATGAGGTTCCCTACTGCATTATTTTTAACTACTATTTACCCTTTGGGGTTTGGGATAGATGTTTTCTAAAGAATACTGTAAGAAGTGGGCCTAGAGGGTAGATTATAGGCTGAGGGAGTGTTTTTTTTTTTAAATTGACACATAGTAATTGTATATATTTGTAAGGTTTAGGATGATATTTAGATATATGTATACAATATGTAATGATCAAGTCAGGGTAATTAATGTATTCATCACCTCAAACATTATCTATTTATTTTTGTCAAGAACACTCAACATTTTTTCTTCTAGCTATTTGAAAATACATAATAAATTATTGTTAAATATAGTCATCCTACAGTGCTTTAGAAGACAAGAAATTATTCCTCCTGCCTAACAGTAATTTTGATTTTGTATCTGTTAACACATCTCTTCCTATTCCCCTTCTCCTACACTTTCCAGCTTCTAGTAACCACTATTCTACTCTCTACATCTATGAGATCAAAGTTTTTAGCTTCTACATGTAAGTGTGAACATGCAGTATTTATCTTTCTGTGCCTGCCTGGCTTATTTTATTTAACGTCCCCCATTCATGTTGCTGAAAATGACAGGATTCCATTTTTTTATGACAGAATAGTATCTCATGATGTATATATACCACATTTTCTTTACCTATTCATCTGTTGATGGACACTTAGGGCTATTGTGAATAGTGCTGCAATAAACATGAGAGCAAAGATTTCTTTTTGACAAACTAATTTTCTTTCCTTTGGATATGTATATACCCAGTAGTAAGATTGCTGGACAATATGGTAGTTCTATTTCTAGCTTTTTGAAGAAACTTCATACTGTTTTCCATAATGGCTCTATTAATTTAAAATCTCTACCAACATTGTGTAAGAGCTCCCTTTTCTCCACATCCTTGCCAGCATTCGTTATTTTTGGTCTTTTTATAACAGCCATTCTAACTGGGGTAAGATTATATTTCATTGTGGTTTTGATATGCATTTCCCTGATGGTTAATGATGTTGAGCATTTTATTTTATTTTATTTCATTTATTTATTTTTTTGAGACAGAGTTTCGCTCTTTCACCCAGGCTGGAGTGAAGTGGCACGATCTTGGCTCACTGCAACCTCCGCCCCCCAGATTCAAGTGATTCTCCTCCCTCAGCCTCCTGTGTAGCTGGGATTATAAGCGCCCATCACCAAGCCCGGATAATTTTTGTATTTTTAGTAGAGACAGGGTTTCACCATGTTGGTCAGGCTGGTCTCAAACTCCTGACCTCAGGTGATCCACCTGCCTTGGCCTCCCAAAGTGCTAGGAGGTGTGAGCCACCACGCCCAGCCAAGCATTTTAAAAAATAGACCTGATGTCCCTTTGTTTGTCTTCTTTTGAAAAATGTCTATTCAGATCAACTGCCTATTTTTAGTTGGATTTCTTTTTCTGTTGAGTTCCTCGTATATTTCAGATATTAAATATTAATCTCTTGTTGGATGAATAGTTTCCTTCTATTCTTCAGGTGTCTCTTTACTCTATTGATAGTTTTCTTTGTTGTGCTGAAGTTTTTTAGTTTGATATAATCCCATTCGTCTACTTTTGCTTTTATTACCTGTGCTTTTGAGGTCTTATTCATAAAACATTTGCCCAGACTAATGTCTTAGGGCATTTCCTCTATGTTTTCCTCAAGTAATTTTACAGTTCTGTGCCTTACATTTAACTCTGTAAGTCACCCTGATTTGATTTTTGTGTACAATGTAAGAGAGGGGTCTAGTGTCATTCTTCTGTATGTGGACATCCAGTTTCCCCAGCACCATTTTTTGAAAAGATTGTCCTTTCCCCAATGTATGCTCTTGTTGCTTTTGTCAAAAATCAGATAACTGTAAATATGTACCACACGATTTTTGTCACTATAGCTTTGTTGAAGTATACGTTGTATACGTTGAAGTCAGGTAGTGTGATGCCTCCAGCTTTGTTCTTTTTGCTCAGGATTGCTTTGGCTATTTGGGTCTTTTGTGGTTCCAAAACAATTTTAGGATTGTTTTTTCTATTTCTGTGAAAAATGTCATTGGTTAAAAAAGTCATTGGTGTTTTGATAAGAGTTGCATTAAATCTGTAGATTGCTTTGAGTAGTATACTCATTTTATCAACATTAATTATTCCATTCCATGAACATGTGTTGTCTTTTAATTTTTTTGAGCGTCTTCTATTTCTTTCCTCAGAGTTTTGTAGTTTTCTTTATAGAGATCTTTCACCTCCTTGGTTAAATTCATTTTATGATTCTCTTTTTCTGTAGCTATTGTAATTGGGATTGTTTCCTTGATTTATTTTTCAACCAGTTTGTTATTGATGTATAAAAATGCTACTGATTTTTATATGTTAATTTTTAATCTTGAAACTTAGTTGAGTTCATTTATCAGTTGTAAGAATGTTTTGGTTACGTCTTTAGTTTTTTTTTAAATATAAGATTATGTCACCTGTAAACAGGGACAATTTAACTTTCTCTTTTCTAATTATGGATGTTTTTTCCCTTAATGCTCTGTCTCGGACTTCCAGGCTGAGGGAGTCTGCAGTTTATATCTTCACCTATTATCTCAAAAATTATCTTATCTAATTGTTGTTTTCTTTAACCCCAGGGTCCATTTAGTTTCATTTTTTAAGAGGTAAGAAGATGGGGTGGCCCTGAAGAAATCTCCCTAATTTGCAGACTCTCTGAATTATGATATAGTAATTTCTGATGTCCTTTCTTTTTTTTCCCCCAGGTTACCTTCAGCAAGTTGCCTTAGCTGGAAGATTGGAACATATACAATAAAAATGTCACAATTGTATGATTTCACTTTTATTTATTTATTTATTTATTTTTGTTTATTTTTTTATTATACTTTAAGTTTTAGGGTACATGTGCACAACGTGCTAGTTTGTTACATATGTATACATGTGCCATGTTGGCATGCTGCTCCCATTAACTCGTCATTTAACATTAGGTATATCTCCTAATGCTATCCCTCCCCCCTCCCCCAACCCCAAAACAGGCCCCGGTGTGTAATGTTCCGCTTCCTGTGTCCATATGCTCTCATTGCTCAATTCCCACCTATGAGTGAGAATATGTGGTGTATGGTTTTTTGTCCTTGCAATAGTATGCTGAGAATGATGATTTCCAGCTTCATCCGTGTCCCTACAAAGGACATGAACTCATCATTTTTTATGGCTGCATAGTATTCCATAGTGTATATGTGCCACATTTCCTTGATCCAGTATATCATTGTTGGACATTTGGGTTGGTTCCAAGTCTTTGCTATTGTGAATAGTGCCTCAATAAACATACGTGTGCATGTGTCTTTACAGCAGCATGTTTTGTAATCCTTTGGGTATATACTCAGTAATGGGATTGCTGGGTCAAATGGTATTTCTAGTTCTACATCCCTGAGGAATCGCCACACTGACTTCCACAATGGTTGAACTAGTTTACAGTCCCACCAACAGTGTAAAAGTGTTCCTATTTCTCCACATCCTCTCCAGCACCTGTTGTTTCCTGACTTTTTAATGATTGCCATTCTAATTGGTGTGAGATGGTATCTAATTGTGGTTTCGATTTGCATTTCTCTGATGGCCAGTGATGATGAACATTTTTTCATGTGTCTTCTGGCTGCATAAATGTCTTCTTTTGAGAAGTGTCTGTTCATGTCCTTTGCCCACTTTTTGATCGGTTTGTTTGTTTTTTTTTTTTGTAAATTTGTTGGAGTTCATTGTAGATTCTGGATATTAGCCCTTTGTCAGATGAGTAGGTTGCGAAAATTTTCTCCCATTTTCTAGGTTGCCTGTTCACTCTGATGGTAGTTTCTTTTGCTGTGCAGAAGCTCTTTAGTTTAATTAGATCCCATTTGTCAATTTTGGCTTTTGTTGCCATTGCTTTTGGTGTTTTAGACATGAAGTCCTTGCCCATGCCTATGTCCTGAATGGTAAAGCCTAGGTTTTCTTCTAGGGTTTTTATGGTTTTAGGTCTAATGTTTAAGTCTTTAATCCATCTTGAATTAATTTTTGTATAAGGTGTAAGGAAGGGATCCAGTTTCAGCTTTCTACATATGGCTAGCCAGTTTTCCCAGCACCATTTATTAAATAGGCAATCCTTTCCCCATTGCTAGTTTTTCTCAGGTTTGTCAAAGATCAGATAGTTGTAGATATGCGGCATTATTTCTGAGGGCTCTGTTCTGTTCCATTGATCTATATCTCTGTTTTGGTACCAGTGCCATGCTGTTTTGGTTACTGTAGCCTTGTAGTATAGTTTGAAGTCAGGTAGTGTGATACCTCCAGCTTTGTTCTTTTGGCTTAGGATTGACTTGGCGATGTGGGCTCTTTTTTGGTTCCATATGAACTTTAAAGTAGTTTTTTCCAATTCTGTGAAGAAAGTCATTGGTAGCTTTATGGGGATGGCATTGAATCTATAAATTACCTTGGGCAGTATGGCCATTTTCACGATATCGATTCTTCCTACCCATGAGCGTGGAATGTTCTTCCATTTGCTTGTATCCTCTTTTATTTCATTGAGCAGTGGTTTGTACTTCTCCTTGAAGAGGTCCTTCACATCCCCTGTAAGTTGGATTCCTAGGTATTTTATTCTCTTTGAAGCAATTGTGAATGGGAGTTCACTCATGATTTGGCTCTCTGTTTGCCTGTTATTGGTGTGTAAGAGTGCTTGTGATTTTTGTACATTGATTTTGTATCCTGAGACTTTGCTGAAGTTGCTTCTCAGCTTAAGGAGATTTTGGGCTGAGACCATGGGGTTTTCTAGATATACAATCATGGCATCTGCAAACAGGGACAATTTGACTTCCTCTTTTCCTAATTGAATACCCTTTATTTCCTTCTCCTGCCTAATTGCCCTGGCCAGAACTTCCAACACTATGTTGAATAGGAGTGGTGAGAGAGGGCATCCCTGTCTTCTGCCAGTTTTCAAAGGGAATGCTTCCAGTTTTTGCCCATTCAGTATGATATTGGCTGTGGGTTTGTCATAGATAGCTCTTATTATTTTGAGATACGTCCCATCAATACCTAATTTATTGAGAGTTTTTAGCATGAAGCGTTGTTGAATTTTGTCAAAGGCCTTTTCTGCATCTATTGACATAATAATCATGTGGTTTTTGTCTTTGATTCTGTTTATATGCTGGATTACATTTATTGATTTGCATATGTTGAACCAGTCTTGCATCCCAGGGATGAAGCCCACTTGATCATGGTGGATAAGCTTTTTGATGTGCTGCTGGATTCAGTTTGCCAGTTTTTATTGGGGATTTTTGCATTGGTGTTCATCAGGGATATTAGTCTAAGATTCTCTTTTTTGGTTGTGTCTCTGCCCTGCTTTGGTATCAGGATGATGCTGGCCTCATAAAATGAGTTAGGGAGGATTACCTCTTTTTCTATTGATTGGAATAGTTTCAGAAGGAATGGTACCAGTTCCTCCTTGTACCTCTGGTAGAATTCAGCTGTGAATCCATCTGGTCCTGGACTCTTTTTGGTTGGTAAACTATTGATTATTGCCACAATTTCAGATCCTGTTATTGGTCTATTCAGAGATTCAACTTCTTCCTGGTTTAGTCTTGGGAGAGTGTATGTGTCGAGGAATTTATCCATTTCTTCTAGATTTTCTAGTTTATTTGCATAGAAGTGTTTGTAGTATTCTCTGATGGCAGTTTGTATTTCTGTGGGATTGGTGGTGATATCCCCTTTATCATTTTTTATTGCGTCTATTTGATCCTTCTCCCTTTTCTTCTTTTTTTTTATTATACTTTAAGTTTTAAGGTACATGTGCACATTGTGCAGGTTAGTTACATATGTATACATGTGCCATGCTGGTGCGCTGCACCCACTAACTCGTCATCTAGCATTAGGTATATCTCCCAATGCTCTCCCTCCCCACTCCCCCCACCCCACAACTGTCCCCAGAGTGTGATATTCCCCTTCCTGTGTCCATGTGATCTCATTGTTCAGTTCCCACCTATGAGTGAGAATATGCGGTGTTTGGTTTTTTGTTCTTGCGATAGTTTACTGAGAATGATGATTTCCAATTTCATCCATGTCCCTACAAAGGACATGAACTCATCATTTTTTATGGCTGCATAGTATTCCATGGTGTATATGTGCCACATTTTCTTAATCCAGTCTATCATTGTTGGACATTTGGGTTGGTTCCAAGTCTTTGCTATTGTGAATAATGCCGCAATAAGCATACGTGTGCATGTGTCTTTATAGCAGCATGATTTATAGTCCTTCGGGTATATACCCAGTAATGGGATGGCTGGGTCAAATGGTATTTCTAGTTCTACATCCCTGAGGAATCGCCACACTGACTTCCACAATGGTTGAACTAGTTTACAGTCCCACCAACAGTGTAAAAGTGTTCCTATTTCTCCACATCCTCTCCAGCACCTGTTGTTTCCTGACTTTTCAATGATCGACATTCTAACTGGTGTGAGATGGTATCTCATTTTGGTTTTGATTTGCATTTCTCTGATGGCCAGTGATGATGAGCATTTTTTCATGTGTCTTCTGGCTGCATAAATGTCTTCTTTTGAGAAGTGTCTGTTCATGTCCTTCGCCCACTTTTTGATGGGGTTGTTTGTTTTTTTCTTGTAAATTTGTTTGAGTTCACTGTAGATTCTGGATATTAGCCCTTTGTCAGATGAGTAGGTTGCGAAAATTTTCTCCCATTTTCTAGGTTGCCTGTTCACTCTGATGGTAGTTTCTTTTGCTGTGCAGAAGCTCTTTAATTAGATCCCATTTGTCAATTTTGGCTTTTATTGCCATTGCTCTTGGTGTTTTAGACATGAAGTCCTTGCCCATGCCTATGTCCTGAATGGTAATGCCTAGGTTTTCTTCTAGGGTTTTTATGGTTTTAGGTCTAATGTTTAAGTCTTTAATCCATCTTGAATTAATTTTTGTATAAGGTGTAAGGAAGGGATCCAGTTTCAGCTTTCTACATATGGCTAGCCAGTTTTCCCAGCACCATTTATTAAATAGGCAATCCTTTCCCCATTGCTAGTTTTTCTCAGGTTTGTCAAAGATCAGATAGTTGTAGATATGCGGCATTATTTCTGAGGGCTCTGTTCTGTTCCATTGATCTATATCTCTGTTTTGGTACCAGTACCATGCTGTTTTGGATACTGTAGCCTTGTAGTATAGTTTGAAGTCAGGTAGTGTGATACCTCCAGCTTTGTTCTTTTGGCTTAGGATTGACTTGGCGATGTGGGCTCTTTTTTGGTTCCATATGAACTTTAAAGTAGTTTTTTCCAATTCTGTGAAGAAAGTCATTGGTAGCTTTACGGGGATGGCATTGAATCTGTAAATTACCTTGGGCAGTATGGCCATTTTCACGATATTGATTCTTCCTACCCATGAGCAGGGAATGTTCTTCCATTTGTTTGTATCCTCTTTTATTTCCTTGAGCAGTGGTTTGTACTTCTCCTTGAAGAGGTCCTTCACATCCCTTGTAAGTTGGATTCCTAGGGATTTTATTCTCTTTGAAGCAATTGTGAATGGGAGTTCACTCATGATTTGGCTCTCTGTTTGTCTGTTATTGGTGTAAAAGAATGCTTGTGATTTTTGTACATTGATTTTGTATCCTGAGACTTTGTTGAAGTTGCTTCTCAGCTTAAGATTTTGGGCTGAGACAATGGTGTTTTCTAGATATACAATCATGTCATCTGCAAACAGAGACAATTTGACTTCCTCTTTTCCTAATTGATTACCCTTTATTTCCTTCTCCTGCCTAATTGCCCTGGCCAGAACTTCCAACACTATGTTGAATAGGTGTGGTGAGAGAGGGCATCCCTGTCTTCTGCCTGTTTTCAAAGGGAATGCTTCCAGTTTTTGCCCATTCAGTATGATATTGGCTGTGGGTTTGTCATAGATAGCTCTTATTATTTTGAGATACGTCCCATCAATACCTAATTTATTGAGAGTTTTTAGCATGAAGCGTTGTTGAATTTTGTCAAAGGCCTTTTCTGCATCTATTGACATAATAATCATGTGGTTTTTGTCTTTGATTCTGTTTATATGCTGGATTACATTTATTGATTTGCATATGTTGAACCAGTCTTGCATCCCAGGGATGAAGCCCACTTGATCATGGTGGATAAGCTTTTTGATGTGCTGCTGGATTCAGTTTGCCAGTTTTTATTGGGGATTTTTGCATTGGTGTTCATCAGGGATATTAGTCTAAGATTCTCTTTTTTGGTTGTGTCTCTGCCCTGCTTTGGTATCAGGATGATGCTGGCCTCATAAAATGAGTTAGGGAGGATTACCTCTTTTTCTATTGATTGGAATAGTTTCAGAAGGAATGGTACCAGTTCCTCCTTGTACCTCTGGTAGAATTCAGCTGTGAATCCATCTGGTCCTGGACTCTTTTTGGTTGGTAAACTATTGATTATTGCCACAATTTCAGATCCTGTTATTGGTCTATTCAGAGATTCAACTTCTTCCTGGTTTAGTCTTGGGAGAGTGTATGTGTCGAGGAATTTATCCATTTCTTCTAGATTTTCTAGTTTATTTGCATAGAAGTGTTTGTAGTATTCTCTGATGGCAGTTTGTATTTCTGTGGGATTGGTGGTGATATCCCCTTTATCATTTTTTATTGCGTCTATTTGATCCTTCTCCCTTTTCTTCTTTTTTTTTATTATACTTTAAGTTTTAAGGTACATGTGCACATTGTGCAGGTTAGTTACATATGTATACATGTGCCATGCTGGTGCGCTGCACCCACTAACTCGTCATCTAGCATTAGGTATATCTCCCAATGCTCTCCCTCCCCACTCCCCCCACCCCACAACTGTCCCCAGAGTGTGATATTCCCCTTCCTGTGTCCATGTGATCTCATTGTTCAGTTCCCACCTATGAGTGAGAATATGCGGTGTTTGGTTTTTTGTTCTTGCGATAGTTTACTGAGAATGATGATTTCCAATTTCATCCATGTCCCTACAAAGGACATGAACTCATCATTTTTTATGGCTGCATAGTATTCCATGGTGTATATGTGCCACATTTTCTTAATCCAGTCTATCATTGTTGGACATTTGGGTTGGTTCCAAGTCTTTGCTATTGTGAATAATGCCGCAATAAGCATACGTGTGCATGTGTCTTTATAGCAGCATGATTTATAGTCCTTCGGGTATATACCCAGTAATGGGATGGCTGGGTCAAATGGTATTTCTAGTTCTACATCCCTGAGGAATCGCCACACTGACTTCCACAATGGTTGAACTAGTTTACAGTCCCACCAACAGTGTAAAAGTGTTCCTATTTCTCCACATCCTCTCCAGCACCTGTTGTTTCCTGACTTTTCAATGATCGACATTCTAACTGGTGTGAGATGGTATCTCATTTTGGTTTTGATTTGCATTTCTCTGATGGCCAGTGATGATGAGCATTTTTTCATGTGTCTTCTGGCTGCATAAATGTCTTCTTTTGAGAAGTGTCTGTTCATGTCCTTCGCCCACTTTTTGATGGGGTTGTTTGTTTTTTTCTTGTAAATTTGTTTGAGTTCACTGTAGATTCTGGATATTAGCCCTTTGTCAGATGAGTAGGTTGCGAAAATTTTCTCCCATTTTCTAGGTTGCCTGTTCACTCTGATGGTAGTTTCTTTTGCTGTGCAGAAGCTCTTTAATTAGATCCCATTTGTCAATTTTGGCTTTTATTGCCATTGCTCTTGGTGTTTTAGACATGAAGTCCTTGCCCATGCCTATGTCCTGAATGGTAATGCCTAGGTTTTCTTCTAGGGTTTTTATGGTTTTAGGTCTAATGTTTAAGTCTTTAATCCATCTTGAATTAATTTTTGTATAAGGTGTAAGGAAGGGATCCAGTTTCAGCTTTCTACATATGGCTAGCCAGTTTTCCCAGCACCATTTATTAAATAGGCAATCCTTTCCCCATTGCTAGTTTTTCTCAGGTTTGTCAAAGATCAGATAGTTGTAGATATGCGGCATTATTTCTGAGGGCTCTGTTCTGTTCCATTGATCTATATCTCTGTTTTGGTACCAGTACCATGCTGTTTTGGATACTGTAGCCTTGTAGTATAGTTTGAAGTCAGGTAGTGTGATACCTCCAGCTTTGTTCTTTTGGCTTAGGATTGACTTGGCGATGTGGGCTCTTTTTTGGTTCCATATGAACTTTAAAGTAGTTTTTTCCAATTCTGTGAAGAAAGTCATTGGTAGCTTTACGGGGATGGCATTGAATCTGTAAATTACCTTGGGCAGTATGGCCATTTTCACGATATTGATTCTTCCTACCCATGAGCAGGGAATGTTCTTCCATTTGTTTGTATCCTCTTTTATTTCCTTGAGCAGTGGTTTGTACTTCTCCTTGAAGAGGTCCTTCACATCCCTTGTAAGTTGGATTCCTAGGGATTTTATTCTCTTTGAAGCAATTGTGAATGGGAGTTCACTCATGATTTGGCTCTCTGTTTGTCTGTTATTGGTGTAAAAGAATGCTTGTGATTTTTGTACATTGATTTTGTATCCTGAGACTTTGTTGAAGTTGCTTCTCAGCTTAAGATTTTGGGCTGAGACAATGGTGTTTTCTAGATATACAATCATGTCATCTGCAAACAGAGACAATTTGACTTCCTCTTTTCCTAATTGATTACCCTTTATTTCCTTCTCCTGCCTAATTGCCCTGGCCAGAACTTCCAACACTATGTTGAATAGGTGTGGTGAGAGAGGGCATCCCTGTCTTCTGCCTGTTTTCAAAGGGAATGCTTCCAGTTTTTGCCCATTCAGTATGATATTGGCTGTGGGTTTGTCATAGATAGCTCTTATTATTTTGAGATACGTCCCATCAATACCTAATTTATTGAGAGTTTTTAGCATGAAGCGTTGTTGAATTTTGTCAAAGGCCTTTTCTGCGTCTATTGAGATAATCATGTGGTTTTTGTCTTTGGTTCTGTTTATATGCTGGATTACATTTATTGATTTGCGTATATTGAACCAGCCTTGCATCCCAGGCATGAAGCCCACTTGATCATGGTGGATAAGCTTTTTGATGTGCTGCTGGATTCAGTTTGCCAGTATTTTATTGAGGATTTTTGCATCAATGTTCCTCAGGGATATTGGTCTAAAATTCTCTTTTTTGGTTGTGTCTCTGCCCAGCTTTGGTATCAGAATGATGCTGGCGTCATAAAATGAGTTAGGGAGGATTCCCTCTTTTTCTATTGATTGGAATAGTTTCAGAAGGAATGGTACCAGTTCCTCCTTGTACCTCTGGTAGAATTCGGCTGTGAATCCATCTGGTCCTGGACTCTTTTTGGTTGGTAAACTATTGATTATTGCCACAATTTCAGCTCCCGTTATTGGTCTATTCAGAGATTCAACTTCTTCCTGGTTTAGTCTTGGGAGAGTGTATGTGTCGAAGAATTTATCCATTTCTTCTAGATTTTCTAGTTTATTTGCGTAGAGGTGTTTGTAGTATTCTCTGATGGTAGTTTGTATTTCTGTGGGATCGGTGGTGATATCCCCTTTATCATTTTTTATTGCGTCTATTTGATTCTTCTCTCTTTTTTTCTTTATTAGTCTTGCTAACGGTCTATCAATTTTGTTGATCCTTTCAAAAAATCAGATCCTGGATTCATTAATTTTTTGAAGGGTTTTTTTTGTCTCTATTTCCTTCAGTTCTGCCTGATTTTAGTTATTTCTTGCCTTCTGCTAGCTTTAGAATGTGTTTGCTCTTGCTTTTCTAGTTCTTTTAATTGTGATGTTAGGGTGTCAATTTTGGATCTTTCCTGCTTTCTCTTGTGGGCATTTAGTCCTATAAATTTCCCTCTACACACTGCTTTGAATGCATCCCAGAGATTCTGGTATGTTGTGTCTTTGTTCTTGTTGGTTTCAAAGAACATCTTTATTTCTGCCTTCATTTCGTTATGTATCCAGTAGTCATTCAGGAGCAGGTTGTTCAGTTTCCATGTAGTTGAGCGGTTTTGAGTGAGATTCTTAATCCTGAGTTCTAGTTTGATTGCACTGTGGTCTGAGAGGTAGTTTGTTATAATTTCTGTTCTTTTACATTTGCTGAGGAGAGCTTTACTTCCAAGTATGTGGTCAATTTTGGAATAGGTGCGGTGTGGTGCTGAAAAAAATGTATATTCTGTTGATTTGGGGTGGAGAGTTCTGTAGATGTCTATTAGGTCCGCTTGGTGCAGAGCTGAGTTCAATTCCTGGGTATCCTTGTTGACTTTCTGCCTCGTTGATCTGTCTAATGTTAACAGTGGGGTGTTAAAGTCTCCCATTATTATTGTGTGGGAGTCTAAGTCTCTTTGTAGGTCTCTAAGGACTTGCTTTATGAATCTTGGTACTCGTGTATTGGGTGCATATATATTTAGGATAGTTATTTCTTCTTGTTGAATTGATCCCTTTACCATTATGTAATGGCCTTCTTTGTCTCTTTTGATCTTTGTTGGTTTAAAGTTTGTTTTATCAGAGACTAGGATTGCAACCCCTGCTTTTTTTGTTTTGCATTTGCTTGGTAGATCTTCCTCCATCCCTTTATTTTGAGCCCATGTGTGTCTCTGCACATGAGATGGGTTTCCTGAATACAGCACAGTGATGGGTCTTGGCTGTTTATCCAATTTGCCAGTCTGTGTCTTTTAATTGGAGCATTTAGCCCATTTATATTTAAGGTTAATATTGTTATATGTGAATTTGATCCTGTCATTATGATGATAGCTGGTTATTTTGCTTGTTAGTTGATGCAGTTTCTTCCTAGCCTCAATGGTCTTTACAATTTGGCATGTTTTTGCAGTGGCTGGTACCGATTGTTCCTTTCCATGTTTAGTGCTTCCTTCAGGAGTTCTTTTAGGGCAGGCCTGGTGGTGATAAAATCTCTCAGCATTTGCTTGTCTGTAAAGTATTTTATTTCTCCTTCACTTGTGAAGCTTAGTTTGGCTGGATATGAAATTCTGGGTTGAAAACTCTTTTCTTTAAGAATGTTGAATATTGGCCCCCACTCTCTTCTGGCTTGTAGAGTTTCTGCCAAGAGATCTGCTGTTTGTCTGATGGTCTTCCCTTTGAGGGTAACCCGACCTTCCTCTCTGGCTGCCGTTAACATTTTTTCCTTCATTTCAACTTTGGTTAATCTGCCAATTATGTGTCCTGGAGTTGCTTTTCTCAAGGAGTATCTTTGTGGCATTCTCTCTATTTCCTGAATTTGAATGTTGGCCTCCCTTGCTAGATTGGGGAAGTTCTCCTGGATAATATCCTGCAGAGTGTTTTCCAACTTTGTTCCATTCTCCAAGTCACTTCTAGGTACACCAATCAGATGTAGATTTGGTCTTTTCACATAGTCCCATATTTCTTGGGGGTTTTGTTAGTTTCTTTTTATTCTTTTTTCTCTGAACTTCTCTTCTCACTTCATTTCATTCATTTGATGTTCCATCACTGATACCCTTTTTTCCAGTTGATTGAATCGGCTACTGATGCTTGTGCATTTGTCACGTAGTTCTCGTGCCTTGGTTTTTAGCTCCATCAAGTCCTTTAGGGACTTCTTTGCATTGGTTATTCTAGTTAGCCATTCGTGTAATTTTTTTCAAGGTTTTTAACTTCTTTGCCATGGGTTCGAACTTCCTCCTTTAGCTCAGAGTAGTTTGATCGTCTGAAGCTTTCTTCTCTCAACTCATCAAAGTCATTCTCCATCCAGCTTTGTTCCATTGCTGGTTAGGAGCTGCGTTCCTGTGGAGGAGGACAGGCACTCTGATTTTTAGAGTTTCCAGTTTTTCTGCTCAGTTTTTTCCCCATCTTTGTGGTTTAATCTACTTTTGGTTTTTGATGATGGCGATGTACAGATGGAGTTTTGGTGTGGATGTCCTTTCTGTTTGTTAGTTTTCCTTCTAACAGTCAGGACCCTCAGCTGCAGGTCTGTTGGAGTTTGCTGTTGGTCCACTCCAGACACTGTTTGCCTGGGTATCAGCAGCAGAGGCTGCAGAACAATGGATATTGGTGAACAGCAAATGTTGCTGCCTGAACGTTCCTCTGGAAGTTTTGTCTCAAAGGAGTACCCGGCCGTGTGAGGTGTCAGTCTGCCCCTACTGGGGGGTGCTTCCCAGTCAGGCTACTCGGGGGTCAGGGACCCACTTGAAGATGCAGTCTGTCTGTTCTCAGATCTCCAGCTGCTTGCTGGGAGAACCACTATTCTCTTCAAAGCTGTCAGACAGGGACATTTAAGTCTGCAGAGATTTCTGCTGCCTTTTGTTTGGTTATGCCCTGTCCCCAGAGGTGGAGTCTACAGAGGCAGGCAGGCAGGCCTCCTTGAGCTGCAGTGGGCTCCACCCAGTTCAAGCTTCCCAGCCGCTTTGTTTACCTACTCAAGCCTTGGCAATTGTGGGCGCCCCTCCCCCAGCTTTGCTGCCACCTTGCAGTTTGATCTCAGACTGCTGTGCTAGCAATCAGCGAGGCTCCATGGGCGTAGGACCCTCCAAGCCAGGCGTGGGATATAATCTCCTGGTGTGCCATTTGCTAAGACTGTTGGAAAAGTGCAGTATTAGGGTGGGAGTGTCCCCATTTTCCAGGTGCCATCTGTCACCCCTTTCTCTGACTAGGAAAGGGAATTCCCTGACCCCTTGCGCTTCCTGGGTGAGGCGATGCCTCTCTCTGTTTCGGCTCATGCTCTGTGTGCTGCACCCACTGTCCTGCACCCTCTGTCCAACACTCCCCAGTGAGATGAACTCAGTACCTCAGTTGGAAATGCAGAAATCACCCATCTTCTGCATCGCTCATGCCTGGAGCTGTAGACTGGAGCTGTTCCTATTTGGCCATCTTGGCTCCACCCTCACTTTTATTATTACTTTTGCCATTATGCAGTGTTAAAATAGGCCTTTACAGAAATATTCCTGTCTTTTTCTAAGCTCTGAAGTCTTTTTTTTTTTTTCTTTTTTTTTTTTAAGGGATGGACTCTTGCTCTGTTGCCCAGGCTGGAGCACAGTGGCATAATCTAGGCTCACTGCAACCTCCCCCTCCTGGGTTGAAGTAATTCTCCTGCCTCAGCCTCCCAAGTAGCTGGGATTACAGGCTCCTGCCACCAAGCCCAGCTAATTTTTGTATTTTTAGTAGAGACAGGTTTTCACCATGTTGGCCAGGCTGGTCTCGAACTTGCGACCTTAGGTGATCCACCTGCCTCGGCCTCCCAAAGTGTTGGGATTACAGGTGTGAGCCACCGCACCCGGCCATCTTTGAAGTCTTGATACTTAATCATTGAGAACTTTTAGAAAAATGTGCATCTAGCTTAATTTGTGAGATGTTATCTCTGATGTATATAATTTCTCACTTCAGTGTATATTTCACAGTTTGGAGCATGTTTGCTTCACATTTTTTAATTTGAAGTTGTAAGTTGTAGCTGCATTGTTTGTTTCCTTAGAATACAACCCACTATTCTTATCTTTTGTTCTTTTTCTGGGCTTAGGGGTAAGAAAATGTAAAAGCGTTTTTGCTGTGTCAGCTTCAGCTAGAAGTCCTCTCTTAATTTATGCTTAAACCCTGATATTGCATCCAGAGCACTCAGGAAAACAATATATATGTGTGTGTGTGTGTTTTAGGTTTTCTTTCCAGAATAGGTTTTAATATAATTAAATATATTTAATTATAGGTTTTAAATAATTAAGTTATGGAAAAGTTATAGAATGATTTCCTTTTTTTTCTGCTCCATTATCCATCTTTCTCAATTCATATTGGCATTTAAACTACTTACATAGATGGAAATGTTAATCATATGGTACAAGTATGCCTTGTAGACATCCCATTCCCAGAAGTTATTTTCATCTCATTAGGTGTCAACTGAGCAGAATGGCTGTATTCACAGTGGCCTCAGTATAGTTAGTGAGCAATCTCAGTGTCCCATTAAGACTGCTACACAGAATTAAATTAGTAACTGGATATTCAAGAGTTGATTTTCTTGTTCTAGGGTATGTTTTCTTTATCTTAATTGCCATAGATGTTACAAATTCAATTTATTCACTCTCTCTGGGAAGAGAGCTCCGTTCAGTTGTAATCAACCAATCCATATCCCGCCAATCTATTAATTACATTAATTTAATCTTGTATTAATTAAGGAATATTCATGGCTGTTGAACATTGTAATAGGTAGAAATAATCAGGAATCCAAATAACTGAATGATGCATTGGGAACATTGAATTATGAGAGAGAAGTTGCATAGTTTCAGGGTCTAGTTTTTGCTACTTATAAAAAAACCTAGTAAGCTACTCTTATAAAGCTTTATCAGTTTATCTCTATAGTGAAAGGTCTATGACCCACAGAAAAGCTAACTGAAATTAACAATGTTCCTTCCTAAATCACTTATAATCAACCAATTTTCAGCATTTTGTTAAGAACTTTCTGACTTCTTTTTCCATCAACTTCATTATAAAATATTTTCACATTTATAGTGATATTATATTTAATCATATTGTCTCCTTTTCTGCATTCACATAGAACTTGCAGTTGAAAAATAAACTTTGCCATTTAATTATATCATATTAATATCACATGTAATGGTTTCATTCATATCATCTCTTCCACAAGATGATTTTCAAAGGCAATAATCATATTGCAAAATAATATTAATATTTATTTAGTTCTTATATGCTTGGCACTCATGCAGTATGTAGCATATTGCTAAATGTTGAATATGCATCACATTGGAGATAACACATGTCATATGTCAAGCAGCTTAATATCTATGAAATTTTAGGAAGGAAATATAATAGCTTAAGTATAGGCTTTGGAGTCAGACAAATTGAGTTTTGATACTTGGCTCTTCTTAGTGGCTGTATAATTTTGGGTAAATTACTTAGTCTCTCTGAGACTACACTTCTGAACGATTAATACATTTCATAAAGTTTTTCTAAAGTATCTTCACATAGTAGATACTTACATGGTAACTATTTTTATTCATAATCTGACAGTTGATTACTATAGATGGAAATCTCTTTATAGTATATATTCCTGTCTCAACCAACATTTTACTCTGTCTGAACTTTATATCTTCATCTACTATCTCAAACATTCTCTTATCTCTGTCTATTTATGATTGATATATATATCTCAAAGTTCAGACAAAGTAACATATTGGTTGAAACAGGAATATAGATATATATAATATATATTTATATCACATAATATAAATATATATCTATCTCATACTTGGTCCTGTAAACACAATGCCTAGATGATCTAGTCAACTGTACCCAAAGAGTGTATCAATATCTAATATGAGCACAATACATACTAGTTGTTATTGCTGTGTAATCTATATCTGGATTTGAAGCTTATTTAATTTAAATAATTCTTGGATCATTTCTTGATCTCACAGCAAACAGGATCTACTTCTACCAAGGTAGCTTTAAAATGCTGGATATCCCATATAATAGCAATTATGAAAGGGAGACATCACCAGAAAATAACTATCTTAGCCAAATTCTTGAGACTAGGTAAGTTAGTATTTTCCTATATTTCATTGTTAATTCTCTGAAATATAAGTACTGGAATTTGATATTTGACTCTATTTTCTCTGTTAACAGATGGTTGATGCATTTCAAAGTTCTAGCATTTACAGACAATATATCTTTTCTCAAGTCATCACACTGGTGTAAGTAACCAACATTAACCATCAAAAAAGAGATCAACTGATCATACATACCAGGACACTTCAAATTTCTCTGTGAAAAGAATCTATTGATATGTTATAGTCCTTAGCCAATAAGCTATGAATATCAAGCATTATCATAAATGTCAGACTAATTTTTCAATATGAAACCTAAGATTGGGGCCATATAGTTGAGTTCACTAGATGTATTGAGGATACATTAATCCTCAAATTATAAATGTGTCATCCTTTTGGTTTCCTAAATATTTATGTTCAGAAAACATTAGATAGTCCCATAGACCAATGTTTGATGCTCTAAAATTTTTATTTAGCAGTAGCATAAATATAGATCCTGTTTTCTCCTGTCTTTTGACTTGCAAGTCAGCTAAACACTTTGTGGAAATACCCCTAGAATTCTTAGTAGATACAGGTTAGGAGACAGCATATTTACACTAGACTTTGAGATCAAGAAAACCTTCTAGTCACCATAATAAGAAGTAAAATAGCTATGCTGTGTTCCCTACATGTGGGTTTGGAGTGGCATGAACTAGCCGAGGTAACCATAGAATAGATTTAGACAACCTGAGCCTAGCCTTTGCCATTTAATAGCCCTAGAGTCTTTGGCAAGTTACTGTATCGCTTTGAATCTGTTCCACTATCTCATTACATGTTAGTAGTAATACTTGCTTTGCCTCACTCACAGAACAGTACTAAGGATAAAAAAGAAAAGAAAATATGTGTGGAAACACTCACAAATAAACACATTTCAGATGAAGGCAATTATTGCTTTTATTTCCATCAGTGTCGCAGGACTATGTCTGCTCTTCTTCCCTGCTCATGGGACTCCTGGAATTGTAGAACAGATTAAGCTCTCAACTAGCATTAACATTGGAGGTCAATTTTGGTATTGAACATAAATGTGAGATTAAAGTTGAAGGGCCCAGATATCTCTCAGAGATGACTGCAACCACGGGAGATGTCTCTGTTTTGTTTTCCCATGCATGTAAATTCAAGTATCTATAAACAGCATGGGCCAAAAGGCAGTCATGAAGAGGTCACAGGACAAAGCTTTTCACTTTAGCATACACTGCTATAATAATCAAACTTATGTGACCTGAGTGCTTCCCAGGAATTATTATTGATTTATGTGCCAAAATATTGAACATCCCTGAGGAAGCCTCAAAGCATAATAATGTTACTTCAGACACAAGCTTCAGGACTCCTTAACAATTCCTGCGTGTCTAATTGGCTAGCTCCTCAGGCTGACTGCCCTTTTCCTGTTTCCAGACAAATCTTCCCTAAAACTCATGGTCAGATTAATTTTCCTCAAATACAGTTTACCTCAACAACTTTCCATCACTGCTACCCCTCAGCTAGCATTAAAGATCCTCTTCTGGTTGAGCCCAATCTCCTAGACACTGCCATTACTGTATGACTAGGCACAGAGTGACAGTGTACAGCATACAGACAGCTCTGTAAAGAGCCCAGGTTATGCAGTCAACTGCACTAAATCTAAATCCTAGTGTAGTGTGTACTTACTCTTGAATACATTATATAACTTCCCAGAGCCTCAATTTTTCCTTGTCTATAAAATGAAGATAACACCTATGCTGCAGGATTGTTGTGGAGACTGTGCTAATAAATGTGATAGCAAAGTACATTGGCTACGTAATACAAAGTACATTGGAATATAGCAGATGCCCAATCCATGCTAATTAATATTATTGCCATCAATTATTCTGAAGAAATATTCCTTCTCATCTCTGCTTTATGCAATTTTCTGCTTGATAATGAAGCAGAAACAAAAATACATTAAGTTTCATTGTGTATGTCACTTCCTCCATGCAAATTTCTCTGATCTTTTATGTAAAAAATGACTTGACCTTCCTGGGAATATCTCCAGATAAGATAAATAAATTATTGCTTCCACCTCATTTATTTTAGTAATTTGTATATATGTTTTATCTTCCCTAAAAATCTACAATTTCCTTGAGAGTAGAAATTGTGTCTTAGTCACCCTTGCATCACCTAATAGCACCTAGCTCAGTTGCTTGTCTATAGCAGTTGTTCAACAAATGATTGATGAATGTATTAATAAATCATCCCAATTCTTAGGTGATACCTTTACCCTATGCCTCAGGCAACTCTTTTTTTTTCTTGAGACAGACTTTTGTTCATGTTGCCCAGGCTGGTGTGCAGAGGTGCGGTCTCGACGCACTGCAACCTCCACCTCCCAGGTCCAAGCAATTCTCCTTCCTCAGCCTCCCAAGTAGCTGGGATTACATGCACCCACCACCATGCCTGGCTAATTTTTTGTATTTTTAGTAAAGATGGGGTTTCACCTTGTTGGCCAGGCTGATCTCAAACTCCCGACCTCAGGTGATCTGCCCGCCTTGGCCTCCCAATGTGTTGGGATTACAGGCGTGAGCCACCACTCCCGGCCTCCCTTTTTTTAGATTTGTGTAACTGCTTGTCCTCTATATTGAATAATACAGCTGCATGCATACTGTCACCAAGCAAATATAAGAGGATGGATGGTCCTGTGCTTAACCTAAAGGTACTCCACAAACCCACAAAAGAGCAGAAGAAACCAAGCTATGAAAGATCAGACAAAGAGGAAGAAAATGCTGTTTTCAGCAACATATGAAAACTTTATGTTGTTTCCAGTCCTGATAACAACAGAGTGACAGCACATATATGGCTGGTATTCAAGGGTCCAAGATCAATGAAAGAAAACACAAGAAAAAGAATTGAAAGTATCTTACATCAGATGCTGAAGAACCACTCAGGATCCTTGACTACAGATCTGAATTCTCTGAGGCTTATGGGTAAGCTCATGATGGGAGTGGTGTTACTTTCATCATTTTATCCCTAGCATATATCACAAATATCAGACACAAAACTGATCTTCAATATTTTCAAATGAATGTCACTTTTATATCAGAGCAATTATTTGTATTCTTCACTATTAAAAACACAATCAAATCACAATAATACCAAACCTTTTACTTGATTCAGGGGTGAGGGCAGGCTGCTTTTCATTCAAAAGCAGATATTGATACTTTAAACAGTCCTTATAAGTACTGATGTGTCTTGCTAATCTTTTAAAAATCTCCTATAACTTTCAAAAACAGCAGTGGACCCACCATTATAAGACAGGTCACTTTTTAAAAGTTATCTTTTTGTATACTGACAGGAATTAGGTTCACTTGTAGGGAATTCCTCTTCTTCTAAGAAAAGACACTCACAGTTTTCCACTTTAGATGATGTAGAATACAATTCTAATCAAATAAGAAAGAAGTCTCTCCTGCGGAGCCATGAAGATGGTACCTCCATATCATACATTCATGTATAGTAAAAGAACAATTCCAATAAACCAGTGTTCTCTCCTTTGTATTAACACTTTATTTTGAAATTTCAAATTATTTACGGACTCTTCTGCCCTGCTTGACCTATCGTCTTAATCCATCGCCCCAAGGTCAGAGGTGCTAGGTTTTAAATTTACTATGAATTTTTTGTTCTATTTCAGAAATCAGTAAGGTCAGTGCTGCAAAAATTATCAACAACCGTAAGTTCAGATACTTTTTAATTAAATTTATGAGGTGATCTAAAGCACAGCAATCATGATTTGTTACTATTGGTTAGGAACAGTTCTAAGTGTTTTACATATACAGTAATTCATTTAATATTTGTAACCATCCTACAGATGGTTATGATTATGATTCCATTTTTGAGATGGGGAAACTGAAGCACAAAGAAGTGAAATGATTGCCCAAATTCATCCAGCTTGTAAATGGCGAGGCCAGAATTCAAACTCAGGGAGTCTGGTTGCAGAGCATGGACTTAACCATAACTTTATCTGCCTTCCACAGCTCACACATTCTCCAAGTGCTGGTGTCTTGGAGACAGTATGTTGGGTATGCAAGCAATCCACTGGCTGCTAGTGATTCCTGTACAGATTACACTGTACCTATCAGCACAAGATATTGTCAGATATAACCACACAAAGCCAACTCAGCTCACTCTCTGCTTTGTAATCAAATGTTATTTTCCTATTTTTAATGAAGCAAAACTGACTTTTTCTGACAGGCTGTGGGAGACGAGCAAGGATGCCACCTACATTTGATAGAGTCAGGGGAGGTTCCATTGATCAGGAAGGAGAATGACCATGACAAGCAAGCCTTAAAATGAGTGGGCAACACTACTGTGGGGCATCATTGATCAGTGAAAGACACTTGGTGACTGCAGCTCACTGTTTTAAAGTGTTAAGTTCATTATGTTGCCCAAAGCTACAGAAACCAAAGGCTTTGGAGGAAGTTCCAGTTTGCACCTGTTATCCCTGTTTAAATATTAGCAGCACTCCCTTTCATTCTCAAAAGTGTCCCGGTTTGGAAGAAAAATTATATGGTAAGCCTATCTAAGACTTTCCTAACTTTTCAGTAAAAATGGGAAGAGTCATTCATTCTGGACAGTGCATTTTTTCTTCACATGATACTCACCTCTCATCACTTTATAATACAGACATCCTAAACTACTTGTAGTTGCTGAAACACATTCTATTTCATATGTACCTTCCTCTCTGCACATGCCTGCCCCCATCTCCTTGCCTTTTAGGCAAATGCGACTTAGTCCATAGTCTTATCCAAAATGCTATTTTCCCTAAGAAATCTTCCATTCCTTTAAGAATACAGATTTAAGTCTTCCTATTTTGTAGTCCCACTAATTATATACACCACTATTTAACCTATTATAACTGCTAGTGTTTACACCTACCTTTCACCAGATTTAAACTTTTCGATGGCATGGCCATTTATTTTTATTCTATTCCCCCATTGCCTTACATGGTGTATGGTGTAGGAACTCAAGATTTTTTCAAATGAGTTAAAAATCAGATTATATCATTGCTAATGGACTATAGAGCAAGGAAATATTCATGCCAAGAAAAGAGTACAGTAGATGCAGAATGTATCTCTATTATCTTGAAATAAGTACAAAATACATGATTTTTATTTCTTTAGGACAAAAAATCCAAAAAACTATACTGTCAGCTTTGGCACGAAAGTAACTCTTCCCTATATGCAACATGATGTTCAACAAATTATTATTCATGAAGACTACATCCAGGATGAACATCATGATGATATCGCACTTATACTGCTCACTAAAAAAGTTTTATTTAAGAATGATGTACATCGAGTTTGTCTTCCTGAAGCCACACAGATTTTTCCACCTGGTGAAGGAGTTGTTGTTACAGGATGGGGAAGACTTTCATTTAATGGTAAGATCAGTGAAAACTTAACATACCATGTAAGGTACAAAAGCAACAGGAAAATAGTAATCTAGGTGTCAAGTGAAAGGCATCACTTACCTCCAGATGTTGAGTGCTCTCAGACAATCTCTTAGGGAATGATGCATAGGGAGTTATGACTTTGCAAACTGCCTGGGTTTCAAACATTCCAAGGAAACCAATTTGGTTGTAGAACCTCCCTAACCTGGAAAAGCCAATTGAGAAAGCTCTAGTCCAAAGATGTAGGAAGAGAGATAAAGAGAGACAGGCAACATTAGAAACATATTTCAAATTATAATTTGAACATCTCTTTGTTATCATTTTGAGTGAGGAAAGTGAGTGGGCTTTTCATTCTAAAAGTATGCAACAGTCAAACATGGGTCTTATGTACAAAGGATAAATCAAGGTCATCCAGCTCTTTCAGCTTGTTTGCTGATAATATTTAATTCCTTTAGGTAAACACCTAGTGTTCCTTTAGAAAGCATCTGTGAAGATTACTGATACAAACACTTGTAATGCTAAAGAAGCCTATCGTAGTATGGTACAGGATAGAGTGCTATGTGCTGGGTACATGGAAGGAAATATAGACGCCTGCCAGGTAATTCTGGCCATTATTTACATTGACCAATAGTATATAAATAACTGCTCTTACTTTATGAAAATCATCAATATGGAGACAATTCTATACTTCAATTAATTTTCACTTTTCCAATCCTGTCAAAGTGCCTCTCAGCTTTGGCACTAAAGTAATTCTTCCCTACATGCAGCATATGTTTTTAAGTGTTTAACAAACATTTATGCTGGACTTATTCTGAGTCAAACACTGTTCTAAGTCCTCTACAAATATTGATTCATTTAATCATCATTACACTCTTATGATGTAGGTAATACCAGTATTCTCATTTTATAGATGAGGAAATAGAAGCAGAGGAAATTTTAGTAATTTGCACATCATAGCTGGTATACAAACCTAGGCTGTCCAGCACCACAGTCCAGATTCTTAGCTACATTTCAATAAATAATCAGTCTCAGAATTTTTTCAATTACTTTTCGCCCATTTGAAATTCCTCTCACTTTCTTACCCCCTCATGGTTAGAGTTCTGCTACTTTTCTCAGATATGAAGTCCTATATTCCAAGTATATTCATATGTCTCCAAAGTTTTGTCACGGAATTAAAGCTTGCAACTTATTAAATCACACCTTTGGTGCAGTAGCTCATGCCTGAAATCCTAGCACTTTGGGAAGCCAAGGCAGGAGGACTGTTTGACATCAGGAGTTCAAGACCAGCCTGGGCATCACAGTGAGACCTCATCTCTACAAAAAATAAAAAAAATAGCTAGCTCAGTGTGGTGGCATGCCTGTATTCCTAGCTACTCAGGAGGCTAGGTGGGAGGATCGCTTGAGCCCAGGAGTTCCAGGCCGCAGTGAGCTGTGATTATGCCACCGCACTCCAGGCTGGGAGCCAGAGTGAGACCTTGTCTCTAAAATATAAATAAATTTTAAAAATAAATCACACCTTTCAGTTTCAGGTAAACTCCAGAGTCCTAGGCAAGGTATTCTGGTCAGTCACAGTTAAGGTTAATGGTGACACAGGGATTTACACCGTGGGTAAAATGCTAATGACTTACAAACTTTATCTGGGGTGATCATTTAGTGTAAAGTATCTGAAAGGAAATTCTCACAATGATAAATATTCTTTTTTTTATTCAGGGAGACTCTGGAGGACCACTAGTTCATCCTAATTCTCTAAATATTTGGTATATTTGGTACCTTGTTGGAGTAGTGAGCTGGGGAAGGAATGAATGTGGTGCAATCAATAGTCCAGGGGTCTACACGTGAGTGACCACCTACTGCAACTGGATTACCTCTGAGACGGGTGTTTAACAGAAAATCATCTCCTAGCAACTATTGTAGTTACTCCTAAGCCTTATTTAACATGCATTTTAAATTAGTGTGTACAATGGCTGTTTTGAAAGAACTGCCGTCCTGAGGGAATATTTGTGGACTTCTAAGCCAAATCAACAAGACAAAATAAGACACCTCAAGTTTGGTCCAGAAAAGCCTAAGCAAAGACAGTGTTCACATCAAAAACAGACTATTATAATATGAATTATTTTTCTATTTAATTAACTCACATCATGGCTATCTCATCACAGCATAAACTCTTGGTTTTTGTCATTCAGACTTTCTAGAATTGTGAAAGTGTGTCCTTGTCCATGGCAAATTAGTCACTGTGAGTGACTGGAATCAATACTTTATGCTGATTGGGTTGGAATATGCTATATCTGCCTTCATGTCATAGCTTTTGTGGAAGGGGTGTGGTTGTGACCTAAATCTAGTCTGAATGTAGGCACTGAGTTACACTCTTTTATTTGTATGGGGTCTTGGTCAATTCTTGCAATCATTGTGAAAGAATTACACCATCAGCAAAACCAGGCAAAACAGCACATTTTAGACTTACTGTGACCAGGCAGAGTAGTAGTTCTTTACTGTTGTTACAAGTTTCTGTGGAAATTCCTTATTTGTAACATATTTTGAAAAAGTCTCTATGCACCCTGAAAATGTGTAATGTATTTTAATTAAAACAAATTTAAAAGCAAACTGTTCAATGACAGTTTTCTTTTTGGTTTTTGTTTGCTTTTTTGAGAATTCGTGGGTGGGTTTTCCTCTCTTTCTCTTTTTAACCTCTTTTTCTGTAAAAAGAAGGGTTGCTTCTACTTGGACCATAGCTTGGGGGAAGGCACGGGGTGGTTAAAAAGTATCTTGAGGGCCGGGCCCGCTGGCTCACGTCTGTAATCCCAGCACTTTGGGAGGCCGAGGCGGGCGGATCACTTGAGGTCAGGAGTTCGGGACCAGGCTGGCTGACATGGTGAAACCCCGTCTCTACTAAAAATACAAAAATTAGCCAGGGGTGGCGGCTCGCGCCAGTAATCTCAGCTACTCGGTAGGCTGAGGCAGGAGAATCACTTGAACCGGGGAGGCGGAGGTTGCAGTGAGCTGAGATCACCACTGCACCCACCCCAGGCAGGGAGACTCTTTCAAAAAGAAAGAAAGAAAAAAAATGTATCTTGAGGTTGAAGGGAGCGGCTCGGGTGGACGCTTTCCCAGGTCTGACAGAGGGATGTGGCCGGTGGGCCTCTTGAAGGCCCCTGGGGGCCGCAGGCTCCTTGCTGCGCTGGAGGAAGAGGCCTGCCCAGCGCGGGTTGGGCCCCTCCAGCCTGCTGAGTCTGGTCAGCATGAGTTTCCGTTCGCGGCCTAGGAAGTGGTTCTCCAGGAAGCCGCAGGGGTGAGAGTCTGCATGCTTTGCGCCCAGGGCGTGCAGATCCAGCAGGGCCTGGTTCAGGTTCGTCTCCAGGGCCAACGCGGCTCGCAGGGCGCCCAAACTGCTGTCCTATTCATCCCAGGACGGCTTCTGGATGGCATCGCAGAGGGCTCCGCGCTGGTTTTGCGTCTTCCACAGACTCTGGGCGCCCTGTCGCTTCTCCTGGGCCAGCTCTCAGAAGTGGCCCATGCCCTCCAGGGTCACGTCGTCGCGGTAGAAATGGAGGATGAGAGAGAGGTAGGTAAGGGAAGCCCGCAGCTGCCGGTGGACCAGGCTGCTGACGGCGGCTTCCACTTCGGTGCAGTAATTCTGGCTGATGTGGGAACTCATGGTTCTTTGGAAAGGAGCTAACCAGACACGCACACAAAAGAAAGGCTGAATTGGTCTTGGGCTGGGGGATGATGGGAAGGCCCAGAAGATGGTTCTGGAAGCTGCGGTGGGGGTAGGGGTGTGGGGAGAAAGTTAAGTAGGGGCCAGAGACTGGAGGCGGGAAAGAAGGGAGTTCAAGAAGGAGGTAAGCATGGTATGTCTGCAGGTGGGTTTTTTGTGTGACACAAATGTTAATTTCTGGCCATAGTCCCAGTCCCACAGTCCCCAGAAGCGAGCCTAGGGCCCTGTTTTATGAACCACACAGTCTCCAGGCGTTAAGTGACTACAGTCTGTAATATTCACTTTTAAAAAGTTAAAATTTTTATCGGTATTTACTGAACATTTGATTTAGTGTCTTGACAAGTCCTTATACAGTATTTAAATTTTATTTGAGCTTCAATGACCTAGATTAGATATATGAGAAAATCTTTTACTTACTGAATTTTCTTCTTCCAGAAAGTGTGGATTTCACACTATCTACTGATAGCCATTTTGCATTTACCAAAGATCTAAAATAAGTATATGTGTAATAATAGTTGTCCTAAAATTTTATTAAATCACTTTTAAATGGCATTTTTAGTTCCTTTATATCATAAATAAACTCAGTTTCTTAAAACATTGAAATACCAAAGGCCTTTTAAAGTAGTCTTAGCATATTAAATTTCAGTTATTAATGATCTTGATATTTAATGCCTTTGGTGGTAATTAACATTACATATTGTATTCATTATCATCATCATAAATGAAACAGCAGTGCTTAACATTACTGAGTTGTTACTATGTGTCAGGCACAATTCCAATGACTTTGTCTGTATTATCCCAATTGATCCTTCTGTCTATTCCATGAAGAATACTATTATTATTTCAACTTTATAGATGAATAAACAGATACCAAGAGGTTAACAACCTTGTCCAAGAATGCAGAACAACACCCACTTTACACAATCCTGCCTCTTAGTCATAGAAGTCCAGGATAAGGAAGTGATTTTAACCAGAGATGTTGACAATTCCCATTTTTGTGGGAGTTTTTGTTTGTTGGTGTTATGTGTTTGTGTGTTTGCTTGCTTGCTTTTTCTGAAAAGAGTGAAAACTCCTTATAGTTTTGGGTAATACCTAACACTAGTAAGAAGTCCACGCTGGGGAATGACATCAGCATTACTTTCACAAAGGCATTTATATTTGTAGGGTATTTTATATTTCTCACTTGAGCCTATGTAAAAATGCCCTCTGAATCATGGTCTGGCAAATTTGGCTGTCATTCAGGTGGATCCTGGATGCCTATTCATCTAGAAGGGGCAGAGGAGATTAAAGGATCTAGTCTTGGGGTGGGGGTAGGAGTAGAGATTATGGAAAGTGATACTAGTGACTGCTAAGATTCTAATTTTGTAATTTTATGTTTTTAAGCCTTCAGATGAAGTTTGAATACTAGTGTAATTGTTCTATGTGAATCCATGCCAGAACTCTATCTGGGAGTTGGAATCTTTTTTGCTCCCATCTGTCTCTGAGAGCCAGAGTTTATTAATGTGGAATAGAAAACTCCATTTTCTTTGTTAAAAAATCATTTTTTTTTCAAATAAATATTTGTATACCTTAAAGTGAAAATAGCTTGATGGTATCTGACAAATTTTTAAGCTACAACTTAAACTGAATTCTGTATGTTACTGAATTAAAGTTTGTTAATGACAAAACTTTGCAATGAGAAGTAGCAATGCAGATGCAGCTGTTTTATGTATTAAAAATTTTATGAATTATTTATTAAAATCAAATACTGCCAATTAGTATTATGTCTACCATACGGTATTCAAAACAAATTGATAATTCCATGGATATTTTAAAATATTTTTAAACATACCATAAACAAAATGTTACAAATTAAAGTATGCTCTACTTAATTATATAAACTTGTAAATAATTTTTTGTTGTTGTTGTTAAAAAAGAACTACTACCACGTTGGTTGTTTTCTTCACAAAATAAATTAAGAAATGTAGAGATAGGGTCTCACTATGTTGCCCAGGCTGGTCTCAAACTCCTGGCCTCAAGTCATTCTCCTGCTTTGGCTTCCCCAAGTGCCAGGATTACAGGCAGGAGCCACTGTGCCAGGCCAATAAAATACAATTTTTAACTATGTTTCCTGATAGTTTTGATGTTATCATTAAGAGTAGTGCAAAATTTGACACAGCTAGTTTTAATTAGAAATATTTATCTTAAATATTTTATACAAATTAATTAAATGTGCATAACAAAATGCATGCAGTTCATTCATAGTACAAAAGAGGTTTCAATGAAAGTGTTTTAAAAGGGTATGACAATGTAGATTGTTTATTACACATATTGGATTTCTATACTTTAAAATCCTGAGATTAAGAAAAGAAAAACAATGATTACTTTAAAAGATTATTCTAGGTATTTATTTAGTTTCTATCAGAAGAAATGAAACCTCAGAGAGCTCAGTGTTTTCCAAGTCCAAAAACTTAATGTCCAGTCAATAATCATAATTTTTTTAAGTTCTGGGAAGGATGCTTCTTTTAGAGCACTGCAGAGTGAAAAACTGGATTATCACTGGCTTGGTGATTTTTTGTTATATAGCTGACCTAAACTGTTTTATATTTGCTCCTCATCTCTCCTTTATTCTTAAATATTAATTAGGCCTTTTACAGTGTCTGTGGGGTGATACAGGTTCTGTAACTCTGATTTTTCTATAAAACCAGCATCTAGATCAAGTTCCCTTTCTACTGAACCCTTTTTGGAGTTTGGTCTTTTCAGTTTTCAGCTGCTTATGTTTCTTCCTTCATTCATTTCTTTCTTCATTCATTCTCAGCCACAAGACATTCTACATGGCTCTTTGGATCCGATAAACTGCTGAATTTGTTTTTTTGCTTATTATTATTCTATAACATCCTTGGAAGCATTGCTTTAATAATGTAGAGTTTTTGGCTCTCTCATTTTCTCAGAGTGTTGAGTCCTGTCAAAAACAAAAACAAAACCAAAAAAAATGTAAAATCTTAATTTGTGGCATGTGTTCCTCTTAGGAAAGGTTACTCTTCTGGGAAAGAAAGGGACTTGGGCCCTCCACATCCTCTGAAGAGAGTGTGTATGAACGCTAAAGATGGGTCCTTCCATTCTTACCCATATTCTGCTGGGTTTTTATTTCATTTTATTTTCCTTTCTCCAACACTCCTATATGGGTAGGAGCTATTTCATGAGTCTGTGTACTTACTGTTATAAATGAGCCTGCTCAGATTGTTAGCCTCCCTGTTTCAAAAGAATAGTTGACTTTTGTAGTCATAGAAACCTCTTAGCATTTTCCTACAACTAAAAATCTATATGTTAGTTTCTATTCTATTGATGGAAAAGGTTGATAGGACCATCCCATCACTCTTAATAGTTTCTGGGGTGGGTAGCAGCCTCGAAGCAAAGGACAGCAGTGCTGTAGCATAGAAAGGGAGAATGTAGGGGAGTTCAGCCAAGCTTTTATGAGGAACCCTCTTCTGCACCTAGGAATCTGGAATAGTAAGAACTTTGGTACTTTCTCTGGAGGCAACGTTTTTTGCTTTTGTTCTTGTTGATTGAACCATATCAACAAACTTTTTACGTGTTGTTATATTGAAATCCATTAGTATATCTTGCATTTTGAATGGATATTTTATTCATGCATGATTCTGTGACATAATTTGTATGTCTTTTTGAAAATGTTGGTTAACTGAGTGATATGGTTTGGCTCTGTGTCCCCACCCAAATCTCATCTTGAATGGTAATTGCCATGTGTCAGAGGAGGGGCCTGGTGGGAAACGATTGGATCATGGAGGTTGTTTCCCCCATGCTGTTCTTGTGATAGTGAGTGAGTTCTTATGAGAGCCGACGGTTTAAAAGTGTGTGGCTTCCTTCGCTGTCTCTCTCCTGACGCCATGTAAGATGTGTCTGGCTTCCCCTTCGCCTTCCACCATGAATGTTGTTTCCTGAGGCCTCCCCAACCATATGGAACTGTGAGTCAATTAAATCTCCTTTCTTTATAAATCACCAGGTCTCAGGTATGTCTTTACAGCAGTGTGAGAACAGACAACTACACTGAGTTAAGTAAATATTCCAAATGTTGACACCTTTCATTGTACTGTGTCACAAAGTCATGTTCATTAATATCACTGATCACATTATAAAATCTTTTAAGTATTATGGGGATGTCAGGTTCACGGTAGCACAAATAAGTTTACCAAAATTCTAATTTTCTTAATAAATCTCATATTTCATAATTAGCAACAAATAGTCATTTTCTGAAAATATCTGCCACATGCAGATTCTAAATATATTAAATACTGATTCTGATTCTAATAGGTTTTCAGTCACTCTTAGCAAATAAAATGTTGTTCCACGGTAAAAATGATGCATTCACCTTGCAAATCATAAAATTACTTCAGTGCTTTTACTCAAGATTGCCATTCAATTCAATTATGCAGCAACCATGCTTATGTCTACCTCTCTTTTGTCATTCATAACAAAGACATGTATGTACTCAATTTCAAAAGGCAATGCAATTTATAATCTTTAATGTTTCATCCAGGGCATTCTTAAATAAAGTTGGATTTTTTTTTTTACTGCAAATGTATGGCAGTGAAAAATACAATGATGCAATGACTCCTGGTACAGTTTGTTGCCTTTACCTTGATTTGCTAAAAGTCCCAGCCTTTTTTGCCACTAATCTATTTTCACTGTTAGTTTGATTTCACAGACTTCCTGAAAAAGCCTCAGAGACCCTTAGGGGTCTGCAGAAAACACTCTGAAAACTGCTGATCTATTCTAATTATTCTAATAATTATTCTAAAGAAAAGTTTATATAACTAATACCTACAAAATAATTTCATCAATCCATAAATATCCAAGAACTGTTCATTTATATACTTATGGTACTACAGAAGCATATGGGACAGACAGCTAACCCAGAATGAGGGGTGGGGGCAATCAAAAGTTTATCAAGTAAACGCCCCTGAGATGAGTCCTGTGGGATGAATAAGAGGAAGCTCAAGAAAAACTTCTTGGTGAAGGGATGGAGGTGCTTGGGAAGGGCACCCAAAGCAGAGAAAACAACATTGTCAAACACTGTGACTGAATATACTATCATGTATTAGTCAGGATAGGCTAGATTTTACTGTGGCTCCATACACTTAAATCTCCATAGCTTAGCACACCAAAATTTACTTCTCACTCATAGGTATTGACAGTAGGATGACTCTCCCAGGCTGCTGGATTAGCAATGCAGGCTGCTTTCATCTTGTGGCTATGCCGTGTGAACATTTGCCTTCACAATCCTAATCACAGAGCAAGAGAATGCTGCTAATAGACCCACTAACAGAATGAAAATATATCCACTAATGCTCCTAGATCATTTGCCAAAACTTGTTAAATGGCCCCTTTTAACTTTAAGGAGGCTGAGAAACATGAGACAGAACATGTATATTTGGAGATACAGAAGTTTCTCTGGCCTAATTTGTTGAAAAAGACCGCTGGCACTAATTTCTACTGTAGCAAAGAACAAATAGTTTTCACAGAGTAAACAGTAGAGGGCTCTGGGAATAAACTAGAATGATGACTAGTAGGCAACAGTGCAGTTCCAGATCAAAGAGGAGTAGAAGTAGAGCCTGGAAGGTTCTGACAAGCAAGAGATGCTTTCTGGTGTAATGATCAAAAGCTCTGTGCTAGTATTGAAGAAGTTTTATCTTTAATTGGGTAGAAAAGGGAAAAGGAAACAAGTACAATGTTGGGATGAGAATTCTTTAAAATTGCACAGATTTATAAGTCATCATGCAAAGAAAAAAGTTACGTAAAACTGCTCTGTAGTTTGTCTCTGCTATATAAAACACGAGTAGAAAAAAAGACTAGAAAAAATATAGGACACCAGAGTGTTTTTTTTAAACAGAGTTTATTCTAGTGATATTATGAATGATTTCTGGAGTCTGTCTTATATTTTCCATAATGAGCATGGTTACTTTATAACCAAAAGGAAAAAAAATTCATTAACCTTTGTTTAAAGAAATTTCAATTTAAATGAGATATTTTCAATAAATCATTAGTCATTAAATATTGATGAGATATTTATGAATATGGTGAACATATTTTCCCAGCCTAAATTGGGACATTTAGCTTGATATAAATGAATTGAAAATTTTGCATCGAACAGTCTTGGAAAATCATATGGTTGCGTAGTCATAAATAACTGAAATCCTATAATTATGTTTCTTTAAGCTCAAATGGGACATAATTGTATATGACAGATTTATCATTTATTTTTGCTTTCCATAAATGTGTTAATGAAATTTGTTAAGCTAGTTTTTATAAACGGAATTGCATTTTAAATTACCAGAATAACTTGATGTTTAAATACATTCACTATTTTGAGTTTTTTTTTATGTAAAATATATATGCACATATATACTTGCTTAAAGGATAAAAAGACATTAATTACTGTCTCTGACATCTCAACTTCTGTTTTTTTCTTTTCTGCGAGAACACCCCTATGTTCTATCACTTTTCCCAGCAGAGGGCACTACAACCCAAGTATCAGGCTTCTCATGTTTCCCCTAAATGTCAAACGTAACATTGTTAACTTGAGAAGTCTCATAAATGAGCAAAATACAATCCCAGCAGGAGACAGAAGAATAGACAAAGTGAAAACCTACCCCCCCCATCCTTATTTCTGGCAAATACAAAATATAAACCGTGATTCCATTAAAAAAAAAAACTCATTCTTGCAAAGGACAGTAACAAGTTCCATGATAAATAAAGATGTATTTAAGTAATAGATTCTGCTCTAAAAACCACATAACCAAGTGGAAAGTACCAGTACACAGCAAATGCAATGCAGGGTAATTATAATAACTGCCAGGTTTAGAACACTACACTCTGTTTTATACCTCCAGCTGCCTACTTGACCACTCCAAATAATGCAAGGCCCCCAAAACTTAATATGTCCACCCCATTTTATCATTTGACTTACATATGTGCTCCTCTTTATATGTTCACCCATTTATTTAATGGCATTACTGTTCTTGAAAATTTATTATCCCCTTTAATTTCTCCTTTTCTATCATCTTTCCCCATCAGTCCTAAGTCTTGATGGTTTCCTAACTAGTCTTGCAAGTCTTTGGTGATTTACTAATACATGAAGCATAACTTTTTATCTTTTTTTTTTCTTTGTTGAGACAGTCTCGCTCTGTTGCACAGGCTGGAGTGCAATGGTGTGATCTTGGCTTACTGCAACCTCTGCCTCCTGGGTTCAAGCAATTCTCCTGCCTCAGCCTCCCAAGTAGCTGGGAGTACAGGCATGTGCCAACATGCCCAGCTAAGAAAGATAACTTTTAAAATTTTATTTTCAAGCCCTTCGTAATCTAAATGGTATCTAAATTCCCAGTCCTGCCTATGGGTTCCTCCCTTTAGCAACACAACATGCCAATTAAAACTCTAATTTCCTTCAGAGCCCAGCTCAAATTTCATATAAAAAAGACTTGGCAAAAATTATTCTCTCCTCTCCCGTTCTCTGATGACATGTCATTTGTATTTTTGTTAGAACACTGTATTAGTCGTTTTCACACTGTTGATAAAAACATACCTGATTCTGGGCAATTTACAAAACAAAGAGGTTTAATTGGACTTAAAGTTCCACATGGCTGGGGAAGTCTCACAATCCTGGTGGACAGCAAGGAGGAGCAAGTCACATCTTACATGGATGGCAGCCAGCAAAGAGAGCTTGTGCAGAGAAATTTCCCTTTTTAAAACCATCAGCTCTTGTGAGACTTATTTGCTATCATGAGAACAGCATGGGAAAGACCTGCCCCCATGATTCAATTACCTCTTACTGGGTCCCTCTCACAACACTTGGAAATTCAAGATGAGATTTGGGCAGGGACACAGTCAAACCATATCATTCCACGCTGGCCCCTCACAAATCTCATGTCTTCACATTTTAAAGCCAATCATGCCTTCCCAACAGTCCCCCAAAGTCTTAACTCATTTCAGCAGTAACTCAAACATCCATAGTCCAAAGTCTCATCTGAGACAAAGCAAGTCCGTTCCACCTATGAGCCTGGAAAATCAAAAGCAGGTTAGTTACTTCCTAGAAACAAAGGGGGTACAGGCATTGGGTAAATACAGCCGTTCCAAATGGGAGAAATTGGCCAAAACAAAGCGGCTATAGGCCCCATGCAAGTCCAAAATCCAATGGGCAGTCAAATCTTAAAGCTCAAAAATGATCTCCTTTGACTCCATGTCTCTCATCCAGGTCATGCTGATGTAAGAGGTGGGTTCCCATGGTCTTGAGCAGCTCCATCTCTGTGGCTTTGTGGGGTACAGCCTCCCTCCCAGCTGCTTTCATGGGCTGGTGTTGAGTGTCTGCAACTTTTCCAGGCACACGGTGCAAGCTGTCAGTGGATCTAACATTCTGGGGTCGGGAGGACGGTGGCCCTCTTCTCACAGCTCCACTAGGTGGTCCCCCAGTAGGGAGTCTGTGTGGGAGTTCAGACCCCTCATTTCCCTTCTGCACTGCCCTAGCAAAGGTTCTCCATGACAGCCCTGCCCCTGCAGCAAACTTCTGCCTGGACATCCAGGCATTTCCATACATCCTCTGAGATCTAGGCCAAGGTTCCTAAACCCCAATCCTTGACTTCTGTGCACTTGCAGGCTCAACACTACATGGAAGCTGCCAAGGCTTGAGGCTTGCACCCTCTAAAGCCACAGCTGAGCTCTACATTGACCCCTTTTAGTCATGGCTAGAGCAGCTGGGATGCAGGGCACCACGTCCCTAGGTTGCACACAGCATGGGGACCTTGGGCCTGGCCCACAAAACCACTTTTTTCTCCTAGGCCTCTGGGCCTGTGATGGGAGGGGCTGCCGAGAAGACCTCTGACATGCCCTAGAGACATTTTCCCCATTGTCTTGAAGATTAACATTCAGCTCCTCATTACTTATGCAAATTTTTTCAGCTGGCTTGAATTTCTCCTCAGAAGATGGGATTTTCTTTTCTGTCATATTGTCAGCCTGAAAATTTTCAGAACTTTTATGCTCTGCCTCCCTTATAAAACTGAATTTCTTTAACAGCACCCAAGTCACCTCTTGAATGCTTTGCTGCTTAGAAATTTCTTCCACCAGATACCCTAAATCATCATCTCTCTCCAGTTCAGTTTCTTTTCTTTTTTTTTTTTTTTGAGATGGAGTTTCACTCTTATTGCCCATGCTGGAGTGCAATGGTGCAATCTCGGCTCACAGCAACCTCTGCCTCCTGGGTTCAAGTGATTCTCCTTCCTCAGCCTCCCTAGCAGCTGGGATTACAGGTACCCACCACAATGCCTGGCTAATATTTTTTATTTTTAGTAGACATGGGGTTTCACCATGTTGGCCAGGCTGTTCTCAAACTCCTGACCTCAGGTGATCCACCCACCTCAGCCTCCCAAAGTTTCACAAATCTCTAGGGCAGGGGCAAGATGCTGCTAGTCTCTTTGCCAAAACATAACAAGGGTCACCATTGGTCCAGTTCCCAACAAGTTCCTCACCTCCATCTGAGACCACTTCAGCCTGGATTACTTTGTCCATATCATCAGCATTTTGGTCAAAGCCACTGAACAAGTCTCTAGGGAGTTCCAAATTTTTCCACATTTTCCTGTCTTCTTCTGAGCCCTCCAAACTGTTCCAACCTCTGCCTGTTACCCAGTTCCAAAGTCGCTTCCACATTTTCGGGTATCTTTTCAGCAACGCCCCACTCTACTGGTACCAATTTACTGTATTAGTCTATTTTCATGCTGCTGATAAAGACATATCCTACACTGGGCAGTTTACAGAAAAAAGAGGCTTAATTGGACTTAAAGTTCCACGTGGCTGGGGAAGCCTCACAATCATGGCAGAAGGCAAAGAGGAGCAAGTCACGTCTTACATGGATGGCAGCAAGCAAAGAGAGCTTATGCAGGGAAACTCCCTTTTTAAAACCATCGGATCTCATGAGACTTATTTGCTATCATGAGAACAGCATGGGAAAGACCTGCCCCCATGATTCAGTTACCTCCTACCCTGTCCCTACCACAACACATGGAAATTCCGGATGAGATTTGGGTGGGGACACAGCCAAACCATATCAAACCGTAATCACAGTCTGTTTAAAATAATGTGTCTATGTCTCTTTTCTCTGTGCCATTTTTATAAAACAGTAGTTTTGTAGTTCAGTAGACAAACAGCCTACTGAACACAGCAGAAGCTTAATATGCTGAATCAAGTGGCACACTGATAGTACCATGATTCGGTTACCTCCTACTGGGTCCCTCCCACAACACATGGAAATTCCAGAGAAGATTTGAATCAGGACAACCAAACCATATCAAACACTAATCAGAGTCTGTTTAAAATAATGTGTCTATGTCTCTTTTTTCTATGCCATTTTTATAAAATTATGAGACAAGCAGCCTACTCAACACAGTAGAAGCTTAATATGCTGAATCAAGTGGCACACTGATAGTACAAGCGGGGGATCTTTATACTTGCATGCTTGTTCATTTGTGCTATGCACTGCTTACATCCACTTCCTCATGAGAACTGCACTGGAAGAGCTCAGGTTTATATTTAAAAAATTTTTAAAGATTTATACAAACTTTAAGGTTTTGCCCAGAAAAAATATTGTCTTTTAATAATATTTTCCAGGTTAAGGTTTGTTAAGGAATAATAAAATACATGAATGAGTGAAATCCTTCTTAGTAAATGCTAATGAAAAGAACTTTTCAAAAATTTTATTGTTTAAATACTTTTTCTGGGCCGGGCGCGGTGGCTCGTGCCTGTAATCCTAGCACTTTGGGAGGCCGAGACGGGCGGATCACGAGGTCAGGAGATCGAGACCATCTTGGCTAACACGGTGAAACCCCGTTTCTACTAAAAATACAAAAAATTAGCCGGGCGTGTTGGCGGGCGCCTGTAGTCCCAGCTACTTGGGAGGCTGAGGCAGGAGAATGGCATGAACCCGGGAGGCGGAGCTTGCAGTGAGCCGAGATCGCGCCACTGCACTCCAGCCTGGGCGACAGAGCGAGACTCCGTCTCAAAAAAAAAAAAAAAAAAAAAAAAAAAAATACTTTTTCTGGATTCCAAAAATAAGATTTTCAGATTATCTCTTGTATAAAAGTAAATTTGAAGGAATAGAAAAACCCCATACCTCTAAAAGTAGCTTTTTCTTCTTGGTTCTGTCATATTTTCTTTGACTAAATATTAGCTCTGGACTAATAAAATACTTTTCTGGTACATCTTCCCTGAAGGGCTCCTAAGGGTTTTATACCACAGAGGAAAATTCTAACTGAAATACTGACATGGGGATTAATTACAAAGAGACATTAGTGCTTGTATGTAATATAGTCTGGTAAACAATTCAAAAATACTACTAGGTCATAAAAATTCCACTTAATTTTTTTTGCAAGTATATTATGTTTATGAACACCTCCAGGCTGCTTATAACTCACCCACCTCTTTTTATGGAACCTTGCTGCAAAAGCATAGATATCTGAATCATAGATTTCTACATTTGAAGTCACTAAATTCAACTTCTCACCCAGTTGAGAGAATCACTCTTTCTTTGCTTGAGCACCACTGAAAACAGGGATCTCCTCACTTTTGAGGATGTTCCTTTGATTTTGGCTAATAAAAATTATTAAAATGAACCAGCATTTGTATAGCTCTTATTTGTATAATTTTTAGTGAAATTTCCTAATGTGGTTTTCTCTTTATCAGCATTCTGATGATAAACATTCTAGGGTGAGATCATACCAAGATAGAATAGTTGTCCTAGAATGGTCTAGGAAGGCACACTAGAATAATAATTTAAAGTGTGAGCATCACAAACATAGAAAGACAAGTATCACTTGTTCTCTCACTCATGTGTGGGAACTGAAAAAGTAGATCTCATGAAGATAGAGTAAATTGGTGTTTACCAGGGTCTGGGAAGGGTAAAGGGAAGGGGAGAGATGAAGAGAGGTTGATTCGTAGGTACAGATAATACACTTTGATAAAATAATTTTTTTAAATCAATTTTCCATCAAAGAGTAAAGAAAAAGTGTAGGCATTCCCTGACATTGCCAAGCTATATGAACTTAAACAAGTTTCTTAAACTCCCCAAGTTTCCATTTCCTTGTCTGCAAAGTAGGAATCATAGTAGTTACTACCTACATTTGTACATGAATACAATAAATATAAAGCATTTTGCATAGTGCCTAGCAAATAGTAAATTTTTTAAAAAGTAGTGATCTCTTATTACAGAAGAGATAATTTTTTGGGAAGAGATAATTTGAATTGGTATACAGTTGAGAAAAGGCTGGCATTTAGATGAGGGGATTAATGGTCAAAGGGCTGAGCATGGCACAAGTGGGAGCACTAGGAAATAAATGCCCATTAAAGAGAATAGGGATAGGTTGGGCACATGGGATGGATCTAAAGGAGTAGTTCCCTAGGGGCAGTAGTGGATTGCGGAGTTATCACAAGAAATCCTCAAATCCATTAGTACACCAACCCATGCCTTAAACTGAATGTATATTACATACCACTTCCAAATATGAATAGATGTTGCAATTCTTAAAATAAAAATTCATTTAAAACAGCCAGTGAATGAATAGATATTTTGATTTTTTTTTCTTTTAAATAGAGTCTCACATTGTCTCCCAGGCTGGAGTTCAGTGCCACAATCTCAGCTCACTGCAAGTTCTGCTTCCCGGGCTCAATTGATCCTCTCACCTCAGTCTCCCAAGTAGTTGGGACCACAGGTGTGCACCACCATGCCTGGCTAATTTTTGTTTTTTTTTGTAGACATGAGGCCTCCCTGTGTTGAGCAGGCTGGTCTCAAACTCCTCGGCTCAAGGGATCTGCCTGCCTCAGCCTCCCAAAGTGCTGGGATTACAGACGTGTGCCACCACGCCCTGCGATATTTTGATTTTTATCAATTTTTATCTTCTTCAGGTCTCTACTTGAATCTTATATCTTCAGAGAGGTTTTCTCTGGCTTTACTATCTAATATAGTCTCCAGGTCTTTTTCATTCTCCAGTCCCTTATTCTGTTTCAGTTTCCTTCACAGCACCAAACGCAACCTGGCATTGTATTATGTATCTACTTGTTTACTACCTATCTCTTCTCTTTGAATATAAATGACCATGAAGGCAAGGACTTTGTTATATCACCACCGTCACTCCAGCATCTAGAACACTGCCTACACATGGTGCACCTTCAGTAAATATTTGCTAAATAAATAAACAGATTCACAAAATAGTAGTTTCAAATGCGTACTACAAGGCCAACTAATTAATGTTATATGCAGCCCTTTTCATCTTCTCAGTAAAAATTCAAATTAAAGTAGCATCAGAAGACTCTTTTCTCCTTCTTTATAGTCATCATTGAGTCTTTGCCCGAAATAATAACTTCTTATTAATAAATGAGTTGCCATAGAAATTGGCCCTATTACTATGAGATACCTAAGAGGGAAATGAAAATCTTTTTTCTAAAGGGCTGCAACTTAAACACGTTAAAGAACATTGCTTTTGAGATACAAGTACAAGACATAAATATTCATTTCGTTGCTCAAATGGTAAGACATTAGTCAAAGCTTCCCGTAACCCCAATCAAGTTAAACCTCTAATGTATTATTTTAAATTAGGTAGTGCATGTTGCCACTTGGATGCCCACTCATCCACTACCAACACATGTTGAACTCATACAACCTCAACCTCCACAAAAGAACACGTCATGAGATTACTTAATGTGTAATCGAAACAAAATCTGTTTCATATGTTAATTAGGTCAACAAAAGATATATTTAACATTCGATAAGACATTAGTGTGATCTAAAGTATTCACTGTACAGTGTTCTGTCTGGACATCTCTATTTTTACTGTCAATGTTACATTATCATGTTTATTGGGTTCCTTGCCCTTTATTCCGACATCTGCAGAACCAAATCGGTTAGATTGCCACTGATTGTAGGGCAAATGTTCATGGCCCCCAAATTAGATAGAGTTGTTTTCACTTCATTCTCTTCCCTTGAGAGAGTAGAAATAGTGGTCCTGTTGTGTTCTTTTCTTTCCCCAAATCTGGCTGCAGTTCTTTAAACACAATACATTAGCACGTTTGCTCTGGATATTTGGTGAAGAATGCATACTATGCATCAATATAAATCTCAATAGTGTGCAAGCAAACAATTACCTATAGGATAACCTGCTTATATATTCTGCTATTGCTACATCAGAATTATTTCTGACATGTCTGTCTCTAAAATTTCCTAAGCGTCACCTCTTGCAATCAAGATATTTTCAGTGCTAGAGATTTGAATAGTTGCATGTGTAACTCCCTTCCACCCACTATGCCATCTGTTACCTACGAAGTATAGCAGTTGGAGTCAGGAAATTTGGCACAGTTCTCCAAGTGGGGCAACCTCCTCTACCTTCTTGGAGCCTAGTAAATAAGGTTCTCTTTTCTGTTCCTCTTTCGTCTCTCAATCAAATAACTGTAAATAAACCCCTAAATGGTTTGATTAGCTATTGAATAATGGTAGTGATCATAGGATGGCAAACTGTTTTTAGTGTGGATTTTTTTAGAAAATAGAGCCCAAGGCAATTCTAGGGATATGCAATTCTAGGGAAGAAGGACTGAGGGAAAGGGATCAATAGAGAAAGAAGGGATGAGGATGGAAAGCAAATGTAAGGGGTACGTTACCAATTGGGCTAGAGTTTTATATCAAGCTAGTGGGATATCTTTGGAGAGTCTATATGAGCCACTGTGTTTCTGAATGATTTGTCTAGGGAGAGGAAGGGAGAAGAATTCACCTTCTTGTATCTGCCATTGGAAAAAAATTCCTCCCATGACACATCGACTGTGACACAGTTTTAGGTTGTACCACCTGGCCCTCTAGCAGCTATGAGGAGGCTAGATCACAAAACAGCAGTGACAACATCCACAGTGGCAGCCACACTGCATGGAGTAAGCTAGTGAGTGGAAGCAAGTCAGTGACACTTGCCACTGTCCATGTATAATTTGCAACCTCACAAACACAACTGGGCAAATCAGTGCACCTCCACAGTGTCTCAGAGGTGATGGAAAAACTCCACGTGGGAAGCAAGAAATGCAGAGTAAAGAGTGAGGGAATATGCTGTCAGATTTTGTTTGAGAACCCCCGGAGGGACTGGGAACAGGCACCTCAATGGAACTGGCTGGCCAAGCAGGTGTAGTACCATGAAAACATGACCCCAACATGAAAGCATCAACAAACTTTGCTCCAACAAAGTCTGAAAGCCCTTTTCTATGGTATACCCTAATGTGGTAGATGCCGGACAGTCTTCTGAAGTATCATCAGGAGGATTCTAGAGAAAACTACAATCTAGAATCCAAGTAATTCCAAAACTAGGTTTAGCCAGTAACCCAACAGAGCTGAAAGAGTGAGATCATGATAACAGATTGTAGTTGTAAAGAAGAACTATTTCTGGAAATTGAGCTTGTAAAAGATGCATGAGAATGAGTCATTCTTAATTCTGACCTGTTTAAAATAAGTTCTTTAGAGATATCCAACCATTTTACAGTATTCACCAAAATAAGGAAATTTTGACAAAGCTAGTAAATAGTACCTGCCTGCACTATGATAAATAAGAGGCACTGTGAGGTAATGAAAACTACTTGGAAGTAATAAAAACTGGGTTTCAATCTCAATCCTGTTACTCATGTTGTGATCCTGTGACCTGAGAAGTTTATTCAAGCTCCCTGATCTCAGTTTGCTCTCCAGTTTAATGGGAATAAAGTGCGTACTTCACAGCATTTGTAAAAATTAAGGAAATGTATTAAAAAGTGTCCAGTGCAATAATTGGAAATCAGCAAATTTAAATCAGAAACTACTCTTAAATCCTACTTCTTCACTCATTTTTCTCAGATATTTAATTTCACATGCAAATATGTATGCAGATCTCTTCCATCAGCTATGTAACACCAGTTAGGTATAAAGTGATTTTGTATGAAGTAGTTGAAAATTGAACTGAGGTGTTAAATACATTCTATGAAGAATAATTCTTGAGAATCAGTAACTGGGTACTAACTGTAGCTCACTAATAATACGTAGCATTTATTAAGCAGTTTCCTATGTGGTGGTGAGGTAAGTATAACATTGATGATCTTATTTATCTATTTATTATTATATTAAAGGGACAGGTTCTTTTTATGTTGCCCAGGCAAGACTTCAACTCCTGGGCTCAAGAATCGTATCATCTCAGCCTCCCAAGAAGCTGGGACTATAGGCATACATCTCTGCAACTGACTGGGGGCTAAATAATAATTTTCAGGTAGTAGTGAAAAATGAAAATGCAATGCTCCTTAAGCTTTTAATTTTAAAAAGCTATTATATTATAAAACATAATAGGGATGAAAATGGTATGTGGGTAACAATATAAACTAATAAATTACAAAAATACAATTTTTGGTGTTCTAATTTTAGGTCATAAAAGAAATAATACTTTATAATGTGTAATCTTGATTTCTCATAAATTTTTTTCCTGCTTTTCTGGAAACTCATTTGTTAGTTTATCAAAATTTATACTTTTTAAACTTCAGTTGATATAATTGAAATTAATGCCAGTTGCTCTTGGTAAGATCAGTTTGTTTTTTACTTTTTATAAAGATGAACTATTCATTTTAAAACAGTTTTAGATTTACAAAAAAGTTAAGATGGTAGGGAAAGTTTCTATATATTTCACAGTTTCCCCTGTTGCTGCTATCTAAAGTGTGGTACATTTGTTACAATTAATGAAGTGATATTGGTACATTATTATTATGAAAGCCCATACTTAATTCCTATTTCCTTAGTTTTTATCCAATGGCCCCTTTCTGTGCCAGGATCCCATTTTGGATACTACATTACATTTAGCCATCATGTCTCCTTAGGATCCTTTTAGCTGTAATAGTTTCTCAGATTTTCTTTGCTTTTGATGATCTTAACGGTTTTGAGAAGTACTTGTCAAGTATTTTATAGAACGCTCCTCAATTAGGATTTCTCTGATGTTAGTCCCATAATTAGATTTGGAGTTACGGGTTTTTGGGAGAAGATCACAGAGGTAAAGTGCCATTTTAATCATATTGTGTCGGTGGTTTATACTGTCAGTATAACTTATCTCTGTTGATATTACTTTGATCATCTAGCTTAGGTAGTGTTTTTCAGGATTCTCCACCGTAAAGTTACATTTCCCCACTTTCCATTTGTACTGTTTGGAAGGAAATCACTGTTTAGAGATGACACGTAAGGAGTGGGGAGTTATGACCCACCTCATTGAGGGTGGAATATCTACATACATTATTTGGAATTTTTCTGCATGGGATATTTGTCTCTTCTCTCTCATTTATTTATTTAATCATATACTTATACCACTGTGGACTCTTGGATACTTATTTTATACTTTAGATTAAAATCCAATACTAGTTTACTAATTTTATTGTTCAAATTGTTCCAGATTTGACCATGGTAACAATCTGTGTCTCTATTAAGCTGAGTTTGTACTGATGAGTATGATGATTTCAAGTCTAATACATTGATTACAGAAAGCTTGATTACTTTTTCAAAATGTATTTTATTTTGTTGTTGTTGTGTGTGTTCCAATTCCATTATTTTATTTTACTGTTTAACTTTTAGTTTCAGGGATACACGTGCAAGTTTCTTTCCTTTTTTTTTTTTTTTTTTTGAGATGAAGTCTCGCTCTGTCACCCAGGCTGGAGTGCAATGGCATGATCTCGGCTCACTGCAACCTCTGCCTTCCAGATTTAAGCTATTCCCCCTGCCTCAGCCTCCTGAGTAGCTGGGACTACAGGTGCACACCACCATGCCCGGCTAATTTTTGTGTTTTTAGTAGAGACAGGGTTTCACCATGTTGGCCAGGATGGTCTTGATCTCCTGACCTTGTGATCCATCCGCCTTGGCCTTCCAAAGTGCTGGGATTACAGGTATGAGCCACTGCACTGGGCAGCAAGTTTCTTATATAAGTAAAGTGCATGTCGTGGGGGTTTGGTGTACAGATTATTTCCTAACCTAGATGATAAGCATACTACCTGATAGGTAGTTTTTTTGATCCTCCCCTTCCTCCCACCCTGCACCCTCAAGTAGGCCCCAGTGTCTGTTGTTCCTTTCTTTGTGTCCATGTGTACTCAATATTTAGCTCCCATTTACAAGTGAGAACATATGGTATTTGGTTTTCTGTACCTGCGTTAGTTTGCTTAGGATAATGGCCTCCAGCTGCATCCATGTTGCTGCAAAAGACATGATCTAGTTCTTTTTTACAGCTGTATAGTATTCCATGGTGTATATGTACCACATTTTCTGTATCCAGTCTACCATTGATGGGCATCTACACTGAATTCATGTCTTTGCTATTGTGAATAGTGCTGTGATGAACATGCAAGTAAATGTTTCTTTCTGGTAGAAGGATTCATATTCTTTGGGGTATATACCCAATACTGGGATTGTGGGGTTGAATGGTAATTTTAAGTTCTTTGAAAAATCACAAAACTGCTTTCCACAATGACTGAACTAACTTACATTCCCACTAGCAGTGTATAAATGTTTCCTTTTTCTGCAACCTTGCCAACATTGTTATTTTTTGACTTTAAAGAAAGCCATTCTGATTGATATGAGCTGTTATCCCATTGTGGTTTTGATTTGCATTTCTCTAATGATTAGTGATGTTGAGTGTTTTTTCATATGCCTGCTGGTCACGTGTATGTCTTTTGAAAAGTGTTCATGTACTTTGCCCACTTTTTAATGGTGTTGCTTGTAAATTTAAGTTCCTTATGATTCTGGATATAAGACCTTTTTCAGATGCATAGATGGCAAATATTTTACCCTATTCTGTGGGTTGTCTGTTTACTCTATTGGTAGCTTCTTTTGCTGTGCAGAAACTCTTTAGTTTAATTAAGTCCAATTTGTCAATTTTTGTTATTGTTGCAGTTGCTTTTGGCATCTTTGTCATGAAATATTTGCCAGGGCCTATGTCCAGAATGGTATTTCCTAGGTTTTCTTTCAAGGATTTTCATAGTTTCAGGTTTTACATTTAAGTCTTTAATCCGTCTCAACTAAATTTGTGTATATGGTGTAAGAAAAGGGTCCAGTTTCAATCTTCTGGATATGACTAGCCAGTTATCCCAGCACCATTTATTGAATAGCAGGTCTTTTCCTTATTGCTTGTTTTTGTTGACTTTGGTGATTATCAGATGGTTGCAGGTGTGCCACTTTATTTCAGGGCTCTGCATTCTGTTCCATTGGTCTATGTGTCTGTTTTTGTACCAGTACCCTGCTGTTTTGGTTACTGTTGCCTTGTAGTAGGTCCTGTTTCCTCAGATTCCTTGGATTAGGTTTTCATTTTCTCCTGAATCTTAATGATCTTCATTACTATCCATATTCTGAGTCATATGTCTGAGATTTTAGCCATTTCAGCCTGGTTAAGAAAAATTGCTGGGGAACTAGTGCAGTCATTTGGAGACAAGAGGATACTCTGGCTTTTTGAGTTGCTAGCATTCTTGTGCTGGTTCTTTCTCATCTGTGTGGGGTGATGTTCCATCAGTCTTTGAAGTTGATTTCCTTTTTGCTTTTATCTTCTTTTATGCCCTTGGGGTTTTGATTATGGTATAAGGTGGGTTCTATAGACTGGCTTTGATTCCTGGAAGATTTTAGGGTGCCAGGTGCTCGACTCAGCACTCCTGGGCTGCATATTCTAACTCTGGGGCTCTGGTACCCAGCCCCTGGCTTTGTTCTCTGGCTCCTCAATATTTGGAACCTGCTGTGCTGGAGGGGCTGAGACATTCCTTGGCGGCTGACCACAATAATCTGATGGGAGGCGCTGGCCAAAGTGCTTCTTATGGCAGTGGGAGTGGAATCCATGCTCGCTCATGTGTGCCAGTAGCCACAGTATCATAGCAGGGTGCATGTGCATTAGCTGGAATAGGGTGCTGGAGGCAGGTAGCCTTTGCCTTAGTTTTCACAGGTTCTGGCAGTATATTTTGATGGTGTATTTTGGGCTGTGATCCAATAGGTAGCACTTGAGAGTGTTAGCCAGCACATAGATGGCTAACACTTCCAAGTGCCACCTACTGGATAAGTCTTTTGTATTTTGCTCAGTTGGCAGCAGTGTTCTGTGATGAGGGGCTGAGATAAGACCTCCTCACCTAATTCACCCCTGGGTCAAAATTTAAATACAACTTTTATGACAACTAATACTGGAACTGTTAAGTGTGTTTTATAGAATCTGACAAGATTGGGATAAATTAATGATGAATTTTTCAAAACTTAAGTTTTAGTACATCTATAGCTCATGATTTTTACAGAAAAATTTTTCTAAAAACATATAACTCTTCATATAAATCAGTTTTTTGTTAGTCTGAAATCAATTTTACATATATATTTATACAGTGGCATTTTAATGTTTCTTCTGACATTTCCTGAAACTTATGGAAATAATATAAGAAATTGAAAGAGGCCTCATGATTTGTATATAAAGTACCTGTACAAGAAAAAAATTAAATTTGAAATTATTTCTCCTTAATAATTGGTTCATCCAAAGCCTCATATGAAAATAGTGTTCTTTTCCATTAAATGTGATCATGGGGGAGGATGCTAAGATGGCTGACTAGAGATAGTTAGGAAGAACTTCTCTAACCCAGACAGACCAAAATATTGAGTAAACTGGAATACTCTGAAAAGACCATCTGAGAGAATACACTGAGAGATATTAGAGAGTTGACCAAGATGCCAGACTGAATGAGGAGGAAGCTGAGAACCCTTCATGGGGTTGTTGAGCACTAGGACTAGGACATGTTCTAGGCCCTGAACAGTTCCTAAGGAAGGGGTACCTTCTGCCTCTGGTGCTCCCCACCATCCCCTGTGGAGTGCTGTTCTCAGCTGTCTGACAGCACCTTAGCCCCTCCATCCAGCCAGGGCTTGACCTCAAGGGACCAGAGGACAAAGTCACAGATCCAGTCCCAGTCCCCCGGGATTAGAATACACAGTCCATGAGTGCAGAGCTCAGCCTTGCCCTTAAAAGCATCCAGAAATGGAGATACTCAACTATATCCAACTGGCACCACTGTTAAAACCTCAAAGGCAATAAAAATCATTAAAAATAAAAAGCCCTATCCAGAGGACAACAACTTCAAAGGAAAAAGGAACCTCAGCCTTCAACCATGAGAAAGAAACAGCACAAAAACTCTGGTACCTCTAAAATCCAGAAGGTCTTCTTATCTCCAAATGATCACAGTAGCTCCCTAGCAATGCATCCTAATCAGATTGAAATGGTTGAGATGTTAGACATAGAATTCAGAATCAGGATGGCAAGGAAGCTCATTGAGATACAAGAGAAGGTTGAAACACAATCCAAAGAAAACCATTAAAATGATCCAAGAGTTGAAAGACAGCGTAACAATTTTAAGAAAGAACCCAACTGAACTTCTGGAAGTGAAAAATTCACTACAGGAATTTCAGAATACAATTGGAATCATTAACAACAGAATAGACCAAGCTGAGATAAGATCTCAGAACTTAAAAATCACCACTTTAAAGCAACATGGGGAGACAAAAATAAAGAAAAAAGATTTTTTAGAACTGAACAAAACCTCTGAAAAAAAAAAGGGATTTTTGTAAAGAGACCAAACCCACGAATTGTTGACATGCCAGAAAGAGGAGAGAGAGAGCAAGCAACTTAGAAAACATATTTGAGCATATAGTCCACGAAAATTTTCCCAATCTCACTAGGGAGGTCAACATGCAAATTCAGGAAATTCAGAGAACTCCTGTGAGATACTAATGCAAGATGAACATCCCCATGACACACAGTCATTATATTCTTCAAGGTCAACATGAAAGAAAAAAATATTAAAGGCAGCTAGAGAGAAGGAGTAGGTCACTTGAAAAGGGAATGTTATTGGACTTAACAGTAGACCTTTCAGCAGAAACCATACAAGCCAGAAGAGATTGGGGGCCAAGCTTTATTATCCTTTAATAAAAGAAATTCCAACTAAGAATTTCATACCCTGCTGAACTAAACTTCAGAAGCGAAGGAGAAATGAAATCCTTTTCAGACAAAGGCTTAGTGAATTTCTTACCAGATACGTAAGGTCCGTCTTACAAAAGTGCCTATAGGGAGCACTAAACATGGAAATTCAAGAATGATACCTGCCACCACAAAAACACACTTAAGCACATACCCCATAGACATTATAAAGCAGCTATACAACCAAATCTACATAACAATCAGCTAATAGTACAATGAAATATTGACCCTGAATGTAAATAGGCTAAGTGCCCCACTTAAAAGGCATAGAGTGGGAAGTGAGATTAAGAATTAAGACCCAACTGACTTCAATAGAGCCATCTTAAGAGTAATGACATCCATAAGCTCAAAACAAAGAGCTGGAGAAAGATCTATTCAGGCAAATGGAAAACTAAAAACAGCAGAAGTAGTTATGCTTGTATCAGTTCAAAGAGACTTTAAACTAACAATGATCAAAACGGACAAAAAAGGGTGTTACATGATGATAATGGCTGAATATAGCAAGAAGACTTAACTATTTTAAATATGTATATACCCAACATTGGAGCATGTGGATTCATAAAGCAAGTTTTTAGATATCTATGAAGAGATTTAGACAACCACATAATAATACTGGGGGCCTTCAACTCTCCTCTGCTAGTGATTAGATTAATCACTGAGGCTGAGAACTAGCAGATATCATGGTCTTAAACTTGACACTTGACCGATTAGACCTCATAAATATCTAAGGAATACTCCACCCAGTGATAACAGAATATGCATTTTTCTCATCTGCACATGGCACATAGTCTAAGATCAACTACATGCTTGGCCATAAAGCTCATCTCAACAAATTAAACATAAATAGAAATCATACCTACCACACTCTCATTGTAGGGCAAAAAATTAGAAATTATGCCAAGAAGATCTATCAAAGCCATACAATGGAATGGAAGTTAAACAATGTGCTCTTAAATGACTTTAGAGTAAAGAATGAAATTTGGGCAGAAATAAAAAAAATTATTTGAACCTAATGAAAACAGAGACACAATATACCAAAATCACACAGATAAAGCAGTTTTAAGATGAAAGTTTATAGTGCTGAATGCCTACATCAACAAGTTAGTAAAATCTCAAATTAACATTCTAATGTCACACCTAGAGGAACTAGAAAAACAAGAGCAAACCAACCCCAAAGCAATCAGAAGAAAAGAAATAACTGAAATCAGAGCTGAATGGAATGAAACTGGGATGCAAAAATCCATACAAAAGACAAATGAAGCCAAAAGTTTGTTGTTCGAAAGATTAAACAAGATTGATATACTGCTAGCTATACTAGTAAAAAAAAAAAAAAAGAAGATCCAAATAAACACAATTAGAAATGACAAAGGTGATATGACAACCAACTCCGCAGAAATACAAAAAATCCTGAGAGACTATGGTGAACACCTCTGTGCACACAAACTAGAAAACCTAGAAGAAATGGATACATTCCTAGAAACACAAGCCTCTGAAGACTGAACCAGGAAGAAATTAAAATCTTGAGCACACCAGTAACAAATTCTGAAATGGACTTGGTAATAAAAAGCCTACCAACTAAAAAAAGTCCTGGACCAGATGGATTTATAGCCAAATTCTACCAGATGTATAAAGAACTGGTCTCATTCCTACTGAAATTATTTCAAAAATCTAGGAGGAGGGACTCCTCCCTAACTCATTCTACAAAGTCAGTATTATTCTGACACCAAAGCCTGGCAGAGATACAGTGAAAAATGATAACTTTAGACCAATATCTCTGAGAACATAGCAGCAAAAATCATCAACAAAATACCAGCAAACTGAATCCAGCAACACATAAAAAAGTTAATTCACTATATTGAGATGGGCTTTATTTCTGGGATGCAAGGTTGGTTAAACATAAGCAAATCAATAAATGTCATTCACTACATAAACAGAATTAACAATAAAATGACATGATCATCCAATAGACACAGAAAAAGTCTCTGACAAAATTCAATATCCCTTCCTGTTAAAAATCCTCAACAAATTAGGCATCAAAGGTACTTCAAAGTAAGAGCCATCTATGACAAACCAACAGCCAACATCATATTGAATGGGCAAGAACTGGAAGCATTTCTCTTGAGAATTTGAATAAGACAGGTAAATTCACTCTTGCCATTCCTATTCAACATAGTACTGAAAGTCCTATGCAGAGCAATTAGGGAAGAGAAGGAAATAAAAGGCATCCAAATAGGAAGTCAAACTATCTATTGTTTGCAGAAAGTATGATTCTGTACCTAGAAAATCCTATAGTCTCTGCCAGAAGGCTTCTAGAAGTGAAAAATGACTTCAGTAAAGTTTCAGGATACAAAATCAACATAGAAAAGTTGGCATTTCTATACACCAATAACATCCAAGCTCAGAGCCAAATCACAAATGTAATTTCATTTACAATGGCCACAAAAAGTGTAAAATACCAAAGAATACAGCTTATCAAGGAGGTAAAGGATCTCTGCAATGGGAATTACAAAACATGGCTGAAAAAAGTCAGAGACAACACAAACAATAAAAAACATTCCATGCTCATGGATAGGAGGAATCAATATTGTTAAAATGGCCATACTGCTCAAAGCAATTTACAGATTTAATGTTATTCCAGTTGTTATAGGAGTTATTAAGAAATTATTTTAGGAAGATAGGAAAAGGAGTCCTTGGGAAGTTTTTTTGTTTTGTTTTGTTTTTTTTAAAGCAGTTCCAGAAACTTTTCTTATATAGCAGAAAAGCCCTGGCTGGGCCAGCAAGCTTCCATATGCAAATGCCAGCTGTTAGAAACTGGGTCCACCCAAACATGGCGATTCCCACCAATTCTTCAGGTCCCCACATGTGCCTGGCAACATGGCCGCCCCCACATATGCCCACTTATGTAGAACATCATGGCACCTGCACTTGCATACTAAAAGGCCAGGGTAGGGGGCCAGTTTTTTTTGCGGGCTACTTGAATGACATACCTGGTCAAACCAATCCCCTGGGTCCTATGCAAATCAGACATTGCCTTCTCATATAACTGGCTGTTTTCAGCCAGACTTGGGGTTTCCTCTTTTGGGTTGGAGGCCCCCTCCCTCTGTCTCTGTACCTGGGAGCCTCTTCCTTCTTTCTTGCCTATTATATGCCCCTTAAAACCACTCCACGTGTGTCTGTATTGTTTTATTCAAACCAGCACGAGATAAAGGACCCTGGTGTTCCTCCAGTCATTGGGGCCATATCACAATCAACCAACCAATGACATTCCTCACACAATTAGAAAAAAATGATTCTAAAATTTATATGGAACCAAAAAAGTGCCCAAATCGCCAAAGCAATACTAAGCAAAAAGAACAAAACTGGAGGCATCACACTACCGGACTTTAAAGTATACTGTAATACTACAGTAACCAAAACAGCATTTGTTCTGGTACAAAAACAGACAAATAGACCAGGGGAACAGGATAGACAACCTAGACATAAGCCAAACACCTAGAACCACCTGATACTCAATAAAGTTAACAATAACAAACAGTGGGGAAAGGACTCTTTGTTTGATAAATGGTGCTGGGATAACTGGCTAATTGTATGCAGAATATTGAAACTGGACCCCTTCTTTTCACCATATACAAAAATCTTTTCAAGATGCTTTAAAGACTTAAATGTAAGATGTAAAGCAATAAAAATTCTAGAAGAAAACTTAAGATATACCATTTTTGACATTGGCCTTAGCAAAAAATTTATGACTAAGTCCTCAAATGCAATTGCAATAAAAACAAAAATTGACAAGTGAGACCTAATTAAACTAAAGAGTGTCTGCACGGCAAAATAAATCATCAACCAAATGAAGAGACAACCTATGGAATGGGAGAATATATTTGCAAACTATGCATCTGACAAAGGTCTAATATTCAGAATCTCTTAAACAACTCAACAAGCAACAAACAAATAACCTCATTAAAAAGTGAGAAAAGAACATGAACAGACACTTCTCAAAAGAAGACATACAAGTGCCCAACAAATATATGAAAACATGCTCATTATCACTAATCATTAGGGAAATGCAAATCAAAACCACAATGAGATAACATCCCATAGCAGTCAGAATGAGTATTTTTAAAAAGTCAAAAAACAACAGATTCTGGCAAGGGTGCAGAGAAAAGGGAACTCTTATACACAGCTCGTTGGAATGTAGAGTTCAGGTTCAGCCACTGTGGAAAGCAGTGTAATTTCTCAAATAACTTAAAACTATTATTCATCCCAGCAGTTTCACTATTGGGTATATACCCAAAGGAAAATAAATCATCCTATCAAAAAGACACATGCACTTGCATGTTCACTGCAGTGCTATTCACAGTAGCAAAAACATGAAATCAATCTAGATGCCCATCAGTGGTGCACTGGATAAAGAAAATGTAGTACATATACACCATGAAATATGATACATCCATAAAAAAATCATTCTTTTTTATGATCACTCTTTTTCATGTCCTTGTGGCAACATGGATGCAGCTGGAGGCTATTATCCTAAGGAAGCTCACACAGGTACAGAAAACCAAATACCACAAGTTCTCACTGATAAGTAGGAACAAAACATTGAGCACACATGGACATAAACATGGGAACAGTGGCCACTGTGGACTACTGGGGGATAGGGAAGGAGAGAAGTATAGGTTGGAAGGCTACCTATTAGGTACTGTGCTCACTACCTTGTTGATGGGATCATTCATACACCAAGCCTCAGTGACACAATTTTCCTGCGTAACAAACCTGCACATGTAGTCCCTGAACCTAAAATAAAAGTAGGAAACAACACCAAATGTGATAATTATTAAATTCAATTCCCATTTCTAAGCCTGTGGATATTTGCTTTGCAATTCTGCAGCAGTTTTTAAAAACTAGAGATCCTACACTTTTTGAAGGATATAATAATTCCCTGATATGAAAAAAACATGAAATCAACCTAGATCCCCTTCAGTGGTAGACTGGATAAAGAAAATATAGTACATATACACCTTGGAATATGATGCATCCATAAAACTAGAGATCCTACACATTTTGAAGGATATAATCCCTGATATGCTTCATTATCACAGTGTGTATGTGTATGCTTTTATTTTGTAATAATTTACTGGCAAAGTTTATTTCCTTATGGTGGCAGCCCTTATGTCAGTGCTCACGTTGGAGAGTTAATATTTGTGAAAACACTGCAGGGACTGCTCTGGGGATAGACAGACAAGCTGGTTTTCGATCAGTGATCTCAGTTCTGCCTCCATGTGGAAGCCCTTATTTCTCAGGGCTACTGCCATTCTTGTTGCTATCTCTGTTGCTGTTAGCACCATTGTTTTTACCAGTGTGGATCCGATTCCCACCCTGGCAGCCCACTCAGGTCTGCAGCACCTTGAACGTGCATACCAGACAACCAGACCCACTGCTCTCTGCCTGTGCTGTCCATCAGGCCCAGGACCTGACAGCTTGACTAAGTGGCATGTTCATGCTGTCATCCATGAGTATTGTGTTGCCTCTACTCAAATGCACATTCAAATATAAAATTGTTAAGAATTTAAATATGGCAAGAATAAAACTTCAAATCTAGCAAGGGCCATTCTAGTGGGTGATGCTTTATAAGACTACACAAGTTGCACTTTCCTGAAGCCATCCCTGGGATAAGTATTCTTATTTTCTCTATCAAAAAATTTGCAAATTAAGGTTGAAATATCACCTCCACAATGTTATATAACTAATAAACAGAAGAGCTGAAAATTAAATCCAAATATATCTAATTCAGTTGTGATTCTCTGCCATATGGAAAAATTCACTTCTAAAAGTTTTCTTAAACTTCCGATCAGTCACAGGAACTGCTAATGACTTATTCATTCTATTGAAGAAGTAGCTTAATTTTTCTGTGGGAAATATCTTGTTCCTAGTTCCAAAGCCAAAAAAAAAAAGGGGGTCCGTGGTTTTCACATTGTTAGTAGATTAAATGTTGTCATGAATGAATGAAGGAATGAATGAATGAGTGAATGGCTCTGAATAAAGTTCAGTCTCTCAATTATAGCTTGGGCAAGGTCTTTCAGCCCACACTCCAGAGCACTACCTCTCAGATTTGAATCCCAGCTGGAACACTTATTTACCGAGTAATTTGGGGAATATTGCTTAATTTCTTTGTGCCTTATTCATTGTTCTCCCATTGGTAAAACAGTAGTAACAAGAATAGGGGGTTCTCACTGAGATTATAATGAATTAGTCCACATAAAGCTCTTAGTAAATTGCCTGGCATATATTAAGTCTGCAATCAATGTTAGCATTTATGTAGCTCTTAACATTTCATAACAGTTTTGTATTTGTGGATATGAGGAGTGAAGAGTTAAGAAAACCCAAAATTTTAAGAGTGATTATCTCCAGGTGATGGGATTATGAATATTAAAACTTTATATTCTTATTTATTTTCTAAATTTTGTACAATTTTGTATATACTAATACAATAAAAGTATTTTAGTAATGTGAAGAATATAATATTTCTTATCCCTCATCCAAAGTCATCTAAATTTTCCCTCTCTCTCTCTTTCTCTGTCTCTCTTCTACCCTCATCACCCCCATACACATGGACACACACACACACACACACACACACACACACACACACACATGCTGAGACCCATGATAATATAAATTTAGAAAAATATATACATAGATCAATCATGTACTTTGGAATAAAGTTGCCAGATTTTATAATAAAAATACAAGACACCCAGTTAAATTTGAATTTTAGTAAACAATAATAATTTTTATAATAAATATGTCCTAAATATTGCTTGTCTTAGAAAATAAGTGGCAACCTTAAGACCTGGGCAGTACAGTTCTGGGGTATAGGAGTATGTCAAATATTGCATGTACCATACACTACAAAACTTATTTTCATCTGAAATTCAAATTCAGTTGGGCATCTTGTATTGTATCCGGTGACTCTACTTTTTATCTCTGTTGGCAGATTAATGCCAATTTCCCCTGTCCCTATTTCTAGCCTGATCTATATGTAACAAATAAAGGAATTCTTTTCAAATCTTTTTTTTAATTGAGGTATAATTGACATACAAAAAAGCTGTATGTATTTAATGTGTGCACCTTGATGAGTTTGGAGATAAGTATACACCCATGAAACCATTACCATAAACAATGCCATAGACTTAGACATTGATATCTCAATATTCCGCCACAAAACAAAATGCTTAAAACACTCAAGCGTGTAATTTTTGCTCCCCTCCCAAGTTCTTGTTCTATTGCACGCACGCACATGCACACACACGCACACACACACACAGCCACACATGCAGAAACATATCTTCTCTTTTCTATCACACATCCCCCTTCTTACTGTCATAATGGCCCATTGTCTCCATTCCTGTTGTCTATAATATTTTTTTAAAGGAGTGAGAAAGCAGAACTAAAAAATTATACTAAGGAGGTAAGGTAAAATAGTTTGAATCAGAGTAACATATCCTGTTCTTGTCCCCTCACATCTGGGATGTGTCTCTCCAGTTACTGCGTGAGTCATGAGTCATGGTCTTTCCTTTGCTGTGTTGAATCACAGGTAGTCTTTGTGAAAATGCTCTGGTATCAGTTCTTATACTGACAAAGGACATTTTTTTTGAGAGATAAATTAGCCTTAGCTGAATCATCCATTCGTCTGCTGCTTGCTTCTTTGCTTACTATTTTCATTGGTTTCTTTTTAGCTGAGGGCTTAGCTTTTTTGTAGTATCAGGGATTATGTCTGGCTTCTGCTGTCTATTTATCTTGGTTGTATTTCCTTTTAAATCGCTCAATAGATATTTGACATTTGGGCTTCTACACTGACTCTTTCTTAATCCCATCTCTCTGTGATACCATCTCTTTTCTAATTTTTAAAAATCACCTTTCAGTAAAAGGTGGTGATGCCAAGAATGAGTTAACTCTGTCAGGAAGTCAGCCATATAGATCCCAAGAGGCCTCATATCCATTGTCTGGGATTCAACAGCCCTTACACTTGTGGAATTAGAGAAAGAGGTGAGAGATATTGGCAGTTACTGTTAATTCACAGCCTTTGCTTAAATTTTGGAGAGGAGGCATGCAGAAAACTTTAGTACAGAGAAGAGACCGACATATATCAACATTTACCCCTAGATTATAGCTGACATAGTATAGTAGAAAAAGTCAATCTCTGCAAACTAAAATCTTGGCCCTACTCCTTACAAGCTGTGTGACTTATAATTTGGTCATTAACCTCTCTGAGTATTGGTTTCTTCATACATTAAAGGGGGATAATAATACCTCAAGTACTCTTCTGTGGATTAGACATAATATGATTAGGCATATGGCACATGATAGAAAATCAGTAGTTTTTTATCTAGATTGTTATGCTTTCATAATTGGAAATTTAAGGTTGAAAATCATTAAACTATTTTCATATATAAGTAAAGATACCATTGTGTCTATGAAGTTCAACTTTCCTCAGGATTTGATTGTGTATATCATAGTTGTGCTGTGAGAAAATGAGAGGAACAATGTGTCCTTTAGCTATTTCTGATTGGACGGTAAGTCATAAACGATTTCAACACAAGAGAACTCCTTAAAAAACACATCCAAGAAACTTGAGATCCTAGTTAGGGAAAAACCCAAAGGTATTATACATGTCAACCTTGCTTTGTTTTCTTATCCTATTCTTACCTGTAGCCTAACAAAGGCACACATTAAACACATTCATATTATGATGCTCGTCTCATAATGTAATTGTTTAAAGACACTTTCTATGTACATGATTTTGAATGGATGTATATTTTTATAAATCTAATAATGTATTCTACATTACTGCCTTTAAGAGAGAAAAGCAAAAGAGAGTTAATGATTTAAGAAAAAATCCTGAGAGTTCCAGAATGCAAGATCTTTATACTGGGATACTCTACTTCCTATAAATTTCTTAACTGGAAGTTTCCTATAACTGTACTGATATGTTAAAGGATAAACCATAGTTAAATATGGAAGCCTAAATTCACACAAGTCAAAAGGGGAGATGTTCAGCTGAGGTTCCACGTGGAGTAGGGAAAATTTAAAAAAATAGAAGAAAATGAGCGACTAGAATATCTAATGGTTTCCATAGTTAAGGAAAAATGGGAGATAGTATTACTGTCAGAAGATTCCATTCGTTATGTTCTCTATAAAAAGCACAGTATTGTGGGAAATACAATATGACAAGTATATGTAATAAGGTAATATTTTAAAAATGTCATCATTGTGCCTTTCTCTTTTGCATTTTTTCATGATGAAGAACCCCCCATCATGCCAAGGATATCCATTTGCCTTGGGTTAGGAATTTTACAATGGAAATTTTGTAAGAGAAAGATACAACTTTTGAAATCCAAAGTAAAATTTGTTTGTAGTTGAGGCAAAGCCATAATTTGAAAGCTAAGCTTTGTCATGAAAAAAAAAAAAAGTATTTTCTAAATCCTTTTAGCTCCAATGATCATTTCTAGAGCCAAGCCAGGACAAGATTGTTAACATTTCTTCCATAGTGTAGAAAGGATATTCTTTCCTTATTTAAAACTAAACTCTGAGGATTACTGCCTCAAGGAAGAAAGTTATGATAAGGTAAGTCCATGCTGGAGAAAAAAAAAGAACTTTTCTTAGTGGGTAAATTATGAGGAGAATGAAAAAGACTTGGGGAAAGGTTAGATGCACATTTACTCATGCCCCCACTTGAAGTGGAACTCCAGAGGGTGGAGAGGCAAGTAAAAATAGAATCCACTGCTGCCAGTGGATGGGAGAGGGATGGCATCGGTGATTCAAGACTGTCTTTTCTGCCCTCTTCTAGTGCTTCTTTTAGTGATATGAAGTTAAAACGAGGTACTGTGAATGGTCACCTGATTTTTTGTTCTTATGAAGGTGATTTTTTTGGTGTAGATGGTTGTTAAATTGGTGTCCTTGTTGGGGCACAATCAGTGGAGCCTTCTATTAGGCAATCATGTTCTGCCTCTCTCTTGCTATTTAAACTGGAGCCTCTGAAGATTAAAGATAAAAAATATTTGAAGAGCCATGATCAGAGAACATTCTAAGATTTATACCTAAAGGAACATTTGAATATTGTAATCCCCAGAATTTCCTATGTTCTCTTCTCATTTTCTTTCTTTTATTTGTTTTACTGTTTGCCACCTATTTTTTCTCTATCCTGCTGAAAACCTCTACTTGTTCTCTTCTCTACTCTTCCTCTTCCACATCCTGATACCTAATATGAATTTTCATACTTAAAACTGCTACACTTTTTAAACAATTTTGTATTGCCAGTGTTTACATATAAAAATCGCATTTTGTCTTGTAAAAATATTTTTCTTTTGTAATATTTTTCTGCATATCTTTGTAGTAGTTTATCTTCTCTTTAAAATGCATGTAACTGGCGGAGAGGCCAAGATGGCTGACTAGAAACAGCTGTGGTCAGAGGCACCCACAGAGAAGAGTGAAAATGGTGAGTGAATCCTGCACCAGCTACTGAGGTATCCAGGTTCTCTCACTGGGACTGTAGGAAGTTGGCATGACCCACAGAGAGCAAGGAAAAGCAGGGTTGTGTGATGGCCCACCTGGGAGCCACATGGGGCAAGGGGAGCTCCTATCCCCAGCCAAAGGAGGCAGTGAGTGATGGTGCTACCCTGCCCAGGAAACCATGCTCTTTCCATGGATGTGTGTAACCCGCAGATCAGGAGATCCCTCTTGTGAGCTCATGCCACTGAGGCCTTGGGTCTCAAGCATGGAACTGTGCAGATTCTCAGCAGCCACTTGGCTGGAGACTGCCTAAGACTATGGAGTTCCCCAGGAAAAGGGGCAGCCATCTTCACTGTGGCTGCCTGCTGCCCAAGACACCTGAACTCCCAGAGGGAGGGGAGGCCACCATCACTGTGGCTGCCTGCTGCCTAAGACTGAGCTCCCAGCGGGAGGGGCAGCTGCCATCACTGCAGCTCCAGTCTGTGGCTTTCCCCTGCCAGTGCTGGGGATGAAACAGGAGTTAAAAGAAATAAAAGAATGTCTAAGCAAAAACTCAGTTGTATGTAAGAAAACCCAATTCTCCCAGAGGAAGAGAAAGAGCCGAAGTCCTTTAAAAAATAACTGCCTGTTTTTCTGTGGCTAGTGAGCCTTATCTCTCCCTTTCCAAGGCATTATGAAGACTCTGTTTCTCTAGCTGTGCAGCTGCAAGGTCACTAAACAGATAATCTCAAGTTGTAAAACATGTTCTTCCTTGAAAAATAAGAAATGATGTAATGTATGTCTCAATTGAATAACTGTCTTTGTTTCTTGTTTCTGTAATATGCTTCCCCCTACACAGATCTCCCCCTGCCCCACAAAATGCTTAAAAGGTAACCAGACTCTATGTTCAGGGCTCAGTCTTTTTGGATGTTAATCTGACTGGGCCGGTGTACTAAATAATAAATAATAAGTATCCTCCTCAGCCCCTTGGTATCTCTGATTCCTAAATTATCCCACTGCAGGGAGACCGGATGGTTTGGACCCAGGAGGAATTCTTCACAGCACAGAACAGTGGCTGTGGCAGATGGTGGCCAGACTTCCTCCTTAGGCCAGATCCTGACCTATCCCTCCTTACTGGATGGGGCCTCCCTGCAGGAACTTCAGCAACTCCAGCTAGGGGTTTAGGGACAGAACTCTGATCTCCCTGGGACTGAGCCCCTGGGAAGAGTGGTGTCCATGGTCTCCGTGGATCCCCAGACTTAGTCTTTCTCTCTACTGGCTCTGGGGAATCTGGGCAGTCCAGACAAGTGGGACTCCCCGCAGCACAGCACACCCCCTCTGCCAAGGGGCAGCCAGAGTGCTTTGTTAAGTGGGTACCAGATCCCATGCCTACTGACTGGGTGAGAACCCTCTCCAACAGGGGTTGCCAGACACCTTATACAGCAGTATTTCTGCTGGCATCAGGCAGGTGCCCCTCTGGGACAGAGATCCCAGAGGAAGGAGCAGGCAGCCATCTTTGCTGTTCTGCAGCCTCCACTGGTGACAATCCAGGTGTGGGAGGGACCCAGGTGAATATTGTCTGGAGTGGACCCCCACCAAACTGCAGCAGCCCTACAGAGAGAGGCCTCAGGGTTAAAAGAAAAACAAACAGAAAGCAACAACAACAGCATCAACAAAAGTCCTATGTAAACTCCATCCAAAGTTCAGCAGCCTCAGAGATTGAAGCTAGATAAACTCACAAGATGAGAAAGAATCAATGAAAAAAATGCCAAAAACTCAAAAAGCCAGAGTGCCTCTTCTCCCCCACTTGATTGCAACACCTCTCCAGCAAGGGCATAGAACTGGGCAGAGGATGAGGTGGATGAATTGACAGAAGTAAGCTTCAGAAGGTGGGTAATAGCGAACTTCACTGAGCTAAAGGAGCACGTTCTAACCCAATGCAAAGTTGCCAAGAATCATGATAAAACACTTCGGGAGCTGTTAACCAGAATAACCAGTTTAGAGAGGAATATAAATGACCTGAAGGAGCTGAAAAACACAACATGAGAACTTCACAATGCAACACGAGTATCAATAACTGAATAGATAAAGCAGAGGAAAGAATTTTAGAGCTTGAAGACTATCTTGCTGAAATAAGACAGGCAGACAAGATTAGAGAAAAAGAAGGAAAAGAAACCAACAAAGCCTCTGAGAACTATGAGATTATGTAAAAAGACTGAACCTGTGACTGAACCTGTACCTAAAATGGGGATAATGTAAACAAGTTGGAAAACATACTTCAGGATATCATCCAGGAGAACTTCTCCAACCTAACAAGACAGGCAAACATTCAAATTCAGGGAATCCATAGAACCCCAGTAAGGCACATAATCATCAGATTCTCCAAGGTTGAAATGAAGGGAAAAATGTTAAGGGCAACCAGAGACAAAGGCCAGGTAACCCACAAGGAAAGCCCATTAGACTAACAGCAGACCTCTCAGCAGAAACCATAGAAGCCGGAAGAGATTGGGGACCAATGTTCAACATTCTTAAAGAAAATAATTTCTAATCCAGAATTTTATATCCAGCCAAACTAAGCTTCATAAGTGAAGGGGAAATAAGATCTTTTTCAGATGCTGAGCAAATACTGAGGGAATTTGTCACCACCAGGCCTGCCTTGCAAGAGCTCCTGAAGGAAGCAATAAATATAGAAAGGAAAAAATGTTATTAGCCACTGAAAAAACACTGAAGTACAAAGACCAATGACAAAATGGAATAACTACATCAACAAGTCTGCAAAATAATGAGCTAGCATCATGATGACAGGATCAGATTCACACATAACAATATTAACCTTAAGTGTAAATGGGCTAAATGCCCCTAATTAAAAGATGCAGAATGGCAACCTGGATAAAAAGTCAAGACCCACTGGTGTGCTTGATTCAAGAGACCCATCTCATGTGCAAACACATAGGCTCAAAATACAGGGATAGAGGAAAATTTTCCAGGCAAATGGAAATCATATAAAACAGGGGTTGCAATCCTAGTTTCTGACAAAACAGACTTTAAACCAACAAAGATGAAAAAAGACAAAGAAGGGCATTACATAATGGTAAAGGGATCAATTCATCAAGAAGAGCTAACTATCCTAAATATATGTTCACTTATTACAAGAGCACCCACATTCATAAAACAAGCTCTTAGAGACCTACAAAGAGACTTAGATTCTCATAATAAGGGGAGACTATATCACCCCACTGTCAATATTACCAGATTATCGAGACAGAAAGTTAACAAGAATATTCAGGACTTGAACTCAGCTCTCGATCAAGTGGACCTGACAGATATCTACAGAACTCTCCACCCAGAACAACAGAATATACATTTTTTTTCAGCACCACATGGCACTTACTCTAAAACTGATCACATAATTGGAAGTCAAACAATCCTCAACAAATGCAGAAGAACTGAACTCATAACGAACAGTCTCTTGGAACACAGCACAATCAAATTAGAACTCAGGATTCAGAAACTCACTCAAAACTACACAACTACATGAAAATTGAACAACCTGCCCCTGAATGACTCCTAGGTAAATAATGAAATTAAAGCAGAAATCAGGAAGTTCTTTGAAACCAATGAGAACAAAGAAACCATGTACCAGGATCTCTGGGATGCAGTGAAAGCAGTGTTAAAAGGGAAATTTATAACATGAAATACCCACATCACAACACTAGAAATATCTCAGATCAACACCCTAACATCACAACAAGAAGAACTAGAGAAACTAGAGCAAACAAACCCAAAAGCTAGCAGAAGACAGGGAATAACCAAGATCAGAGCAGAACTGAAGGAGATAGAGACACAAAAAACCCTTTAAAAAATCAGTGAATTCAGGAGCTGTTTTTTTTTTGAAAAAATTAGTAAAATAGATAGACCAGTAGCTAGACTAATAAAGAAGATAAAAGAGAATAATCAAATAGATGCAATAAAAAATGGTAAAGGAGATATTACCACTGACCCCACAGATATACAAACAACCATCAGAGAATATTATCAACACCTCTGTGCAAATAAACTAGAAAATCTAGAAGAAATGATTGAATTCCAAGAACACATACACCCTCCCATGACTGAACCAGGAAGAAGTTGAATCCCTGAATAGACTTATAACGAGTTCTGAAATTGAGGCAGTAACAAATAACCTACCAACCAAAAAAAGCCCAGGACCAGATGGATTTGCAGCTGAATTCTATCAGAGGTACAAAGAAAAGCTGGCACCATTTCTTCTGAAACTATTCCAAACAATTGAAAAGGAGGCACTGCTCTCTAACTCACTTTATGAGGCCAGCATCATCCTGATACTGAAACCTGGTAGAGATAGAGCCAAAAATGAAAATTTCAGGCCAATTTCCCTGATGAGCACTGATGCAAAAGTCCTCAATAAAATACTATCAAAACAAATGCAGCAGCACATCAAAAAGCTTATCTACCACAATTAAGTCAGCTTCATCCCTGGGATACAAGGCTAGTCCAACATATGCAAATCAATTTAATTCATCGCCTAAACAGAACTAATGACCAAAACCACATGATTATCTCAATAGACACAGAAAAGGCCTTTGATAAAATTCAACATCCCTTCATGTTAAAAACTCTCAATAAACTAGGTATTGATGGAACATGCCTCAAATTAATAAGAGCCATTTATGACAAACCCACAGCCAATATCATACTGAATGGGCAAAAACTGGAAGCAGTCCCCTTGAAAACTGGCACAAAACAAGGATGCCCTCTCTCACCACTTCTATTCAACATAATGTTGGTAATTCTGGCCAGGGCAATCAGGCAAGAGAAGGAAATAAAAGTTATTCACATAGGGAGAGAGGAAGTCAAATTATCTTGTTTGCAGATGACATGATCCTGTGTCTCGAAAACTTCATGGTCTCAGCCCAAAACCTCCTTAAGCTGATAAGCAACTTCAGCAAAGTCTCAGGATACACAATCAATGTTCAAAAATCACAAGCATTCCTGTACACCAGCAATAGATGAGCAGAGCCAAATCATGCATGAACTACCATTCACAATTGCTACAAAGAGAATAAAATACCTAGGAATACAGCTAACAAGGGAAGTGAAGGACCTCTTCAAGGAGAACTACAAACCACTCCTCAAGGAAATCAGAGAGGACACAAACAAATGGAAAAACTTTCCATGCTCATGGATAGGAAGAATCAATATTGTGAAAATGGCCATACTACCCAAATTAATTTATAAATTCAATGTTATTCCCATTAAACTACCATTGATATTCTTCACAGAATTAGAAAAAACTACTGTAAAATTCATATGGAATCAGAAAAGAGCCCCATAGCCAAGGCAATCCTAAGCAAAAAGAACAAAGCTGGAAGCATCACACTACCTGACTCCAAACGATATTAGAAGCCTGCAGTAACCAAAACAGCGTGGTACTGGTACAAAAACAGACACATAGACCGAAGGAACAGAATAGAGATCTCAGAAATAAGACCGCACATCTGCAACCGTCTGATCTTTGACAAACCTGACAAAAACAAGCAATGGGGAAAGGATTCCGTATTTAATAAATGGTGCTTGGAGAACTGGCTAGCCATATGTGGAAAATTGAAACTGGACCCCTTCCTTACACCTGATGCAAAAATTTACTCAAGATAGATTAAACACTTAAATGTAAAACCCAAAATTATAAAAAATGTAGAAGAAAATTTAGGCAATAACATTCAGGATATACGCACTGGCAAAGATTTCATGATGAAAATGTAAAAGCAATTACAATAAAAGCAAAAATTGACAAATGTGATGCAATTAAACTAAAGAGCTTCTGCATGGCAAAAGAAACTATCATCAGATTGAACAGACAACCTACAGAACGGGAGAAAATTTTTGCAATCTATCCACCTGACAAAGGTCTAATATCGAGAGTCTATGAGAAACTTAAACAAATTTACAAGAAAAATACAAACAACCTCATTAAAAATTGGGCAAAGGACATAAGTAGATACTTCTCAAAAGAAGACATTTAAATGCCCAAGAAACATATGAAATAAAGCTCAACATCACTGATCATTAGAGAAATGCAAACCCAAACCACAATGAGATAGCATCTCATGCCAGTCAGAATGGCAATTATTAAAAAGTCAAGAAACAACAGATGCTGGCAAGGCTGTGGAGAAATGGGAACAATTTTATACTGTTGGTGGGAATGTAAATTAGCTCAACCATTGTGGAACACAGTGTGGTGATTCCTCAAAGACCTAGAACCAGAAATACCATTTGACCCTGCAATCCCATTACTGGGCATATACGCAAAGAGATATAAATCATTCTATTACAAAGATTCATGCATGCATATGTTCGTTGGAGCACTATTCACAATAGCAAAGACATGGAGTCAACACAAATGCCTATCAATAGACTGGATAAAGAAAATGTGGTACATATACAATGTGGAATACTATGCAAGTATAAAAAAATGAGATTATGTCCTTTTTAGGGACATGGGTGGAGCTGGAAGCCATTATCGTCAGCAAACTAACACAGGAACAGAAAACCAAATACCGCATGTTCTCACTTATAAGTGGGAACTGAACAATGAGAACACATGGACACATGGAGGTGAACAACACATACTGGAGCCTGTCAGGGGGTGTGGGGGGAGTGAGAACATCAGGGTAAATAGCTAATGCATGTGGGGTTTAATACCTAGGTGATGGGTTGATAGGTGCAGCAAACCAGCATGGCACACGTTTACCTGTGTAACAAACCTGCACATCCTGCTCATGTATCCCAGAACGTAAAATAAATTTAAGTTAAATTTTAAAAATATATATAACTTTTTTTACATGAGTTCTCCACATTTTAAAAGGTTATTATTGTATGATTTTTGGTCTTGTGAATGAAATGATTTTTTATTTATTTACAGTTGGCTTATAGTGTTAAAGTTACTTAATTTGGTATATTTATTTTTTGTATCAAGTTACCTTGAAATTCTTTATTAGTTCAGTTTTCCTCTTAATTAGCTTGGAATTTCTATGTAGAAAATCACGTTTTTGCAAATAGTGTTTTTACCTACAAGGCTTTAATAGTTAAACGTTCTTGTATAATTTTCTGCTATATTATATTATCATGAACATACAGAAAACTGTTAATAATATTTATATCCTTAATTTTAAACAATTAGAGAAACCATGGCTTAGAGGAAATAAAAGCGCATATTAACACTAGCTAGTCAGTGAAAGTATGCATGTTAATCTATAATGAATCCCTACAATCCCTACTGAAACAGATTTAGGTCATCTTTTTAGTTGATGTGAAGTAACCGTATGGCCATTCATGTAGAACTAAGAATACATCATCCTCTTTTCAATATTTACCAAGGGCTTTTTGATAAAATTTTAGTTGTTTAAATACATTTCTGGAAATTTTATAATAATGATGAAGTCTCTGTTTACAACTGGTCTCTTTCCTAAACCAGAGAGTAGGTAAGAAGGAATAATTTGTAATATTTTAAATGTGTCATTAAGCCTAAACTTCTCATCTTACTGTTAATTAGGCTTTTAACTATAGCTTTCATGAGGAAATCCTGACCAGCCAATACTGCATCATGACTGGTTTCATTCATGAATTACGGGCATAAAGTAATTTCTCCATTGACAGGTACTTGATTTATGGGTAGATTGTGAGAGAGATAACTAAAGAGTTAGTACACTCAGTGGAGATGAATGAAACAAAACACATGGTCTAGAAAGGCATGGACACTGATGAGCTTCATTGTTATGTGAATTTGGAATTGAATACAAATTTGGCTAGAATTCAATAAGAGTAATAAGCATATTTTAGATGAAGAATAGAAATGGAGGAGACATTGAGAGATGGTTAGGGCCACACTTGGGAATAGAAATTCCATAGAACAAAGTTGGGGAGTCCATCATACTCGTCCCTGAGCCTGGGGATTAGCTTTGTTATACACAATTATCTATTGTTTATGCATATTAGGATACAAGGCCCAGGAAAGTAAATCAACTCCTTCATTTCTGTTTTTTACCCCTCAGTATCAGAAGTCTAGTTTGTTTCAGTGTTGAAATAGATCTAGTTCACAGGACCCCAGGGAAACTACCTAATTCATGTTAGAAAAGATTCTTGGTAGTTCTAATTTGGATTGCTAAGGATCAAATTAGAGCAATATTTTTTTCAAAATCAGTGCCATGACCTTTTAGTAGTCACATGACTCCTGTGAAACATATATGTGTATCTATGTGTGTACTGTGCTGTGATTTAAAATATATTTTTACTGTGGAACATAGTAAAAAATTGGAAAAATAATGCTGCCTTCAGATATGTCAGAAACCCCAATACTGACCAGGAAAAATCTAATTCCTGCAAGGGTCATGTTAGAGCAGTGATTTAGGAGGAAGAGTGGGGGTACGGTGTCAGTGTATAGTAGTCTACCCCCAGCATGGAGGTATATTTTATCAGTGATGTTGTTTAAAATAATTGATGAGAGGTGATAATAACCACACCAACTTTGTTTTAAAATTCTTTACAGGTAATGTATTCGCTTATTTCCTACCTCCAGAATAGACTGCTTCTGTTAACACCGGACTCCAGCTTTGGTTTGTCGTTGCTTTGTTTCTAGAGTCTTTAGGGTTTTTAATGTACTTAAAGAGACAAAACTAGAGTAAAACATAAGACAATAGCAAATAACACAAATCCACATATAATTAAGGGCTAAATTGTATGTCATGGATTATAAGTGATAGAAATCTATCACTTATAATAATAGAAATCTATCACTTATAGAGGATAGTCTAAGAGTTATGGAATAGTGTGCTACTGTTACTAAACTGTTGTCGTTGTTGATGATGATGTAATATTTATTAAGTGATTTCATTTTTTTTCTTTTTTTTTTTTTTTTTGAGACGGAGTCTCGCTCTGTCGCCCAGGCTGGAATGCAGTGGCGCGATCTCAGCTCACTGCAACCTCCACCTCCCAGGTTCAAGCAATTCTCTGCCTCCGCCTCCCAAGTAGCTGGGATTACAGGTGCCCACCACCATGCCCATCTAATTTTTCTATTTTTAGTAGAGACGGGGTTTCACCATCTTGGCCAGGATGGTCTTGAACTCCTGACCTTTTGATCCACCTGGCTCGGCCTCCCAAAGTGCTGGGATTACAGGCGTGAGCCACCGTGTCTGGCTTATTAAGTGATTTCTTACATAGTATTCCAAGAAATCTATCACTTATAGAGGAGAGCCTAAGAGTTATGGGATAGTATGCTACTACTACTAAACTATTGTCATTGTTGATAATGATGTAATATTTATTAATTGATTTATTAGTGTTCCAAGTCATCTACATTCATTATTTCATTTGCTACTCACAACTATTCTAAAAGATAAGTGCTATTTTCATCTTTCTTTTGCAGATGAAGAAATGGAGGCACAGAAAAAGTGCTTTAACCAAAGTCAAAAAGTTCATAGCAGAACAAAGATTTGAGTCCAAGCAGTCTATACACAGGAACTGCACTTTAAACTGCTGTCCTAATCTCACAGAGATTTCATTAAGGAGTTAGTAATTAGATTGAGCTTTTTCAAAGTGTCATATTTAAGTGAGAGAAAAGAATATAGAGAATACTCCAATGGGAAGGAGGCTGTGATAATAGAAGATAAATTACAAAGTTAGAATGAGAATTACATGTTTTAAAAATGACAAAGCTTAGTTAGACTTAAAGTTCATAATGTGACCTATTATGAGAAATGAAGTTGGGATAGATTTAATTCTCAGAAAATTTTGAAGTTCATTGGGTATATTTTTGATGAGGTAGAAAACAGAGAGTCATTAAAAGATTTTTAAAAATAGTCATATGATGAAAATGCTTTTTATGGGCAAGTGTAGTCTTTAGTGAGCATGAATGTGTGTTGGAAGGAGAAATAAATAATAGAGTTCAGCTAGAAATCTGTTGGAAAATAGAAACTCCCAAAACTAGGAGGAGACCAAAGAATGCTGTGTAAGTCAGTTCCTGCAGTTTCGCTGTACTGCTTAAAACTGATAAATTGTTTTAGGTACTATTATACATACTTATCAGCAAGGACACCATTTCACACTTTACCTTCGAGTAATAATAGAGTATGTACACCTTTGAATATGGTTATAGTGAAGTAATTAAGTTATATATTGATAATTCAAATGTGATCTTTTTCTGTTATGTGTAAAATATGTTTTGCTTAAAAATAAAGTTTTCTAAAAGAAACAATTAAGATCTGACAAAAAATTATTGACTTGAACATTGATGTGTTCCAAGACACACTTTTTGAGTTAAAATGTACATATATTATGTTTTTCTCAGTTCAAGAATTTAATGAGCAAATGGAAGTGATCCATAGAAATGAATAGATTTTATAGTGTTTCTCCAATTTTTATTGTCTTAGTTTTTTGAGACAAATCCTATCAATTCTTATAATAAAGGCCACCCAATTTGGTCTCCCTTTCCTCAGGCCTATGATTCATTCATTCTAACTCATGGGACTCTCTGTCTCCGTTGAAGGTGGCCTCTTCTTTCCAAGATTGCGTCTTCTGGATGCTCATCTTTTGGATCTGATTGCTCGTACTTAGAAAGGTGTGATTCTTCACTACATTCTCTTATGTTCTTTCTTCAGTGGAAAAATAGTACACAATAGCATCACAAGCACAAGGCAAAACTTAAGGCCAACCTTTAGGTTATTAGTAGGTATAAATAAAATTATTTGCTGATGACTCATTTATTAAACATTTAATTAATTTATTTTAAAGTCCAAAATTACAGGGAAGGGCACAGAATCCTTTTAGAAAGCCTATTCTAAATGTTGGGGTTTTAAAAAAATTTCTTTGATTTTGAAGAAACATGATTAATTTGGAAATATCTTAACTCTCCCCTTGACATCCTGGGGTAATGACATTTTATCGTTGACTTTTCCTTATTGATGTATTGCATCAAACATGCATTATCTTTTGATTGATAATAAATCATTCAACAGTGCAGCAATAGAAACCAGTGTGGGCTAGGCATGGTGGCTCATGCCTGTAATCCCAGAACTTTGGGAGTCCGAGGCCAGCGGATCACTTGAGGTCAGGAGTTCGTGACCAGCCTGGCCAATAAGGTGAAACCCCGTCTCTACTAAAGATACAAAAATTAGCCCAGCGTGGTGGCGCCCACCTGTAATCCCAGCTACTGGAAAGACTGAGGCAGGAGAATCACTTGAACCCAGGAGGCAGAGGTTGCAGTGAGGCAAGACCATGCCACAGCACTCCAGCTTGGGCGACAGAGTGAGAATCTGTCTTGAAAAAAAAAAAACAAAAAACAAACAAACAAAAAAACAGTGTGGTATTGGCCCACATGTGGCAATATGTGTCTAACTAAGGGTGCTGAATGCTAATGAAATAAAATTCACGTATAGTAATTTCACTTTTATAGTATAAATTACTAATGCCTGTCAACCCTCAGAATTTGTTTTATGAAGGCTTGTAAAGCCATATGAAGATCACTCTTTAAAATCTTCACATGCTACACGAAATAGGACCTAATAGTTCAATGTTTTAATCATCACATTTTTGTTTGTTTTTAATATACTATATTCTTTCAGAATATAGTATATTTTAAGTTTATCATGAAATTGAACAGAAGGTTCAAGGAATTCCCATGTACCTTCCTCACCCCTCCCACACATAAACTGTTATCCTGCTTTTTGCAGATAAATAATATTTTACATATTTATAGGATACATATGAGTGCCTTCTACATGCATAGAATGTGTAGTGATTACATCAGGGTATTTGGGAATATCCATCACCTTGAGGAGTATTTATCATTTCTATTTGTTGGTAACATTTCAAGTCGTCTCTTCTAGCTACCTTGAAATATGCAATATATTGTTGACAACTATAGTTACCCTAGTCTACTATCAAAGATTAGAATTCATTTCTTCTATCTAATTATAAGTTTGTACCCATTCACCAACCTCTCTTCATTGGCCCATCCTACACTCACTCCCTTCCCAGCCATGGGTATCTATCACTTTATTCTCTATCTGCATGGGAACATGTGGAATTTGTCTTTCTCTGCCTGGCTTATTTAATTTAACACAGTGACCTCCAGTTCCATCCATGTTGCTGCAAATGATATGACTATTCTTTTTTATGACCTAATAGTATTCCATTGTTTATATATGCCACATTTTCTTTATCCATTTGTCTGTTTGTGAACACTTAGCTTCACTCCATACCTTTACCATTGTGAATAGTGCTGCAATAAACATGCAAGTGTAGGTGTCCTTTTGATAAACTGATTTATTTTCTTTTGTATAGATACCCAGTAGCGGGATTATTGGGTTGTATGGCTGTTCTACTTTTAGTTTTTTGAGAAACCTTCATACTGTATTCCATAGTGGTTATACTAACTTACATTGCCACTCACAGTGTATAAGAGTTCCATTTTCTCTGTATCCTCTCTAGCATCTGTTATTTATTTATTTTTAAATAACAGCCATTCTAACTGGGGTAAGATGACATCTCGTTGTGATTTTGATTTGCATTTCCCTGATGCTTAGCAATGTTGAGGATTTTTTTATATACCTGTTGGCATGATCTCGGCTCACTGCAACCTCTGCCTTCTGGTTTCAAGTGATTCTCCTGCCTCAGCCTCCCAAGTAGCTGGGATTATAGGTGCCCGCCATCACACCCGGCTAATTTTTGTATTTTTAGTAGTGATGGAGTTTTACCATGTTGGCCAGGCTGGTCTTGAACTCCTGACCTCATCATCCACCTGTGTCGGCCTCCCAAAGCACTGGGATTACAGGTGTGAGCCACCACACCCAGCCTATATATTTTCTTTTGAGAATTACCTGTTCATATCCTTTGCTCACTTTTTTTTTTTTTGGTTACTGTTTTTGTTTCACTCTGTCACCCAGGCTGGAGTGCATAATCAAAGCTCACTGTAACCTCAAACTCCTGGGCTCAGGCAACCCCACTGCTTCAGACCCCCGACTAGCTAAGACTACAGGCATGTGCTACCACACCCAGCTAATTTTTATTGTATTTTACTTTTTGTAGAGATGGGGTATCACTATGCTGCCCAGGCTGGTCTTGAACTCCTGCCTTTGCCCACTTTTTAATGTGCTTATTTGCTGGAGTATTTTAATGTGTTCAGTTGCTGGAGTTCCGTGTGAATTCTGTATATTAGTGTCTTGTCAGGTGAATATTTTGCACGTATTTTGTCCTATTTAACAGGTTGCCTCCTGACTATGGTTTCCTTTGCAGTACAGAGGCTTTTTAATTTAATATATTCCCATTTGTCTATTTTTGTTTTAGTTCTCAATGCTTTTAAGGTCTTAGCCATAAAGTTTTTTCCAGATCGATGTCACAAAATGTTTTCCCAATGTTTTCTTTTGGTAGATTTATAGCTTTGGGTTTTATGTTTAAGTCTTTAATCCATTACAAGTTAATTTTTGTACATGGTGAAGGATGGGGTCCAGTTTTATTCTTTTGCACATGGATATCTAATTTTTCCAGCACCATTTATTGAGGAGGGTGCTAGGATTCTTTTTTCTATTTCTGTGAAAAATGATGTTAGTATTTTGATAGAAATCATATTGAATCTGTAGATTGCTTTCGGCAGTATGGTCATTTTAAAGATATTAATTCTTCCAGTCCATGAGAATAGAGTGTCTTTTGGTTTGTTTGTGTCCTCTTTGATTTCTCTCATGAGTATTTTGTAGTTTTTCTTACAGAGCTCTTTCCATTCCTTGGTTAAATTTATTTCTATGTATTATATTTTCTTGTAGTTATTGTAAATTGGATTGTGTTCTTCATTTCTTTTTTGGCTATTTCATTATTGGTGTATAGAAACACTTCTGATTTTGGTATGTTGACTTTGTATCCTACAACTTCATTGAATTTGCATGTCAGATCTAAGAGTTTTTTGGTAAAGACTTTTGGTTTTTCTAAATATAAACTCATGTCATCTGCAATGAGAGACAATTTGACTTCCTCTTTTCCAATTTGATTATCTTTTCTTTCTTTCTTTTTTCTGATTGCTCTGACTAGGACTTCCATTACTGTGATGAATAGGAGCAGTAAAAGTGGACCCCCTTGTCTTATTAGAGTTCTCAGAAGAAAGACTTTCAACTTTTTTTTTCCATTCAATATAATGTTAGCTGTCAGTTTGTCATATATGGCCTTTATTATTTTGAGGTTTGTTCCTTTTAAGCCTAGTTTGTTGAGAGCTTTCATCATGAAGGGATGTTGAATTGTATCAAATGCTTTTACTGTGTCTATTGAGACTGATAATATGGTTTTGGATTTTGTCCTTCTGTTGATGTGATGAATTATGTTTATTTTCTGTTGATGTGATATATTTATTGATTTATGTATTTTAAACCATTCTTGCATCCCTAGGATAAATCCCACTTTATGAATATGGGTGCTCCAGTGTTGGGCACATATATATTTAGAATTGCTAAATCCTCTCCCTGGATTTAGTGCTTTATCAGTTTCTCAGAGGTAGAGTGTGTTTCTTATAAGCAGTATATATTTGGGTCATGGTTTTTTATCTGTTGTCTGTATCTTTGAAAATTTAATTTATTTACATTCAAGGCTATCATTGATATGTCTGGTTTTGTTTATATCATAGTGTTGTTTTCAGGTTGTTTTATGTATTTTTTGTTCCTCTCTTTTTCTCCTATTGTCATTGTGGCTTGGTGGTTTTCTGTAGTGGTACCATTTTAGCTCTTTTTCTCTCTCATTTTTGTATTTGCTTTATCAGTGAGTGTTATATTCTCATGTGGGCTCGTGATAGTAAATGCCATCCTTTTGCTTACAGCTTTAGGGCTACCTTGAGCATTTCTTGTAGGAACAGCTAGTGGTGATGAATTCTCTCAGATTTTGCTTGTCTGGGAAAGACTATTTCTCCATTTATGAAGGATAATTTTGCTGGATATAGTATTTTTGGGTGGCAGGGTGTTTTTTTTTTTTTTTTTTTTTTTTTTTTTTTTTTTTTTTTTAACACTTTCAACATATCATCCCATTCTCTCCTGGCCTGTAAAGTTCCTGCTGAGAAATTCATTGTTAGTCTGATGGGAGTTCCTTTATAGGTGACTAGATACTTTTTTTTTTCTGCTGTTTTTAGATTTATCTATTTGACTTTAGACCTTTTGAGTATAATGTGTAATGCAGAAATCCTTTTTGCATTGTATCTGTTTGGTGATTTCAGCACCTCCTCTATTTCAGCTGTCTATATTTCTTGCTAGACTTGGGAAGTTTTCATCTATTATTTTGTTAAACAGGTTTTCAAACACTTTTGTTTTCTCTTCACCTTCTGGGACTCTGATAATTCAAATATTTTTTCATTTTATGGTGTCCCATAGGACACTAAGGCTTTGCTCATTCTTTTTTATTTTGTTCTTTATTTTTGTCTGTCTGGGATATTTCAAAAGACCTGTCTTCAAAGTCTGAGATTTTTCTGTTTGATCTAGTCTATTGCTGTTCTTCAGTCCCAAAATATGTCTGATTCTTTTTGTATGATATCTATCTCTTTGGTAAATTTCTCAGTCACATCCTGAATTGTTTTTCTGATTTCTTTGCATTACTTTTGGAATTTTCTTGTGACTTACTGAGCATTTTTAGAATCAAATTTATTTTGTGCCTGGGATTTCATGAATTATTTTTTAATTGGTATCCTTTGCTGGAGAATTGTTGTGTTCTTTTGAAGGTGTCATATTCTGATATGGTTTGGCTGTGTCCCCACCCACATCTCATCTTGAATTGTAGCTCCCACAATTCCCATGTGTTTTGGGAGGGACCTGGTGGGAGGTAATTGAATCATGGGAGCAGGTCTTTGCTTCTCCTTTGCCTTCTGCCATGATTGTGAGGCTTTCCCAGCCACGTGGAACTATGAGTCCATTAAACTTCTTTCCTTTATAAATTACCCAGTCTTGGGTATGTCTTTATTGCAGCATGAGAACAGACTAATACACATTCCCTTGCTTTTTCATGTTTTCTGTGGTCTAACATTGATATCTGCACATTGATGTAACAGTTGTTTCTTTGAATATCTTGAATTTGCTGTCATAGAGGGCACTTTTTCCTGAGGTTGAATCTATGGTGTTGATAACTCAGGCACTTTAGCCTTGATTATCGGTGTGTCCATTAGTGTAGTCTCCGTATGATTTATTTGGCTGTAAATATTGTCAGTGGTATCTGTTATTTTCTTGGTGGTTTAAAGTGATGTTATTAATGAAGCTGTGGTGCAGATATTTGGAGACTGGCACAGGTAGGCCAGTCTTTGGGCCCCAGTGGTGGCAATGGTGGGCTAAATGTACCTGTTCTTGGGCCCCACGGTGGCATACACTGGTACCATTGGTTCCAGGAAGGCTGATTTTGGGGCCTTTAGGTAGCTTACTTAGATGCTGATTGTTGCTACAGTGGGCTTGTCAAGTGGGCAGGTTCTTAGGCTTCTGTGCAGCTGATGTGATGTGGGTGATGGCAGTGGCAGGACAACCACTTAGGTCCTAGGCAGTGTGAACTGGTGTTGGTGGTGGCTGCAATGAACTGGATGAGTCAATCTCCAGGCCTGCAGGTGGTGCCTGCAGGTAGGTGTCAGCTATGGTGGTAGTGGCAGGTAGATAGGCTTAATCTCAGACTCTTGAGAAGAGTATTCAGGTGCCAACAGTATTGGGCTGGGTAATTCTCTGTTTTCCATACTGTGTGCTCTGGCATGTAGCAGGGTGTTGAATCCAGGTGGGGTGGGCTTGTTTTTTGGTTTGTGATTGTATAGGCTATGGTAGGCAATGCCAGGGCAATCCTTAGGCCATTGGGAGGATGCTCAAGTGAGGAGTGGCAGTGGATGTGCTGCTGTCCTGCCACTGGCAGAGGCAGTGCCACCTTCAGTGATAGCAGCCTATGCTGGTGGGTGGGAATCTGTGCACTACTTATGCCTTAGCCCCCACAGTGCCCACTCCTCAGGCCCTGCTGTGGTAGCTGGCACCTCACTTGCATCTTAGCCCTGTGTGCATTATGCCATGATTGCTTCTGCCTGTGCCACAGGGGCAACTGCTGCTGCTTCTCTTGTACCTCAGTCCCAGCACCACTGGGCTCTAGGACAGCGCATAGTTGTTTGGGGGTAGGGCTCTAAAATGGCACCTTGTGGTAGCTGCTTAGGTATCCAGGAATTTGTGGAATCCAGTTTGGGCTTCATCTTGGGGTACTGTTGTCACACAATCTCTCAGCAGCTCCCTATGTTAGTTTAAAGGCTTATAGGGTTGAGGGGCTGTGGCAAGGATTGCCAAAGTCCACGGTAGACATTTGGACCTCTGAGTGTCTCTCACCATTTCCCTGTATTGGGGAGTCTCTTGGCTCCTAGCCAGCAATGGCAGAGCAGGTCATCTTCACTCCCCTCTTCTTGCTTTTGGTATTCCCTGTTACTTTTCTGTTAAATTCTCATGTTTTTTGACCTATTCAAAGTGTGATTACTCACTAATTTTGGTACTTTTAGTGGAGGAGGCAAGTGGGAAGTGCTTCTAGTTATTCATCTTAATACCCTTCCTCCTATTTATCACAATTGAAGCAAAGAACTTGAGACAATGTATTGTTGAAAAGAGAGCCATATAGACAGAAGAGTTTAGAAAATACCACTTTTGAAGTCTATTGAGAACAATTAGCAATATAGTGCTAATCACAAAAAAAAGGGGTGAGAAAAAATAAAGTACCTAGCTGTGCTAAGGACATTAATATGGGACAGATACTATTTTAAGTCCTTTACATTTATTATCCCCTTTAAATTAGAGACAAATATTATCTCCATATTATAGAGGGAGGATCTGAGATGTAGAAAGGTTAAGAACATTCCTATTTTCACAAAGGTAATTCATGCCAGTGCCAGAAACTGAACCCAGTCATCTTATCTAGTAGCCTGGTATACTGTCACCCCACTGTGGTAAAGCTATTATGTCAGAGAAAAAAATGAGTTATTTTACGTAGTCACTGAAAGCTGAAGGAGGGGGAAAATAAAAACCAATAAACACAAACTTTAAAACTATTCAAATAAAAGATCATTTGAAAGAATGGCCAAACAGAAAATATTCCGATGGGAGACAATTAAATCTCTATTTTTGAGCCATTAAACATAAAACAGCTTCTACTGTAATCTCTAACTTTTTAAACATGGTTAAAGTAAATATTGCTGTATCTCCTAAGTTCCCCCCACCATGTCCTGTGATTCAATATGAAAACACTGATTTTCTTGAGAGAATAAATCTATACATACCACATGTTTTAATCCAGAATCCTCAAAGCTGGTTGCTGGACTTGCTTGTAATTACTTGGACATGTTTCTTGTAAAGCCTAATTTCCCTCAGTTAAGCCACAGAGCTTATTGTCTGCTGTATTATTATTTACTAATGTAAGAGGCTGAGAATATATTTATGAATTTTAACAAATAAGGATTATAAAATATTAGTTTATTATTAATGTGAAATGCTTAAATGTAAACATGAAAACCATTTAAAAAGAATATTTACACAATGTTAATTTCAAATTAGCACAAATACTACTACATATACTATATAAAAATGAAAATAATCAGTTATATTTATATACTAAACAAATATAATTTTTCTAGCACCTTTTTATTAGATTTTGGAATTTTTTACTTTTGAAAAAAAGTAATGCTCCAAAGATGAAAGTTACTTTTGCTAAATGAAGTTATAGTTTTCAGTGTGAACTGACTGGTAAATTTTATTAACTACTTATTTAGACATTTTTAGTTCTACTCAAAATTGTATTATCATATGTCTTCTGTCATATTGTTGGTGTTTATACAAACTGACAATCTGTTTCATTTTTTTCATTTGTCAAATGTTTTGGAAAATATAGTTCCTTTTAATACCTTTGCAGAGCATTATAATGAAAGTATTACAATTAGAGGCACATTGCATTTTTAGCATTTTAGATGAAGATATTCTGTACAACCAAAGTAAAAATTTATCATTTTTCTTTAATATCCTTTGACTCTGAGCCTTAATAGCTCTTAAAATTGTAATTTCTATTTTGTAACTTTTCTGATCTTTATAAGAAGTTCATGTATTTATACTAAATTCTCTATAGATATATGAAAGTATTTAAAGGGACGGTTTGTAAATACTGGGAATTCATACCACTAAGATGGACAAAGTTATTCCTAATAATAAGAAAGAAGAAAATACGTTTTTGCTTTTGATATTTACCTTCCTTTTCTGCCTTTTTTGGGGTAAATAAATTGTTTCAATACGTTCTATTATATTTAGAGCTAAAATGGACAGTATTAAGAAAAGCTAATACAGTCCTGCCATTTTCCTTAGGAGGAAAGTAAGTCCCAATAAGCTGAATAATGGCTGAGACAGGTGCCCTGGTTCATAACTCAGGTCTTCTCCACTCCGCTACCCCTTGTTATTCCCTCAAAGGGAAGAGACTGAACATTTCTAATGAACAAATAAGAAGTGCCATCAGTGTGCTCTAGTGTGTTTTGTTTTGTTGGTTTTTTTTTTTTTTTGGAAAGCAAACTGGGGCCACACCTCAATGCTTATCATACTTCCCCAACTGGAAAAGTGTGGTCTTCTGAATCATCACAAGTTGCACATTCTGAGCCCTCTACTACTTGGAGCTTCTCTATGCGGATATTGACAATTACTTCACTGTGTGGAGCCAGTTGGCACAAAACTGATCATGTTCTTGTTCTTATCAGGCTAGAAGACTGCATACCTCACTCACTAAACCTGTCAAACTTGTTTCCTTTCTTGTTGCCAGTGACTGTCATTATTTTGCAGCCTCCAAGTCCTAACCTGCTGATACAGATCAGATGGTGACTGAATAGAAGCTGCCCCAGTCCTGGGTTCATGATGTACGCGTAAGTATTCAGCTTTTCTCAGTAAAGGTTATCAGTGGGGACAGAGGTTTACAATTCCTGAGACAGGTAGTACAGATGTTGGCTGGTGGAGATTGATTTAAACATTAGAGTTTTAATGTGTGTTATTGTATTTTATATTAAAGTTTTATTGTTGTTGTTTTTAAATATCAGAATTTTTTTGAACAACAGAGGCCAATGTGGTGTTTTTTGTTTCTAAATAAAAGAAATAGAAATGATGTGAGGTAATAAGTTAACTATATTAATATTTAAAACATTTAGTAAAACCTACACTTCAAAGAATAAAGTGTTTAATATAGCCCATTTAGTTACTTTTCCATGTTCCATAGCATGGTATACATTTTTATCATATGTTGCTTATTGATGTATATTCTGGGAAAATTAAATATAAATTTAAGAGGAGAGTCTACTAGAATTTTTATTTAACTCTAATAGAAACTATGATAGGTTATTTTGTATATCATGAGTGAAATGATTAAAATTAAAATACTCATATGTAAAAAATTATCAAATTAACAAAATCTAGACTTTGTATCATCATAATTGAACTCCAAAATAATTGATCAATTGTTGAATTTAAGGTAAATAAATTTGTATTATATATTTATGTTTAGGTAATATTCAGGCTATTGTTTTATAGACTTCGAAAGGAATAATTGATATTTGATGGATGATTTCATTCAAACTTGTGCTAAGTCTAGCCTTGTTTCTTAAAAAGGTTCTCGATCTTTCTACAGACACAAATTTCCCACATGTTCTGCACTGACTGATGTTTCCAACTTAATCATGATTTTGTGATAATTTTAATTGTTCAGTCATTTGATTTTGTCTTCAATTAACCTAAATACTTAAAGCCTGTAGGCTCTGGCACTCTTAAATGATGAGTGTTCCTGCCCTCCCTAATTTACTTTCAAATGACAGCATAAGCCTAAGGAAGACTTCCATTTCATGCATAAATCTCCCATATAAACCCATCATGATAGCATGATATAGCATATTATCTGTACTTCTTACTAAATACAACAAAGTATATTTCTTATTTATCAAGATAAAGACAGAATAAGACAAAACGTACAGTAGAAAAAACTTTTATATTTAACTAACATTCATATAAATATAATATGCTAAAAATTTCTTTAAAAAATTAGAAAAATTTGGAGTTCTCTTATTCTAATTTATTTCAGAATTCTTCAGTAAGTGTTTTTTATCAGCCTGATTCTTCTCTTCCCAACTTACGGCATCATCTCCAAACACTCACTTTTCCACCCTGAAAATATCATTACAACATGAAATTTCTATATTGAAGCCTCGTCAGCTTTGATCCAGAGTTTATTAGAGTTCTGAGGATTTTTTGGTTTTATTATTAAGTTGACATATAATAATTCTACGTATTTATGGGGTACATAGCACTATTTCAGTACATGTAATATATAGTGATCAGATCAGAGTAATTAGCATATCCATCATCTCAAACATTTATTATTTGGAGGATTTAAAATATTCTTGCTAATTAGATTTCAAATCAGATCTGCTTTTAAAACAAATATTCTGTCAAAAAATATATCTTGTGTATAAAGATAAGAAGCTTAGACAGTGGATTTATTGAATTCATTAGTAAAGGTATTTTGCCCAAGGGATCTAGTCTCAAAGAATGAATTAGTCAGATAGACTATGGCCTCTTAGCAAAAGCCCTGTCTTTCTCATTTTGGTAAAGTAGAAAGAGTACCATCATTTAGATGTGTTCAAGATCCAACTTTGAACTCTTTTGTCTGGTACTTCTCAAGACCTCACTTTTATCTGTGAAATGTGGGGAAGGTTTATAAGTAAATGAATGAGGGGTGAGGTTGTTACCATTAATGGGCCTTGAAGTAATATTTGTGGATAGCTAAAAGCAATTTTTGGTTTATTGGTTTATTCTTTGGTTTATTTTGGTATTGTTCATTTGTTGTTGGTGTATTTAAATAGTAATAAAATAAGATTTGTATTAATTTTATTTTTTTCTGTATCTTAAGTATTAGTGTAAATATTGTATTATGGATATATGATTCAGATTCAGATTCATATATAGACAGTACACATACAAGTATGTGTACCAGGCCTTGATGTTGAACATTTCTAACCGTGGGTCATGGTCAAAAATATTTTTTAATACACTGGGTTAGATAGCCCTGAAGTCCTTTTGAATGCTTAATTCTATGATTTCAAAGAGTTAATAGCTAGTTAATATGGAGAACACATTAACATTCTTAAGGCACTAGAGAACTATTTAAAGTATCCCACATTGTAGGTTATTCAAGTTTTTTTCATGGGTCCCTGTATTTGGTGCCCTCTGCAAGTGAGGCAGAGATAAGAGAGATAGTTATCAACAAGTTGAGACCTTTGTGATGAGGCAAATCAATAAGCCACATTCTGATGGCACGTTGTGATCAATGCGAAAAAACAAATACTGACATGCTGCTACAGGGGTGCACATTCAATTTCATAAAAGCTTCTTTGAATACGTAATAACTGTGTTTAGTTTTTAAAAGCAAGCAGAATTAGTAGTAGGAGAAAGACGGTATTCTGGGTTGAGAGAACATAGCCCTTGCAAGAGTCATGAGACTTGAGATACACTCACAAATAGATGTTGGAAGTTGTCAGATAAAGCTGAAGTGATCATTCTGACTATGAAGGGCCTTTTGCACCAGGTTAAATTTCCATACTACATAATAAAAGTTGATTTAAGCAAGAGGAAAAAATGATAATGCAATTTAGAACCATTGGAGTGGACCAGTGCAGCTTGATGGTGCTACTGTCACTTTTTGCAGAACTAAATGAAGGGCGTGGCAGAGAGAGACTGCCTACGTATTTGTTGTTTCGTCTGCCTACAATGGATGTTCCTCCTGACATTTAGTGAGACCCCATGGTCTTCCTTCAAGATATAACAAAGTTACTGTGAAATTTTTCTCCTACCTTCACATCTTAATTGTTCCTGAAGTACAGCCGTCCTCTCTTCAAACATATGTAACACATTGTGTATACTTCTATTGGCACTCTTCTATTTGTATGCTAATTTGTTTTCATTTATATTTCTCTGCTCAGAGAGCTCCCTCCCTTTATTGCTAGTGCCAAACACATTGCCTGTCACATTGCAGACTCTCAACATTTGTACATTGACTTATGATTTCATATGGCTAAAACCAAAGAACAGATACTGAGAAAAGAGGAAAGGTTAGGAGTAAATGAAAATTTCAAGTTTTACCGTTTATTATGTATCTATGTATGCACATATCTTACATATCTTCTCAAAGAAGGCCTGTGAGATATTTGAGATTCAGTAATTCAGAAAGTAAGTAAAAAGCTGAAAACTAGAGACTGTACTTTAAGTAAACTTAAGTTGTGGTGCTGATGGAGATTTATTGTTGAAGAGATAAAAACATCAGATAGATGCTTATAGACTAGATTTTAAAGTTTCATTTATTCATTAGTACAACAAATACTTAATTTAGCTTATAGTATACTAGTAGCACATTATACACATATGTATATATCTACATATATTCTATGTAGACATATGTGTTTGTATATATCCTGTGTGTATATACACATATCAGATGCATATAAACAAATACACACATACACACATATATGAATAAAACAAACAGAATCCTTACTTTTATGGTGTTTATAACACCATAGGAGGAAGAGGAGGAAACGTGATAAATAATTAAGCAAATATATATGAATTATGACTTTGATAAGTATGAAGTAAACATTTTGTACTTTTTCCAAAAAATGTTGCTAATTCACTTTATTTCTTTAATGGCTAGCTTTTTAAAAAGTAGATCTCCAGTTTATATGATAACATTTTACTGCCTATTTTTGTTTATCTGCAGGAAAATGAAGGCTAAATTTCTGAAATGCATTTTGAAAAACATTAAATACTGGCATAGCTTCCCATTGCACTTAAAGAAGTCTTGGGAAGATCTAAGCAGGACCTCTTAACACTATAAAACAAATGTAGGAAGACAGCATGGAAACCAGTATCTTGACCAAGAAGATAAGTCTGTGTTGCTTTAAGCAGGTATTTGCAGTAGTCTTTAAAAAAGGATATTGTGTCTTTGGAGTGTGTGATTGGGTGTGTTAGGGTAGTGAATGAATATTTAGGGACAAATAGCAAGAAAGTTTTTATACCCTTGGATCGTACAAGCATTATAAGGGTTCATTATTTATTATGAAGCACAGTCAACTTAGCATTTCAGGAACATTCATATTCAAAATCCAGGTTCAAAACTCAATTCAAACTCATATCAGAGATGTTTGCATTTACTATTTCAGATTCTGTGTATTATATTTTCTTCCAGTATCATATATGACTAAACTTTGACTCTTAACTAATTTTCTGTAGTTGGCCATTATTTAAAATGTATTATTAACTTGTCTTTATTTTTTTTGCAAAATTTAGAAAATTTTATAAATGATTGATTACTGCTCAAAATTTGAATGTAGAGTATTTTGAAGAATTCAACAATTTATATAGCATTATTATCAGGTGATGGGAGCAGCCCACATATTCAGTACTTTATATAAAATAAAAATAATTTAAAATATAACATAAAAATATACAGTATAATCTACAAGTGGGAACCATATGAAATTGCCCTGTTTGTAAGTTAAAAAAACCATTGAATACAGGCAATTTCATATGGTTCAAGTTTATGAAGTCTTTTCCTGGTCTTGTTTTATTTTTTGTAGAATATAATATATGGAATGACCAATGCAGCATTCCCAATGCATGATTCTCAAAACTAAGCATCAAGGATTGAAAAGTCTTTTGTACTATGTAAAAAAAAAAAAAAAAAAAAAATGCTGGTTTAGATACTTAGAATGTCAAACTACTTTGAAGACACATTCCAACAGGTAAGATAAGATAAAAGCAAGTTGGCAAGCATTCACTTCTGAAAATAGAAAAACAAAACAAAACAACTCAGTGCGAAACGGAGTGTAGGGTGTGTCTAGATACTATTGTAAACAAAAAGAAAAAAACAAAATCTAGTTAATCGTTTGATCTACAAGGTGCCAAACAACAGCCTTAACTCTTATATCTACTACTCTTATGCCCACTGACAGATTGTTGTATTTGCTTTGCACTGCTTCTTTTTATAATTAGGCAAATAAACCTGAACAGGCAGAAGGACCCCAAATGAATGAGGCCTTTAGTGCAATACATTGATGTCAAATAACAAAAGAATCAATGAATCAATAAAAACTAAAATAACCTACAGCTTCATCTTTTTCTTTAAGGCTGAAGTTTCCGCTTGGTCGCCCGGGTTTTGCTCTGTCATGATCGCTGCTCACTGCAACCTCTGCCTCCCAGGCTCAAACGATAATTCTCCAGTTCTCCCACCTCAGCCTCCAGAGTAGCTGGGACCACAGGCGCACCCCAACGCACAGCTAAATTTTTGTATTTTTGGTAGAGACGGGGTTTTCTTGAGCTCCTGAGCTCAAAAGTGCTGGGATTATAGGTGCGAGGCACCATGCCCTTGGCCCCTACAGCTTTATCTTGATAAAGGTTTGTTTTTTTTTTTTTTTAAGACAGAGTCTCACTCTGTCGCCCAGGCTGGAGTGCAGTGGTGCAATCTCGGCTCATTGCAACCTCCGCCACTCGGGTTCAAGTGATTCTCCTGCTTTAGACTCCCGAGTAGCTGGGATTACAGGCGTGCACCACCGCACCTGGCTAATTTTTGTATTTTTAGTAGAGATGGGGTTTCGCCATATTGGCCAGGCTGGTTTCAAACTCCTGGCCTCAGGGGATCTACCTGCCTCCGCCTCCCAGAGTGCTAGGATTACAGGCATGAGCCACCGTGCCCGACCTTGATAAAGGTTTTTAAAAATAGATTAAATATAAGTTATTTGTGATGCTCCTATCTTTAACACTGAATTCATTATTTCAGTCATATGTATAGACTTGAATAGATTGTAGAGGCTTGTCTTGTTAAGGATTGGGTTTGCCATATTAGCATAGACACCACCTTGAAACCACGTCAGCAGTATCATCTATCTCTCCTCTCTAGCAAATCAGTGGGACATTTCCTGTCCCATTGTGGCCCTACTGCCTACCTTCCCCTCCCTTTTATCATTCATTTTCCATAATCGTCTTGCTTTGTGGTGGTTAGTAGGCCCAGATTATACTTTAATTTCCAATCTCAAACTTCAGTTGCTTTGGATGGTACTTGGCCATGATTTCTGCTAGGTAAAGGAAAGATCAATTTATTTTGTTTCATAGCTTGTATATCATATCACTTTAAAAAATATTAACTCATGGGATATTGTGGTTGGGCTCTTCGGATATTATCAGGTAAAAATGGTTGAGACGAGTACCTTCACTTTTTCACAGAATGAGCAGAATCTTTTTCAGTAAAGTTAACTCAAGGAATGTGTCCTCTTTAGATGACATAGACTTAGATTTCTTGACGTTCATGATTTATTCTTTTTGGGCAACTAATTCTTGCTTAGGACTGCTCTTGTGTTCTTTACTTTTTGATCTAATAAGAGCAGCAAGAATTTAGTCAGTGTACTACTTCTTCAAAACTGCCAAAACCATTAATTTCTTCTCATTTTAATTCATTTAGCTGCTTAGCTACCATATTTCTCCTACTGACAGCAGCTTTTAGAAGAATGTGAAACATTACTTATAACGAAACTGTGGCAACAGAAGATAATGGATTATTAGCTGCTCTCTTCTTTTGTATTGTGGGGATTTATTTACTCTGACTCTCTTAGAGCATTATCTGGAAATTTGGATGGCTAAGATAGACTTGCAGTTCATTATCAAGGAACATAGTAAAGGCAACTGTGACTATGTTCTTACCTCACTTCCCAACTTGAATAAACTGAAGTAGGTATTATTTCTGATAATGGTAAGTCGGAGTTCAGACTAAAGCGTCATTCTAACATTCCCTCAAAAACATTTTTTAAAGTGTATTAGGAATTCAGGCAGCATTAATGTGCATATGTCTAAACTAATAAAAATAAAGTGTTCTATATTCGTGATTGCCTTTCTGGAAGTAATTTAATAAATGTCAAGTAAGATGAAGTTTTTCATTCAACAGGCATGTATTAGGAGTTGTTCTAGATAGATGCCTGATAGTGGTTTATCTGCTTGAATTATGTGTTATCTATGCATTAGAATAAATGACATAAACATTACTTAGGATGGAATCTACCTATTAGAATTGCATGTTCTTTGATTCATATGCTAATGTTGAGAAAACTATTGTTTCATTTATAATGTTTAACTGCATAGGAGACAATACATGAAAGCTAGATTCCAAATCCCTCGGTATACTTAATGAAATATTGGTATTATCATTCATACAGCTATGAAATAAGCTTTTTTCCTGGCTGTAATTATTTTTCAGAATTTTATCTGTAGCCAGATACAGTACTATAATAAATTAATGGATTTTCATGCAAATAGAGAAGTAAATTTCTATTGATCCACTTATCAAAATAAAAGTAGGGTCTATCAGAATATGAAATTCAATAATAGAATTTTAGGTATTTTTACACAAAGTTTAATACTTACATTGTTTTAACTATACACACAGTTTGTAAGGTATTTTTCTTTTAAAGCTCAACAGTTAAAATGTAATTATTCTATGTTATCCTATACTATATGGTATATCTTTTTAAACATCTTGAGAATTAGGTGATTTTATTATAACAATTAATTAGGTCTTAATGAATCACTTAATACATACTCAAATATTCAAAAATAAAAAAAGTGGTTATTTAAAAATTATAAATCTTAAGAAATAGCATTTGGGTTGTTTTTTGAGTTGATTGGGCAATGATAAGGCCACTTGGCATTAGAAGGGAGCATTCCAAGAATGAGAAGCTCTCAAAGGTCTTCATATGCAGCACTGTAACATACCGATTAACTCTTTCACACATGGCCCTTTAGAAATGTGACAGGCAGATTCTGGGACATGTTAATTTTGTTTATTTAATATGCAGATTATATTAGCTGTGAACATTGTTGATCACATCTCTCTAGGACAATTATATCTTCATCATAGCTCCTCCCCCTGAACTGGATTGCAAAATACCACTGAAATACAAATATTTAAATCAATCATACAGGAAGCTAAGTGAAGAACATTGGCTGCTTATTGAAAACAACTGTGTTTTAAAATTTATTTTTATGTATTTAGTTACTTATTTTGTCAGAAACTGCACAACCATAGCACATTCTGTTTAGCCTCCATGTTATATATATATAAAATAAAATAGAACTGGTGTTTATTATAAATTCAAATGTATTACAATTAATATAACTTTGAATAGGAGACAAAATATTGAATTATTTCTAGGAATAGCATACCAAAAATATTCAACATCTACAAGTAATATAACATATTTTTCAGAAGAGAGTGTACTGGACACTTTATGAATTCTTTTTCAGTCACTATTTTAATTCTGTTTTTGTCTCCTTAGGTGTTTTCGCATACTCAGTCACAAGTAACAGAATTTGATTCCTTAAGAAACATTTTATGGGCTGTTAGATGTGGGTGGTTAAAATTATTTTGGTTGAAACAATTGAACTTGAGTTTTAAAAAACAGAATTAATTGAGAGGCCATTGAGACATCTCATAGAACTAAAAAAAGAATAGACCTAAGAAGTATGGATCCAGCCAACTGGGTGGGTCATATAGAAGGGGAGGTGAGACTTAATACATGCACACCCTGAAGATATTGCAGGTTCTATTCCAGACCACTGCAATAAAGTGAATATCACAATAGTGAGTGCCACAAATTTTTTATATTTCCCAGTGCATGTAAAAGTTATGTTTACACTATACTGTGGTCTATTAAATGTGCAAAAACATATCTAAGAGAGGCACATACCTTAATGAAAAATACTCTATTGATGAAAAAATGCTAACAATCATTGGAAACTTCAGTGAGTCATAATCTTTATGCTGGTGAGGGTCTTGCCTTAATATTCATGGCTGCTAACTGATCATGGTGGTGATTGCTGAAAGCTGATGTGCTGTGACAATTTCTTAAAATAAGACAATGAAGCTTGTTTCATAAATTGACTCTTTCAATAAAGATTTCTCGGCCGGGCGCGGTGGCTCACGCCTGTAATCCCAGCACTTTGGGAGGCCGAGGCGGGCGGATCACGAGGTCAGGAGATCGAGACCATCCCGGCTAAAACGGTGAAACCCCGTCTCTACTAAAAATACAAAAAATTAGCCGGGCGTAGTGGCGGGCGCCTGTAGTCCCAGCTACTTGGGAGGCTGAGGCAGGAGAATGGCGTGAACCCGGGAGGCGGAGCTTGCAGTGAGCCGAGATCCCGCCACTGCACTCCAGCCTGGGCGACAGAGCGAGACTCCGTCTCAAAAAAAAAAAAAAAAAAAAAAAAAAAAAAGATTTCTCTGTAGCATGTGATGCTGTTTGATAGCATTTTACTCAGAGCAGAACTTTTTTCAAAGTTGGAGTCAGTCCTCTGAAACTCTGCCACTGCTTTATCAACTAAGCATATGTATTATTCCAAATCCTTTCTTTTCATATCAACAGTGTTGATATGAAAACATTTCACCAGGAATAGTTTCTATCTCAAAAAACCACTTTCTTTTTTGATCCATAAGAAGCAACTCTTCATCTGTTCAAGTTTTATCATGAGATTGCAGCATTTGAGTCATGTCTTCAGGTTCCACTTCTAAATCTAGTTATCTTGCTTTTTCCATTACATCTGCAGTTACTTCCTCCACTAAAGTTTTGAACCCCTCAAAATTATCCATGAGAGTTGGAATCAACTTCTTCCAAATTCCTGTTAATTTTGATATTTTGACCTTCCCTCCATAAATCACAGATGTTCTTAGTGGTATCTAGAATGGTAAATCCTTTCCAGAAGGCTTTCAGTTACTACTATGAGAGGTATAGCCTTATCAATGTATGTCTTAAATAACAGTACTTGAAAGTCATAATTTCTCCTTGATCCGTGGACTGCAGAATAGACTCCCATTAGCAGGCTTGAAAACAACATTGATCTCCTTCAGAGCTCTGGGGTGACCCGATATGCATTGTCTATGAGCAGTAATATTTTGAAAGGAATCTCTTTTTTTGGAGCAATAAGTCTCAACGGTGGACTTAAAATATTTGGTAAACCATGCTGTAAACAGATGTGCTGTCATCAGGCTTTGTTCTTCTATCTATAGAGCACAGGCAAAGTGGATTTAGCATAATTCTTAAGGGCCCTAGAATTTTTGGAATGGAAAGGAGCATCGGCTTCAACCTCAAGTCACCAACTGTATTAGCTCCTAACAAGAGGGTCAGCCAGTATTTGAAGCTAGGCATTGACTTGTCCTCTCTAGCTATGAAAGTTGCCTATATTGAAAATCTGTTATTTAGTTTACCCACCTTTATCAGGGATCTTAAGTAATCTTCTGGATAACTTGCTGAAGCTTCTACATCAACACTTGCTGCTTTGCCTTGCACTCTTATGTTATGAAAATGGTTTCTTTCCTTAAATCTCATGAACTAACTTCTGCTTGCTTCAGAATTTTTCTGTGCAGCTTCCTCACCTCTCTCAGCTTTTATAGAATAAAAGAATTAAAGAGAGTTAGGGCCTTGCTTTGGATTAGGCTATGGCCTTAACACATGTTGTGTGTGGCTGGTTTGATCTTCTATCCAGCCCACAAAACTTACTCCGTATCAGCAATAAATCTGTTCTACTTTCTTATCATTTGTTTATTCACTGGAATAACACTTTTAATTTACTCAAAGAACTTTTTCTTTGCATAACTTGGCTGTTTGGTACAAGAGGCCTAGCTTTCAGCCTGTCTTACCTTTCAACATGACTTTTTCATTAAGCTTAATTATTTCTAGCTTTTGATTTAAAATGTGAGACATGCAACTCATTCTTTTGCTTTCACCCTAATTAGATGATCCTTCAGGTCTTCATTTAAATGTTCTCAGAGGAACCTTCCCTGACCCCTTACTCTAGATAAGATTTCCTTGTTGTAGACATATAAGAGCACCTTTCATTTTTGTTACCATTTTTTATTATGTTAATTGTTTACATATAAATTTTTTAATATTTGTATTTCCCCCTAGCCTATAAACTCCTTGAGTATGTATGGTTAACCATTTCACCTTCAGCCAGCAAAAATTTTCAATAAGTATTTTATGAATGAATTAAGAAATCTCAGAATTACTTACCAAGCTTATGACTAAAGACCTGTTATCAAAGAATTGCTAGAAATATATTGTAATTAGTATATCAAGCATATGTAATGGGTGCTTTAAATTGCATAAAATATACAGGAAGTTTCTCTCTTTGGTGAGTTATAGTATTTTTTTAAAAATGTTTTTGTATACGTGTAATACAAAAGTCCTTGTTTGAACTATCCAAAATTGTGTTATAATACAGTTTGAATTAAAACCTTTCTTGAAGTTTCACATAAAAAGCCTTCCATATTTTTGGAAGATTCTTGAGGCTATGGGAATTAATGTTTAAGTATGTGTATTCATTTGGGTGTTTTCAATTGTGATTAATTAAAACTTCAGCCTCACACTGGTTGGTGTTAACAATATGAAAAATTATTATTTAATATAATAGTAATATCAAAAGCTGGGCTGTTCTCAGTGGCATTTGATCCAGCCCCTCAAATGTGTGATATGAGACCCTGGTTATTTCTGTCTTTCTACTTTGGTATTCTTTGTGAGTCCACATTGTCCTCAGGTTAGTTTCTCTTACAGCTTGCTTCTCATAGAGTTGTAGCAGTCTCAGGTGTCACATTGGGACACAACAATATTCAGAGAAAACAATAAGGAGTTATCTCTCAGTTTGACTTATTTTAGAAGAAAAGAAGTATTTCTCAACAATTTCCCAACTATCTCTCACATATCACTGGCCAGAGTTGGACTGCATGTCCATTTTTGAATAGCCCTTAGCCACAGAGATGGAAGTATCATGATTGAGACTAACTACCTGGGTGTGAAATATTTGTAGGAATGTGTTTTAAGGGGTTTTTGCTGAAGTATCAATGGTAATTAATAGCTATTTTTATAATTCAGTGAATTGACAGTTGAGAACTTGGAGCCAACCCTAGCCCAAAGGATTTCTCAGTGGAGACACCCAACTTTCTATTCAACCTAACAACCATCCTAACAGATGTGAGGTGATATCTCATTGTTGTTTTGACTTGCATTTTCCTGATAATTAGGAATGTTGTTCACCGTCTCATAAACCTGTTGTCCATTTGTGTGTCTTCTTTGATGGAATGTCTATTCAGGTCATTTGTCCATTTTTTTTTTTTTTTTTTTTTTTTTTTTGAGACAGAGTCTCGCTCTGTCACCCAGGCTGGAGTGCGGTGGCCGGATCTCGGCTTACTGCAGGCTCTGCCACCCAGGGTTCACTCCATTCTCCTGCCTCAGCCCCCCGAGCAGCTGGGACTACAGGCACCTGCCACCTCACCCAGCTAATTTTCTGTATTTTTAGTAGAGACGGGGTTTCACCGTGTTAGCCTGGATGGTCTCGATCTCCTGACCTCGTGATCCGCCCCCCTCGGCCTCCCAAAGTGCTGAGATTACAAGCGTGAGCCACCGCGCCTGGCCAATTTGTCCATTTTTAAACTAGATTATTTGGTCTTTTGCTATTGAGTTGTAGGAGTTCCTTATAAACTTTGGATATTAACTTTTTATCAAATACATGGCTTGCAAATATTTTCTCTCATTTGGTAGACCGCCTTTTAATTTGTTAATTGATTCCTTGACTGTGCAGAAGCGTTTTAGTTTGATGTAATCCCCTTGTCTGTTTTTGCTTTTGCTGCCTTTGCTTTTGGTGTCATGTCATATCCAATAAATCATTGCCAAGTCTAATATCTAGAAGCTTGGTCCCTATGTTTTCTTCTAAGAGTTTTAATGTTTCAGTTTTATATTTAAATTTTCAATCCATTTCAAGTTGATTTTTATGAAAGGTGTGAAATAGGGCCCAATTTTATTCTTCTGCATGTGGATGTTTAGTTTCCCTAATACTCTTTATTGAGGACACTATCTTTTATACATTGTGTATTCTTGGTACCCTTGTCAAATATCAGTTGGCATAGATGCATGAGTTTATTTCTGGGCTCTCTCTTCTGTTGCATTGGTCTATATGTCTGATTTTATGCCAATGCCATATTGTTTTGATTACTATGGCTTTGTAGTATACTATGAAATCAGGGAGTGTGGTACCTCTAGCATTGTTGTTCTTGCTCAAAATTGCTTTGCCTTTTTGGGGTCTTGTGTGAGTCCAGATGAATTTTAGGATTTTTTTTTTATTTCTGTGAAAAATGCCATTGAGATTTTGACAGGATTGCATTGAACCTGTAGATTGCTTTGGGTAGTATGGGCATTTTAACAATATTCATCTTTTCAGTCTATGAACATGGAATGTCCTTCCATTTATCTGTGCATTTTTTAATGTTTAACTTCATTTCAAACTGCCAAACCAGTTTCTAAAGTGGAGGTACCATTTTGCATTCCCAACACCAATGTATGAATATTCTAGTTATTTTCCCTTGGGAAAAAAACAAAAACTGTTGCCATTCTAATACGTGTATATTTCCTATCTACAAAATATTTTCTACTTTAAGGTAAGAAATATTTTCTACTTCAAGGTCAAAAATATTTTCTTCTGTATTTTCTAAGTTTTATAATTGTAAGGGTTTTTTTTTTGAGAAAGAAAGAAACAATTCTAGAGTTGATATTTAAAAGCAAATGACCTAGAAAAGCCAAAATAATTTTGAAAAACAATAAAAAGCTGAAGGACTCACATTTTGTGATTGATAGTTTATTCTTGCTGAAAATATACAGTTAAACTTGGAAAGAATTGTCAAATTAGCAAGATTAACTTTTCTAATTAAGCATAATATATCTCTCTCAATTTTTAAGGTTTTATTTGATTTTTCATAAATGCTTTAAAATTTTTTCCATTTAAATATTTTACAAATTTTGTTAGATTCACAGATAATTATTTCATAGTTTTCAGTGCTATTGTATATGTTACTGCTTTTACAATTTCAGTACCTATTTGTTAAATGCTTGTATATGGAAATAGTTTGATTTTTATGTATGACCTTTCACTCTGTGATTTTTGTAAACTTACGTATTAGTCTTTTCATGGCAGATTCTCAAGGATTTTCTTTATAGTATATTAATAAAAGCACTTTATTCCTTGCCATCTTGTGTGTTTTATATTTCTTTTTCTTGCTTTATTGCAGTGGCTAAGACTTCCAATACAAATAGGAGTGATAAGAGCAGACATCCTTGCTCCATTCCGAGCTTCAAAAGAAAGCATTCAGTCTCACCATTGCATATATTAGCTATAGGATTTCCTTAGAAGAGCTTTATATGCTTGAGAAACTTTTCTTCTTCTTCTTTTTTTTTTTTTTTTTTTTTTTTTTGAGATGGTGTCTTGCTCTGTTGCCCAGGCTGGAGTGCAGTGGTGCGATCTCGGCTTGCTGCCAGCTCCGCCTCCTGGGTTCACACCATTCTCCTGCCTCAGCCTCCTGAGTAGCTGGGACTACAGGCGCCCGCCATCACACCCAGCTAATTTTTCTTTTTTTGTATTTTTTAGTAAAGACGAGGTTTCACCGTATTAGCCAGGATGGTCTCGATCTCCTGACCTCATGATCTGCCCGCATCGGCCTCCCAAAGTGCTGGGATTACAGGCGTGAGCCACTGCGCCCGGCCGGGAAACTTTTCTTCTATCCCTAGCTTGTTGAAAGCTTTCTTCTTGTTCTTCTTCTTTTTTTTTTTTTTTTTTTTTTAAATAATGAATTAAGGTTAAGTTTTTTTCAGATGCTTTCTCTGAATATATTGAGATGATCACATAGGAGTGTTTTTGTTTCTGTTTTGTTTTTTGGTCTGTAAATACTATGAGTTATACTGATTGGTTTTCAAATTTTGAACTAACTTTGTAGTTCTAAGATAAATCTCACTTGTTTTTATATAATATTGGTTTTAGGCACTCTTGAATTCCATTTTTTAAAGATTTTTACTTCTTGTTTAGAGGGGCTTTCATCTGATTTTTTTTTTTCCAGTTCCCTTTGGGAAACTCTAACTTGTCCGATTTTTAAAAATAATGTCTTTGGTTTTGTTATCAGAATATGCTGGATTCATTAAAAAAATTGGAAGCATTTCCTTTTTTTCTATTTTCTGGCAGAATCTGTTGTTTTCTGGCAGAATCTGTTTAAATTGATGTTATTATTTTTAGGTATGTACTATTCAGACATCTGTGTCTTCCTGAATGAGCTTTGAAAGTTTTTGTATTTCAAAAAGATTTATCCATTTTATCTACATGAGCAAATTTATTGGCATAATGTTATTCATAGCATTTATTTATCATTCTTTTATGTTTAATAGGTCTATGGTAATATCTTTCTCCTCATTCCTAGTGTTGCAAATTTGTGCCTTCTTTTTTTCTAAATAATTCTATATATCTTTATAATGAACTGACTTGTTTCTATTGACTTTTCTACTGTTTTCAATTTCATCAGTTTCTTTATTATTTCCTTTTTTCTGCTTTTATTTGGTTTAATTTACTCTGCTTTTTCCCAGTGTCTTAAGGTAGGGTTGATTATTGTTTTCTTGTTTTCTTATTTTCTAATTAAGAATTTAAATCTATAAATTTTCCCCAATCATTGCCTTGTGTGCATCTCCCAAATTTTTTATGTTTTCATTTAAAACAAAATATTTTTTAAGTTTTTTTGTACTTCTTTTTAATTCCTAAGTCATTTAGAAGCTTGTTGTTTAATTTTATAATATTTGGGGATTTTCCAGATATCTTTCTGTTATTAACTTGTGGTTCAATTCTTTTAAAATCGAAGAACATACTTTATAAGATTTATTTTTTTAAATTTGTTGAGGTGTGTTTATGAACCAAATTGTGCTCTTTTTTTATTAGTTTTGTATATGCAGTGGAAGATAATGTGTATTATGCTGTTGTTGGGTGGAGTGTTCTATAAATGTCAACTAGGTCAAGATGGTTGATAATATTGCTAATAGATACTATTTGCTTATCAATTTTTGTCTACTTTATCAGTTACTGAGAGAAGAGTGTTGATGTCTTAAACTATAATGTGGATTTGTGTACTTCTCTTCATTATAACAGTATTTGCTTCGAGTACTTTGCAACTCTGTGGTTAGTTGCATACACATTTACGGATCGTTTTAACATTTGTTATGTTGATGAATTGACCCTTTTATAATGACATATCATCTTTCTTTAGTTCTTGGCAAAACCCTTGATTTAAAGTTGATTTTGTGTGATATTAATACAGACATACTTCTTTTTGTTGTGATTCACTTTACTGCACTTCACGGATATTGCATTTTTTTTTTTTTACATTTTTCATTTTACAGTAGGCCGTCAAGAAAAGCCAAGCCATATCTTCAGCAATTCACATAGATATTTCCCTGGCCAATATCCAATTTTGTCACTCAGGTTCTACCTTCCACAGAACACTAGGACACAAAAACAATTCAGCCAAATTCTTTGCCATTTTATTACAAGAATAGCCTTTTCTCCATTGTCCAATAACACGTTTCTCATTTCTGAGACCTCACCAGAATCACCCTTTATGGTGTGATTTAATTTCTCTATAATCAAAGAACATACTTTATAAGATTTAATTTGTTTTAATTTGTTGAGTCATGTTTATGAAACAGATTGTGCTCTTTTTTGATGAATTTTGCATATGCAGTGTAAGGGAATGTGTATTATGTTGTTGGGTGGAGTGTTCTATAAATGTCAACTAGGTCAATATTTGTATAATATTAGAAAAATAAATATTTCAGAATTTTACTTTCTATGGAGCAAATTTTGTAGAGGGAAGATTTATTAATATTTTTAATCACATATTTAGGAACTCTGGAAGAGATATAGAGAAGAATGCTATAGATTCTGCCCTTTAGGAAATTATAAACTAAGAGAAGGTATAATTATTAGCATAAAAGAATATTAAATGAGGTAGATTATAGTGTCTACATACTCAATAATGTTTATTAAACACTACTAAGGCTCAGGTACTGTGCTAGACACTGGAGTTACGGCAATGAGCAAAATAGGTACTATTCATACTCTGTGGAGTTTACTGTCTAGCTGGGTAAAAATGATATTAGAATCAATACAAATAATAACATTTGATTATTTATTGATATATTATTAGTAGTATTTTTTAGAGGCAGGAGTCTCACTACATAGGCTGTACTGTAACTCCTGGGCTCAATCAAATTATATTTTTATTATTAATTTAAGGTTGGAAAAATATAGGGCACCATGGGAACATAAGCTTAGCAGAGAGAGCACAACAAATAACATAAAAATATTAGCCCCAAATAGGTTTGGCATTAATAAAATGATGTCACTTTTAACTAGGGATTCAGAAAAGGTCCATGGAGATGTAACATTTAAGCTGGATCTTGAAGGGTGAATAGGATTTGAGTGTAGGGAAGTAGGAAAAAAACAGTGCCGATGGGGCCCACAGCTTGAGCACGATCAGTTAAGTGTGGGGGCATGTTCAAAGGCTCAAAGACAGTTCAGTAGGGAAGCTAGACTCACTGAACTTGAAACGTCAATGAAAATAATAAATGCTTGACTGAAAAGGTATGAGTTCATGCTATGGAGTGTGTGCTTGATTCAGTAGACAGTAGGTAGAAGAAGACATTTGAGCAGAAGAGACAGTATCAAAGGCTTTCCAAAATATCTCAAATTACAGAGTGTCTGATGGATTGCTGCGGAGAAATGTGGAAATAGGAAGAAAGGCTAAGACTCCATTGTGATAATTAAGTAAGTACATAATGAGATAGAACTTAACCCAAATCATTGGTTTTAGTTATCTATGGGTTAAATATCAAAGGAAGATTTATAGAGTACAGAAATAATTGAGAATTGGGAATCATAGTTCTGAGTCCAAATCTTGGTTCCAATACTTGTCAAATTTACCTTGCCTAAATTAGTCTCTCTAAGCCTTAACTAATCATTAAATGAGGCTATTAAATAACTACTAAAAAGAATTGGGTAAATTTGAGGTAAAATGTATCAACTGTCCACCACCATGCTGGCAGAAAAATATTGCAAAGGAGAAATAACACAAATTTCATTTCCTCCTCAAGATGGCATTTGGGGAGTTTCATTGAAATAATTATAGTTTCAAGTTGATGAAGAATAATAATTATAATAGTTTCCTTTTATAGCCTATTACCTGTCAGACATTGTGCTAAGCACTTAATTTATATTGTCCCTAAACCTCACTACAGTCCAGAAATTTAGGGCCATTATCACCATTTTTCAGATGAAGAAACTGAAGGGTATAGAGAGCATATACAGTTAGTAAGTGGTAAAATCAGCTGCTGTCTACAAGTATTGGGCCATCTGTTTCATGTTTTTTTGTTTTGTTTTATTTTGTTTTTAATACAGTAGGCAAAGATGTCTGAGTTGCCGTAGGAATAGTCAAAAGTTTTGGAAAGACCATGTTTATTAAGAGATTCAGTGCATGAGAAAGAATCATTTTGGAAATATAAAACTGAGATGGGTGAAGATTGTGAAAGCAGATGTATAAGCTCCAACTGGGAAAAGTAGACTAGACAAGTCATATAAAAAAGGGACTATACCTATGTTTTGGGGGAACAGTACTGAGATTTAGTTATGTTACATCATCATGCTTAATGCCATATGGAATTTGTATAAAAACAGTCTCTAATTGGTGGACTTCAGCCTAAATAAGGCATAAAAGAAAATGAGATTGAAATTTATGATGGCCTTGTTTATTTTGAAAGGACTTAGTACTATGGTTTTGAAGAATGGTTAAAGAGTTGTACTGTCCATTTCCATCATTGGACTCCTGCTATAGCCATTTTATTTTTAAAGACAAGAAAGTTAAATAAGAAAGCAGAAAAACATTTCACTAAAGTGAGAACAAAAATAAAGTGGTCATACTGAAGAGGAACAAAGACATTTGGATTTGATTATTCCTAGGCATTCAGTGTTTTAAAATAAAAATCAGTAAGCAGATAGCATTTTAATAATAGCAATAATGTTTATAGCACTTTGACATGTTAAATATATTATCTCATTTTATTTTCGCAAGAAATATATCAAGTAGATACTGTTATACCCATTTTGCAGATGAAAAAACTGAGGTAAAAAAGGTTCAGTATCTTGCCTACAATCATACTGCTCACAAATGTCAGAGTTGGAACTTAAAATAGAACAGCTGGACTACAGAATCTGGGCTTCTAACTAGTATGTTATACTATCTCTCAACTTAAATCTCTCAAAACAAACTTTATGCCTTTTAATTGCCTATAGAGCAGATCATAATTAAAGACAGTCCAGTTTTGGTGATTTACTTTTACTCTGCCACATATCCATGGCTAAACACTGGGGAGGAAGAGGTCTGAGTCTGTGGATTTTGCTGAGGTTCACAGTTTCCTTTGTGCATCTAAAATAGCATTTAAAATGAATATTGTATTTGTTCTCCATTGCTGCTTCTCACCATTAACATGTGAGTCTCATTCTGTGTATCTGTGTGTATATGTGTGTAGTAAGGAAGGTCATTAACCTTAGTTAACCCATGCCATTAAGAAGATGTTATTAACCACAAGTATTCCCAGAAATGAAGGCTTTTTGGCAAGAAGTAGAGAGGACTGTGCCCAAACGGAATATCTAATGTGTATCTATGCTTCAGGTTGAATACAAATATGTTAAGACATATGTAAGACATAAAAAGAATTTCCCCCCAAGGCTACTGCTGTGAGAATACTTGATTAGCACATAAATATTTATGCTGCACATAGAAGAGTGTACTGCATTTAATTTAATGTTTTGTTGTTTACATTTCTTTAGTACCAAGTATAATCAAATATTTAAATCTTCATCTTGATGTCATCAATTATCTCATGAATTCACTTCACCAACTTCAAATTAATTGCCCAGTGTTTTCTTGTTTTAATGATGTTAAAAACAAACACAGAAATAAACCCAATGGAGGGTCATGTGGGATGATCATAAAGATCTGAATAATACTGGTCATATGTTATTAAAGGATGTTTATATAGTCCTGACAAATAACTTCTCTTTTGTACTTAAACCCTTGGCCAACTCATCCTTCTTTCCTTTGTGTTACTAAGTTGAACTAATATATAAACTTATTCAACATAAACTATTGGCTCTTTATTTCAAATTTTGAGACACATTATTTAGGTGGTTGATTTAAAACAAAGCTAAACATTAAATTCTGAATGAAAGAAGCAGACTTATAAAATTTTTAGGGATCTGTACTTTCATCGTTATATCCACCTGGTGTATAATTCCTATTCATATTTCTTAATTTATAAAAGATATGTGGCAAATGCTTTCTCAGCATGACCCTAATTTTTCACCAAGGCAATAAGAGAATTTAACCCTGTGGTTTGGCCAAACAGTGGGAGGAGCTGTAAATGTATAAGTGATTTTATTTCTGTTACTGGAGTACCGGCCGGGTACTCCAGTACTGGTACTGGAGTACTGGACCTTCTTTTGTTCACTAGAGAATACCCAGCACCTAGAATAGCGTTAGGTTACATAGTAGGTGCTCAATTAGAACTTGTTGACTGTATTAGATGTGACATATGGATTTTATCCATTTTGAATGTTCCTAAGAAAATATAGTTAGTGTAGGAGATGCAAACTTTGGGAATGCATGCCTAAAAACCATCATCAGACTAAGCAAAGGTGAGGGGAGCTTTCTCAGGAAGTTAGAAGGAAAGGTTTTAAGAATAGGCTAGACAACATTATGGTAGTGTTCTGATAAAGTGGATGTTAGTATTGGTGATTGAAGTGGATTAATTGTAAGTTAACTGTAAATTCTGTGATTCTGTCAGGTCCTGGGTAAAATAAAAAAGGAATCCTTCAAATCCCTACCCCCATACTTACAAATACATTTGTACTACAGCTAGTCTCAGAGGAAGCCTGTCCCTTTATCAAAGACTAACTTCTCTACATCACAGCCTTTTCTACCTCTTCTGAAGCAATAATCTTTTCTGAGGACAGAGAGCAAATAAATGGCATGCTGGTTCCTTATTTACAAGTCAAAGCCTACCCAGGAGTTGTATATATTGGAAAGATTTTATAGAGGTGACATTAGAAAAATGAAGGTGTGCTCATTGGGTACATGGCATGTAAAGGCTGGAGAACAGAATGCAAGAGACATCAGTAGGGGCTGGGTGACACATCATGCTGCCCAGGGCTCCATTATGGAGGATCTTCAGGATTTTGCTGAAGCGACTGTAGTCCGTGTGAAATTCAGCAGTTAATTCTTGCAAATGTGTCTCAGGGGTCCCTTCCAGTGGGCAGATTGCATACTGGCAGACTTCTGTACACCCTCTCCATCCCAGAACATCTTTGCTTTAAGTCTGTGTTATACACTAGAGTTCCATATAAGCATTAATTTGAGAATGATGTCACTACTTTCAAAATGTTTCATATCCACTGGATTATCATTTTTCTCTGCACAAACTAAAGACCTTGGCATCCTCCTTAACTCTTCTCTTTCTGTCATTTCTACAACCAATTCATCAGCAAATTCTGTCAGCTATAACTTCAAAATATATTCTGAATCCAGTTATATGTTCTGATTTCCTCGTTGCTAGCATCCTACTTCAAGTAGCCATCATCTCAGACCTGAACTATTGCAAGGGTCCCCTAATCAGTTTTGCTGCTTCCACTTTTCACATCTTCGCTGCTGCCCTCCATCCAGTGTATTATCCACAGGGTGATCCTTTTGAAAAGATCAGTCCCATCCACAGGGATCAAAACTCCAAAGTGGTTCTTTTTTTTAAATTTGAGACAGAGTCTCACTTTGTCTCCAGGCTGGAGTGCAGCGGCACAATCTCAGCTCACTGCAGCCTCTGCCTCCTGGGTTCAAGCGATTCTCCTGCCTCAGCCTCCCAAGTAGCTGGGACTACAGGCAAGTGCTACCACACCCAGCTAATTTTTCCATTTTTAGTAGAGATGGGGTTTCACCATGTTGGCCAGGATGGTCTTGATCTCTTGACCTCGTGATCTGCCCGCCTTGGCCCCTCAAAGTGCTGGGACCAAAATGGTTCTTATTGTGGCCTGCTGGATTATGATGTGGTCTATAATGATCTCTGACCCCATCATCTTCCCTCTTCCACTTGCACACTGCCTACTGGCCACACTGACCTTCTGCTCTTCTGCAAATTCACCAAGTCTGCTCCTACCTCAGGGTCCTTGTAATGACTATTTCTTTGCTGTAACATTTTCCCCTCAGATAGTTACATGGCTCCATCTTTCACCTTGTTCATGTCTCCACTTAGATATCACCTTTGCAGAGTGATCTCCCCTGATCACCTTAATCCTACCACCTCCCTCACTGTACCCTGGTTATTCTGTGTCCTCTTACTTGATACCTGACATTTATGTATAGATTTGTTTATTGCACAAACTATCTTTTCCATTGGGACACATAAAGGCAGTCTATATCCTTAGTACGGCCATATCCATAGTAACTAAATTAGTGTCTGGAACATAGTAGATGTCCAATGAACATGTACTAACTGAACATGTACTAAATGAATGAATGAAATTTATTTTTATTAATACTATACTTGGCAGTCATAGTAACTATAAAGTCTTCTTGAGGTGGAAAATGTGACCATTCTAATACAAGAAAACTGCAGAAATGCTGCTTGTATTTGTATGAATGAAATTAAGTGTTTAGTATTGTTACTTGTGTGACTGCTATCAGAGGTATAGCTGACCTTGCTGATACCATAGCATGAGAGTAGTGCTTCCAAGATGGTAATAGTGATTTTGAAAGTCAGCTATAAAGAGAGATAGATCTTGTACTGAATCTAGAACTCGAAGGTCTAAAAAATGTTTTCAAAGAAAATTTCAGAAAACTCATGAAATTATTATAACCAGTTTCTTTAAATGTCTTATATGTTTTACATTATATTCTATTATGTAAATAAGATTTAATATTTTCCCCCATGTACAGAGCTATTACACATTCCAATAAAGGAGCAGGATGCTATGCAATTTCTGCCCACACTCCACAATTTCACCTTTCTTCATTGACTGTTTTGTCAAACCAGTCATTTCTAGCTGATAGGAAGCTAATTTTGATGTATTAACTCATAGTTGTAACCCCTCCCCCCGCAGTTTCCCACCACTTTGCCAATTCTTGATGCTTCTGAAGTCACTTATCATAATGACATTTATAGAATATCCCCTCATATGCCTTTTGAGAAATCCAAGGACATTTTTTGCAATCCTCTGATTAGTGTTTCTTATCTTTGGAATTTTTATTGAGTCCAAAGCAAATTTTGCCTCCTCATGAAAATACCAGTGTCATCATGACTTAGATGGCTCTATCATTTTAAATGCTGCAACAACACAAGTAGCCCCTGCTTTTTACTATCTGTCTCCCGTTGCCAGTGTTTCTGACTCATGCTTTCCAATATTGCCAATAGACCTACCATAGAAAGAGATCTCCCAAAGGGAATCCCACTGCCATCCACAGAACTAAATTGGACTCTTTTGATGTGTACTCCATTACTGTGACTATTCGAGTTTTATTTCTATTTAAATTACCAAAAGGCTTTAGGTACTGTGTTCTGTTTATTTGAATAGATTTTTTTAATGATATGGACATAATAATGATAGTTATTTTATGTCTCATTACAACATTAATGTGATGTCACAACAATGTCATTTTATTTGGTGTCCACATAGAATTATTAATGGATAAAGCATAATCCCACAAGTTTTTTAACAGATGTATCGGTTTTATTTTAAATATTCTGTGTTTTTTTACCTTCAGACTATAGATCAAGATTTTAATTCTGCTGAGTGGTTAATATCTTAAAGCAGCTAAAATGGAGAATTTGGGTAGTAAATACTGATAGGTTTATATTCTTTATGTTTATGCTTCTAGACGTCATTTTGTTCATTTTGCAAGAAATTCAGAAACATTTATTTTTATACATTTTAAACAAAAATAATATTAGTGAGTAACTTTAACAGTAATTATACAGATTACTCTGGAGAAAATACAGAAATATTCTTAACTATAAACTGTCAGGTCATCTGAAGAATTATATTTAAAGAAAAGACCAAAAACAGAACAAAACAAATCCCTTTGCTTTAGGGATTGAAAGAAACAGGACTATCCACCAATTATTTACTGGTATTTATTATTTGTATTATTTTGGGTCTGACAAAGCCATGAAAGACTTTTATTCTTCATTTTACAGATGAGGAGATCGAAGTACAGAATTTAACTAGCTTGCTGATAGTAGCAAAGCCAGAATTAAACCCAGTCAACTTGTATTTATTTTGATCATAAAAACCCATCACTAGTTTAGAGGATATACGGACGTTTTCTGTTTAACTTTTAAAAAGTTTACTTACATGGAAGAGTAGGTTTGAGTTGTATATTTCTCATTTTTATTCCAATTTTACTTTAACATGAAGAAAGAAAATACAGCAAAACAAACATTTCCACCTTCAAAAGAACTAAATAACAAACACAATTTTATCTTTTAAAATAGATGCAATACAAAGTATGATAAAAGGTTGTTAATTTCCAACAAAGAAAAGCCCAGGACCAGATGGCTTCACAGCTGAATTTTGCCAAATATTTAAAGAAGAATTGATACCAATACTTCCCAAACTCTTGCAAAAAAAAAAAAAAAAAAAAAAAAACCTAGAGGGAATGATTTCTAACACATTTTACAAGGCCAGCATCACCTTGATACCTAAGAAGACAAAGACATCACAAGGAAAAAAAAAAAACCTACAAGCAAATTTCTTAGATAAACATTGATGCAAAAATGCTCAATAAAATATACTGAGTCCAGCAACACATCAAAAATATTATACATCATGATCAAGTGGGATTTAACTCTGGCATGCAAGGCTGGTTTAACATACATACATCAATCAATGTGATGCATCACATTAGTAGAATGATAGATAAAAGCCTCATGATTATCTTTATTGAAAATATCTCTGACAAAGTTCAACATTATTTCTTGATAAAAATTCTCAACAGTTTTGGAATAGAAGGTGTACTAGTCCATTCTCACACTGCTATGAAGAAATACCTGAGACTGAGTAATTTATAAGGGGAAGAGGTGTAATTGACTCACAGTTCTGCAGGGCTGGGGAGCCCTCAGGAAACTTATAATCATGGCAGAAGGTGAAGCAAGCATGTCCTTCGCATGGCAATGGCAGGGAGAAGTACAGCGTGAAGGCAGGGAAAAGCATCTTATAAAGCCATTAGATCTCATAAGAACTCACTCACTATCATGAGAACAGCATGGAGGTAACCACCCCCATGATTCAGTTACCTCCCACCAGGTCCCTCCTATGACATGTAGGGATAATGGGAACTACAATTCAAGATGAGATTTGGATGGGGACACAGCCAAACCACATCATAAAGGAAATTCCTCAACCCAATAAATGCCATTTATGAAAAACCTACAACCAATATCGTAATCAGTGGGGAAAAACTGAATGCATTTCCACCAACATCTGTAAAAAGCAAGAATGCCCACTCTTGCCACTTCTGTTCAACATAGTACTGGAACTACTGGCAAGAACAGTCATATAAGGAAAAGAAATAAATGGTATCCAAATCAGAAAGGAAGTAAAATTATTCTGACATGATCTTAAATGTATAAATCCCAAAGATGCCACAAAACACTATTAGAACTAATAAGTGAATTTTATAACGTTGCGGGGTACAAAATCAACATATGAAATCAGTATTATTTCAACACACAAATAACAACCTAATTGAAAAATAAATGAAGAAAACAATTCTATTTCCAATAGTATCAAAAATTTAAAAAGTAATATACCTAGGATAAATTTAACCAAGGAAGTGAAAGATCTGTATGCCAAAACTACAAAATACGAAAGAAATAAAGACAATACCAATAAATGGAAAGATATCCTATGTTCTGAATCAGAATTACTATTGTTAAAATGTCCATACTAGCCAAAGAAATATATAGATCTAACACAATCCCTATCGAAATCTCATTGGCATTCTTCATAGAAATAGAAAAAAATTCTCCCAAAGTTTGTATGGAGCCATAAAAGACCTTGAGTAGCCAAAATAATTCTGAGAATGAAAAAGTTTGAGGCATCACACTTTCTGATTTAAAATTGTATTACAAAGCTATGTTAATCAAAACAGTGTGATGCTGGCATAAAGACTAACAGGGCAGTAAAACAAAGTAGAGAGCTTAGAAATTAATCCAAACACATATGGTCAACTAATTTTTTTTTTTTTTTTTGAGACAGGGTCTCACTCTGTCACCCAAGCTGAAGTGCAGGGGCATGATCACAGCTCACTGCTCCTTTGACCTCCTGGGCTCAGGTGATCTTCCCATCTCAGCCTCTTAAGTATCTGGGACTACGGGCATGTGCCACCACAACTGACTATTTTTTTAAGTATTTTTTTTGTAGAGACAGAGTTTTGCCATGTTGTCCAGGCTGGCCTGAAACTCCTGGACTGAAGTGATCCACCCACTTTGGCCTTTCAAAGTGTTGGGACTGTAGGCATGAGCCACTGTGCCTGGCCGTGGTCAACTAATTTTTGACAAGGGCATCACAAGGACACAATAAGGAAAGGATAGTTTCTGAATAAGTGGTATTGGTACCAATAAATGGTACTGGTATGGTAAATTAAACAAGATTTCCACATGCAAAAGAATGCAATTAAAACCTACCTTACACCTTACAAAAAAAAAAAAAACAACTCAAAATTGGATAAAAGACCTAAATAGAAGACCAGAAACTACAAAACTTTCAGAAGAGAACATAGGGTAAAAGCTCCTGGACATTGGCCTTGGCAGTGATTTTTTGGGTATCACACCAAAAGCTCAACCCACAAAAGCAAAAATAAATAAGCAGAACAACATCAAACTTAAAAGCTTCTACACAGCAAAAGAAACAATTGATAAAATGAAAAAGCAGCCCACAGATTGGGAAAAATATTTGCAACCGTATGTCTGAGAAAGGGTTAATATCTGCAATTTATAAACAACTCATACAACCCAATAGTGGGGAAAAATAACCTGATTAAAAAATGTGCAAAAGACCTGAATAGACATTTCTCTAAAGAAGACATAAAAATGGTCAACAGTATATGAAAAGGTTCTCAACATCATTAATCATCAAAAAAATGTAAATTAAAACTAACATGAGATACCACCTCACACTCCTTAGGATGGCTATTACCAAAAAGTCAAAAGGTAACAAATGTTGACCAGGGTATGGAGAAAAGGGAACCTAGGACAGTGTTGCTGAGAATGTAGATTGGTACAGACATTTTTAAAAACAGTATGGAGGTTTCTAAAGAAATTAAAAATATAACTACCATACGACTCAGCAATCTCTCTTCTGGGCTTATACTCAAAGGAAATGAAATCGTCATCTGGTAAAGATATCTGCACTCCCATATTCATTGCTGCATTATTCACAATAGCTGAGATACGGAAACAGCCTAAGTGTCCATTGACAGATGGATAAGGAAGTTGTGGTAAATATATACAATGGAATTTTCCTGAGCCCCCCAAAAAACCAAGATCCTGCCATTTGCCATGCGTGGATGAGCCTGGAGGATATTAGCTAAGTGACATAAGCCAGAAACAGAGAGAAAAATATTGCATTATCTCTTAGATGTGTAATATTTTTTAAAAAATAAAAAATACAGAGATGCAAACAAAATGGTGGTTATAGGGGCAATTAAATGGGGAGATGTCAGCCAGAGGATACAAAGTAGCAGATATGTAGGATGGAAAGTCTGGAGATCTAATGTACAACATGAGGACTATAGGTAATAAAATTGTATTCTATGTAGGATTCATGCTAAATGAGTAGATTTTAGCTGCTGTTGCCACAAAAACAAACAAAAAATGGTTACTAGGTGAGATAAAGGATAAGTGAATTTGTTTCACTATAGAAACCTCTGAACTATCTATATGTATTCCTTAACATCATGTTATATCCTTTAAATATGCACAATAAAATTTATTTTTCTAAAAAAATGCTGTTGAAAGGTTCCATTTAGCATCCAACTCATTCGGGTTTAAATGAACAAAAAATTGTCATGTACAAATCAGGAGAAACATATAGGAATTTTAAAGGCATTAGGGAATTTAAATGTCATCTAAATAATCTTTTTCAAAGCTTAAACCATTTATACATCTAACAAATATATCTAAAATATAGTCAAAATCTCAAAGTTTCTTGCATAATTAAGAATGCACTTAATATATTTTGTTTTATTTATTATGCTTATTACAGGCTTTTCACAACAGCCTAACCAACACATTTCTTAACAATTTTCTGAACACTTTGTTATTTTATTATGACCTTTTTTCCACAATTAGGGTAAACCTCACTTCCTTTGCACTTGGCTGGTGTCTGCATACTGTACCTGCCAGCTACACTTCAAAACACATAAATGGGCATTTGGTAAAACTTATTTCAACTTCCACATTAGACAGAAGGCAACATTCCAGTTACATCAGACTGAAAATAGCTAATCACTAGGCAGAAGAAACTTATTTTAAAATCAAATGTGACTATGATTTTTTAAAAAGTCCCTTTACAACAATGCAGTGCTACCATAATGTGATATTTGGCTATCAACCCCTTACATTTTATTAAACTTGATTCTTGTTATTTCGTGCTTCTTGAAGGGATCAGAGTATAGTAATGAAACCTACAAAACTAAGGGGGAAAAGGAATGGGAATAATAAAGTAATTACAGCAGCCATAATATTCACAAGCTACATACTCAAACTACTTATTGCCATAGATTTTGGAAATAGAGACTTCGATTATGGGTGAGAGGAATGGTGTTTCACATGAGTACATAGTAACTTTTTCATTTTTTTTCTAGGTTATGTAATTCTAACCTTAACAGTTGCTTTATTAGAATCATATAAACAGATATTAGTGACACAACTAAAATAAAATAAGTCAAAGAGAAAGGCCGTAAAACAGATACTTTTCATTTGGTTCAGACCCAGACCCAAGTCTAAGGACAGCAAATTGCTCTTTATTAACTATATTGATGTCTTTATTGGAAACACTATTCTCCTTTAATATTCCTCATCTTGCCTGGAGTCACAGTCATTTACCTGGACGTCCAAACAAGTGGGCCATTAATCCTTTTCTTGTCCCACAGCTGATCAATCATTCAACAAAGTTCAAGAACTACAACTAAATCCATCGCCTCCTCTCCACCCCATTCCATAGCCTCAGTTCAGGTCCTCACAGTCTCCTTCCTGGACCATCAATATGACCTCTAAACTGGTCTACCTGTCTGCACTCTTGCCTTAATCCCCATCCTCATTCACATCTGTGTGACTTTTCTAAATCTTCGAAACTCTTCAATCTAATTAAAATTTTCTATTGGCTTTCCACCTCCTCCAGAGTAAATTTCCAGGTGCTTACTTTGGGTTATGAGACTCCCAGTCCACCAGCTCTACCATATCCTCTTCCCAGAATTGCAGTCTTGTGAAAGACTTGCAATCTTGAACATATATTGAGACAATAAATTCTTAGAGGACAAAAGTCATGTTTTATTTATGTTTTTACCCCCTATTAGTAATGAATCCTGTTTCACATTCCTCCCTTCCCCCCAACGCCCCACATGCTATTTTCTCTGTCCTTTTTTTTTTTTTGACCTGGTGAGCTTTTATTCCTCAAAGTTGTAATCATGTCACTTTCTTAATAAAATCTCCTGACAAAACCCTTCAAAAAGTTTAGTGCTCCCTCTTCTTGTACAAATTTATTTTGGCACAATTCACACTATATAATAACTACTTGTTTCCATGTCTGTTTCCCCTTTTAAAGTGTGGGCATCCCAAAGACAAAGAGTTTATCTTAAAATCTGTATACATTTAGGGATCTAGAACAGTTTCTGAAACATTATTTTGATGTGGTAGGTCCTATTCTATGGACTTTTTCATGATCTCATTTAATGAAACAAGTTCACAATAAATATTGATTAAGTAAAGAGAAAAGCATAAAGTCATTTACAGAAAAATTTCACTTGAAAGATATCACAATATTGAATCTTATTTGAGAATTTAGACAATAAAGTAAATAAATAGCAACTTTCAAGTTGGAAAAAGGTAAATGATGTAAGATATTTTTGAGTAATGGAGGTAATGCACCAGTGGGGTCATGTGAGTCAAATGTAAGTGAAGGATGCTCATGAGTGGTGGAATCTTACTAAGTACAATTCACCATTTTTTTATTTCACTGGGAGGTGCTAGTAAATGAAAAGAGCCATGATCAGGTCTTCCAAAGTAATGTTGCTACTTGTACAACATGCCATTAAGAAATTGTTAAGGTTATTTTAAAAGTAGTTATATTAAAATCTAAAAGCCAGTCTTTGTGTTTCACTACCAAAGTTTTAAATTGCCAATAAGCCGGATAAAATGCCGTGGGAAGATATCCTCACTTGAATGTCAACATCAGCAGAACTTTGTCTAAACCTCACTCTGTGATTGGGTTTTTGCGGGGGAGGATATGCAAATTAAAACCTACTGTTCTTTTCAAGGTCTAAGTTGCTCACTGTTATTTAGCAGTATAAACTATTTTCATAGAGGAACATAGTAAGTAAACATAAAGTTGAACTATAATGAATTTTTATTGTCTCTATTTTCTTTCTGTTATCACAGACCTGTTGAATTTTCAGAAGCTGAATTCTCACGAGCTGAATATCAAAGAAAGCAGCAATTTTGGGACTCAGTACGGCTAGCTCTTTTCACATTAGCAATTGTAGCAATCATAGGAATTGCAATTGGTATTGTTACTCATTTTGTTGTTGAGGGTAAGTATCCAGGTCACAGTTCCATTGCCTAAGTACTCCATGACTTCGTATCTTGAAATTTTCTGTTGTATAAAAAGTGACATTTGCATGATATTAACATTTTAATTACCAGTCTTTTACTGATGTTAAATTATAGTTTGCTTCTGTATTGAGCTCTGTGTTACATATTTCCACCCAGTTAACTTTGTAATAAGCATGGCATTGATAGACGTATCTAAAAGAAATACATAAAAAAGAGAAAGAAGAATGAAAAGATCATCTTTCGCATAAAGACAAATTACATAATGTGCTGAGAGTTTAGTATACTCTTTTCAGAATCAGTATATTAATGAGTTGCCTCAAGAAAAGCTCAGGATATAAGAAGAGTTATCTGAAAAATACCTTTAAAGGGCTAAAGATCAAGCATTATTTTTGAAGAAAAAAACAGATTTTTTTATGACTGTGGGAAGAAGGAAAAGCTCAGTATTACTTCCTAATTATATATGCAAAAATGGAGAGTCAGTATCATAGTTGAGCCAAATGACAATCAACTAAGATTCATTTACCTTCGTCTTTGGTTTCTGTATTTTCCTCTTTTTTTTTGAGACAGATTCTTGAGTTATCACCCAGGCTGGAGTGCAGTCGCACGATCCCGGCTCATTGCAACCTCCACTTCCCAGGTTCAAGAAATTCTCCTGCCTCAGCCTCCTGAGTAGCTAGGATTATAGGCACCTGCCACTACACTCGGTTAATTTTTGTATTTTTAGTAGAGTTGGGGTTTCACCATGTTGGCCAGGCTGGTCTCAAACTTGTGACCTTAGGTGATCCACTCGACCCAGCCTCCCAAAGTGCTGGGATTATAGACATCAGCCACCATGCCCCGCCGATTTCTGCATTTTTAATCACAGGTGATTGAGACTTAAAATTTTAGGCACTCATATCAGTCATAGCAATAAACCACATTTGAAAGATCCGAAGAAGAAATGAAATATTGTCCAACATGCCCAGTTTACCTTCCTACCCTCATTATTGGGGGATTGTTAATAGCCATTCCTTAGACTCTCATAAAATGAAAGCATAAGCCAAGTTACTCTATACAATTTTATCTTTTGTTAGTATTTTCTTTGGGTTAGAAGGTAATGAAATAGTTTTGTTTTTAAAATGCCCTTCACTCCCAATGCTTAAAAACGAAAAAAAAATGAAGGGATAGTAAAAATAATGACAAAAAAAGCATTTTAGCCATTAAAAAAATCTTAGAGGTTGTCATAGGCTGAATAATGCCCCATTCCCATGCCAAGATGTCCATGTCCTAATTGTTAGAATCTGTGAATGTTACCTTATGTAGCAAAAAGGCCTTTCCAGATGTCATTAAACTAATAATTTTGAGATGGGACTTTATCCTGGATATTTTGGATAGGTCCTAAATATAACTGCAAGGGTCCTAATAAAAGGGAGGAAAGAAGGTCAAAGGAGGAAGAACAACAAAAGCAAGAGGAGAATGGGAGGATGTAAAATGGGACCATCAGCAAAGGAATGAGGGTAGTCTCTAGAAAAAGGCAAAAAATAAATTCTCGCCTTACAGCGTCTAGAAGGAACCAGCTCTGCCAACTTTTTGATTTTAGCTTTGTAAAACTCACATATGATATATATGACCTCCAGAACTGTAAGAGTATAAATTCGTGTTGTTTTAAGTCACCAAACCTACAGTAATTTGTTATAGCAGCAATAGACAACTAATACAGAGGTTAACACCCAAGGATTTGAGTGTTCTATCTCCAAGTCTTTCCTGACTGCAGATAATTGAAAAGTTGCCTGACTGCAGATGGACATTTAGGAAAAGACAGGAGAAGGTAGACCATGACAAAAGTTAAACAAGTAGAATGGGATAAAATAGAGGTATATAAGATGATGCAGTTTTTAAAAGGAACATACCTATTTTTATAGCAGAAAGAATTCAGTAAAGGAAATTACATTCTAGTAACCAGGGAAACAACAGAGGACAAGTTATTTCTAAAATATTACTTTTATAGATTGTACATGAATAGATCTGAAAGACAGTGGAGTAAAAATTATCAATAATTGTAAAATAATCACAATAGAAATAAGGATTTCAGCAGACATAGTGGTAAAAGTCACATCACCAGGATGGAAGTGTATTTGATGGAGTTATTTTTATTCTAAAGATTTCAGTAATTATGAATGATCGGCTTTCAGTGCATTATAATTCTGACCAATTATCCACTGTTTTTAAAACTGGGCAATTTTAAAATAAGAATTAATAAAATCAGTGACTTTTGAATATGGTTGATTTATCAGTGCCCTTCAGCCAGGGATCACAGGAATACATCTTCAGATATATACAAGGGAAAAAGAACATATGCCATGGAGAACCACAGGCTGCGCAGTAAAACATTGTTTAAACGTTCTCAGGTTTTATTTTTACAACTCCATAAAATTTTTCAATGCTACTTGGGTATCATTTTAAAAAACAATTACTGTGTTATTAATTGACTATTAAATGCTTGATAGAATTCATGCCTCTATTTATTACTTGACATGATGAAAAGGCTTTTAGATTAATGTGTGCTTATTATCCTCAGGATTTCCATTTGGATTCTTATTGATTATTTCCTCAAAGAGAAAGAAAATGTCTTAAAACGAAATCGTATTTGAACATTAAATGAGTATAACAGCATTGTACGTATTTTTTTGAGGCTTGCATCTACTCAACATTGTTGCAAGCATCATCTGCCTTGTTGAAGGCAGCTTTAGTCTGGTTTTTTTTTTAAATTATTGACTGATATTCATTATCTTAAATATTCCATAATTTACTTATCTATTCAAATACTTATAGACATTTGGGTTGTTCCAGGTTTTAGTCATTAAAGCAATACTGCTGTAAATATTTTTATACACAGATCTTGTACACACATCCAAGAGTTTGTCTAGGAACTATGCAGATGCAGAACCACTGGGTCATTGGACATATGCTTTTTTTTTTTTTTTTTTTTTGAGATGGAATCTTGCTCTGTTGCCTAGCCTGTAGTGCAATGGCACAGTCTTGGCTCACTGCAACCTCTGCCTCCCGGGTTCAAGCAATTCTTCTGCCTCAGCCTCCCAAGTAGCTGGGATTACAGGCACCCGCCACCATGCCCAGATAATTTTTGTGTTTTTAGTAGAGATGGGGTTTCACCATGTTGGTGAGGCTGATCTCTAACTCCTGACCTCGTGATCTGCCCGACTTGGCCTCCCAAAGTGCTGGGATTACAGGCATGAGCCACCGCTTCTGGCCAGGGCATGTGCTTTTTTATCATCATGGATAATACCAAACTGTTTTCTACCAGCAGTGCATCTCAGTTCCCATTGCTCCATATCCTCACCAACATTTAGTGTTGCCATAGTTTTTTATATTTGCTAATTTGGTGTAGGATATAGCATTATCCTCATAATCTTAATTTGCATTTATCTGTTCTACAATGATGTAGAGGATCTGTCCATGTCTCAGTCGCTCATTTGGATTTTCTGCTATTGTGAAGTGCCTTTTTAAGTCGTTTTCCCATTTTGTATTGAGTCATCTGTTTTTTCTTATTGATTTCAAAGAGTTCTCTCTGGATATATATATTCATTGTCAGTTGTATGTATTAGAAATGTCCTCTTCCAGTGAAAAATTTTGTACACACATATGTATACACAAATCTTATATATAATACATATTATGTGTTATACATATAATATACATATATTTTTATGTATTATGATGATGTATATATATATATAAAATGCTGCCTTCATAACTGTGTGAAGCTCTTTCGAGATTAATGAATAAAATAACATTCACTACCATTCACATGAATTATGACACTAACTAAAAAAATTCAAACACTGAATTTGCCAGTTGTCTCAGTATTTTTTGTGTTTGTTGGTTTTGTTGTTTAGTTACTGGAATTATATAGTAAATTATATTTTCAACAAGCATTTTCATGACCCAGATAAATTTTTCAGGATTTTTAAGAATCAATTGTTATACCACTTGTTATGGGGTAAAAAAAATGCTTTATAGAGTTGCATGAAATATTTTAAAGATTTTACTATTTAGAATTATGTTTTAACAAAATCCAGAAACCCAATTATCTAAAGCTGTTTTTGAAGTTTGGTTTCTTGAAAACCTAAAGAGTAAAATTTGCATTGAGATAGCATCACTTGTCTTCCTGTTCTATAGGGCTGGATCCACTTCCAGGAATGTAGGGATTATATTTTCCCACAAAATATTATTCTCCCATGAAATCCCAAGAGCCAAGCATACCTTGATTTTATTTATTTATTTATTTATTTATTTTTAAATTTATTTATTTATTATTATTATACTTTAAGTTTTAGGGTACATGTTCACAATGTGCAGGTTAGTTACATATGTATACATGTGCCATGCTGGTGCGCTGCACCCACTAACTGGTCATCTAGCCTTAGGTATATCTCCCAATGCTATCCCTCCCCCCTCCCCCCACCCCACAACAGTCCCCAGAGTGTGATGTTCCCCTTCTTGTGTCCATGTGTTCTCATTGTTCAATTCCCACCTATGAGTGAGAATATGCGGTGTCTGGTTTTCTGTTCTTGCGATAGTTTACTGAGAATGATGATTTCCAATTTCATCCATGTCCCTACAAAGGACATGAACTCATCATTTTTTATGGCTGCATAGTATTCCATGGTGTATATGTGCCACATTTTCTTAATCCAGTCTATCATTGTTGGACATTTGGGTTGGTTCCAAGTCTTTGCTATTGTGAATAATGCCGCAATAAACATATGTGTGCATGTGTCTTTATAGCAGCATGATTTATAGTCATTTGGGTATATACCCAGTAATGGGATGGCTGGGTCAAATGGTATCTCTAGTTCTAGATCCCTGAGGAATCGCCACACTGACTTCCACAATGGTTGAACTAGTTTACAGTCCCACCAACAGTGTAAAAGTGTTCCTATTTCTCCACATCCTCTCCAGCACCTGTTGTTTCCTGACTTTTTAATGATTGCCATTCTAACTGGTGTGAGATGGTATCTCATTTTGGTTTTGATTTGCAGTTCTCTGATGGCCAGTGATGGTGAGCATTTTTTCATGTGTTTTTTGGCTGCATAAATGTCTTCTTTTGAGATGTGTCTGTTCATGTCCTTCGCCCACTTTTTGATGGGGTTGTTTGTTTTTTTCTTGTAAATTTGTTTGAGTTCATTGTAGATTCTGGATATTAGCCCTTTGTCAGACGAGTAGGTTGCAAAAATTTTCTCCCATTTTGTAGGTTGCCTGTTCACTCTGATGGTAGTTTCTTTTGCTGTGCAGAAGCTCTTTAGTTTAATTAGATCCCATTTGTCAATTTTGGCTTTTATTGCCATTGCTTTTGGTGTTTTAGACATGAAGTCCTTGCCCATGCCTGTGTCCTGAATGATAATGGCTAGGTTTTCTTCTAGGGTTTTTATGGTTTTAGGTCTAATGTTTAAGTCTTTAATCCATCTTGAATTGATTTTTGTATAAGGTGTAAGGAAGGGATCCAGTTTCAGCTTTCTACATATGGCTAGCCAGTTTTCCCAGCACCATTTAGGTGATCTTCAGCAAACTTCTTTTCTACTTCACTAAGCTTCAGTACTCTTATATAAAGGGGTATACTATTATTTTTACTTCAGAAAATTGTTGTGATTATTAAATTAGATTTGTGTTTTCACACAGTGCATGGTATGTAGTAATTTCTCACAAATATTTGCCATTATTAAATTCGATTTCTACAATGGCTTCCTAATTGATCTTTTATAAAACCTTATTTAATGTTGAATTTCTTCACTGGTGAAATGAGCTGAGCATATAATAAAGATTCAATAAATGGCAAATATCATGTTCTCTGCATATAAGGACAATTCAATAAAGGAAAGGTATTATTAATTAAGACAAAAGTTCAACATTAACATAATTGCTATAGTATAGTGACTAATATAGTTATGCTTCATATATAACTTATATTTTTAGCACTTTTAAAAGCACTTAAAGTATATATTAAAATCACTTTTACTTCTACGAGATTCCAGAATATGCTTTTGCCTAACATGGAAATTCTTAAAGACAATATAGGGATATGTATATGATAATGAATAGAATAGCTGTGTCACTCTGGGATCAATCTTAATTTTAATCTTTTTTTTGTAATAAAACTTTAATTGTGAAATCTTATCAAGATGTGCCTTGAGAAATAGCTTGAATTCATTAAATTTAATAAGATAATATATGTGAGAGTTGATTAGACAGTTTAGTGTTTGTTAGGAACTTGGTAAATATTGATTAATTCATCCACGCATCCATCAGTAAAAATAAAGAAATAACAATTGTCAGCAAAACAGCCAAATAGATTGTAAACTGTTGTGGTAAAATGTCACCCTGATTCATATTTCTTGACATCTCATTTTGAATGAACAAAATGTATTTTTTTAAAGAAGTAAGATAATGCTTAGAATCAATTTTGTAAGTGGAACAAAAAGATACAAAATTGTGATGATAAGCTATCTCAGCCAAGTAAAACAATTATTTTAACAGAATAAATAACAACCACAATTAAAACATCAATTACTTCTAGATATTACACTTACAGATTTTCATCCTCTTGTATATAATTTTCTGGTCATTCCAGATTTTCTGATACAGCATTTATGATCTAAAAAATGTTTTTAAATGAATGTTTGTTTTTAACATTTAAAAAAATTTAAATGAATATTTAAATGTTTTCAACATTGAAAAAATGTTTTAAAATGAATGTTTAAAATGCAGTAAGAGATTGGAGATCTGGCCAGGTGCGGTGGCTCACACCTGTAATCCCAGCACTTTGGGAGGCCTAGGCTCATGGATCACTTGAGGTCAGGAGTTCGAGACCAGCCTGGACAACATGGTGAAACTGTTCTCTACTAAAAATACAAAAATTAGTCGGGTGTAGTGGCGTCCCCCTGTAATCCCAGCTACTCAGGAAGCTGAGTCAAGAGAATCACTTGAACCTAGGAGGTGGAGGTTGCAGTGAGCTGGAATAGTGTCACTGCACTCCAGCCTGGGCAACAGAGTGAGACTCCATCTCAAAAAGATAGATAGATAGATAGAGAGAGAGAGAGAGAGAGAGAGAGAGAGAGAGAGATTAGAGATTAAATGGGTTATAGTTACAGGATTTAAAGACTGAAAAATTAATTGGATATTGGAAATGAGGATGAAACCAAGCCTTGGGTGACCATGTGGATATTAGGGCTGTTCACAAAGATAGAAAATATAGGAAGTGGAGCAGGTTTAAGTAAATAAGGGAGTAAATGATTATTTCACTTTGGAAATATATTAGAGGTGCCTATTTAATGTGCAATAAGCAGTCTTCTGAAGTCAGTTGATGTAGAATTGAAACTCATGACAAAGGTTTGGTCTAAAGATAAAGAATTTAGGAGTCATCAATAAATAGTTAGTGGGTAAGGCCATCCCAGTTAAGATTACCAAAAAGTACTTAATATGACCAGGTCAAAGATAGAATCTTTGAATGCCAAGGAGAAGGGTGGAAATAAAGAGCTCACCAAGGTGACTGCGACGTATGGCCAGGGAGGTGGAAGAAAACTAGAAGATGGCTTCATAAAACCAAAGATAGGTTTTCAGGGAACATGATGAAGGCTACAAGGAAATCAAGGAGTAAAACAAACAAACAAAACCATGAAAGACATTACAATGGTTGTCCTTGAAAAAGACAGCTTTAGTGGTGTGTTAGGAACAGATTGCAGAGAATTAGGGAGTGAATGGGAAAAAAAGAAGGTGAAAACAATAAATATGGACTTCTACTTAAGTAAGCTTAGCAGTAGCATAAAAAAATTTGACAGCTTGTTCAGTGTATCTTCATAATACAGCTTATATCTGATATACCTGTTAGCAATTCTTTGAGGGAACTGATGACATTTACATGACTTTCAGCAATTGCTTTCGATATTATCTTTCCACTGTATGTTGCATGTCCAATTTTATGAATATTTTGATATGCATAAATATCTATAATGGAGTGTTATGTATGAGTACTTTGGGATCAGAATTTTTTATTTTAACCAGCAGCAGTGGTGAAATTACAGAGTATTTGAGAAGTGTCTTCAAGAATTTTTACACTAAGTAGAAATAAACTGCATTATTGTAGCCTATTTAGCAGGTGTGGGCAAGACGTAGGGGACAAAACAACTTATTACCTTTAACCATGAGACTTTTGTTTGTTTTACCTTTCAGATGATAAGTCTTTCTATTACCTTGCCTCTTTTAAAGTCACAAATATCAAATATAAAGAAAATTATGGCATAAGATCTTCAAGAGAGTTTATAGAAAGGAGTCATCAGATTGAAAGAATGGTAAGCTCAACAGAAATTTTAAATGTTTATTAATGTGTCTTTTGCATCACTTTGAATGTGGGTGTTATATAGGAACTTAGTCTCAATTTCTTCTTTTGCATAATGGAGATACTATAGTATGTAAGTCATACAGTTGTGAGGATTAAATTACTTAATATGTATAAAATATTCAGTATACTGTGTGCACCATCAAATGTATATAGTAGATTAGAGTAGGCAACTAACTCCTGAGAAATTGTTGGTTGAAACAAATGTTTCTCTATTTTTAACTCTTGATTTTATCGTTTTCGATTCATTTTCTTTATTCTTTTTTAACATAAGAATATAGAGTTGCCACAATCAGCTTACCGGTTTGTTTATTTTGACAGCACTTAAAAAGATTATATAAAAGGACGTGGTATAGCTATAATTCTTGATATTAATCTTAGATCTAGTTATGACTTACATATTTTGCTTTTTAAATAGCTTATGTATTTATCAAGTTATTTGTAATTTTTTAAGTATATTGGGTGAGCCATCTCCTTAACTGTCATAGCAGAAAGGCAAAGAGAATAGTCTTCCATTTTTTGTCCCATGAAAAGCATGGCTATGGAGATCATAGATTTGTTTAGCAAAATTCAGTATATTAGCTTGGATTGTAGTCTTTTAAACTTATAAGAGTTATTCTAGAACCAAGAATTAATGGCCAAATAGAGCACTATGTTAATATGATTCTTTATGATTAGCTTTAGACACTGATCTCCTTTAATAAAATAGGAGAACTTTAGCATTCCCATTCTCCCTCACTGTACTATCCTTTCTCTGTATTATTCACAATGTGAGAAAATATTTACAATTTATCCTGTTATTTACATAAGTTGATTCTAAATGTTGAAAAGCAATAAGAGCATTTCCATTTCCATGGCTATTCAAATAGCGTTTTTGTTTTTTACAATTATTACCACAGTTCTTATGCCATTCAAATAATGTTCCTGGAATTAAGTATGAATATATTTTCTCTCTCTTTCATGTGTGTGTAACACCTCTACCATTTTACTGTATTATCAGACATTTCCAAGGTCTTGATATTTCTTTAAATCTTCTTTTCTAAAACTTTATGTTTCCTGTTCAATTTCAACTAGTTGCGCTGTAGGTCCACTTTACAAAGGTAAACCTAACCAGGACAGGACTGCACCCTTTTGTGAGATCCATTGCTTCTTGCATCCCTGTTTTCATTGATATAGTAAGATATGCCCTCAAGTACCTTTACTAAGAAAAAGTTCATGGGATGTAAAATTTATGAATTATTTCATACTGAAAAAATCCTGTATTCTATATTTCACTCAGTTGAAAGTTTGGATGCACAACTTTAAATCGAAAATCATTTCCCTAAAAGTTCATGTAATGTGATGCCTCTGCCATTTTTCTTTTTGCTTAGGATTGCTTTGGTGATTTGGACCCTTTTTTGGTTCCGTGTAAGTTTCAGAATAGTTTTTTTTTTTCTAATTCTGTAAAAAGTGATCTTGGTACTTTGATAGAAATAGTGTTAAATCTCTAAACTGCTTTGGGCAGTATGGTCATCTTAATGGTGTTGATTCTTCCAATCCATGATCATGTCCATGAGACAACGTTTGTTTTGTCTCTGATTTCTTTCAGCAGTGTTTCGTAGTTCTCCTTGTAGGGATCATTTACCTCTTCGATTAGATATATTCCTAGGTATTTTATTCTTTTTGTGGCTATTGTAAATGGGATTGCATCTTGATATTGCTGTCAGCTTGAACATTATTGGTGTTTTAAAATGCTACTAATTTTAATCCCGAGTTCTAGTTTGATTGCACTGTGGGCTGAGAGATAGTTTGTTATAATTTCTGTTATTTTACATTTCCTGAGGAGAGCTTTACTTCCAAGTATGTGGTCAATTTTGGAATAGGTGTGGTGTGGTGCTGAAAAAAATGTATATTCTGTTGATTTGGGATGGAGAGTTCTGTAGATGTCTGTTAGGTCCGCTTGGTGCAGAGCTGAGTTCAATTCCTGGGTATCCTTGTTGACTTTCTGTCTCGTTGATCTGTCTAATGTTGACAGTGGGGTGTTAAAGTCTCCCATTATTAATGTGTGGGAGTCTAAGTCTCTTTGTAGGTCACTCAGGACTTGCTTTATGAATCTGGGTGCTCCTGTATTGGGTGCATATATATTTAGGATAGTTAGCTCCTCTTGTTGAATTGATCCCTTTACCATTATGTAATGGCCTTCTTTGTCTCTTTTGATCTTTGTTGGTTTAAAGTCTGTTTTATCAGAGACTAGGATTGCAAACCCTGCCTTTTTTTGTTTTCCATTTGCTTGGTAGATCTTCCTCCATCCTTTTATTTTGTGCCTATGTGTGTCTCTGCACATGAGATGGGTTTCCTGAATACATCACACTGATGGGTCTTGACTCTTTATCCAATCTGCCAGTCTATATACACCATGGAATACTAAGCAGCCATAAGAAATGCTGAGTTCATGTCCTTTGTAGGGACATGGATGAAATTGGAAATCATCATTCTCAGTAAACTATCGCAAGAACAAAAAACCAAACACCACATATTCTCACTCATAGGTGGGAACTGAACAATGAGAACACATGGACACAGGAAGGGGAACATCACACTCTGAGGACTGTTGTGGGGTGGGGGGAGGGGGGAGGGATAGCACTGGGAGATATACCTAATGCTAGATGATGAGTTAGTGGGTGCAGCACACCAGCATGGCACATGTATACATATGTAACTAACCTGCACATTGTGCATATGTACCCTAAAACTTAAAGTATAATAATAAATAAATAAATAAATAAATAAATAAATAAAATGCTACTAATTGTTTTATGTTGATTTTTTGTATCCTGAAACTTTAATGAAGTTTATCGATTCTGGGAGCTTTTTTTGTGAAGTCTTTGTTTCTATACATAGAATTGTATCATTTGTGAAGATAGATTATTTAACTACTTCTTTTTCTATTTGGATGCCTTTTACTTTTTTCTCTTGCCTCATTACTCTGTGTAGGACTTCTAGTACTATGTTGAATAGGAGTGGAGAGAGTGGCATCCTTGTTTTGTACCAGTTCTCAAGGGGAATGGTTCCAGCTTTTGCCCATTCAGTGTGATGTTGGCTGTGGGTTTGTCATAGATAGCTCTTATTATTTTGACATATGTTCCTTCAATGCCTAGTTTATTGAGGGTTTTTATCATGAAGGGATGTTGGATTTTATCAAAAGCTTTTTCTGCATCTATTGGGATGATCATTCTGTTTTTAATTCTGTTCATATGGTGAATCACATTTATTGATTTATGTATGTTGAGCCACTTGCATCCCAGGAATAAAGCCTACTTGATTGTGGCAAATTAACTTTTCGTGCAGCTAGATTTGGTTTGCTGGTATTTGGTTGAGGATGTTTGCATCTATGTTTATAAGGAGTATTGGCCTGATATTTTCTTTTTTCACGTATCTTTGTCAAATTTTGGTATCAGGATGATGCTAGCTTTGTTGAATGAATTAGGGAGGACTGCTTTCTTCCTGATTTTTTGGGAATAATTTCAGTAGGATTGGTACCCATTTTTCTGTGTATGTCTGGTAGAATTTGGCTGTGAATTCATCTGGTCCAGGGATTTTGTTTGTTTGTAGGTTTTTTGTTACTGATTTAGTTTCAGAACTCATTATTGGTCTGTTCAGGTTTTCAATTTCTACTTGGTTCATTCATGGAGGTTATATGTTACCAATAATTTATCTATTTCCTCTGGGTTTTCTAATTTACATGCATAGGGGTGTTCATAATAGACTGAGTATTTCTGTGGGATTGTATTTCTGTGGGATTGGTTGTAATGTCAACTTTGTCATTTCTGATTGTATTTATACGGATTGTCTCTCTCTTTTTCTAATTTAGGTAGCTATCAGTCTTGTTTATTCTTTCAATAAACCAAAAATTTGGTTTTGTTGATCTTTTTTTAACAGATTTTTGTGTCTCAATTTAGTTTTGTTCTGCTCTGATTTTAATTGTCTTTTATTTTGCTAGCTTTGGTGTTGGTTTGTTGTTGTTTTTCTAGTTTCTCTATGTGCATTGTTAGATTGCTAATTTTAGATCTTTCTAACTTATTGGTGTATTTGTTTAGTGCTATAGACGTTCCTCTTAACACTGCTTTAGCTGCACCCCAAAGATGTTGATGTCTTGTGCCTTTACTGTCCCTAATTTCAAAGAAATATTTGATTTTTGCCTTAAATTTGTTGTTTACCCAAAGGTAATTCAGGAGCAAGTTACTTAATTTCCATGTAGTTGTGTGGTTTTGAGATATCTTCTTGGTAATGATTTCTATTGTTATTGCACTGTGGTATGAGAGTGTGCTTGCTGTGATTTTTTTTTAATTTATTCAGGCTTGCTTTATGGGCAAATACTTGATTTATCTTGTAGTATATTCCACATGCAGATGAGACAAATATATATTCTATGGTTGTTGGGTGTAGTATTCTGTAGGTGTTTGTTAGGTCCAGTTGGTCAAGTGTCAAGTTTTTGTCCACAATTTCTGTGTTAGTTTTGTGCCTCAATGATCTGTGTAATGTTATCAGTGGGACTGTTGATGTTTCCCACCATAATTGTGTAGCTGTCCAAGTCTTCATAGGTCTAGAAGAACTTGTTTTATGAATCTGAGTGCTCCAATGTTGGGTGCATATATATTTTGGATGGCTGAGTCTTCTTGTTGAATTGATCCTTTTATCATTATGTAATGGCCTTGTTTTTCCTTCTTTACCGTTCTTGCTGCTTTTTGTTTTCTGTTTGCATGACGGATCTTTCTCCAACCCTTTACTTTGAGCCTATGGGTGTCATTACATGTGAGATGGTTCTTTTGAAGGCAGCAGATTGTAGAATCTTGTGTTTTTATCCAACTTGCCACTGTATGCCTTTTAAATGGGACATTTAGACCATTGACATTTAAGTTAGTGTTGATATATGATATTTTGTTCCTGTCATGTTAGCTGATTGTTTTGTAGATGATTGTATAGTGGCTTTATGATGTCTGTGGGCTACGTACTTAAATGTGTTTAAATGCAAATCAAAACCACTATGAGATACCATCTCACACCAGTTAGAATGGCAATCATTACAAAGTCAGGAAACAACAGGTGCTGGAGAGGATGTGGAGAAATAGGAACACTTTTACACTGTTGGTGGGACTGTAAACTAGTTCAACCATTGTGGAAGTCAGTGTGGCGATTCCTCAGGGATCTAGAACTAGAGATACCATTTGACCCAGCCATCCCATTACTGGGTATATACCCAAATGACTATAAATCATGCTGCTATAAAGACACATGCACACGTATGTTTATTGCGGCATTATTCACAATAGCAAAGACTTGGAACCAATCCAAATGTCCAACAATGATAGACTGGATTAAGAAAATGTGGCACATATACACCATGGAATACTATGCAGCCATAAAAAATGATGAGTTCATGTCCTTTGTAGGGACATGGATGAAATTGGAAATCATCATTCTCAGTAAACTATCGCAAGAACAAAAAACCAAACACCGCATATTCTCACTCATAGGTGGGAATTGAACGATGAGATCACATGGACACAGGAAGGGGAATATCACACTCTGGGGACTGTGGTGGGGTGGGGGGAGGGGGGAGGGATAGCATTGGGAGATATACCTAATGCTAGATGACGAGTTAGTGGGTGCAGCGCACCAGCATGGCACATGTATACATATGTAACTAACCTGCACAATGTGCACATGTACCCTAAAACTTAAAGTATAATAAAAAAAAAGAACATAAAAAAATAAATAAATAAATAAATGTGTTTCTGTGGTAGCTGGTATTGTTCCTTCATTTTGACATTTAGCATTCTCTTAAGGACCTCTTGTAAGGCCGATAGTGGTAACGAATTCTCTTAGCTTTTGCATATCTGAAAATGATTTTATTTCTCCTTTACTTATGAAGCTTAGTTTGGCAGGGAATGAAGTTCTTGGTAGGAATTTCTTTTCTTTAAGGATGCTGAAAATATGTCCCCAGCCTCTTCTGGCTTATAAGGTTTCTGCTGAGATGGCCTGATTAGGTTCCACTTATAAGTGACCTGACCCGTCTCTGTAGCTAACTTTAAGATTTTTTTTTCTTTTGCAGCGACCTTGGTGAATCTGACGACTGTATGCCTTGAGGATTGTTGTCTTATATTGCCTCTTGTAGGAGTTCTTTGCATTTCTTGAATTTGCATGTCAACTTCTCTAGTGAGATTGGGGAGATTTTTGTGGATCCTATGCTTAAATATGTTTTGCAAGTTGTTCCTCTCTCTTCTTGTATATCTGGAATGCCAGTGGATCATAGGTTTGGTCTCTTTACATAATCTCATGTTTCTTGGAGGTTTCGTTCTTTTTTAAAATTTCTTTTTTCTTTATTTTTGCCTAAGTTGATTCAAAGAACTGGTCTTCGAGCTCTGAGATTCTTTCCTCAGCTTGGTCTATTCTGTTGTTCCAACTGTATTATAAAATTCCTGTAGTAAATTTTTCAATTTTAGGAGTTTAGTTTAGTCCTTTCTTAAAGTGGCTATGTCATCTTTCACCTCTTGGATCATATTACTGGACTCATTGGATTGGATTTCAACTTTCTCCTGCATCTCAATGAGTATCCTTGCTATCCGGATTCTACATTCTATATCTGTAGTTTCAGTCTTTTCAGTCTGGTTAAGAAACATTGCTGGGGAGGTAGGGTGATTGTTTGCAGGCAAGGAGACAGTCTGACTTTTTGAATTGCCAGAGTTCTTGCACCTATTCTTTTTCATATGAGAGGTCTCATGTTCCTTTATCTTTTTGAATTTGCTGTCGTTTGAATGGGGCTTTTTTTATTATTATTATTTATTTCCCTTGACATTTTGGCTGTTGTATAAGTTGAGTATAGTCTGTTGTCTTCATTTCTTGGTGCTTTCAGAGGGCCAAAGTTCTGTACTGGTTTTTATTTGTGGCTAGATTCTTGCATGGGTTTCATAAGCATGTGTTTTGGAAGAATTTTGTTGGTGTTATAATTAAGACTGTGATCCAGTAGATGGTGCTTAAGAGTAATGACTGGCAGATAGGCTGTTAGCTGCCCTGCTCTTGTGTATTTCAGTGTGTTTGCAACAGTGCTCTGTGGTTGTGGCGTTGAAGAGAGATGATGCTCTTACCAGGTCCATCCCTGTGCCTTAGGGGGCCCCCTTTAATCACTGGCACCATGCCCTCATTTCTTTAGCCTCAAGGGGTGCCCAGGTAGGCTTTCTGCCTCTACTAGTGACAGTCCAAGCTAAAGATTAGGTTGCCAAGAGACCTGCAATGTTGTGGAAGCTTAATGGAGTCAGAGCAGGTTGTGGGGTATATCTGAAGGTGGTCTGTTGATGCTTTGACCTACTGTCAAGGGTGAGGGGTCTCTGGGCAGGGTGGTGTTGTCATGGGTATGCAGCTTATGTGGTGCTCGTGGCTCACAGTTTTTTTGCCCATCAGATAGCTGTGGGGCCTGCCCAGCTTGTTCTCCCTCACCCAAGTTTCCTTCTGTTTGCTTCCTGAGTATCTGGCCCAACCAGCTGGTTTTGTCCCAAGCCTTCTGTACCCAGATCACTGGGCTGTTAGGTGTCCAGAGCTGTGGTGCTTCTTTGGGCAGAGGCAGTGGCTGTCAGACAGGCCACACTCTTTCTGGATTATCCCTGTAGAGGGAGGCACACCAGCTTCTGTACCAGCCCATCAATCCATGTCTCACTCTTCTCAGTGTTCTGAGAGTGGGGGCTCTTCCCCTGCTGCAGCACCAGCCACAGATCTCAGCTTGGCACTCCTGAACTATGTGCTCTAACCCAACGGGGTTGAGATTGAGCCTGCAGCTTTATCTTCTGGCCTCATGGGGTTGGAGACTGGTTCTGCTTGGGGAGCAGATATGCTCGCAAACCAGTAAAGCACTCATACTGGGCAGTGGAAGCTCTGCTGTGTGCATGTTCTTGTGGGAGCAGCCAGGTAGCATCCTTGGGAGGGGCTGGTGGACAGCCAGCTGTACAGAAGAGACACACCTTAGTCTCATGAGAAAGGCAGCACTGCTCTCTCCTGGCCCTGCGGTCAGCAGAGGTCAGAGCTATTTGGAGGAAGGGGGAGAGCCTTGGAGGATGGGTTCCTGTGGCCATGTTTTGCTGTAGCTGCCTCACGTGCAAAACCCTCTGGGGTCCATGCAGGCAGGAGCTCTCTCTGCCTACTCTCGAGGCAGATCCCCCTGCCAATTCAAGTATCTATGGGGGTTGTGGGATCTCTTGTAGGTATGATCCTAGAGATCCCCAGCAAGAGTGAATTGCCTCACAGTCACTTCATTCACCCCTTCCCTAGTTGCTATTCAGGGCCGGGAGCTAGTCCTAACATCCAGCAAGACCACATAGGGTTGCCAGCTTCCTCATCTTCAGCCTCTGTGTCTGCATTGCCTCTCTATCAACTCTGAGTGTTTTCTCTCCCAGAGATCTGTTTGATGTATGTTGGCTTACTCAATATTTTGGTCTCTCTCAGTGGGAAAGTTCCTTTCTGGCTGTATCTGGGCAGCCGTCTTGCCACTCCCCCAACAAGTTCTCAGTTATTTTTCATTGGTGGCAAAGAGAGGAGGTGAGTGAAACATATCCACTTTAATGATATATTAATACTTTAAATCATGGTTCTTCAGCAAAAATGTTGAAGATTGTCTGTCTCTACCATCTTTCTATGCCCAAAAGCCATATGAAAGCCATACGTGTGGTAGAGTTTGTGTGGAACTGTTTTGTTTAAAAACTGGATTTATATTTTGACAGTACTCCATCGTTTTTGCCAAAGTTAAAAAAAATGACTAGTCTGGTAATTAAAACAAGATACTAATTGTTTACATACTGAGACTTGCTCGTGTGATTAAATTAATATTAATTACTTAAAATTAATGTGTGAAGTATCACTACTTAACTAAATGGAATGCAGGAATACTTTATCAAGTACATATCCTAGGACAAGCAATCTTTCTAACAGACTGGTCTCCATTTTCCCCTTGGGAGCATCCAGTAATTAATGTACTTCTGCTAAGATTCCACACCTCAAAGCCAATGCTGTAAAAAATTGTTTGTTTAGATAAAAATAAATATAAACATGAGTTCTGGAATTTTTCCATATGTTCTATGATACATTGACTTCACTTTGGAACTGAATGCTCAGGACAATCCAAAAAGATAATACTATAAATGACATGACAGTTATTATAGTTGGATAGGTAAGAGATTTCCAAAATAAAGACTGGAAAATTCTCATGACTCCCATCCACTATGCAGAATTTTCAGTATCAAAAGGCTACAGATATTGACTCCAAAACTTTCTAGTCTCATTTCTTAATAATAGCTTCTCACTGAAACCATCTTTACTGGGCTCTTTATATTCTAAAACTACAACAACTAGCTTGAGGGACTATGTTTTAAAAGGACATCTTAAAAATATTTCTTTTTTCATTCTTCGTTCCCCTCTATTTTAAGAGATTAACATTTGCAATACAAAAACTTCTTTAGAGACAAAAAATATTACATTTAAAAACACTTTTTCTTTTAAGTTTATTGAATCTTTTCCTGGCTGTTAGCTAAAAACCTTATCTAAAACTTGGGGATGTGTGATGACAGAACTTCCAAAGAATAGACATTGAAATAGATGCATAGCGGAGCATTATCTAGTACCAATTAATTTATTTTTGTATAGGTTATATTCCAAAACACAGAACTTATGACTGGGGGATCTTGATTAAATAATTTATTAATCAAGATCTTTCAGAAAAAAATTCATAAGGAAGTGAGGACAGCAGGAAAGGGCAAAGGAAGAAGCTAGATAAAAATGTAGTTTCACAAATGTAGCCTCAGCATGATTTCTCTGGGAGATCTGGAGCTTAGATTAATCACGGAGGTGATTCTTCCCAGAAATTAGAGGGTTGGGTTGTTTGTCTTAGACCAGTGGATCTGCCCAGGGAAGGTGGAGCATAGCCTACCAGACATTACTAAACAAGGTGCTCAGGTCAGACAAGGACAATTCTCTGGAGAAGTGCAGGTGTGAACTGTTATCAGTCAATTCTCGAAGCTGGGGTATGGGTACACCTCCCCACTCAGTGCAATTTGGATAGAGAACAAATATCTACTACAATTCTTTTCTCACAACTCATTATCATTTAAGTAATTTCAGCTTCTTAAATAAATTTCATAAGAAAGAAGGAAAAGTTTATTTGCTTGATCAGTGACTGCAAGCAATAACTCCCCATTGGCCTAGGCCTCCAGATAATCCAACTCATGATCCTGGCTTTGCTTTGTTTCCTTCTGTGGCTCTGTAAGTGATTTCATCCATTCCCATAATAGGAGTTCAGAAGAAGAAAAATCCTTTTGAGTCAGCAGGAAGCTTTCCTGGAGAGGAAAGAGGAAAAGAATCAGTTTTGTTGGTGTTTTTGCCCTCTGCTGGCACATATTCCCTTGACAGTAACAGGAAATTTGCATAACCTGCCTGATTATTTTCATGGGTGAACCTCAAAAGGGATTCCCTACCTGGCATACAGTAACTACTGATCTTCCTTGAGGACTTAATCTGCATTTAGTTCACAACCAAAGGAAAGATGTGAGCTCAGACTTGCCAAAAACAGTACCTGGGTGGTATGAAGCTAATTAGTTAGAGCCATAAGTATTGTTTCAAATATGTTATTTTGTTTTTTAATGCTGGAGTTCAAACCAAAGACTACAATTGGTATCTGATTTTAGGGTGAAGTTTTTTCCCCCATTTTACCATGAGCACACTATCTTGTTTCATATAGAATAATCTCTAGTAAAATGATCTATTCTTAGGTTTGAACTGTAAAAAGGGAAAGGATACAATTAGTTTTTGTAGTTTGGATCACATTAAAAGCATTATATTACTGAGTTTCCAACAGAAAAAAGTAAATATGAGTTAAACTTTCCAGAAACTAGTTATAACAATCATTAGGTATCTGAGGAGGAATAGTTCCCCTACCCCTGTTAAACTTAGAAGCAGTAAACAATCTCTGAAGAGATTATCTCTTAGGAGATTTATATTCAGGAAATAAAAGATGCCTTTGAGGGCTTCTTTAAGGGTTTCTTTCACCATGACCTTCCTACCTGCCTGTCTCCCACCAACTTTAACATCTGCTTCAAATATGTAATTAATTCAAGGTTGTCAAAGTCACTTAATGCGCTTAACACAAGATCTAAAGATGGCTTCCCTGGGTTCATATTACAGAGCCACCACTTCCTGTGCCACCTTAGACAAGATTATATATCCTGAGTCTCAGTTTCTTCATCTATCAAATGGAGCTGATGAGAATGATACTTTTCCTCCTAAGGTAGTGTGAGTTTTAAACAAAAGAATCAGTCCAATGCCTGCCATGCAGTATGGAATTAATACTTGTAAGCTTTTAGTAAAGGTCACACCAGTATTGTACTATACCAGAATATGCCATTTTTTAAATAGAGGTTGATGCATTGGGGGACTATGGTTTGTTAATATCACATTTTAGTTTGAATTGAATCTTGATATTTTCTTATACTCTAATATAATAAGACTCCTAATCCTTCCCCAAAGTGTCATATGTACACAGTTCAGAATTTCAAAGGACATTAATCAGATGTGCTAGAGATACAAAAATCACCTTTTCTCCCTGTTCCCTGAGTGATGGAAATAAAATGGGCTCAGAGAAGCTTAGTGAAATTGTAAGTGTCATGACTCAGAACTGATCCAAACCTGAGGAATGACCCAAATATGTGAGGTCACTACTGGGGCCTCCTGGGTCCCACCTTTCTGCAGATAACCACAGATTTCTACTTTCACTTGGCAACACAATTTGCAGATAAAACAATGTGTTACCATCTTCTTCCCTTTACCATATTGTTGATTCTTAATTCATTAATTCAGTTATTCATTCACTCATTTATTTGTCAAACATGGCTTGTGTGTTTACTGTGGGCCAGACAATGTGTGGAACATTGGATATATAAACATAAATCACACTCCCTGCCTTACCACAGTTCATAGTGTAGAGTGAGAGAGACACTATTGTAAACCAGTGTGATAATTGCTATTAATGTAATAAAATCATATTCAAGATGACAAGGTGGCCCAAATAAAGGAGTGTTCAACTTTGAGGAGGGCAAGTTAGAGCTAACTTAATTGTCATTAGAGTTTCTCAAGTAAGGTAAGGTTGTAATTGAAGAAATTTGCCAGGGGGGAAAAAAGTTGTAGGAAGAGGAAAATGAATGTACACAGTCACAGAGGTGTGAACCAGCCTACTGTGATTAGGAAAGGCAATTAAATCAGTAGATAAGAGGTTTTGGCCCCTCTCCAGCTGGACCAGGATCAGGGGAGGGGTTACAAAAGAGTTAAGCAGGTGGGAGTAAGGGTGGGATGGGGGTTGCCAAAGGCCAGGGGACCATCCACCGCTTCCTGGGAGGGCTGTGCCTGTAGTGGGTTTGTTAGTGGGCAGGGCAGGGCAGGGCAGGTCAGCCCAGCCTCCTGTCTCCGCTTCCGTCTTCCATCTCCCAACGTGCTCATCCTGGCTGCCACGGAACCCTCTCCACTCAATGGCATGGAGCCCTGGCTACCATCTGGGATGGCGTGGAGTCTGCCGGCACACCGCCCACTACCTAAGGTGCTAGGCTGCAGGAGCTGGCAGCCCTTGCTCAAAGCCTGGTGTTCCTTGCACAGTTGATGATCTTTCTTATTTGCATCATCCATCTCATATTCTGTGGATATCTGGGCAGTCAAGTTGAGTAGTGTTACACTTGTGAATCGTACTGGTACTTCAGTTACAACTGGATTAGCCTCCCCTTGTGACAAGCTAATGTCCCAATCCTTTGTAGGCAAGAACCTAAAATGTGTGGGGACCATACTTCAAAGAGGAATCCTTATCTTGATGCTGTGCTGTTTTCCTTGCTGGGCCATCTTTCTCAATACTGACAGCATCTTCCTGCTCTTAAGTGGATCCTGACATCACCAGGATGGCCCAAATTTATGTGATGATTTTCATTCTTGCTCTTCCAGCAGCATTCCTGTTCTGGCTGCAGAGGAGATATTTACAAAAGTCAGGGCATCAACTTGCCTTAAGTTATCACTGGAATCACAGAGAATGCAGTCTATGTGGGCCTTAATGCACTCTTGCTTGTAGACTGTGGAACTTAGAGGGTTAGAATCTGCCTGGGCCAACATCACTTCCCAGTTCTTCCTTTCTGCACTTCTTTTCCTCTACATGTGGTGGAAAAACAAATTCATATCAATACTTGGGGAGGTTGGACTAGGGACTTTTCCCAGGAGTGGGGCTCCTACATCCAGCTGGCTATCCCAGTATGCTCATGGTATATATTGAGTGACAGACTGTTTTAATTGGAACCCTTCTTGCAGGACTGATTAATGTGACAGAGCTGGAAGCTCAGGGCATCATCATCTGTGAACTGGCCTTTGTAGTCTACATGGTTGCCCCCTGGCTTTGGTGTGGCAGCCTGCGTATGAGTGGGTAATGCTGTGGGAACAAGGAATCATGAGCAGGCTTGGTGTTCCCACTTTACTGTTCTCCTGTGTGCCAGTGTGTGTACACTTGCAGCAAGTGTTTTACTGTTGTTTTGAAGGGTGTGGTTGCCTATGTATTTACCATTGACAACGATATTATTTCCCTTTGTGAGCCAAGTGATGCCTGTTTTTGCTCGTCTTCATCTATTTGATGCACTTGCAGGTACCTTTGGTGGAGTCATGAGAGGCACAGGAAAATGGAAGATTGGTGCTATCTTGACTGCCATTGGTTATGGGAAAACCTTTTTTCTTTTCCCATGGGAGTATCTCTGATGTTTGCTGCTAAACTTGGGATAATAGGACTCTGGTCTGGATTGAGCGTGTCTTTCAAAACCTTTTCTCTTTAGTGTACATCTTGAGAATAAACTAGAGTAGAGTTGCAGAGCAGGCACAGGTTTGAACTAGTCTAAAAGGGTACAAAGAGACTATAGCTACCCCAATAGAGCTACCTATCCCAGAAAGAGAAGTAACCGATGGAGTGATTTTGCCTGATATTGTCAGACCAGAGTGCCAGATCACACAACTAATGGAAGAAAACACCCAATATGCAGTGCCCTCTGTTGGGGATGTTTTGACATTGAGACAGTTGATTTTCTATTGTGGAATAGCTTTAGCTGTTGCTATTGCTATCCTTTTAGCAGGAATTTTAATAACAGTTTTCAATGACTATAGTTAAAGCAGAAAAATTATCACCAGCCTTCAACTAGAAATGGTAATTATATGCCTTATATTAAGCATGGAAGGCGACCTTGTTATTTGGACAGTGGTTTTACTCTCAACTCTGGGTGGAAAGGTGATGTCTCCATGGTTATTCTGAGAAACTGTGTTATTTTAATGGAAATCAAGAAAGGAGGTATAACTTTAAGCAAACTTTTGTCTGTTAACTGTAACATAATTTCTAAGTATGTAAATTTGATTTTTCCTGCTGTAAGTGTTCTTTATTCTTTTTTTTTTTTCTTTTTTTGGAGACAGAGTCTCACTCTGTTGCCCAGGCTGGAGTGCAGTGGCCTAATCTTGGCTCACTGCAAGCTCCGCCTCCCAGGTTCAGGCCATTCTTCTGCTTCAGCCTCCCGAGTAGCTGGGACTACAGGCGCCTACCACCATGGCCAGCTAATTTTTGTATTTTTAGTAGAGACGGGGTGTCACCTTGTTAGCCAGGATGGTCTCGATCTCCTGACCTCATGATCCACCCGCCTTGGCCTCCCAGAGTGCTGGGATTACAGGTGTGAGCCACCGCACCCAGCCTATTCTTTCTTATGTTGAATATCTTTCTTCTTCCAGGAAAATGGTTCATTGTCCTATAAACTGTTATTGGTGACCTAGTTTTCTTTTATTTCTCTTAATGTGCTTAATCTTGTCACTGAGTATATATTAAGTACCTGTTCAAGTCCTGTCTAGGATATTGCCATACAAGCTTTTACAAAATAAACACCTTAAAATGAAAGAGAGAGAGAGAGACAGACAGAGAGAGAGACTTTGAAGGTAGGGATGGGGCAAAGTAGGGGCCAATGAAGGGGTAAGATTGTGTTGAAGGAAATATTGAACTTGAGGCAGGGTCTAATATACTCAGGTTTGCATTTTAAAGATATCATCCTGGTTGCAGTATTCGGAGGGAACAACTGAGGGGACAGAAGATAGGGTAGAACCACATCAACATGCCATGAGGAGGCTGCTGCAAAGGCCCAAATACAAGTTTCTAAGGAGCTGATTTGAGACCATAGCAATGAGATTGAATCAAGGAAAGTGGATTTAACATTTAGGAGGTAAAGTCTACTGGGCATTATTACTACATTAGAAGAGTCAGGGAGAGGAAGGAATCTTGTGGGGAGGGAGACTTTCCCTACTCTGACAGGATGTAGAAATTGGGGGCAAAATTTACCATGGAAATAGATCTTATGTAAACTTACATTGACCTGTTATTCCGACTGATAACTCTCAGCCCAGTGCTTTTTAAAAAAATTTTTTAATCTATTTATTATTTATTTTGAGACCAGATTATGACTCTGGCTGATTTTTGTATTTTTGGTAGAAATGGAGTTTGCCATGTTGCCCAGGCTCATCTGGAACTCCTGGGCTAAAGCAATCTATCCACCTTGGCCTCCCAAAGTGCTTGGATTACAGGCGTGAGCCACTGCACCCTGCTAGCCCAGTGCTTTTTTGACAAAAAGGCAGTGCCTCAATAGCCAGCTGGAATCAGAACCCTTTATGAAATCAGTTTCCTGAATACTGAAAAATTTCCAATGGCTTAGACTGGGAAAGCTAAGTAATGAAATGCTGATGGTATAAGAGTGTGGTGAAACTTATTCCCAAGCATAGTACCAGTTGTGAAATCCTGTCTCTCATAGAGATGACTAACAAGTGAGGGTGTCAGAGTCACATGGCAGAAGTCATTTCAAGTCATGTCAAATGGTCTAGTGATGACATAATCATTTAAGAAATCAACAAATTCTATCAATACTGGATGAGATGCCATATTTGGGATGAGTGCAGCAAACAAGGTAAGCTTTCTTAGAAATAGGGATGCTGTCTTAAAAAATAGCATGTACTTTTAATTTACTTGACAGTATTTAAAACTATCATCAATAGCTTAGTAGATACCAGACAAGGTGTAAAATATGTGACATAATTTCACTTAATTCTCAAATCAACTGTATAAGGCAGATATTGTTGTTATCCCATTTTACAGAGGCTTAGCAAAGTTGAACAATTTTGTTGTGGTTATTTGGTTCCACAAAGATTAGACCCCAGGTTTAGTCTTACAACTGTCAGTGTACCCATTAACATGACTGGGAATAAGCTGAAAATCTTTTTTATTTTTATTTTTTTGCCCAAGTCTCTAGATAAGACAAGGAATAACACTTTTCTTAAGACTAATACTTCTTTTAAAAAATTATTTTTTTATTTTACTTTTAAGTTCTGAAGACTAATACTTATTTTTTAAAAATCAGATGTCTAGGATATTTCGACATTCTTCTGTAGGCGGTCGATTTATCAAATCTCATGTTATCAAATTAAGGTATGTAAATTTGGTTTATAATTTCAAGTTAATACTGTTAAGATGAGGTATTTGATGAACCTAATTGCTTAGCTGCCCTGAGCAAGTCTTTACAGCAACACAGAGATTTCATAAATCTTGAGCAGCCCAAGGTTTCCTACTTATTTCCCAATCACAATAGAAAGTCGTAAGGTGCTTTGTGACAAGAAAATCTCAGCTATTGGATACAAAAAGAGGAAACAAACACAAGAAACAGGGGAATGACACAGTTAACATTCCCTCTTCCCCCCGTCTCTTAAGCTAGGGGCTAAGTAGAACTTAACGTCTTTTTCATTTTCCTCATTTTAAGCCTACTCCACCAGAAGACAATGACTTTCTCCACAGTAAAGTGTTTCTTTCATGACAGTGCATGTTTATTGTTAGTTTAAAATGGCTTTTCATGTCTTTCCTTTTTCTCTTGCACTTCTTTCTTTCATACCTTCTTGACTTTTTCCTTTCTCCTTTCCACTTTTCTCTCCTCCCTCTCTCCTTCTTTCCCTTTCTCCTTTTCTTCCTTCCTTCTTTTCTTTTATCTCTCAAATTAAATTCATTCTGAAAAGATTTCTTGAGGCTTTTTAACCCTGCACATCACAATTTAAATTTATATATTTGAACTGTTTATCAAATGATTCTCTTTTATAACTGCTTTCTTTAATCATTTATCTATTAACAGACCACCAGACCCCAAAATGTCAGTGCTTTAATATAGTAAAGGTTTATTTCCTTTTTATGGTACAGTCCAAAGAGTCAGAAGTTGGGGCAAGGGTGTGGGTGCCAATCAAGATTATGAAATGAAATTGCCCACTGGATCTTCTGCATCTGGTTGGCAGACAAGGGAAGAGTGAGAGCAAGGAAAATGCCATGAGAGGTTTTATTAGAAGCCAGACCTGGAAGTGGGGAACATTATTTCTTTCCATATTTCATTGGCCAGATTCATTAGAAAGTTTCAGTAAACCTCAGGAAAGCCCAGGAAATGGAATCTACCTCTATGCTCAGGAGACAAAGGAAACTAGGTTTGGTAAACAAAAGGATCCTCCCTGTCACACCACTTCTAAAGAATAATGACATTAGTTACAGCTTTTGTTCAAAATGCCTTAAAAAGCAAGCCTTTTAAGTATGTATAAAGCATGATTTCACCAACATCTCCGCCCGCAAACCCCTCTAAACTATGAGCTAAGTAAGGACAGTGAACAACTGTTTTCAGGTAGGTATTTTATCCAGTATTTCCAGAATGTTGTCTTTATTTCTTCTACAGTGCTTCCAACACTTCCTGGTTATTATACACTCATTTTTAATCTCTGTATCCAGAGATAATTTAAAAATCTGGTATGCACATGTATCATGCATTATGTTTTTTAAGTTTAATGTGAGTCCTAATAAGTTAAAGTCATTAATGATTAGATAAATGCCATTTTTATCTGCTTTTTTGTTCTTCAGTCCAGATGAACAAGGTGTGGATATTCTTATAGTGCTCATATTTCGATACCCATCTACTGATAGTGCTGAACAAATCAAGAAAAAAATTGAAAAGGCTTTATATCAAAGTTTGAAGACCAAACAATTGTCTTTGACCATAAACAAACCATCATTTAGACTCACACGTAAGTCTTTTATTTTTATTTGCCACTTTTGTCATTCCCTCCTCTTACAACCCTCTTTAATTTTTGTAAGCAATATATATATATATATATATTTTTTTTTTGGAAGATATATATATATATATAAAATCTCAGCATGGAATAAAACTAAAATAAAATTCCACTATGAGGCAAAATTTAGTATTACAACTTTTTCTTTTTTCATATTTTACTAGGGCTTTTAATAAGCTTTCTAAACTTTTTTCCATATCATATGTTATTGGGTCCTTACAAAAGTTCCAAAGGGTAAGTATTACTTTCGCCATTTTACAGGTAAAGAAGCTGAGACTCAAGGAAGATGTGAGACATGGGATTAGCAAACCTTGGGGCTAGAATTAGACACAGGTATTGTGACTCACAGAGGTCTTTACAGATCATTTCTGGGGGTTATTTTTTACAGTATCAAAGAAAGACATCTTCATGAAGGTTTACCCCTGTAGGAAGAGCCAGTGACATGAACTGTAAAGAGGTTCTCTAGCTTGTTTCCAACTTAAAACTATTTTTCATCACTTCCTTATTTATTGCTCATGAATTGAAATAGGAAAGTTCTTGTTTTGTTTTCCTTCCAAAGCGGAAGAAAAGGAAGTTCAAAAAGTTTAGGAAACTAAAATTCAAACTACCTTACAGCTAGTTGGAACCCGAGCTGATTTCTATTCCAATATGTAATTGAAGGTAGTAAAATAATGCGTTTCAAATAAAATTTTAAATGTCAAGGGCAGGACCTGTGTCTTTTTATTTTCTTTCTCCTCCCTCAAACACTAGCATACATGTCACATGTGATAGATGTTCCAGCTCCTTTCATTGCTTCTTGTTATGTATTTCCAAGTTTAGTTACTTCTAATTTAATACAAAAAAAGATGGGAGAGGGGCTTGTATTTTGGACCCAAAAGACTTCTCCCTTCCCAATAGTCATGCATTTATTTAGGAAACAAGTTATCTAAAGTTAATTCTTTTGTTGTTAGAAATCAGGAAAGTTCTTTAAATATATTTTGAGATAGAATCCCCACAAATATTGTTACATTCTCAAGAAGTAATTAGAAATAAGGGAGAGTACGGTATCCACCTTGATTGTTAATCAATTATATTCCAAAGTAAAACAAAGTATTTTCCAGCATTCTATAAGTGGAAATCTCAATTCCTGATGATATAACTGTGCCTAAGCCACAATCATATATCCTAAAGTAAAATATCCATTACAAAAGTGACATTATATTATGTTTACTGAGTTGTTACAGCTGTAGAGTTTCTTATTGTATAATTTATTAAAAAATTTTGGCATTGTTGGTTACATACAATGATTTTTTATGATACAAGTTGTTTTAATACCAAAATAACTAAATTCTCTGACCATGCTCAATAATGAAGATTTAACTGTGTATGTTTTCTTCTGCCACATACATGTATTTTGTTAAATAGACATATCCATGAAACCTCTAGTAGGAATTGGGGCTCGCATCCCTTTTTGGGGAGAAGTCAATGTTTCTAATAAAATCACTGTAATTCCCCATGTTCTCACTGACAAACAGAAAACCAATCACTAACCCAACAAACATCTAATGTAGCTGAGTTATAATGAAAATGAATGAATAAATTTGAAGGGAAAAAAGATGTCACAGAAGGGAAACATAAAATGAAGTGAAAGTTTGTGTATGGCTGGAGTCTCTGGACTGGTTGTATGTGAAAGAACTTCATGCCTCTAGTGCCTGCTGCCTGAGCCACAACCATCCAAGCCATTCACAAGAGAGAATCCTCAGGGAGACAAGGTTATCAACCTGCATTGACTAAATTCCTAGTCTGTTAGATCAGGGCCTTGAAATTGGGCCCTCAGGGGTCTGTGATGCATTTAGCTCCATAGAGCTACCATTTCTGACTGGCCATTAGGAATATGCCTAAACCATATAGGTTGGTAAACACCAACTGTGATGGGAATTGGAGGTTGCTGCCTCAGATTATACTGGAGCCCCCAAAGAAAGCAGTCAGGGACATTTATCTTTATTTATTATTTCCTAATTTCCTAATTTCTGTTTCTTTTTCCTGAGCAAAATCAGGAAATAAAATGCTCTCTGATTTAATTTTAAATTAAATTACACAATTTGGACCAAAAATAAAATCAGAGTAAAGGGTTATTTATATATGACTTGATTATGAAAAATCTCATATTCTCTTGAAATATGTATGCTTTAGATAATTCACATTTCTATTAATGACCAGTTGAACAACACAACATGAAAATGGGAATATATTCTTCTGCCAACTAATTCATGTTTTGCTTATTCCAGCTATTGACAGCAAAAAGATGAGGAATCTTCTCAACAGTCGTAAGTTCCAAAACCCACAATTAACTGTTTATTTCACAGTAAAAGATCATGAAAAAAGTTATAGAAAAGTTGGCAGTAAAGTTTACCAAGCTTTTTAAGACTCATTTTATATTTTTGTAAACCGAACACTTAGTCTTTTTATTATTTTTAGCATTTAAGTATTTAAATTTATAAATTTATACCAAATACAATTCTAAGTTTATATGACCTACGAGATGTGGTTAAAAACACCTTACATAATATTCTAGATATTATATTAATATTCATTATAAATAACTTTTAATATTATCTAACAATTCAAGAGAGTGTTTTAAACTGGTAACATTTAGGCTTTAATTTTTTTTTAATTTGCTTGCATTTTTATTGAAATATCTGTTATGTACATTCTCTTGCTCTTCCTGCCCTGCACCCCACATTCCAGCATTGGTACATAGTTAAGGTCTATTGTGGACAAACATGCCCATTAAAAATGTTGTAACACTTTAAGTTCTCTTTTAAGATTGACTTGAAATCTAGTCAATTGAGGGTTTGAAATCAGGGAAGAAGAATTTTTTTTTAAACTAGCCTTTCAAGTTTTAAAAGACCAAAAAGGTCGATAGTGTTTAAATCTGTTAAAATACAGGGCTTTGCAAACACAATAAATTGATTCTCTTTAGTCATTAGTTAAGGGAAAATCATGACCTACAGTTAGTATTGGGCTCTCTCTCAGTAATAAGGATACTGCTACTAGTTTTGGTGTGGATCCTCCTAATTTTGTATCCCACTCTGTCACTTACCAGCTGGGTGACCGCCAGCAATGTTCCCTCTTCAAGGCTTAATTTTCTCATCTAAAAGGTATGTTTCTATAAATACATCTAAGACACATAGCAGAGGATCTATACATTTTTGGTGCTCAATGAATTATCTATATATGCTTTATAAGGAGAGATAGAAGTTAATTCCTGGACTGAATGCCTTGAAATGTTAGTAAACATTTCTTCTGAACCTCAGTAGGATCAGCAAGACCTGTATCAAATAAGCTCAAAGGCTGAGTGCTATGAATGGTTCACATGGTAGCAGGGACAAAGGATTGTCTATAACCAAAGCAAATCAGAATATACTTTTTTCCTCCTTTTTATGAATATGAATGATCATGTATTTCTGTGGCAGGCTGTGGAATAAGGATGACATCTTCAAACATGCCATTACCAGCATCCTCTTCTACTCAAAGAATTGTCCAAGGAAGGGAAACAGCTATGGAAGGGGAATGGCCATGGCAGGCCAGCCTCCAGCTCATAGGGTCAGGCCATCAGTGTGGAGCCAGCCTCATCAGTAACACATGGCTGCTCACAGCAGCTCACTGCTTTTGGAAGTAAGTTAACCAAGGCTGCTGTGAGCCTTCTTTTCACAGTCCTCATCTGCCACTGATTTAGCGCATCAGAAGAGTCCAGTCTCTCCAGTTTAACCTTTGCTCCATTCAGGGTAGACCTAGCTGTCCCCTAAATGGATTATGCTTCCCCTATGCCCTATCTATGATGGTTAGTTTTTGTCATTTGTAGTTCTTACAGATTTTCCTCTATCATCATGACCCTAGTGCTGTCTTTCCTATTATATATTATATAAAATAATATGTAGATTATTTTAGTGTGAAGACTATTACACATGTAACAAGTTTAATCTCTTTTACATACTCAAGAAGAAAGTCAGCTACTTTTGTTTTTTTCCAATTAATCCCTCTAACTTTCCACTGTCAGCATTGCCATCACTTTACAAATAAGAAAAGAATCATAGGTATCCCTCTTGAAGTTCTCACTTCTCATTGCATTCTCTAGGAACCCTGCAGGCCTGTATGGTCCAGAAAAGTGTGTGGAAGGTGGGAGAGACCTGCTACCTTGTCTTACTCCCCTCACAGTATTCAAGACTGGTTATGTACAGCCCAGCAAAATCTCTCTGTTTGGGCTTTCATGGTTGTACCTCTTAAAACTCAGCTGTGTCACTTCATGTACAGAGACATACATAGGCACCCTACTGCCCCAAGAGGTCAGGAACACACCATCTTTCTTCCCTGAGGTTTTACCATCATGGTACAGAAAGCTTTTCCTTCTAAACTCTCAAAGACAAAACTCTAAATAAAGACCCTTTGCCTGGCCAGTGGCACTACTTCTGCACCCTGCACCTTATTAAAGGAGCCTATCCCTGGTGATTCTCAGAGGTGCTTTATCATCCTTCTAAGGGTAACATCCCAGATGGTTCCAAGATACTAAGGTGATTATCTGTTGCTTTTTCGCAGAAAAGAAGAGAAAAGGGACTCACTTATATATGTGTATTTACAACTACCGAAATAACTGGCATTATGCCTTATGGGCAAATTTGAGTCCCACTCACTTGTGAAGATTTTCTAATTTTTTCATATTCACACAGTCCTCCAATCTTTGCACTTCTGTTTTTGTGAGAGTGTCTTCCATTTTAGTTTATAACTGATCTCTCTTTATGTAAATTAAAAATAAACAAATCCAGAATTCCAACTTAATATTTAGTGAAGAATACAGGCTGTGGCGATTGAAATACTTGTTTCAGCAGGTCCAGTGCAGGCTCTGGGTACTCACAGACCTACATGGGAATTGCCCATTGAGCTTGATGAAGTAGAGATTACTAGTGACTTTGATAAAAGAAGTTTTTCTAATGTGATAGGGATGGGAATGATTCAATAGAAAATGGAAGGAGGATTAGATGCAGTAAATTTTTAAACTGCTTTTAAGAAGTTTTTAAATGAAAGGGATCAGACCAAATTTGACAGTTGAGGGAAGTTGTGAAGTTAAAGGAAAGATTTTTAAAAATATGGGAGACACATTATAGCATATTTTATGCTGATAATAATAATCCAAAAGAGTTGGGTAAAGTGATGATCCTAGAGAAAAAAAAGTGCAATTTAGAAGTGATATATTAATAATTTCATGTAATCACACAATGTGGTATACTGTTGTGAAGGAAAACTACGTGGTACTTTGAAGACAATATTGCATTATTCACATCTTTAATTTTTTTTTTTTTTTTTTGAGATGAAGTCTCGCTCTTTTGCCCAGGCCAGAGTGCAGTGGCACTATCTCAGCTCACTGCAAGCTCTGCCTCCCGGGTTCACGCCATTCTCCTGCCTCAGCCTCCCGAGTAGCTGGGACTACAAGCGCCCGCCACCGCGCCCAGCTAATTTTTTTATTTTTAGTAGTGACAGGGTTTCACCGTGTTAACCAGGATGGTCTCGATCTCCCGACCTCATGATCCGCCCGCCTCAGCCTCCCATAGTGCTGGGATTATAGGCGTGAACCACCGCGCCCGGCCTAAGTTTTTATAAATTTATTTTTTCTGCAGAAATAATGTATTTTCAAAATCATATTTAAGACAAACCTTAAAACCTTTATGTCTATGAAAAATGATTACAGTCTTTGTGAAACAGTGTGAGTGGGGAAAACATTCTTGAAAGGATGGAAAGAGACCAGAACCATCTCCTTTTGGCACTAACCAGCAGAGTGTCACTTACCTGCACAAATCACCGAACTTCTGGGTCTTAATTTTCGTATTCATAAAACATGTTAAATTGGCCTATCAGGTGAGGCTTCCTTTCTTATTGACAATGCATAAAGGAATGGGATAATTTTTATTCTCTATCTGATTCATTTGTAAACTCCTTAAGGCCTGAAGTCATATATGTCTTTGTATCTCTGAGAATTCTAGTATCTAGTGTCTAGTTTTCAAATGGATGCTTCAGTTAGTCCTAAGATTTCAGGTTTGAATAAAATCTTATCTTAATCTCTAAAGAAGTGAAATAGATGAGAGCAGAACCCCTCCCATCTCCCTGCTCTTTTTTTTTTTTTTTTTGAGACAGTCTTGCTCTGTCACCCAGGCTGGAGTTCAATGGTGTGATCTTGGCTTAATGCAACCTCCACCTCCCAGGTTCAACAAGCGATTCTCCTGCCTCAGCTTCCTGAGTAGTTGGTACTACAGGCACACACCGCCACACCCAGCTAATTTTTGTATTTTTAGTAGAAACGGGGTTTCACCATATTGGTCAGGCTGGTCTTGAACTCCTGACCTCATGGTCTACCCGCCTTGGCCTCCCAAAGTGCTGGGATTACAGGCATGAGCCACCACACCTGGCCTCTGCCTGCTCATTTTTAGGGCAGTGCAGCACTTAGGAAACCACTGATCTTTCAGGTTTTTTTTTTTTATTACATTTAAAGGTTGATGATTCACCAACATAGTAATCCTTTCTTCAACCATAGAATTTCAAGTTACTATATATTTCCAGTCACCCAGGATGAGGATAACTTTAAAAAGAAAGAACCAGGCTTTGGAGGACCATGAGGAAGTAAAGACATAATAGGACTAGCTAGAATTTGCTGGTGATATAAACCTTGTGGGAGAGAAAAGCATCTATGGGAGAGAAAAGCATCTATGTGAAAGGAGAACTGAAAGTCTAGTAAGAGGGACTGACCAGGCCAGATCCATGGGCGGTAGGAGCTGACTTTGAGTTAGGATTAGTTAGCCCTTGTATATCAAGGAGGGATATGGGCGTAGGGTAGAGAAAAAACCATGTGTATACATGAAGGTTTGCAAAGCAGACAAATTACGCTTCACTTCAACGATCACAGTAAAACCAGTAAAATAAGAACCAAAAAGTGAGTCATAAAATAAGAATCGGTGGAAGATATGACATGGAGAGAAAATGCCTCTTACTATGTATATTATCCAAAACAAATCAAAATTAATTACTACACAGTTTGTTGAAATTAAGGAAAAAAGAACCTGAAGAGTTCCCAGCAAGCAAGAACTTTAAAAATTGGAAATTAATCAGTTATTAATTATTTGTACATAATTAATTGTAATAAATTTAAAAACAATTTTTTTCCTATTATGTTATCAACTACAAACTTTCTCACCAAAAGAATGTTTCAGGAGCATAATACTGACAGTTGGGAAGAAATACAGTCTCAGTCTTTTTTACAGAATTAAGTCAAGCATCACAAGTATTACTTTTTAATTTTTTGCAGAAATAAAGACCCAACTCAATGGATTGCTACTTTTGGTGCAACTATAACACCACCCGCAGTGAAACGAAATGTGAGGAAAATTATTCTTCATGAGAATTACCATAGAGAAACAAATGAAAATGACATTGCTTTGGTTCAGCTCTCTACTGGAGTTGAGTTTTCAAATATAGTCCAGAGAGTTTGCCTCCCAGACTCATCTATAAAGTTGCCACCTAAAACAAGTGTGTTCGTCACAGGATTTGGATCCATTGTAGATGATGGTGAGCAGTTTCAACCTAATTTTCTTAGCACAAGAATGTCTTGAGATCAAACGAGCTATCTATCTTAAAGAATCCCTCTTAAGCTTTTAATAAAAGTAATGGTCTTTCCAGTATGTGTGGCCTTGGGCAGAACAGGAGACTGTGGGTTAAAAAGTAAAAATCAGGTCCTGTATTTGAGTTTACAATTGGAGCAGTGGTGGCCGGGTGTGGTGGCTCACACCTGTAATGCCAGCACTTTGGGAGGCCAAGGCTGGCGGATCACCTGAGGTCAGGAGTTCAAGACACACCTGGCCAACATGGTGAAACCCCATCTCTACTAAAATACAAAAAAAATTAGCTGGGCATGGTGGTGTGCACCTGTAATCCCAGTTACTTGGGAGGTTGAGGCAGGAGAATTGCTTGAATCTAGGAGGCAGAGGTTGCAATGAGCTGAGATCGAAACATTGCACTCCTACCTGGGTGACAGAGCTAGACTCCGTCTCCAAAAAAAAAAAAGAAAAAAAAGAAAAGAAAGAAAGAAATCTCCTCAACTGCTCAACTAGAGCGGTGGAAAAAAAAAAAAAGTCAGGGAGAGAGACTAATATAGAAGGAAAAGAAACAACTGCATCAGGTGATATAAGAAGGGACAGAACACTATGGGAGTGCAAGGCAGTAAGTAATCACAAATTTTGTCTTTCCTAGATATAAATATGTTACATATACTTTAAATCACATATACTTTATTTTATTCAGCATATAATTTAAATCGCAAATGTAATGATAGCTTTTTCCTTTGTTTATTTTAATTATTTCTCATTGTATGAGAATTTATGATGATCATAAACATTAAAGTGGGTTGTAAATATTTTGAGCATTTTTTTTGGTTAGTCAATAAAATCTGTATCTTTTTCCTGTGTCCAACCTGCTAGGGGTGTTAAAAGACATCAAGTCTAGTAATTGTATAAATTAAACACCAGAACTTAAGATTTCTAGGTACTAGTTCACTCTACGTTAAAGAGAAAGATTAGGCCAGCGGTGATGGCTCAAGCCTGTAATCCCAACACTTTGAGAGGCCGAGTCGGGCGGATCATGAGGTCAGGAGATGAAGACCACCCTGGCCAATATGGTGAAACTCCGTCTCTACTAAAAATACAAAAAAAAATTAACAGGGCATGGTGGTGCAGGCCTGTAGTCCCAGCTACTTGGGAGGCTGAGGCAGGAGAATTGCTTGACTCTGGGAGGTGGAGGTTACAGTGAGCCGAGACTGCGCCATTGCACTGCAGCCTGGTGACAGAGCAAGACTCCATCTCAAAACAAACAAAAACAAAAACAGAAAACAAAAAAAAAGAGAGAAAAAGATTAACTGAATGTTTTAATGAGAAATAAGAAATACTTAAGTTTCCGCCATCAGTTGGTGCGGTCCATGGTGAGCTCATCATGGCGATTGAAGGTGGAGAGAGAACCTGTGGAGTACATGAACTTACCTGTTTTAGAAAAGTATCTCCAGAGGCAGTTGGGTTTTTGTCAGCTGTTTGGGTGTTTATTATCCTGATGCTGCTTCTTTTTCTCTATATTAATAAGCAGTTCTGTTTTGAAAATGTTGGAGGGCTTCCAGATCTTGGTTCAGAATACAGTACAAGGAACAATTCACAAGATAAAATGTGTCTGTGACTCCCAAATGAGCGTGTCAGAAATGTCTTGTAGTGAAAGTACATCCGCATGTCAGTCTCTCGAAGACGGGTCAGTTCCAGAAATTCTCATTAGCCTGCTTTATAATGCCACAAATGGGAGACTATCAGCAGAAGTGATAAAAGGCAGCCACTTAAAAAATTGGGCAGCAAACAGACCACCCAATACATATGTTAAGTTAACTCTACGGAAATCCACGGATCAAGAGATGTCCAAATGCAAGATATCCATCCGCAGAGGGCGGCCAAATCCAGTATACAAGGAAACTTTTGTTTTCAAAGTGACCCTATTTCAGCTTTCTCATGTGACACTCATGCTGTCTGTGTATAACAAAAGCAGCATGAGAAGAAAGATGATAGGCTGGATTTATTTAGGTCTCAACAGCTCTGGAGAAGAACTCAATCACTGGACTGAAATGAAAGAGTCAAAAGGACGGCAAGTACGTAGATGGCAGGCGTTGCTAGAGTCACGATGAATACAATAAGCAAACAGTTACCATCCAATGCAGCATATTTCTAATTACAACATTACTGTTTCTACCAAGTCGCCATTGGAAGAGCTGTTCTTTGAAGAATCATATTCAACCTTTTACCAAAATGCTTTAAGTTCTATGGAAAGAACATCTAATACTGAGATAAATGAAGAAAATATGTGTATCTGATAGAGCTTGTTTGGGAAACTGAGAAACGTACATTATCATTGTTAAACTAACAGTCCTCCAGAAATTTAATAAGATGTTTTTGATTTGAAGTTAATTTTAATTTAGCAAAAGAGCCGGTAATTTTATGAAAAATCAAAATTATAAGTGATTTTAAAAACCAGAGTTTTAGTCGCAATATAATTTTAATATCACTCTACATATTATTTATAAAACATAGTTTGGCCAGTCCCTGGTGTTTGTAATGTTCTTTAATATGAAAAAGTAGTCCTCCAACCCTATCGTAAGTCATATCTAATGGCGAAGGGTTTCAGTCACATTGAAAATTGTTTTATTTCAGACATGTTCCTTTTGTGCACTTAGTTTCATTGTGCCTCAGTTCCTCTCTATAGCACTAAATCTAAGTGCAGACAAGCATTCGTTTTCATACAGGAATGTTTTTAATATGTTAATTTTTTTTTAAAAGTTCATTTTTCATTTGCTTCTGCTTTTGCCTGATCCAAAGAGACAAAGTCACTGTGCTGGTCCCTTGCAAGTCTTTAGACAGGTTGTACTGTAGAACTACGTAACTTTCTGTTGAAAGCACTTCCTGTATTCTTGTATTTCAATGTAGGAAGCTAGTAGAGCAAGACTTTACTTTAAAATTTCTTTCAGTGATTGACTCTTCAAAAATTGCAGTAATGTGAAAATACATTTTTTTTTACAAACTGAAAACACAGCAGATAAGCTGTAGAAAATGAAAAACGATTCAATTTTAATTTTCTGCTCTGAGTATTTAGTAACCAACACTGCCTAAAGCAGGTAGCATCCAAAATAAGAAACTATTCTCTCTCTAAATCTTCACTCTTACTTCAATTTACATTTGTGATATAAAGACTATGCAGTTCTCAGTTTAAATCGGAACATCATGTTAAAAACAGTTCTGAGATTCCTTACGAAGTTTCCAATAACTTGTGACTAGACTTTATGAAATTTACGGATAAAGTTCTTCAACATGATGTTATCTTGTGCCTTTCATGTAAGTTGAATTTGCTCATACGGCTTGAAAGTTGTATTTGCAAAATTAAGCCTTCGATTTTTATAAATGCAACGATTCCTCAGAACAGTGTCGCAAGATCTTTATTTCCTCCGAAGTATGTAAAAGTTGTATGATGTGCTAATTTTGTAAATGGCAAGTCACTTTCATTTGTTTTTATATTTAGAAACTCTAATTAATCAGGAATATTATAAGCTGTTTTCTTTATAATTTTGCTTCTTACCTAATGTATCATTTTATGCATATACTTTATTAAATAGAGTATGTTTTATATATATTAAAAATAGTTTCTTTTTTCTCCTTCTCATTTCTAGTTCAAATAGACAAAAACATACTATTTACCAGTTACTAAAAAGCAGTATATCATTGCTCCTAGTCCCAAAAAAGTACTATATATTATTATAAACTAGAACTTGTTATTACCATAATAACAAAACAATGCATAGATGTTACTTCAGCTTGGATATACTGAAAGGCCTTAAAAGAAATCCAAAAAGACCGTGAAATTCTGTATTTTTTCATTTAAAAAAAGCAGCTCTATGCATTCATACACATGAATTATAAGAAAAAATACAAAAGGTATATTGGATGACATGAGGTTTGAGAATGTGTTTTACAGGGCTGCATTAAAGGGAAAAATTCATATTTTATTGTTACATCAATGAGCTTTCTCCAGGATTTTTACAATAAACGAGTAGGAATTAGAACCTGAAAAAAAAAAAGAGAGATACTTATGTTTCTGTCAAGGATATCCTGAAAAAAAAACTAGTGTTAATATATCTTTTTTTTTTTTTTTTTTTTTTTTTTGAGTTGGAGTCTCACTCTGTCACCCAGGCTGGAGTGCAGTGGCGCCATCTTGGCTCACTGCAAGCTCTGCCTCCCAGGTTCACGCCGTTCTCCTGCCTCAGCCTCCTGAGTAGCTGAGACTACAGGCACCCGCCATCACGCCTGGCTAATTTTTTTTTTTTTTTGTATTTTTAGTAGAGACAGGGTTTCACCGTGTTAGTCAGGATGGTCTCGATCTCCTGACCTCATGATCCGCCCGCCTCCGCTTCCCAAAGTACTGGGATTACAGGTGTGAGCCACCACGCCTGGCCAACTACTGCTAATATATCTTAATCTAGCTTTTTTTTTTGACAGAATTTTATTATATGAAAAGTTTTCCAAATGCCCCATGCATATCCAACTTGGCTTTGTGAGAGGTTCTTAAAAGTCTCTTACAGCTAACTCAGGGCTACTCACCAATAGCTTCAACCCAGAGCCCTAAACTACTTATTTTCGATATTCAACTGTGCAGTATCCTCTCCTCCTAACACCCAGCCCTGTTCTGTGTTGTCATCAGATCACTAGCACATATTGGGCATTCATTTTGTTTCCCATGCTGTGAGACACCCCTAAATAATACATGACAGAGTAGAGTAGGGTGAAGAGATCTGTGCAGCTGTCCTGGTTTCTACTTGAATAGCTTTAGGAATGTCAGTGAACTTCCAGGGACCATGGTTTCCTTACATGGAGAATGTGGCAGTTGGACAAGATCAATGTTATGAACCTGTATGAGAATCTAATGAGGACTATGGACCCTCTCCTCATGAAAAAATGCATGCGTATGTAGTATTTTGCATGTAGTTTTAAGGCTCCTAATATCCTTGAAAGATCTACAAATGTGATATAATACTGGAACATGTATGTTTATGATTCCTTGCATGTAGACATTTATGACAGAAAATAAGATGATAGCTAATGTTAATAAAATAATCTTTGGCTTTTGCTACAATTTATGTGTCTTCTATGTCTTAGATACAATTGTATTTGAGGAATACTGTTTATTTGTTTTTTTATCCATTTGTGCAATAGGACCTATACAAAATACACTTCGGCAAGCCAGAGTGGAAACCATAAGCACTGATGTGTGTAACAGAAAGGATGTGTATGATGGCCTGATAACTCCAGGAATGTTATGTGCTGGATTCATGGAAGGAAAAATAGATGCATGTAAGGTAAGTTTAAAGTCAAGGCCAAAAGTTTATGAGGAAAGTTTCCATTAGCTATTTCTGAGTTTGGCATATATTTTACCTAGGAGAAAAAAAAATGGCATCTCTTACACCGAGAACTGACTTTATTTAATAATCATAACAATAACAATAATTGTATTGAGTGTTTAATATACGCTAAGCCAAAAATTAAGCACTTTTTATACATTATTTCATTTAATGTAATGAGATAAAAGCAATATTATAATTACCATATTCATCCCCCAGCCTCCCAGTCATTTCCCTTCGCCCCTCACATTTTTTAATGACAGCGACAGCTGAAACAAGTTTTCTTTCCATTCCAAGCCCTGCATTAGCAACACTGACCTGTTTAAATGCTGGACTTTTAGTTCCTAGACCTCCTCTTCTCCAGTGATCTTCTATACTCTTCAGCCACCTCAGACCCTCCTCTTAGAGTCACACTATGGGCCTTGTTATCAAAAACTACTCCACTCCAAAAGTGCTCATTTGCATCTTCCTTTTTGACTACTATCCCCCAGTGTTTCCCCCTTGCTTTTTAACTACTGCTTCCCTATATACACTTACTATGTTATACCCTAGTCTACCAACTCTCATTCCCAACATGCACAACCTACATGTACATTCCTTGTGTCCTTTCTTTGTTCTATTTTTCTCCTCAGCCTTTGTCACCATCCAGTATGCAGTATGTTTATTTATCTAGCTTATTTCCTGTTTCTCCACTAACTAAAATGTAAGCTTCATGAAGGAAGACATATTTTAATCTATTTTATTTACTGCACCTGAAATAGACTGGTGAAAATATGTGATGACTGATTGAATGAAAAAGTCTTTTTTCAACTTCATAGACACCTATTGTCCATTGATTCCTCTGTTTTCTCACAGTTCATTAATCATTTCCTTTCTTCCAGCTTCTACTTTTCCAGCTTAGATTTCACTGTCCATTATTTTTTATTGATAAATCATAATTGTATTACATCTATGGAGTACAATGTGACATTTGATACATGTATACAATGTGGAATGGTTAAGTAAAGCTAATTAACATATCCATCACCTCACTTAACATTTTCTCTGTGATAGACATCTAAAATTTACTCTCTTAGCTATTTTGAAATCTATAATACAGTATTATTGATTATAGTCACCCTGCTTTGCAGTAGATCTCAAAACTTATTCCTTCTCACTGAAACTTTGCACCCTCTGACTAGCAACTCCCCTTTCCCTCACTCTCCACCCGCCTAGGCTCACCCAGACTCTGGTAATCATCAGTCTACTCTCTACTTCTATGAATCCAACTTTTTTAGATTGCACATATAGGTAAAATGATGTAGTATATGTCTTTCTGTGCCTGGCTTATTTCACTTAGCATAATGTCCTCTAGATTCATGTATGTTGTCCCAAATGGACAGAATTTATTCTTTTTATGGCTGCATAATATTTATTTTGTAGATATACCATATTATCTTTATCTCTTCACACATTGATGAACACTGAGGTTGATTCCACTTAGGTGGTTTAAATTCATTTCCCTAATGATTTGTAATACTGAGCATTTTTTTCATGAATGTGATGGTCATTTGTATGTCTTCTTTTGAGAGGTATCTAAGTCCTTTGCCAATTTTTTAAAATCAGGTTTTGTTTGTTTTGTTTTTTGCTATTGTGTTAACTTCTTTATATATTTTGGATATAAGCCCTTATCAAATATATGGTTTGCAAACATGTTTTCCCATTCTGTGAGTTGTCTCTTCACTTTATTAATTGTTGTTTTGTTTTGTTTGCCGTGCAAGCTTTTCAGTTTGATACAATCTGATTTGCCTATTTTTGCTTTTGTTGCCTGAGTTTTTGAGGTAATATTCAAAAATCCTTGCCCAAACCAATGTCATGGAGTTTTTGTCTGTTTTCTTCTAGTAGTTTATAGTTTCAAGTCTTAAGTTTAGGTTTTTAATCCATTTTGAGTTTCTTTTTGTGCATGGTGTAAGGGTAAGGGTCTAATTTCATTCTTCTTCTCCTTTTTTTTTTTTTTTTTTTGAGACAGTCTCGCTTTGTCACTCAGGCTGGAGTGCAGTGGTACGATCTAGAATCACTGCAACCTCTGCCTTCCAGGTTCAAGTTATTCTCCTGTCTCAGCTTCCTGAGTAGCTGGGACTACAGGCATGTGCCACCATGCCTGGCTAGTTTTTATATTTTCAGTAAAGATGAGGTTTCTCCATGTTGGCCAGGCTGGTCTCGAACTCCTGACCTTAAGTGATCCACCTGCCTCAGCCTCCCAAAGTGCTGGGATTACAGGCATGAGCCACCACGCCCAGCCTAATTTTATCCTTCTGATATAGATAACCAATTTTCCCAGCACCATTTATTGAATAGACTATCTTTTCCTCAGTGTGTATTCTTGGCATCTTTGTCAACAAATCAATTGACCATAAATATATGTGTTTTTTTCTGGCTTTCTATTCTATTCCATTAGTTGATGAATCTGTTATTATGCCAGGACCACACTATGTTGATTACAATTGCTTTATAAGACATTTTGAAACCAGGTAGTATAAGGCCTGTAGCTCTGTTCTTTTTGCTCAAAATTATTTTGACTATTCAAGGTTTTTTTTTGCTTCTATATGGATTTAAGGATTGTTTTCTTTCTTTGTGAAAGAAATGGCATTGGAATTTTGGTAGGGATTGCATTTTAACAATGATAATTTTAACATTTTAATGAACATTTTAACAATGATAATTCTTTCAATCCATAAACATGGAGTATCTTTTCATTTTTGTGTTTTCTTCAGCTTCTTTCTTCTATATTTTACAGTTTTCAGTATACAAAGCGTTCACCTCTTCAGTTAAATTTACTCCCAAGTGTTTTTTTTTTTTTGCTATTTTTTTTTTGTTGCTATTGTAAATGGATTGTTTTCTTAATTTCCTTTTCAGACAGCTCACTATTAGTATATGGAAACACTACTGAGTTTTGTATATTGATTTTGTATTCTGCAAACTTACTGAATTTGTTTATCTCTTCTAACAGCTTTTTGTTGGTTTTAGGGTTTTCTATCTATAAGATCATGTTGTCAACACACAAAGACAATTTCATGTCTTCCTTTTCTATTAGAATGTCTTCTATTTCTTTCTCTTGCCTAATTTCTCTAGCGACAACTTCCAGAACTGCATTGAAAAGAAATCAGAGTAGATATCCTTTTGATGTCCCTGGTCTTACAGGAAACACTTTAGATTTTTCACTATGGCTTTAATAATAAAAGCCAATATATGGCTTTTATTGTGTTTGACATACACCTATTATGTTGAAAGTTTTTCTTACAAAAGTGTGTTGAATTTTTTCAAAAGCTTTTCCTGCATCTGTTGAATGGATCATAGTTTTTAGCCTTCGTTTTGTTAATGTAATGAATCACACTTATTGATTTGAATATATTGAACCATTCTTGCATCTGAGGGATAAATCCCACTTGATAATGATGAATGATTCCTTTAATCTATTTGAATTTGGTTCATGAGTATTTTGTTAAGGATTTTTACATCCTATGTTTATCAGGAATATTGAAGTGTCCTTATCTGGCTTTAGTATCAAGGTAATCCTCACCTTGTCAAATGAGTTTGGGAGTATTCCTTCTTAAGTTTTCTGGAAGAGTTTAAGAAAGATTGGTATTATTTCTTCTTTAGATGCTTGGTAGAATTGAATTGTGAAGCCATCTGGTCCTAGACTTGACTTTGGTGGGAGACTTTTTAATTACTGATTCAGTATTCTTACTTATTATTGATCTGTTCAGGTTTTCCATTTCTTCAGGTTTTCCACTTCTTCATGATTCAGTCTTAATAGGTTGTTTTACCTTCTTAAATATTTCTGCATCACCATTTCTCCTTTCTTTGCCTCTCTTTCACACTCCTTTCCTTCCTCCCTTGACCAGACAACTACACTAGCTGTCTTGCTAATTTCCTCATTTTTACTCTTATGCTCCTCTCATGCGTTAGTCAAATAAGAGCCAGAACCATTTCCAAAAAAAGGCTAATCATGTCAGATCTCTCTCTGAAACACTTCAGTGGCTTACCTTTAGTCTTAAGATACAAACAAAAACTTCTAAACAAGACCTATGAGGCTCTACATGGACTTGTCTTTCCTTACCTTCCAGACTCATCACACACTATTTGCCCCTCTTACACTCCTCTCTACATCCACCTCCTTTTTTAGGCCCTTGCATTTGCCAGGCTCCTTCGCGCCACAGAGCATTTGCAATACTGTTCCCTCTGCCTATAACACACCTAACCCCCACTTCCCTTGTGCTCTGCTCTTCTTCCTTCAGATATCAGCTCAATTATACTCATCAGGGGAAACTTTCCTGTTTTTCCTTATCAGTCAAACTTCCCTGTTGTGTGTTACCATAGCACGTATCATGATGGTAATTTTGCATTTGTTTTTGGGCTTATTTAATATTGTTGTTGTTGTTGTTGTTTTTAACCTAAACTTCAAACTCTATGAGCACAGGGGCCTGTCATTTATGTTCATCATTTTATCCCTAACAGACATCAGATTGCCTCAGACATAGAATAGGAACTCAATAAATAGTTAATTAAAGAAACAGATAAATAAATAAGTGAGGAAGTGACACAGAAAGCTTAAGTATCTCACCTAGGGTCATACAGCCAGTAATTAATAGAGCTGGACCTGAAACCGGCATTTCAGCTGCTGAGACCACACTTTTAACGACCACATGTTTATTTGTTTATTTACTTAATCTTCTTTGTTCTTATTTTTGTTTTCCAAATGAGATTTAAAGGAGTTTATAAAAATTTAGCAAGAAAACTAATTAGAAATAGGTGAGTAACAGAAAAGGAGACCAAAAATAGGTCCATAAAATACAATCAAGGTGACAGCATTTGGAAGAGATCCTTGAAATTGTATACCTAGGCTTACAAATGCTAATCTCACATTTAACATTTTATATACATAGTTACTAAACCATGCTAAACAGGCCTGTTCAAACTAGAAAAAAAAAACCTAAGGATACTGATACAGAATTAATGTAACCATTTCCTGTGAATGAATGTTAGCCTTCCTATGAAAAACAATGCCCTTTAAAGTTTAGCAAAAATTTTAATTCAGTTGAGAGACCCATTATATAGTCTGTAGTCTGGCTGTGGTCTGTGTACCAATTTCCTTTTTTCTCTGTGAACGTCAGATTACAATACCTTCCCACTGAATTAAAGTAGAGTTAACAATTTAAAATATGTTTTTATTTCAGGGAGATTCTGGTGGACCTCTGGTTTATGATAATCATGACATCTGGTACATTGTAGGTATAGTAAGTTGGGGACAATCATGTGCACTTCCCAAAAAACCTGGAGTCTACACCAGAGTAACTAAGTATCGAGATTGGATTGCCTCAAAGACTGGTATGTAGTGTGGATTGCCCATGAGTTATACACATGGCACACAGAGCTGATACTCCTGCGTATTTTGTATTGTTTAAATTCATTTACTTTGGATTAGTGCTTTTGCTAGATGTCAAGAAGCCCTTCAGACCCAGACAAATCTAATATCCTGAGGTGGCCTTTACATACGTAGGACCAAACCCTCTCTACCATGAGGGAAGAAGACACAGCAAATGACAGACAGCACCTATTCCTTACTCACAAGGGAAACTGCTTGTGATACTTCCTAATAAGATAAATAAGTGGTTTCCCTCAATTGAAGACAGGAACATCATTTTCCACAGGATATGAAGAGCTGCCAGTAATGCCAAAATCTTACCTCATATAATACCTGGAGCATGTGAGATTCTTCTAGTGAAAAAGAACAGTCTTCCCTGAAGACTCAGGGCTTCAACATTCTAGAACTGATAAGTGGACCTTCAGTGTGCAAGAATGGAGAAGCATGGGATTTGCATTATGACTTGAACTGGGCTTATATCTAATAATACAGAGCACTATCTCTAACCTCAACAGTTGACATTTTAAAAGTTTTTAAATGTATCTGAACTTGCTGTTAACACAGTGTTATAACTCAAGCACTAGCTTCAGGAAGCATGTTGTGTTGTTAAGAAGCTTTTCTGATTTATTCTTTAACAGCATCTTGCCATCTATATGTTAGTAGCAGTTGGCCCAGAAAGGACAAAAAAAAAAATTAAGACTCTTTGGAACGTTTTTCCATGAGCACAGGAGGATAAAAAGAAGCAGATGAAGGCTAGGAGAATTGGTTTCAAATAATTAGTAACAGGACAAGCACGCTAATTTTTGATGGAATGAGTTATCCAATTATTTACTTAGAAATATTTATATCAGTATATGGCAACTGGTACTTTTGTAAGTCTTCAGCTCTCTGACAAGTCAGATGTCCATCAGAGTATCAGGTCAGGTGTCTATCAGAATATCAGAGCTGATTTGTGTAAAGCTTTGTGTAAAGCACGTAGGACAGTGCCTTGCATATACTATGAACTAAATAAATCTTTGTTATATGGAAATGAATGCCTTGGCAAGCTTTAAGATAAATGAGCTCAATTTTTTTTCAAATAAGTGGTACATACGGCCCAAATCCTAATGATGGTAATAGTGATAGAAAACATGGACTTTGAACCAGGCTCCTCAAGTTGAAACATCGTCTCTGCCTCATAGGAGCTGTGTGTCCTTGCTGAAGTTACTTAACATCTCTCTTCATTAACTCTTTCACCTCTACAATGGGAATAAAAGTGGTACTACCTCATAATAGTTGTTTTGAGAATTAAATGAATTAACACAAGTAAAACACTTGCAATAGTGTCTGCACACGGTAGTGTCTCATGGATTAGCTACTATTTATCATTAATAATGTGCTTTAGACTCAATAAAACTTACTATACTTTCAAAAAATTGATCTTTGCTTCTTTAAAGCCATGTAATTGATTTCAAAGTACTTTGAATTACGTTGTAAGACAAATTCGGTGAACTACTATAATTTTTTCAAAATCACTTTTATGCCTTATTAATATATTTTGCACTATGTCTGCTTATAGACAAGTAGTCATAGGATGTGACAATCATCTGTCACCATAGTTCTGACTACAGAGATGCATCCGTATTTCTATAGACCTCAAATGTGAGATTAGATTTGCTGCTCTGATTTATTAGAGAAAAATCTAGACTATTCATTTCCCTAGTGTTGGAAAATTTTGTTAGTTTACATGTACATGTGTTTATATGTGTTTATATGTAATTGAGAGAAATACAACTAAAAATATCTCCCAGTTATTATTCACATCTCAGTAAGATATAAACACAAAAAGCTTATCATACACATTTCCTCTTTAAAAATGAAATGTCATCGAATTTCTGAGTCAATGACTAGGAGTAACTACCACCAGAGAAAACAGAGTAAAAACTTAAATTCTTACATGTCCTTCACTTAAACTCCTACAGTTTGCATATAGCACAGAAACATTTAAAGTTTTTGAGAATGTTTAGCATATTAAAGATGGGCTTGATTGATGATGAACATATTTTATATTAAAACTAAACACTTCCTTTAGTAGATAGAGGAAAGCAGATCTGACTACCAAAAAATTACTTTCCTCTATGTAATTTCTATAACCGTGAATATGTGTTTTGTGTAATTTTATTTATATTTAATAAGACTGTGATACCTTTTTGTGAATAAGTATCTGTGAAACTGTGTATACTGATTTAAATATTTCTGTGCTTAATTCAATTGAATTCAATGATATTTAAGCACAAATGAGAGAAATAAATACACAAGGTTATAAGAAAATCCAATAATGGAAAAGTGGATTTTTTAAACAGAATTTATATGTCCTATTTCTATTTAGGTGTCTGACTTATTGATTGGTTTTGTAGGAATCATGTAATGTTTTTTACCTCATGTTTTCCATCTTCCAAATGGGACCTTAAGCTGTCTACCTTATGGCATTGTTGTGAGACTTTTGAGATGAATAATAAAGTTGAAAATTCTATGAATGTTCAAAACTTACTCAAAAATGCAAAGTATGTCATTGTAAACTGATATCATTTCGGATGATGCTGAAAATCCATTAAGATTTTAAAGAAGTTTGGATTTTTGTACAGTATTGGCATTTTTATGCTTTGTGAAGTTTGAAAATATATTTGTGGTTAAAAACAAAACAAAAAAAATCCTAAAACGTAAAAAAAAAACCAGACTTTGCCTCCTGTGTGATGATGCTATAGTAATATTCATATATTTTCATAGACAAAAACTTATAATTTGTATGACTCTTTTTAAAATACAGGTCAAATCCATTAAGCTGACAATAAATAAGGCAGCTCATAATCTCTGTGCAGTCCTGATGGAATTTTGGGTGGCATGAGAACTCTAGTTAGTTTATAATGCTAGAACAATATTAGACCAAAGTTGTTGCCAATAGCTGACCATCTCTCAGTGAAATCTATATGATTCAACAACAATATGAAAAACAAAAACATTTTAATAGTAATTTATTCTTTTCACTGAATAAACTTATTTCTTTGTTAATGTATTTATTTGATGGACAAAGGAGGTATGCAAGGAATCTCTTCATGCAATCATGAAAATGAAAAATAAACTTGAAAGCTAGAATCGTAGCTATTAGAGCTGTGAGAGACCTAAGAGATTATCTACATCAACCTCCTCTTTTGACTGATGTGAAATCAAGGCCAAGAGAATTCCTGCAAGGTTATACAGTGGATTTTAGATAGTGGAGGAACAGAATCTAAGAGCCCTAGTATCCAGTCCAGTCTTTTCTCCACTATTCTAACCTGAGTTATGCAGGTTCAGTAGGCAGGATCATTGCAGACCTACAAGTCACTAAACTTAAATGACTACTGCCAAACTAGTTTCTCCTAGTAGTTATAAATATGCTAAACCAAACAGCATCTCCAATAATTATTGTAACTTTAGCAATGAAACTGGGAATTCCTCCTTTCACTTCTGAGTTCCAGAAGTAACACAAGGGATTTCCCCAACATCAGCTGTGATTCTTTTTACATGACAAAAACTAGCCCCAATTTCTATTATGTTCTAAATCTTTTCCTCAATAGACCTAAATATACTATTAGCAATTGCAGTACTATTCATTCGAGTAGGAGGTTGAGGAGGACTCAAACACAATAAAAAATTCTAGCCTATTCATCAGTTACCCACATAGGTTGAGTAATCGCAATTTTAATTTACATCCCCACCATCACTCTCAAATCTACAATTTACCTAATATTAACAGTAACCATATTTATACTACTCATTGCAAATATAAGTAACACAACATTATCACTATCCTGTATGTGAAATAAATGACCATCACTAACATCTATAATCCTTGTTATTCTACTATCCTTAGGAGAACTGCCCCTGCTAACAGGATTTTTACCCAAATGAGCTATCATTCAAGAAATAACAAAAAATAATAGCCTCATTATACCTACATTCATTGCTATCATAGCTCTTCTCAACCTGTACTTTTATATACATCTAATTTATTCCACATCACTAATGATGTTCCCAACAACTAATAACATTAAAATTGCAATTTTAAAACATAAAACAGATCCTCCTCCTACCACCATTCATTATTACCTCAGCCCTATTCCTGCCAATCTCACCAATATTTTAGATATTAAACTAGAAACTTAGGTTAAATCAGACCAAGAATCCTCAAAGCCCTAAGTAAGTAAATTATGCTTAATTTCTGTAATTCAATAATAAGAATTGCAAGATCTTATCTCACATCAATTGGATGCCAAAAAAAAAAAAAAAGTGAAGTAAGCTAAACTTACATGGTGTTCTGCAAAGTATATTGTTGGACCAAACCAGTTTTATGATTAAGACAACAACCTACTTAAAACCATATTCAACTATACCTAAGGAAACAGAAGATGAATAGAGTGTAGGCAAAGCTACTAAGCTAGTTAAATAGGCAGATCATAATACTTCATGGGAAGTTTACCCCCCAAATTCATACCGTATTCCATCCTTTTCTCACTTTCCCCACAGTTATAATTTTTTAAATTTTGAAGTAATTTAAAGCCTTAATATGATAGAAATAAAATATCCACACCATATTTTAAAATAAGGCAGCAAAAGATTTCAAGCCTTATTAAAACACCGAATATCTGTTTTACTCTTTACTTTTTCAGAATATCTGTTTTATAAAAAAAAAAACTATAGAAGCCCACTAAAATGCAAAAAATAAACAAGTTTTGATTAAGCCACTTTTGTAAATGCTTACAGTTAACATTCTTTTACAGGTTTCAATATATTCCTTGCCTTAAGGTTTTAACTATGACTAATAAGAAATGAGGAAGATGGCCTGTAATCCTAGCACTTTGGAGGCTGAGGCGGGTGGATCATTTGAGGTCAGAAGTTCGAGATGAGCCTGGCCAACAGGGCAAAACTCCGTCTTTACAAAAACAGAAAAATTAACCAGGCATGGTGGTGCGCGCCTGTAGGTCCAGCTACTCAGGGGACTGAGGCAGGAGAATCACTTGAACCCAGGAGGCGGAGGTTGCAGTAAGCTGAGATCACACCACTGCACTCCAGCCTGGGCGGCAGAGCGAGACTCCATCTCAAAAAAAAAAAAAATAAGTGTAAAGCATATTATTATAAACTGATTTCAGCACAGACAATGCCACACATTTGTTAAGATTGTAAATAAGATTTTATATAATGTTAGCATTTTTATCCTTAGTGTTTGTCCTATATTGATAATCTTTAGGAAAAGTGGATTCAAAGGTTTAACGAACAGGCTAGAATTCACTATGAGAAAAGGGGAAATTTAAAAATGGAGAGGAAAAATAATCTAAGAATAAAGAAGAAACTATTGGAAAGACAACTACTAAGCTATTTGATGAAAAAATAGCTGTAATTCAGAACAAAGATTATTTTTTAAGAAGTAAAGAAAATGGATTATTCACCACCTTTGAAAAATATTAAAGAAACATTATGACACCTACTTACTGATGGGGGGAGAGCACGCAATTGTACCAACTTAACACAACTATTTTTAATTTTATTTTCTAATTCGTGTATATATGAATGCATTTATTTCACAAATTGACATAATAGCATTATAAAATGTATTTCTCCACCTTAAATTATATATTTTATGACCATATTTTGTATGTAACCGTCAGTTTTGATGTCTATGATACATCAAATAGTTAAGGCACAGAGACCTAGCCCAGGACATTAGGCTAGTCTGTTGTCAATTAAATTTAATATCAGGACCAGGAACCATAAGTATGGCATCCTGCCCTTCCCCACTCTATGCACCAATGAACACTCTGTGACCACTTGTCATTTCCCCTATTTTGTTCCTTACCAATAATGAGTGTGATTTCTCCCCCTTTACCCCATACCACTCTCTCCTCCACTGGTTTAACATCTCTTTAGCACCCTCTTTCCCAGCTGGTTTCACTGAGTCCTCCTTGCTCCCTTTCATTAAAATGCTCCTATACCTTCAGCCTCTCCACGGAATGCTTCCACGTCATCTTACTAAAGTCTGGATGTCACTATCTAAAACATCACTTTGTTTTAGCCATCTCAAGTGATTGTTTATTCTCCCTGGCTTTAATACTAAGTCAGAATTCTTCCAACACCCAACTACAAGCTTTCAAATTGTTAGAAGACTTGTGTAGTCTTCTAACAATTTTTGCTGCACAGTAGTATAAAAATGTATTTCCCTGATGTTCATGCCTATAGCTGTACCACACATTGCCACCCCTAATTACGGTCACCCTCTTGCTCACTCCCCACATTTACTAAGGGACTAGGCACCTGACTCAACACAAACCTCTCCACCCAACTCATCTCTTCATCGTGGTCAATTTCAAAATCCAAGCGGATGATCCACACCTATCCTTAATTCTTTGAGCTCATAAATTCAAATGACTTTAACTTTTGTTTCACTCTAGATATCTGATGTTCTGATTTATTAAATGTCTCAGAGGCTCCATAGTATCATAGTATGTCTAACTCTTAAAAACCACACTTTTCATACAAACCTGTGGAACTTCATTTTAGATGTCATAAACTGGTTTTCTATCACTATAATGGTCACCTTCCTAGTCCTTAGCTTGCAGGCTACCAATCCAACAAACTCTCAGCCCTAGGTCAATCTCATAATTCAGTGGCTCTTCTTCTGTGCCTGGTAGAAGTGAGCAAAGTTACAGAAAATTAATTCAACCATAGGTATTAACACCATAGTAATTTGGACTGTCTCATTTCAGTTGTGCTATTGATGACACCAGATAATTCTTTTTCTTTTTTCCTTTTCTTTCTTTTTTTTTTTTTTTTGAGGCAGGATCTTGTCACCCAGTCTGCAGTGCAATGGTGCAATCTCTGCTCACTGCAACCTCTGCCTCTCAGATTCAAGCGATTCTCTTGCCTTAGCCTCCTGAGTAACTGGGATCACAGGCATGCGCCACCACGCTCAGGTAATTTTTGTATTTTTAGTAGAGATGGAGTTTCATCATGTTGGTCAGGCTGGTCTTGAACTCCTGACCTCAGGTAATCTGCCCGCCTCAGCCTCCCAAAGTGCTGGGATCAAGGGCGTGAGCCACCATGACTGGCCAATTATTTTTCTTTTAAAAACATTTTTCTGCCCTGTTGTTCCAACAAGGCAACACTCACCTCAGCACTGGTACTTAGCCCATGCTCTCTCCTCTCACCTTGGTGCTAACCATACTAAGAACAGAAGAGATTATCCAAAATTTCCCAACTCAACAATTCACTTTCACACTAATGTTTATATTATTGTTTGTCTCCTTTTATTCTGTCTTACCAAAGTGCTTTCCTCTCAATGAAAGACCAGAAGCTGTGTTCTATTATTATTGCCTCCTGTTCTGCCCCAGATCTTGGTTCATCACTTACCCTCTCTCTCCAGTATTTAAATGTCTCTTTCTCTCTCCTTCTCCTCTGTCTCCATCTCTCTCATTCTGTCACTCTTTCTGCTGTTTCCTTCCAATTAAGCTATAAACATTTTCTACATTCTTCTATCAAGAAAGAAAATGAAGGAAGAAAAGAAGGAAAAGAAGGACTGACGATTTTCAGAACCTGTGCCCTTGACAACAACACTAAGAACCTAGAAATTAGCTTTGATTCTGCCCTATTCCTCACCTCTATCAGTAATTTCTGTCATTATCTTCTCTTTGAATCTTTTCTTTCTATTCCTGCTGGCTTGTGCTCTGTTCATATTCCCACCATCTCATGTTGGAAGAATATTAAACTGATCTTCCTTCTGCATTCTTGCATTCTTGATCCACTCTAGTTCATTCTCCTGCACCTCTGTTTCAAATTCCTTTCATTTTCTCACCTCCTAAAGCAAAGTTACTTAATCTAGAGCCCCAAAATTTAGATAGAAAAATTTTATCTTCATTTCCATTAACTTTTAACAGAAATGTGGGGTGTCTTTCAATTATAGGTGTGTGTGTGTCCATGTGTGTGCACACGCATGCATTTTAAACATATGGTTTAAAGCATAAAAAATAATATTTAGTTTGGCATTATGGTAGACAGAATTCTGAAATGGTCCCCCAAAGTCTTCTGTCCTAATATGATGAGATACCATACCCCTAATTTTGTTATGTTCCATAGCAAAAGAGACTGTGTAGATGTGAATAAAATTACTATCTTAGTCTGTTCTGGCTGCTATAATAAAAACACCTACCATAAACTGGATAGCTTATATACAACATTTATTTCTTACAGTTTTGGAGGCTGAAGAGTTCGAGATCAAGATGCCAGACAGATTCAATGTCTGGTGAATAGACATAGGCAGCACCTTCATTTTTAAAAATTTTTGTTTTAAGTTTTGGGGTACATGTGAAGGTTTATTACATAGATAGATATAGAAAATTGGTCGGAGTAGTGGGAGAAATTATAGGAAAAAGATGCAAACCTTCTTGGAAGGCCAGGAGGTTTTGCAAAGGCTTCGAAAGAGGATTTGGCTAAAGGCAGCTGAATTCTCTCAGGGTAGATAACAAGCAAGTGTGGGAATTGATCTACATAAGTTAGTTTACTTAGGCCTTGGAACCTGGCCTTTAATAATCCGTGTGCAGGACTGACTGCTCTCTGGGGGCTAGGGGGGCAACCATGTTAATTATCCACAAGTTGTGTCACCTCAAAGCCTTTGTCATTAAATCTGTACTAAATAAATGCCCACAGTGCTGGCTTGTAGGGGCTGTGGCTGTTGTGACTCTTTACGGCACCCTCCTTGGTGTCTGTGAGTGGCCCGGTCCCCTAGCCATGGGCCCAGGCAAAAAATCTGTGTCTGCGTACATTTTCTTATCCATCACTCGGCCTGGGTCTGCAGGTCAGACCCAGCAGATAAACACATGTCACAGGGGTTTGTTGTGCATACTATTACATCACCCAGGTATTAAGCTCAGTACCCATAGTTATCTTTTCTGCTACTCTCCCTCCTCCCACCTGCCCCCTTCAAGTAGACCCCAGTGTCTGTTTTTTCCTTCTTTGTTTTCATAAGTTCTTATCATTTACCTCCCACTTATAAGTGAGAACATGTGGTATTTGGTTATCTGTTCCTGAACTAGTTTGCTAAGGGTGATGGCCTCCAGCTCCATCCATGTTCCCACAAAAAACATGATCTCACTTTTTTTATGGCTGTGTAATATTCCATGGTGTGTATATACCACATTTTCTTTATGCAGTCTGTCATTGATGGGAATTTAGTTGATTCTATGTCTTTGCTACTGTGAACAGTGCTGCAGTGAACATTCTTGTGCATGTGTCTTTAAGGTAGAATGCTTTCTCTTCCTCTGAGTATATACCCAGTAATGGGATTGTCAGCACCTTCTTACTGTATCCTCACATGGTGGATGGGGTAAGACAGATTTCTAAGGCCTCTTTTATGAAGGGCTCCACCCTCATGATCTATTCACCTCCAAAAGCCCACCTCCCAGTAACATCATGTTTGTGATTTGATTTTCAACATATGAATTTGGGAGCAGGGGAAGACAAAAAATCAGACTATAGCAGTTATTAATCAGTTGACCTTGAGTTAATCAAAAAGAATATTACCCAGGTGAGCCTAATCTAGTACATTAGCATGAAAACCATTAGAAGTAGATAATTTTCTCTTCCTAGTAGCAGAAAAGTCAGAGATTGCGAGTTTCAAAATATGCACTATTGCTGACTTGAAGATGGAAGGAGCCATTTGTTAAAGAGTGTGGCCAGTCTCCAGAAGCTGAGGGCAGTCCTGACTCACAGTGACCAAGAAAAAAGTGACTTTAGTCCATTTTGCAAGGAATTGAAATCTGTCAACAGCCTGAATGAGCTAGGAAGTATAATTCTTCACCATAGCCTCCAGATTAAAGCCTAGCCAGACACGTATCTTACTTTTATCATTTGTGACCCTGAACAGAGAACAAAGTTGAGTTTGCCTGAACTTCTGATCTACAGAATAGAAATGGAAAATAAGAGGCAGTTGTTTTTAAGTGGTTAAGTTTATGGTAATTTGTTAAATAGTAAAGAAAATTGATACAAGTTTAGAATTATGTACTTATTAATCATTGGAACATTTTTCTATGTGTTCATTTATTAATTGTAATTAACATATGTTTCTGTTTTACCAAAAACTTTTTTTCAAAATCAAAGAAAGGCTGAAAAATAAATGAGAATATCAATTGTCACATGACGAAAAGAAAGACTTAGTAAGTATTGAATGCCACAGTGTTTGCAGAGGTGCTGGTAAGTGCATATGAAGACATCAGAGTTTTGAACCTCAAATCATTCATATCTAACAGGAGAAATGGGTATCTAAATCTGAAAATAAGCAAAACTAAAACTAGAAGCCTACTTGAGGGGAAAGTGTGGGTAATGGGTTGTACAGATAGTATGGAAGCTGGGGAAATTAATGGAAATAATCCTGCAGGAATTAACCTTTGAGCGCAGGCTTTCAGAGTCCATGGACCCTGTGTAGACAGGTTCTAACTAAATGACTTGAACCTTGTAGTGAGAGGCATTTTGAATTGAAAACTGTAATAAAAAGGAGGGAAAAAACATTATAGGAACAAGGGGCAAAGTCTCAGTGGGGGTGAAAAAGCCTAGACTGAGAACAACAACAACAACAAATTCAGGTAAGTCAAAGAATGCAATGATAGTGTAGCTATTAGGTTGTTTGCACCAACCTAATAAACTGTAAGCATATAGACAGATGATGATCAGCTGATGAAGCCCTTTGAAAAGGTAGTTGGTTCAAAATATATTTTAATTTTTCTACCTTAAAGGCAGCTCCTCCTTAAGAACAGACACAAATGAATTGCCAGGCCAGATATCATCAGCACAAGTATCATTGCCTGAAGAAAAGCAAATCAAGGGCCATAGAATGTTTTATGAAAACCTCTGGTGTGTTAAAAGCTTGCCTCTGAAAGAGATGAATATCAGGGCCTGAGACCAGACTTGTACTGACTCAGAATGAAGAGCACCACCTTTTGAAAGACAAATACAAAACTTCTGAAAGTACTTGAGGGTGTTGCTTAGGTTTGAAACTTTGATATTGTTTCTCACTTAATTTTAATTAGCCAGAAAGAGGAAATTCTTACTTCCTGCAGCAAAGACTTAATCAAGGATTCTTCACCTCAATATTGGTTAAAGGTTACTCATCCCAACTTGTTAAACTAGTTTCTTTTAAATCCTTAAGTATTCTTACTTTAGTCAGGTTACAAGTCAGAAAGAATACCGAAGATACTATTCATTTGACCATACATCACAAAGCAGCACGAAGTAGAAGAGTTGGCATTCTCAAAAGTGTATGATGAATTGGTAAGTTTAGTTTTATTTCATGTTTGAAAGATTTTTTTTTTAGTATTATTCTATTTTTATATAAGTCAAAAGTGAGCAAAATGTAAACCATATTGTTATACACATAACTGGTAAAATAATTCTTAAAAGGACAGAGGGAGAATTACCGTACGTCAGGATAGTTAGCTCTCGGGGAAACAGTGAGTGTCAAGAGGGGACACACAGAGATTTTGGAGTGCTGGCAAGACCTCCTCTGCATCTAGTTTGTGATTACACAGCTGTTGCTTTACCCATTAAACTCTGTTTTAAGTACTTATTTGTAAGTTATATTTCACAAAATTTAAAAGAACAGGGGAGATCCTGTGTACTACCAAATATTAACACCAATTAAAGCGATAATTATTGACAGTATAGAAAAACCCAGAAGGCCCAGAAATTGGCCTAAGACACAAAAGACACATAAGAATTTAATATTCTATAAAAATAGCATTACTAATCAGAGGGGAAATGGTGGTTTCACATACTGAACCAATTGGTAAATTCTTCGAAATAAAATCAAATCCCTACCTTATATAATATACCCAAATACATTTGAGATGGATTAAAAATTTCCTTTTCACCCCAAACTTGTATTGATTTAGTTAATGTATATAAACAAAATTTAAATTCCTTTTAAAGACAGGTGTAAAAGTGAAATAAGAAAATACTAGAAGAAAATAAGGACATTTATCCATTCTTGGATTACAAAAATAGTTTCAAGCACATACACAAAGGTAGACTCCTAAAGAAAACAACTTCTATACTGAAATATCACAAACTATGTTAAATGACAAATAAGGCTAAAAAAAGTTACAATATATGACAAAGGACGGACATTCTTAAGAACTTATATGCCAAAAAAAGAGCAAATTATCCAAGCAAGCAACAGAAAAAATATGAATGAGCAATTCTCAAAAGAATGAATATAGCATGGCCAATGAATATGAAAAAAAACACAACCTTCACTAAGTAAGAAAAACAAATACAAATTTTAAATGTAGCCCTTTTCTGTAATTATTCAATTTGCAACGATTTTAAGTAGTAACTTTCAATTCTGAGCATTGGATATATTGCTAATGGGAATGTAAATGAACATGATCTCTGCAGTGAGTAATATATATAAAAATTCTCAAAAACACTTTCACCTAACAATTTCATTTTTAGAGCGGTATCTTCTGGAAATAAGTCATTTTCTATGGATGTGATTAAGATGTTAATCATATCACTATTTACAGATTACATTATAATACATAATCAAATTGCTGAATAGGAAATAAATCTTAAAGTTATGGTATACCCATGAAATAAAATATCCTACAGCTGTCTAAAAAGCAAAATATTTAATATGGGAACATGTTGACAATATATAGAGCAGACTGCAAAGCAATGTACATTATGATTTCATTTTTGAGAATATAAATGCATAACTATGCATAGAAAAATAAGCAAAAACACAACATCAAAATGTTAACAGAGGTTATCTCCCTAGATGGTAGGATTACAGGGAACTGTGTGTCCAGGCACATGAACTCTTCCATATCATCCAGCTTCCAGAATTTACGCTGTGAAATCATTTACTATTCGTTTTAAGAACTAAAACTAATGAGAATCTTAGGTCAGTATACTTTTCACATTTGCTTGAGGGGGGTAAGGAATGAAAGCAATAATTACACCTGGAAGCAAATGTGAACAGTCTTTTTCGAAAGGAAAAAGTTATATTTAATTAAGTCCCGGTAAAACATCACCTTAGCATTTGAAGTTGTTCTAATTAATATTTTATTCTTCAACATTTTTAAAGACTCCAATATATTAGACAAAGAATTTTTTGATAATGTAAGTTAATTTCTCTGGAGACAACCATATAATCCTCTAAAATGACATGAACGTTTATATATGGGACTGAAGTTTCTGCAGTCTATATATACCTCTTTGGGAGGAAAAAAGTAAAGTACTGACAATTCAATTTTAACAAAAAAAATGCTTTCCTTATCAAACATTAATGTTGTGTACATGAACCTATCATCTGTGACAGCAAGGAACTCAAGCCAGGTGATGCACAAGCCTTCACCCAGCTCAGTTAGCTTGGGCTTCTCCTGTACCAGATTTGCCTGAAGTAACATGAGGTTATTTAAAAAGACCTCCACCTAGGTTGCAGTGAGCCGAGATCATGCCACTGCACTCCAGCCTGGGCGACAGAGCAAGACCCCGTCTCAAAAAAAAACACAAAACCAAACAAACAAACCAACAAAAAAACCCTCCACTTTCCAACATCTACTCAAAAGGGAAGTCCTTCCTAATCAGAAGAGAGATAACGTTCTTCCTAAGGGAAGATAGAAAAAGGTGAAGAGCATTTGTTAAGCATTCTCCATGCATGTCTTCCTAGGTGTTTCACATCCAATGTCTCAATAACCCCATGCAAACATGCATACAGTTCTTTAGACTGCTCCCTTCATTACCCAAAAAAGAAGGGAACTATGTCTTCCTAATTGATTTTAGGTGCCTGGAACAACTAAGTATTTCACTGAAAGACATGTAATAAATGCTATTTGATAGGTAAGAAAAAGGAAAAAAGCAAAGTTACCTCTTTTCATTTGGCTTAAAGAAAAAAAAAGTACGTTCTACTATATACTAAAATATCAGACCAATACACAATATATTGCAAAATTTTAATACCATGTGGTTAAACACATATTCAAATATTAAACTTTTCAAGCACATGAAAGTCATCTTCTGAAAGACAAACTGGGCTTTTTTTTATAACTACCTTTGTGTAACTTTATAAAATTACCTCCCTCAACAATATCTGACACTGATCTTGATACTAGTTAGAAAGTCTGATGTAAGATGATGACATCTCAACGTCAGTGATTTAGGAGATTATCTTCAGAATTCATCAGAGGACCAATCGTCATCTTCATCCCTTACTTCTCGGTATCTCCCTGAAGACTCCCCTTCTGGATTATAACTCCGCATTTTAATATTCGGTCTTTCAGCTAATTTTTGCGCTGCGAGCTTTGCTTGCATCTCCTCATAATTCTGTTTCTGCTGTTTCTGAAGTGCCAAGGATTCTTCTATGGAGAGCAGCTGCGTGGGCATATGGTGAAGTGGTAGAAGCCGAGCTGCTGTGATGTCATCAAGATGCTGCTTATCCCTGCGCCGCCGCTCTTTTGAGGAAATAGGAGACCCACTCTTCTGGCAATGACTAGATGAATCATTTTGTCGAAAAGGTAACACATTGGTTTTAAATTTACGCAGCTGGGGCCCTGGGTTTTTGGCTCGCATTTCTAGCACTTCCATATAATGAGGTTTCTTCTGAGTCCCACTAGAAAGGCCTGTCAAGTTCTTAGTACTTGCGTTTTCTTCTGACTGTTGTTCACCTTGGTCCGCAATGGTGATCCTCTGTAACCTGTCAATAAAAAGGTTGTCAAAGCTGCTGGAAGTATCTTCTGCCTGACTTGAAACACGATGCTGCGGGTGATGCTCACTAGCTTCAGATGAAGGTGGTACCCTGTCTCTGTTGCTGGAAGCTGGGCCCTTATTCACTGTGTACTCAACCTCTGAAGTCTCTTCATCACCTTCAAGAGTAGGACGTCCAAGTCCCTGGTTTTGTGAGGTTTGAGATGACTTGATGTTATCTACAGAGGAACATCCAGGAACTAGTGATGAAGTATCAAGTATCGGGTCAGAATTCCGGGCCTTATCTGTACCCACATCAACTTCTGCAATTGCTTTTTGCCTTAGCTTACAGTCTAAACTAACAGGGTGAAACAGTTCATTTTTTCTTCTAACTTCTTCACATTCTGCAATGGCGGCTTTCAGTTTGGCAAAAGAGTCAAAGATCTTTTTACCTTTGTCGGGCAATTTGCAAATGAATTTTTCGTTGCGCAAAAGTCTCTCCTGGAGCTTCAACATTTCCCGCAGCTCCACCAAACTCCGCTGCGCCAAGTCCTCGGGAGCTTGGGGCTCGAAGCCGCGGGGCAGCAAGCACATTCTGCGCGGGCTGAGGCTGGCGCGGCGGGGGGCACTCGGCTTCCTCGGCAGGCTCCGCTACTAGCGCCGGATGACCTCGGACGGCGGTGACTCCGGGGCACGAGCGGGAGTCGCCATTTTCCCGGAAGCGAAAGATTTGTTTCATATTTGTGGTTTCCCCAATGCAAATTGGAAATTATTCAGATTGGGAATCTAAACTTTTTTCCCCCTTCACTTTTGTTGGAAAACATAAAGTAATGTTAGTCTTTATTTTGAGAAACCAGGCTAATAATTTTATATTTAGGATTTGAAAAGTAACACATTGGATTTTAGTTGAAAAGTTTATTGTAAGGATGCCATGATCACAAAGAGAGGGAGGAAAAATAGAAAGCCTGAGGTGACTGGTATAGGAATAGAATGGAGCAAGGAATAGGAAGTATTGTATTTTAACCCTCATTCTGCAATTGATAAATATAACTAAAACTTCAAAAAAATACAGATTTTAATACTCTGATAAATCATTTGCCTTTTAAGATAAAAAAATTAAAGAGCAATATAAGTAATTTGTACATAAGAATATAAAGAGTGAAAAGCAAATAAAGGATCTTAAGATTTTTTGTATTTTAATAGATTTGGAAGGACGTTTATAGAAAATAAATCTTTTATTTATGTATTTATTTATTTGAGACAGGGTCTTGGTCTTTTGCCGGAGTGCAGCGCCATGATCATGGCTCACTGCAGCCTTGACCTCCCAGGCTCCAGCAATGCTATCACCTCAGCCTCCGAGTAACTGGGACTATAGGCATGCACCACCACACCAGGCTAATTTTTGAATTTTTTGTAGAGAGAGAGGTCTCCCTATTTTGCCCAGTCTGGTCTTGAACTCCTGGGCTCAAGTGATCCTCCTGCCTCGACCTTCTAAAGTGTTGGGATTATACTTTATTGAACATTAATTTTTCATCTACAAAGATGAGGTTAATTAATACAAATTTCACGTGCATCTGTGTGAAGAGACCACCAAACAGGCTTTGTGTGAGCAATAAAGTTTTTAATCACCTAGTTGCAGGCGGGCTGTGTCCAAAAAGAGAGTCAGAGAAGGGAGATGGGGTGGGGCCATTTTATAGGATTTGGGTAGGTAGTGGAAAATTATAGTCAAAGGGGGTTGTTCTCTGGCAGGCAGGGGTGGGGGTCACAAGGTGCTCAGTGGGGGAGCCTCTGAGCCAGGAGAAGGAATTTCACAAGGTAATGTCATCAGTTAAGGCAGGAACCGGCCATTTTCACTTCTTCTGTGATTCTTCAGTTACTTTTAGGCCTTTAGGCCATCTGGATGTATATGTGCAGGCTTGGGCTCAGAGGCCTGACATTCCTGTCTTCTTATATTAATAAGAAAAATAAAACGAAATAGTGGTAAAGTGTTGGGGCAGCGAAAATTTTTGGGGGTGATATGGAGAGATAATGGATGATGTTTCTCAGGGCTGCTTCGAGTGGGATTGGGGTGGCATGGGAACCTAGAGTGGGAGAGATTAAGCTGAAGGAAGATTTTGTGGTAAGGGGTGATATTGTGGGGTTGTTAGAAGAAACATTTGTCATATAGAATGATGCGTGATGGCCTGGATATGGTTTTGTATGAATTGAGAAACTAAATGAAAGACACAAGGTCTGAATAAGAGAAAGAGAAAAACAGGTATTAAAGGACTAAGAATTGGGAGGACCCAGGACATCCAATTAGAGAGTGCCCAAGGGGGTTCAGCGTAATTACTTGCTTGGTTGGTGAGTTTCTGGGCTCTATCCTTGAGTTTTTTTTATGTTGTCATACACCAGGCCAGATTGATTTAGGTAAAAACAACACTTTTCACTTAAAAACATACAGAGTCCTCTTTTTTTTTAGCAGTGAGTAAGTCGAGGCCTCCGAGATTTTGGAGGAAAGAGAAATGCAAAGCCAGCAATTGTTCGTTAAAGAAGGATTATAAATGGCTAGGAGAGAGTGAGTGAGATTGATAGTGCGGTGGAGATAGCTGGGGAGAGGTAGAGGGTGGCATAAGAACAGGAACAAGAATAACAGTGAGTATAAAAGTAAAGAATAGGATTTCATCAGGGTGAGAGTATTGTAGTGTACCTTGTCAGCAAAGATCATCTGTCCACTCTAAGAGGCAGTTAAGAGTGGCGGTTTGGAGATAGCACCAGGAGATATTAGCTGTGATGGCTTGGAGAAACAGTGTAAACTGGCAGTGTAAACAAGAGCAGGGCATTTAAGAGTAGTTGAGAATAGTGAATAGGAGTATGACTAGACAGAAGATAGTAGGGATGACAAGTTTTTGGGGCGCAGTCCAAGTTGGGTTGGTATCTGGAATGAGACCAGGGCCTAATAAAAAGGAGCGTTCGTACAGGAATTCAAATGGGTTGCACCCTGTAGCATCCCGAGGACAGGCCCGAATTCTGAGAAGGGCAAGTGGTAAAAGTATTGCCCAGTCCTTTTTAAGTTGAAGGCTGAGCTTGGTGAGGTGTGTTTTTAAAAGACCATTAGTCCGTTTTACCTTTCCTCAAGATTGAGAACGGTAAGGGGTATGAAGGTTTCACTGAATACTGAGAGCCTGAGAAACTGCTTGGGTGATTTGACTAATAAAGGCTGGTTTGTTATCAGACTGTATAGAGGTAGGAAGGCCAAACCGAGGAATTACTTCTGACAGAAGGGAAGAAATGACCGTGGTGGCCTTCTCAGACCCTGTGGGAAAGGCCTCTACCCATTCAGTGAAAGTGTCTACCTAGACTAAGAGGTATTTTAGTTTCTTGACTCAGGGCATGTGAGTAAAGTCAGGTTACCAGTCCTGGGCAGGGGCAAATCCCCGAGCTTGATGTGTAGGGAAGGGAGGGGGCCTGAACAATCCCTGAGGAGCAGTAGAATAGCAGATAGAACACTGAGAAGTGATTTCCTTGAGGATAGGTGTCCACGATGGAAAGGAAATGAGAGGCTCTGAGAGGCAGGCTAGCGGCTTGTAACCTACGTGGAAGAGGTTATGAAATGACAACAGAATAGAATGGGCCTGTGAGGCTGGAAGGAGATATTTCCTTTGGTCCAAGAACCATTTGCCTTGTGTGGGAAGAGATTGATAGGTGGAAGTTTCAGTGAAAGAGTAGGTGGGAGTGAACAATGAGAAGGAGAAAAACTGGCCATGAGGGACAGAAGTTGGAATGCTAGCTGCTTCTTTAGCTACCTTATCAGCATAAGCATTGCCCTGAGTGATGGGATCTGATACCTTTTGATGGCCCTTGCAGTGAATGACTCCAGCTTCCTTTGTAAGTAAAGTTTTTATTAAAGAGGCATTAATGATGGAGGACGCTTGTGTAGTGAGGAAACCTCTTTCTGCCCATATAACAGCATGGTGGTGAAAGATACGGAAGGCATATTTGGAGTCAGTATAAATATTGATGCATAGTCCCTTTGCAAGAGTGAGGGCTCAAGTTAAGGCAATGAGTTCGGCTTGCTGACAGGTAGTGGAGGGGGGCAGAGCAGTAGCCTCAATGATAGATGTGGAAGATACTATAGCATAGCCTGCCTTTGCTGGTGAGTGGCAATTAGGCCTGGTGGAACTGCCATCAATAAACCAAGTGTGATCAGGGTGAGGAACAGGAAAGAAGGAAATATGGAGAAGTGAAGTGAATGTCAGGTGGATCAGAGAGATATAGTCATGGGGGTCAGGTGTGGTATCCGGAATAATGTGGGAGGCTGGATTGAAGTCCAGGCCAGGAACAATGGTAATTGTGGGAGACTCAACAAAGAGTGAATATAGCTGAAGGAGCCGGGGAGCAGAAAGTATATGCATCAGGTGTGAGAAAGAAAACAGATTTTGGAAGTTATGAGAACTGTAGAGAATGAGTTGAATATAGTTTGTGATTTTGAGGGCCTTTAAAAGTATTAGGGCAGTGGCAGCTGCTGCATGGAGACATGATGGCCAGCCTAAAACAGTAAGGTCAAGATGTTTGGACAAAAAGGCTACAGGGTGCGGTCCCAGTCCTCGTGTAAGAATTCCCACTGCATAGCCCTGCACTTCCACTGTGTGTAATGAAGAGGGTTGGGATGAGTCAGGAAGAGCTAGTGTGGGAGCAGTCTCTAAAGCTGTCTTCAAGGAATGAAAGGAGGAGTGGGGAAAAGATTTAGGATCTACAGGGTCAGCTAGGTTTCCTTTTGTGAGTTTATATAACGGTTTTGTTAAGATGGCAAAACCAGATATCCAAAGGCAAAAGTATCTAACCATGCCCAGGAAGGAAAGGAGTTGTTTTGTAGAAGGGGTTGGGGTTTGAGACATCAGTCAGACATGATTGGCAGGGAGGGTATGTGTGTTTTTATGAAGAATTATGCCGAGGTAGGTAACAGAGAAGAAATTTGAGCTTTGGAGGGGGATACTGGATATCCCTTGGAGAATAAGTGTTGAAGGAGCAGGAGGTTGTCTTGTTGAGAAGATTCAAAGCAGGAGCTACAAAGTAGAAGGCCATCAATATTTTGAATAAGGTGAGAAGCAGAGGGGTGGAAAGAAAGTAAATTATGAGAAAGAGCTTGGCTGAAGTAATGAGGGCTGTCCCTGAAGCCTTGTGGTAGTACACCCCAGGTAAGCTGCTGGGACTGATGGGTGTCAGGGTTAGTCCAGGTAAAAGCAAAGAGAGGCTGGGACAAGGGGTACAGGGGAATAGTGAAAAAAGCATCTTTAAGATCAAGAATGGAATAGTGAGTTGTGGAGGAAGGTATTGAGGACAAAAGAGTGTATGTGTTAGGCACCACAGGGTGGATAGGCAAAACAATTTAGTTGATAAGGTGCAGATCCTGAACTAACCTGTAAGATTTGTCCAGTTTTTGGACAGGTAAAATGGGGGAATTGTAGGGAGAGTTTATAGGCTTTAAAAGGCCATGCTGTAACAGGCGAGTGATAACAGGCTTTAATCCTTTTAAAGCCTCCTGTGGGATGGATATTGGCATTGGCATTGAGTGGGGTAAGGGTTATTAGGTTTTAATGGGATAGTAATGGGCGTGTGGTTGCCAGGGAGGGAGTAGAGGCATCCCATACCTGTGGATTAAGATGGGGAGATACAAGGGGAGGATGCGAAGGAGGCTTTGAACTGGGGAAAAGAGTGGCAATGAGGTGTGGCTGTAGCCCAGTAATAGTCAGGGAAGCAGATAATTTAGTTAAAATGTCTCGGCCTAATAAGGGAACTGGGCAGGTGGGGATAACTAAAAGGGAGTGCATAAAAGAATGTTGTCCTAGTTGGCACCAGAGTTGGGGAGTTTTAAGAGGTTTAGAAGCCTGGCCATCAATACTCACAACAGTTATGGAGGCAAAGGAAACAGGCCCATGAAAAGAAGGTAATGTGGAGTGGGTAGCCTCTGTATTGATTAAGAAGGGGACGGACTTACCCTCCACTGTAAGAGTTACCTAAAGCATCTTTGATGGTCCAGGAGGCTTCTGAGGTGATCGGGCAGCTTCAGTCTTCAGCTGCTAAGCTGAGAAGATCTGGGAAGGAGTCAGTCAGAGAGTCTTGGGCCAGAGTTCCAGGGGCTCTGGGAGTGGTTGCCAGGTGAGTTGGACAGTCCGATTTCCAGTGGAGTCCCTCATAGATGGGATACAGCTTAGGAGGGATCCCGGGCCACAGGCATTCCTTGGCCCAGTGGCCAGATTTCCAGCACGTGAAGCAAGATCCTGAGGGATGAAGTCCTGAAGGAACACCTGGCCACTGTGGTTTAGGCATTTTGAAGTTCTTGTGTGCTGGAGATGTGGCTAGGCTTTCTCTCAGAGAAGAGGCAAGTAATTGCAACTCTTCTCTATTATTGTACACCTTGAAGGAGAGGTTAAGTCCTGTTGTGGGGTTTGAGGGCCAGAATCTAATTTTTGGAGCTTTATTTAATGTTGGGAGCAGATTGGGTAATAAAATGCATATTTAGAATGAGACGGCCTTCTGACCTTTCAGGGTCTAGGGCTGTAAAGCGTCTCAGGGTTGTTGCCAAATGAGCCATGCACTGGGCTGGGTTTTCATATTTGACGAAAAAAAGCCTAAATGCTAACTGATTTGGGAGAGGTCGGATAAAGAAAAAGGAGCATTAACCTTGACTATGCCTTTAGCTCTAGCCACCATTTTTAAAAGGAAATTGTTGGGAGGTGGGGGAGGGCTAGTCGCGGAACAAAACTGTAAGCCAGACTGGGTGTGGGGAGAGGAGGTGATAGAAGGATTATAGGGTGGAGGAGCGGAAGCTGAGGAAGAATTGGAGCCTGACTCAGCCTGGCGGGGAGTTACCTGAGGAGGAGCAATCTTGGGATGAAGGGAGAGGTCAGATGGGTCGGTAGAAAAGGAAGATTGAAAGCAACGCTTGGGGTTGGGACTGTGGGGACAGGTGGGAGGGAAAGAAGAAAGGTTTGGGATGAGTCGCACTGGGAGCAGAGATTAGGAAGAGACTGATGTGTAAAAGAATGCCTGGACGTCAGGCACCTCAGACCATTTGCCCATTTTATGAGAAGAATTATCTAGATCTTGTAGGATGTAAAAATCAAAAGTGCCATTTTCTGGCTATTTGGAACCATTGTCGAGTTTGTGTTGGGGTTAAGCAGCATTGCAGAAGAAAATAAGGTGTTTAGGTTTTAGGTCAGGTGTGAGTTGAAGAGGTTTTAAGTTCTTGAGAACACAGGCTAAGGGAGAGGATGGAGGAATGGAGGGTGGAAGGTTGCCCATAGTGAAGGAGATAAGCCCAGAGTAAAGAGAGGGTAGAGACACAGAGATAAGGGGTGGGGGGTGCTTGCCCCCCCCCAGGAAAGTGATACTTGCCACTAAGGGTGAAGGATCAAGGCAGGCGTCCCCACAGTGATCAGACACCTCTGAAACGTGGGTGAATAATCAAGCAGGCATCCCCTCAGTCATTAAACACCAAGCGAAGACTGTCTTCCCAAGTCCATGACTGGCGCTGGAGTTTTGGGTTCACAGATAAAACGTGTCTCCTCTGTCTCTACCAGAAAAGGAAAGGGATTGAAATGAAGGGAGAGATTGAAGGGTGACACAGAAATTGAAAGGAGAAAGAAGTTGAGGGATAGTGAGAGAGGTTGGAGAAGAGAGTAAAAAGAAGCCGCTTACCTGATTTAAAATTGGTGAGATGTTCCTTGGGCTGGTTGGTCTGAGGATTCGATGTCGTAGGTGGATCTTTCTCATGGAGCAAATAGCAGGAGGACAGGGGATTGATCTCCCGAGGGAGGTCCCCCGATCTGAGTCACAGCACCAAATGTCATGTGCGTCCATGTGAAGAGACCACCAAACAGGCTTTGTGTGAGCAATAAAGCTTTTTAATCGCCTGGGTGCAGGAGGATGAGTCCAAAAAGAGAGTCAGCAAAGAGAGATAGGGGTGGGGCCATTTTATAAGATTTGGGTAGGTAGTGGAAAATTATAGTCAAAGGGGGTTGTTCTCCGGCAGACAGGGGAGGGGGTCACAAGGTGCTCAGTGGGGGAGCCTCTGAGCCAGGAGAAGGAATTTCACAAGGTAATGTCATCAGTTAAGGCAGGAACCAGCCATTTTCACTTCTTTTGTGATTCTTCAGTTACTTCAGGCCATCTGGATGTATATGTGCAGGCTTGGGCTCAGAGGCCTGACAAAAATTACTCAGGATGATGAGGGAATTACCAATATCTTTTCTAGTGGTGTTTAACCAGAGTTGCACTTTGTTTTTCCATTGTTAATAATATTTCTATATATAAAATTCAATTAAATGTATGGATCTCTAGATCACAGTCCTCCTAACAGATTTTACTCAGTACGATCATTAAAAATGTTCCTCTTTCACCTGCTCATCTTAAAGTCACAAATTAAGATTTAGGTTGTTAAAAACAAATAACCAAAAAACACTTTCCACACTTAACACATTAAGATTTACTTTTAAAATGGACAGTAATAGAAACAATTATTTTTATTTATTATTATTTTTATTTTTACTTAAAATGATCTCTAATCTGTAAGGAAAAAGCTGATTATGTCATACCAATAAAAATAATTTAGTCCTTTTTATCTCTTTAATATCTTTAATAGTCATGCCTTTATTCAAGTTCTATTATGTTCCAGCACCATTCTTGCCACTGTGGTGATGGGCAGGTTGGGGGGACATAGGAGTGAAAAACACAGTTCTTTGAGGGTTATGTGAATGTCAATTCTGTAGAATGGTTAGTTCAAGGAAAAAGAGACATACCAGAAGTGTAAAGAAACAAATGAAAGTTACATAAATAGAAAGAGAAAGGAAAAGTAGAGTGGAATAAAAATCTGGGAAAAGCAAAAGATCTATGGCTGGTCAATAGCCCAAGAACTCATTTAAACTTCTGCATTTCTGTTACCTTTCAAGATTTTTAAAGTTATCTTCTCCTGGTCCTAAATCTTTTTGAAAACTCCGCATTCCCATTCTCTATGCAGATAAGTCAGTATGACTAGTTTATATCTTTTTTGAAACATTGAGTTTGGTTTTCTTTGGTTTTATGGCTCAGAGGAATGTGAGGGATGAGAGTAGTGTTATGGGTAGAGGAAGCATTGTTGAAAAGCCATCTCTACTCTTACCATTGATAATCAATGCCTCAGTGTAAATAGCTCTCAGAGGGTTTTCCTCATTTGGAATACACAAACATCTTTATTTATTAGTTTTTTTCATCTCTAAGTAATGTGAAAAAGACAATTTTATTCCTTGTTGTACATTTCAGCACTTAGTAGAATGCTTGGCCCATATATATTAGTTGAAGCATTTAATTGTTCTTCAAATTTGTTTGGTACCATTTAATTTTCAGCCAATAACTTATCTGCTCCTGGTTGTCTGAGTCTTCTCCACTTGACTAAAATGGATTTCAATACTATCTTGAAAGACTCTTTTTTACACAGAAATATTTTGTTTAATTTTCTAGGAAGCCACTCTGTATTTAAATATAATGATGTATATACATGTAAATACATTTATAGTATTTAATCTTTAGTCTTTATTTATATTACATTTAATAGACAGTATTTAGTCATTATATTTTTCTACAAATGAGTAATTGTGGAATAGATTCCTGAGATTAAAGTCCTGCAGTGGGGTCCTGAGTAGTTTTACATTTCTCTTTGCCTTACACAGAAATATATTAGAGTCTCTTTTCATGTAGTAACATCTATCACTGAATTTTAGGTTATTTCCCATATTGACTATTAAAGTCAAGTTTTGATTTTATGATAGTGAGAATAAAAGAACTTTGCCAATTGAAAACATGTAAATGCAGAAAACAGAGTCTATTGATTGTAATTTCGCAACCAAATTTGTCATTTAAATAAGAGACTACCTTCATCTTCTATGATAGTGTTTTGATCTGTAGAAGTTTAGCACTGTTAGTGTAGGACTAGGAGTATATGCCAAAAAAAAAAAAAAAAAGGAGAGAAAAGACAGATGGTCCCAAAACTGAATAAGAATAATTAGTATCTCTGAAGTAGCACAATTCCAAGTTTAAAAATGCAATGAAAGTTTTATCAGAACATATACGTACATACATATATATACATATATAATTTAGATTTTCTTTTTTCTTCATATATATTTTTGAATAAGACTTAACAAGATATAAACCAATCTGTATTAATCTAATGTTAAGTATTTTTACAGGAAAATGTTATGATAATCTTTAAACATGTTATTTTTAAATTTTTGCATCTTGGTAAAATTGACACACATAGAAGTCAGTACTGCACTTATGAATGTTCTGGAAACATTATTATCTGTAATAATGGCCTTTCCTCTGGCTAATTGCTGTGCACATTCAAAATTGTTTCCTTAGGATAAATTCTTTTTGGCACAAACACTTTTACTGTTCTTGAAATGTCATTCCTGGTTAATAAACTATATTCTAAATTTATTTTTTCGTTGACTATTCTCTATACCCCTGGATAATTGGAATAAGGGTTTCTCATTCTCCCATACTTCAAGATACCTCAGAATTGAAGACTTAGTCTTTCTCCTCCATGCCATCTTGGACTATTACTCTTCACACCCTTGTAAAACTGCCTTGTTTTGTTGAGGTTCGTACAATTATTCTGTCCACCCTTTTTCTTTACTCATTGCTGTCCTTATGGACCCCAGAGTTATGCTTTCCATTTACTGGAGACTCTGACACTTGCTTCTCTATTTCTTTTTCTAATACAACTCCTACACTTACCCTAGATAGCATCAGTGCTTTTGTGGTTGATGTTCGACATCTTAGTCATTTATTTCCTTCAACTTCTTATCTCTATAATTTTCTCTTCCAAAAATACTCTTCTCTGCACACCCTGGACTTTGTGATGATTTGGAATTATTCTATCTGAATCATAACTTTGGACTTTGTCACTATTCTAACCTTCCTTTGTAGCAATCTTAGTTACTTACAATGCATCAAGGTTTTTTATTTTTATTTTTTTACTAATGCACTGTTCTAATCTTTGAATTCTTCATATCCATCAGGAGCCACTCTCAGTGTGTGTGTGTGTGTGCACGCACACACACACTCGTCTTTGCTTTTCTTGTGATCCTTAGGTTAATGATTTAAACAAAAATTTTAACTATGTCTTGAACTCCACTAAATTCTCTCTCCCTGTATCTCTTTTATTCTTCATACTGGCTAAAATATAGGGAAGACATAACTATCTGAAAAATGGCTAACCTCTGCTCAGACCACTGAGAAATGCTACAGAAATGTAGTATTTGTATAGCATGTGTAACATATGCTACACAAATGTTGAGGAGGTGCCTCTTCATCTAAGTCCTCAATTCTGCCCACCATTCCTACTACATTCCCTTAAACTATTTTCCACATTGAACAAGTTTATTCAGCTTCCTCAAATTTCCAGTTCTCATCACCTGCCATCTCATCTTTCTGCAACTTCAAAGAGATAATATGATTGATGAATTAGATGACATTTCCTTCAGCTTCCTGATATTGAATCAACAAACCTACATGCATCCATTCATGTTCTCAAGTGGATGCCTACAGTGTGTCCAAGTTTTCCAGTCTGTTACATTGAACCATATGAAAATGTCAGTGAATGACAACTTTTGACCTATGTGAAAGGTAATTTCATGTGGGTGAACCTAGTAGTTTAGAATCCACGATTATTCAAATATTATGTGAGTCCAATTCACCTCCCAACCTCAGACAATCTACTGGTTAGTTACACTATTTTAAGTATACTGAAAACTGTCGCATCCACAAGAAAACAAAAATCCTTCATCAACTCCATAAACGTTGATGACTTGTCTCTCTCTTCTCTTCCCGTCCATAAACTCATGAAAAAATTGTTGATACTCACTTGTCCCATTTACTCACTTCCAACATGTTCTCCAACCCGCAGACAGGTGATTTATGATCCCACTACTCTGTTCCTCTTCCTGTCATGATCACCGATGATTCTCTGTTGCTTAATTCAGTGTATATTCTACATTTTTATCATATTACTCTTTATCCTTTGTTATTGTATCACACTTATTCTTCTTATCTCCTCTAATTTTCTCCTGATTTTCTCTGGTTTTTCAGCCATTCCTAAACAACCGATAGGTCAAAAAGATTTTTTTTTAAAGCAGGTTGACCAAAAGGGAACTGATACACATGGTGGGAATGTAAATATCTACAGCCATTATGGAAAAGAGTATGAAGATTTCTCAAAAAAAAATTAAAAAATAGAACTACTGTATGATCCATCAGTTCCACTATTGGCTATATATGCAAAGAAGAGCAACATGTGTGTAAACAATAAAAAACATACAATGTTATCTGTCAATTTAAAAATAAGTAAATGAACAAATAAGAAAGAGAAATTAATTCTAAATAGGACGGAAAATGAGCACTTCAAATATAGCATTTGGTGCCGTCTTAAAGGTATGTTGTTCATAAGTAGACAAGTACAGGGGGGCAATTTTAGATGGGTTATCAGACTAACAAAGTCTAAAATCAGGGGCCCACCTTCATTAATGTAACAGGTGTTTTGTTTATTTTGTTTTGCACCAGATTGACATTCTCAAGAAAAATGCAAATTATAAGGTTTTCATTAAAACAAATGCTCATTTTAGAAATTTGTTATAGAAGATATTATATGTCTCAGCAGGCATAAAAATATATCACACATAAGGCAGAAAAAATTCTATGAATGACTTGATTTTTAAGTTTTGTTGTTTTTATAATTATTACAATTAAATACTACTTTGAGAGTAGCTGGCATAACCCTTTCCAGTTTATACAAATGAAATCCACTATAATTCTTTAATTCAGGTTCTCTATTTGATGATAAACTAATAAATTAAAATACTGATTTATTATAACTAATAAATTAAATTACAATCCTGATTACTGAAATGCTCCCATTAGGAAATAAATAGCAGTTTTGAGCAGACAACATGGAAAAACACACAGGGTGTGGGGTCAGAACACCTGATTTTAAATCAAGACTTCTCTAGTTAATAGCTATGTGTCATTAGACCAGACCCAAGACTTCTGTGAACCTGTTTCTATCTCTGTATTAGTACCCAGGATAAATACAATAACTACAAAACAATAAAAGATTTTCATTGCTAATGGACCCAATGGAGGCTCCATTGAAAAGAGAGTTTTGTATATTAATGTAGGGTTTGATCATAACCCTTGTGCCAGAGGCACCTATGGAACAAATGGCCCATTTACTTTTTAGGGGTTTACTGTCCTTTTTTTCCTTGAATTCCTATTCAGGTACCTGAGAACAGATCCTGAATGGTTTATTGTGTCCTATTTGTAAGCAAATGATTATTTTCACCAAAGAGTTTTAGGTCTCTCCAAGAGGAATAATTATTTTCTGATCTCGACCTTGGGTCACAGCCCAGATACTTGGTGGCCTCACTATCTTGAGACATGTATCATGTAACTCAGGCATATCTCTCCCTCGTGGTCTGCTGGGTGACTCCACTGCAAGTGGCATTTCTCCATGGCTATTCCCCATAGTACTAGAAGTTCCTAATTGCACTGCTACACACTACTTTTACGAGTTTTGGGGCTCTTTCAGATTCCTGGATCTTGGATGAAAATAATAAAATTATTTCTTAGTATTTTTTGCTCTCTCTTTTCAAGCTTCTATTTTTCTCACATGCCACATTGGCCATTGTGATGTGAATTCTGTATTAGAACCTATAATGACTGTACAGAGGAAAATGTTAATTAATAGAAGACAAGAAATTTAGGTGGGCAAAACTAATTACTACTTTTATGTTTTGGAGTAAATCTTTTTAGCCTCAGTTGCCTCAATTGAAAAGTGGGCATAATTATATTTACCATATAAACTTTATATAGATGTTGGGTGGATCAACTGTTATAGGATATGTTAAAGATCTTTATAACTGTAAAGTGATATATAAAAGTTATTATCATGATTATAATTAGAGTGACATGTACTTCATCCTTATGCCTCACCCTTTGTTCTCCCAAATGTGTTTGGAATAAGGTAGGGCAACCATAAGTAAAGGACCACTCCCTACCTTTTCAGGGCCCTACAGCTTTCTAACACCACCCTCATAAGACTGCTTACACCATGCAAATGTATCAGACACAAGCAGAAAGAACTCCAACAATTAAGATAGCTTATCAGACATTTGAAAATTCTATTTATATTTTTATATCTATATTTAGCTAAAGCCACCCTGTGGCAGGTATTTTGTCACTAAAATGTGAGGATGAGTAAAAGAAAAGTGGAGATGAGAACTATCTGGATAGAAATTCCTTCATTACAGTGTTGTCACGAACCTCCACAATAAGCACGACTTCTATGTGGTGGCTCAACTGCTTTGGTCAGAGCAGCTATCAACTGCTTACACTTTCCAAACCATCTAGTTTTGTTCAGCCAGATCAATCACTCACAGCCACTTCTTTAATCAAGTTTAATAAGAGCTAACATTGAATGAGTACTTCCAATCTTTTCTTTCTCATAATGCCACTGTAGATATCATCTGTATTTTACAGATTAATAAACTCAGGCTCCAGTATGTGATGCCAGGCCATATAACTTGTGAGTGCCGAGGAATTCTGTCTGAAACAGTCCAGGCTTTTTCTACCATACATGCAACCTCTATTCGGAGAGTTGGTGAGGCTGCTGTGACCAAACTCTTAAAAGGTAAATGTGGGAGAAATATTGTTTATTTTCCGTTCAGTAATGTGAGATATGCAGAACTGGCTGGAAGAGGTGAAATATCACGTAAAAATGCATTTCTTGTTCCCAAATTCTATTGATGCATAAAATAGTATATCACTGCATTGTCTTCAAACATCTTTCTTATATGCCTGACTCAGGATAGTGTTCAATGTACACATGAAGATGCAATCCAGTAAATATTTTTATTTTATTTTATTTTATTTTGAGACAGAGTTTTGCTTTTGTCACCCAGGCTGGAGTACAATGGCGCAATCTCGGCTCACTGCAACTTCCGCCTCCTGGGTTCAAGTCATTTTCCTGCCTTAGCCTCCTGAGTAGCTGGGATTACAGGTGCGCACCACCACACCCAGCTAATTTTTGAAATTTTAGTAGAGTCAGGGTTTCACCATGTTGGCCAGGCTGGTCTCAAACTCCTGACCTCAGGTGATCCACATGCCTCAGCGTCCCAAAGTGCTGGAATTACAGGCATTAGCCACCTCATCCATCCTGCAACCCAGTAAATCTAATGTACAGCATGGTAACTATAGTTAATAATACTTTATTGTATATTTGAAATTTGCTAAGAATGTAGCTATTAAACGTTCTCACCATACACACACTCAAATGGTAAATACATGAAGTGATAGATATGTTAGTTTGGTTGTAGTAGTAATTTCACAATGTATACATATTATCAATTATCATGTTAAACACCTTAAATATATACATTTTTTGTGAGTCAGGGTCTTCTTCTGCCACCCAGGCTGGAGTGCAGTTGGCTGATCATGGCCCACTGTAGCCTCAAATTCCCAGGCTCAAGGGATGTAGCTCAGCTTCCCAAGTAGCTAGAACCACAGGCACACACCAACATGCCTGTAGACTGGGAATTTTTTTTTTTTTTTTTTTTTTTTTTAATGAGACGGGGTCTCCCTGTGTTGCCCAGCTGGTCTCAAACTCCTGGACTCAAGAGATCCTCCTGCCTTGGCCTCCCAAAGGGTTATGATTACAGGCATGAGCCACCACTACTAGCTTATATTTTTTTATTTGTCAATTATATCTTAATAAAGCTCAGGGGGAAAAAGATGCAAACTAGTAAATAGACAACTGTCAGCCTCATTCTTGCTTATTAGCCAACAGTAACCTAAAGATGTGATAAGTCACATACAGACAAGATTGTACAGATCAGTGGAATATTGAGAAAACCATCTTGGATATTAAGAGAACATGAGAGTTTTTTCCTACTAATTATCTAGATAATTATCTTAACTCTTGTTTTCCCCTTTTCAAAGTGATTCTGACCAATGGTAGGAGAAGAAAACTAGAACCCAGTCCCTATCTCTCTTTTCACTCCCTATCTCATATCCCCTTCACTAACATTGCATGGTCTCTGCAGAAAACAGAATGTATTGCCCACTTTGAGCCAAGCACTATGCTAAACATTAGTGTAGTGACAAGAGCAAACGGAGAGAACGCTGGCCCAGAAATGAGATGTAAGAAGAGCATAACACTGCGGCAGATGTGTTAGTGAGAGCTTGTGTGTGTTCCGTTCTGGTTATTTATATTTTCTCTATGCAATGAAATCAATGTAATTGGCTGAGAATGATGATTACAGAGAAGGTATTGCAGCTTTGAAAAGAGAAGATAAAATAATTGACTATTTCTCACATTAGGAGAAAGAGTAACTAAATAGTATGATGGTCAGGAATCACTGAGGGAAAACTTCAGGATAGTGGTCGGGGATTTAAAATGATTTTATTTTTTTCCCAGCCACATTTGTGTAACATAAAATAGGCAGAAAGTTGTATTTAATCAGGGATTGGGTTTTCCTAGATGATTAGGGCCAAGTGAGGTAGAGTTACAGGTCTGAGGGTGTATGCCAGGGAATGAATATGATGAGGGATCGCGGGATGTAGGCTAAGGAAGGAGAGCAATGCAAGCTGAGGGTGATGGGAGTCAGTGAGCAAGTGGGAGGATCAGCGGATTATAGACCCCAGTGGGACTGAAGTCAGGGTACCAAGGAAGTGAGCTGGGAAAATGGGTGGTAGTGGTTAAACAGTTGGGACATCAAAATTTAGATTATGATGAAATTGCAGCTATTGGTAATGACAAGATATAGAGCATGGATTATGGGAGTGGGCAGCAAAAGTAGGGAGAAGGGCAAGGTTATTGGTGCAAAGAGATAGAAGGTAGAACACTGCCAGTGCAATAAAACAGTTAGCAACAACACTGGATAGGAAATTTCAAGAGAGCTACTAACTGGGTGGGGGATAGCTGTGAACGGAGCTGGTTCTTAAAGGAGGGAAAACGTATACAGCAGCACACTGAAAGATTTCCAGAAATGGAAATGCTAGTGGCTGGGAAAAGGGATGTAGAGAGGAGGTTTTAGGTAGAGGAGGTGTTATTATCAAAACAAAGGAGTGGGTGAATGTCAGGAACAGAAGAGCATACATGAAGAGAAGTACTATACCTTCAGAGTGCAAAAGTAAGTTTGACTCAATATATGGAAGGCTATTTTTTTTAATGTAAATCATATCAGCCAAGCACAGTGGCTCGAACCTGTAATCCCAGCATTTTGGGAGGGTGAGGCGGGTGGATCGCTCAAGCTCAGGAGTTCCAGACTAGCGTGGGCAACATGGCAAAACTCCATTTCTACAAAAACTACAAAAATTAGCCAGGTGTGGTGGTGCAGGCTAGTAGTCCTAGCTACTGGAGAGGCTGAAGTGGGAGGATGGCTTGAGCATGGGAGGTTGAGGCTGCAGTGAGCTGAGATCATGACACTGCACTCCAGCCTGGGTGACAGAGCAAGACATTGTCTCAATGAAAAAAAAGTAAATTATATCATGTTTTTCACATTTAAAATTGTCCAGTGGATCCCTATAACCCTTAGATTTAGTGATACCTCACTATGGCCTACAGACACCCCCTGATGTGATCCTTGTCTGCCTCTCTGGCTAACCTTCTCCACCCTTCCTGGGACTCACTGCAATCTAACCACTCTGGCCTCAGTTCCTCCAGTGACTCAACAAGTTCACTCTTGTTCCAGTTCTCAGAACTTGCTGCCACCTCGTTGCTGTCTCCCCACATCTTGAAATTGTTTCCTTGTGATTCACCTCTCAGCCCAAATAGCTTTTCTTCAGTGACAAATCGCTGCTGCTTAATTAAGTAATCATTACCTCTGTCCCTCAACCTGCAATCACTCTCTAATGTGTTTAATGACAAAACTTATTCTTTGTTTTGTTCATTTTGAGAGTTCTATTTGGGATGACAGAACATTAGAAAATAGGATGATTGCACTTTATGAATATACTGAAAAGCATTGAATTGCACACTTTAAATTGGTGACCAGTATGATATGTGAATTATATCTCCATAAAGCTGTTAGAGAATAAAAAGAATAAAAGGGAGGAAAGGAAAGAAAAATAAAGACAGGAAAGAAGAGATCAAAAGGTTCTGGAAACTCAAAAGTGTGTCTTCATTCAATATAGAAGCTCCCACAGCTATTATTCACCGAAGTGTCAAAGTCATACTCTATCATTATCCCTCCTCTTTAGCACTTATGTGACTTCAGCTGTGACTTACATGACTTCTCAAATAGTTCTTTAAATTGTCCTTCCTGACTCAAGGAAGACCTTAATTGATTTTCTTTTCAAACTTCATCCCTTTTATTTATTTATTTATTTATTTTTCTGAGATGGAGTCTCACTCTGTCACCCAGGCTGGAGTACAATGGCGTGATCTCAGCTCAGTGTAACCTCTGCCTCCCAGGTTCAAGCGATTCTCCTGCCTCAGCCTCCCGAGTAGCTGGGACTACAGGCTTGTGCCACCATGCCTGGCTAATTTTTATATTTTTAGTAGAGACAGGGTTTCACCATGTTGGCCATGCTGGTATCAAACTCCTGACCTCAGGTGATCCGCCCACCTTGGCCTCCCAAAGTGCTGGGATTACAGGCGTGAGCCACCATGCCCGGCCTCATCTTTTATTTTTTAAAGAAAAACTATTTCCCAATGGTTAGATACAGTGACAGTAAGACTTGTTCATTAGAAAAGATTTGCAAATAATGTCTTTGTGCATGTTACAACTTTCAAAACAATACCTGCTTTCTTGTGGAGGTCAAAATTTGTTATCAAGTAATAGTAGGAAGAGAGATGACTAAGGATGAATGATGCTTAATTGAAGACATTGGTAAGAAAGCAGAAAAATGTACCCCCTCCAGATATGAAGCAACATTGACAAAAATGGTTGGAAAGTACTGCTCTGGCCAGTCACATTGTTTTCAATAGCTCAGGTCAATGGCCTATGCATTCTTTTTTATTCTTACGAGGTTTTAATTATCTCAATTCCTTCAAGGAATAATTTCTCATGGAACTTCCCCATGTAAATTTGCATTTATGAACAGAACTTTGAAGCGTAGCACTCTTGACATTGATTATCTCCTTTTGAACTCTTATCTACTAAAACATCAGTTATTTTAATAATTTTAATTATGATATCAATCAACTTTCCAGTTATGAACCATTATGTCTTTCTTATTTGTGTAATGTGGGATTATGGAAACAAGACACACAGCTTGTCAGAACGTGAAACGTAAAAGAAAGCACAAACCTCATTTAATCTTTTACACAACTTTCAGTATTTCTGTCCACATTACCGATTTTATGACAGTCTTGTATCTGGTGGGACAATTAGAATGATCATCATCATTATTACTAAGCCATTGTGATTATGAATAGTAACACCATCACCTCCTGGTATTTGCATGACAATGACTTTATTCCAAAGTTACTGTGTTTTACCTAGGAAATGAAGTAAAATTCTAATTGATGATTCACCCATCTTGTTCTAAAATTTCCCATATTCATTATCTTCATCCAGTAATTCTTTTCCTGTGGACACTTCAAAATGTGCTCACCATATAATGCCTACTTTTGAACCTGTGGTTTCTCCTGTAGGCTCCCCGTCCCCCAAGCTTAGAATCTCTTACCTGCTGGAACATTCTCGGGGGATAAGCCAGGATTTGCTAGGCTTCTCAGCTGCTCCCCAGTCAGTGAGTAGTTTGTGTCCAGTGTCGTCACTCAGATTCTGAAGACCTGGGCACCACCTCTGTTTCTTTCGTGAGCAGCGCCTTCACCATCTACTAGCTCACTCCACTCCATCTATTCACAGACTCCTCAGTATCTTTTCCTAGCTGCTTTTGAAAAACTTGATGTTATTTTTAGTGTGGCCTGGATAATAATAGTCATAAAATAACCCAACCTCCTAAATCCTTACCATGTTTCAACTACTGTTTGAAGTACTCTTACATATATATTAACTCAGTCATTGCTATGATCCCACATAATGGGTGCTAGGGTTTGGATATTTGACTCTCCAAACCTCATCCTGAAATTTGACACCAATGTTGGAGGTGGGGTCTCATGGGAGATGTTTGGGTCATCAGGGCAGATCCCTCAAGAATAGATTAATGCCCTTCCTAAGATGAGCGAGTTTTCACTTTATTAGTTCCCACAAGAGCTAATTGTTAAACAAAAAAACAAAACAAAACAAAACCTGGCACCCCATCTTCCTCCTCTCTGGTTGTGTGCTGTGTGCACACTCTGGCTCCAATTTGCCTTCTTCCCTGACTGGAAGCAGTCTTTAGCCCTCATCAGAAGCCCAGCAGATTCCAGCACCACGTTTCTTGTATAGCCTGCAGAACCGTGAGCCAAACAAACTGTTTTTTCTTTAAAAACAACCCTGCCTCAGGTATTCCTCAAGGGTGAAGTCACTTACATTTTTCTTTGAAACCAAAGAAGTTTTCTTTGAAACTTCTGACTTGCTGGTCAGAAGTTTCTCCAAAGCTGGATTTTCGTGCACTGTAGTGAACTTGTTTAGTAGTCTCTCTGGGATAGTCGTACTAAAGCTGAATTCCTTGAATTGGAAGGATTAGGGATAGGGAGAAGCCAAGAAAGAAAGACAAAGAGAGAATTATCCTTTAGTGATTATTAAGTACAAATTTTGTACAAAATTTTAAATTGTATCTTGATTCCAGGTAAATGCTTAATCTCATTTCCATTCCTGCCATGGAAAAAGCAATGCAGGTGTAGCAATACTCTTTGCTAAAAACAGTTGTTTGTTTTGCAAATGGTTTAGAGTTGTCTACTACTTTATGATACATTATTTCATTCAGTAGACAAATAATTACCAAGTACTTCTATGAAGCAAACTCCCCACCTGTCTAGAATAGCCATGGAAATTCTTCAATGTTTAAGCTAAAATTAGGTTAGTACTAAAAGAAATAGAGAGAAAAATGTTATTTTTTGAACAACATTGAGGAATAAATATTTCAGGGAATGTCTGGAAGGAAATAAACTGAAACAACTTCTCACTTTGACATATAAGACTTTAATTCAGTCTTTAATTCTGGTGTTAGGAATAGAATAATTCAACAGGTAACCACATATTTTTGAAGATGAGAATTCTGTTGCAAAGGAAACTCCCCTTTATGAATTGTGTTCTGTGTCTGGCTCAGAGAGGAAAATAGTGAGAAGATGTGTCCACCCTTTTTAAGCTTAAAAAAAAACTGTATCCTTATTTCAGCCATTATTTCCTCCAAAGAGGAATTGTTAGCCCTTCTTTGAAATTCTCGTTTAAATTTTCTGCAATTCTGATAGCAATTTGTGTCTACTGTGTTCCTCCTTTATCAGACTATAAGTTCCTCAAAAGAAAGATCTGTTGAAGAGTCTTTACATTCCCTTGTTTTGTACATAGTAATCCTGAATAAAATGCCTGCTGAGTTAACTAACACATAAACGCATTAATTAAGTTTACCTCTACTCTGATTAATATACGGTTTTCTCAAGTATGTCCTTGGTTCTCAAGTTTTCTTATCTTTGCTTATGGTGTTCTCTGCCTGATGCACAGACGACCCTTGCCAATTCCTTCTCAGCCTTTAGGACCTAGTTCTAAGAACAGCTTCTCTAAGGCAAAACCATTTGTATCCACTCATCTGTAATAGCATTTTGAGACTTGTATTATACTAGTTACTTTATGTGTCTCTAGATTATACATCTTTTAAGAGAAGAGACTATGTCTTAATCTCTAGAAGTGTTTCATTGGCACACAGAAGAAACTCAGTGAGTGTTGACAATGGGCTCATGATTCTCCATGGTCTTCTATTAGTGAAGGTGACAGATATGTTCATCAGCTCTTGCCTGTGCTCCAGCTCCAACTCAGTGATTCTAGAGACACTTCAGATATTTCCAGGTTGCTATGCTTTTCTTTTGCTACCCACCTAAGAGTAACAGGACAGAGTAACATAAGATCCTTCTAGAATACCAGCTGAACTCAGAATTAGTGCTACTTGAATACTTAACAGAGCTCAGGTTGATGATTCTGGGATGGAGAAATTGCGTCTATGTACTCCTTTGCCCAGACCCAAGAATATCAGGGGAAGCCTGACTCCTTCCAGTTCAGTGATGCCTGAAGAGGAGAGTCAACTGATATCTTCAGTTATAACCTGAGGCCTGCTATCCACTTTACTACTATCAGGTACCAATCTCAGGAAAGGTAATTCCCTCCTTTTCTTTTCCATGTGTAATTTTAACAGACAGGACAAGAACTAGCACCCTTCTCAGAACCATATTCTTGTCCAGTCTCCTTATGGATTAAATCTCTTTAAACAACCCATGTTGGTGTTATCTTGGCCTGCCTCAACTCTGTAACTGTTCAGATTTTGTCTTTAGACTGTGGGCTCTGGCACTGGGATGAGGAGAGAGTTTTGCCACGTTTTCCTGCTTGCACAAGGGATTCCCAAATGTCAGTCATTTGCATACCACTTTTATGCTTTTGCCATATTTGCATACTGGCACTATTATTGCCTTGATATTTTCTTAAAATTGATTTTTAATTCATTCAAATAAATTTGGCTTTATGATAAACAATATCATCTATTGAAATCACAGGTTTGATGTCTTATGACCCTATGAAATAGATATTTATCACAACACAGAGTTCCTGGGTCTAAAGTCCTGAGCTACCACTATTGATTTGCTTGTTCATCATATTAATGATCTCTTCTTGTTTGGCTAATTATTTTTTCCTTATAATTCTCTTATTTTTTTTCAATCAGCCTTATTATAGATGCTCTTCATATGCACTATGAGTTGCATGAACTGTAAACGGTGTAGTAGGTTTTTTAAGTATAGAGGTGTAAAAGGAGCCCAAACGGCCCAAGTCCTATTTCTGGCTTCCCTAATATCCGACTTTGAGGTTTTGGTAATCTCTGAACCTCTGTGTCTTAATGTTAGAATGAGAAGAGTGACCCAGATACTCTTGTTTTCTTAGGTTCATTGTGATTTGAAACACATGAATCAAATATATATTATTAGTTCATTTACAAATAAAAAAATTAGAGCATATAGTATAATGGACCAGGAAGTATATGAAAAGGTAGTGAATGGTAAAATACTGCTGACTTTAAAAAAAGAAAGTATAATGTTAAATGTCAATCATATTTTTATAGCATTTAAAAAAATTTCATGGAAAATATATTTAAGTGTTACCAAATTCAATATGAGCTAAATATGAATTCCAGAAAAAAATTCTACAGAAAAAGGAACATTTAGTCTTAAAATCCTATTCATTTTTAACACACAATTCTTTCTCAAAAGGCCAATGACACTGGGTAGAAGAGTGAGTTCACTGAAACCATGGATGTTTGCCCTTATTGTCAGAGCTGTTGTGTTGATTCTGGTGATACTGATTGGTCTCCTTGTTTATTTTTTGGCATATGGTAAGTATCTATTAATTGTTTTATTTCGAATATTTGAAGACCCACTTAACTTATTTCAAAACTTTAATATTTTCTAGTATTTTAGAATGCAATTTCCATCTGAATAAATTTATATACAGTTGGGAAAATAATCTCTTATGTATAAAAATTATGTCTAGAGTTTAAATTTTGATGTGGTTTGTATAATATTATTTCTTGAACAGTGCAATAAATATATCCTATGTAATTTTGTGATATAATATTAGTTAATATGCTAAGAGTAAAAAGTTATTTTAGTAGAAATTCTAAATTTGAGGTCAACTTATGAGAATATCGTACATTCTACATTTACTTAATTAACATCTTAAATTTATGAATTATCACTAACAGGTGATAATTGTGTTATGACATAACTGACAACCATGGTGACTATGAAAATGTGTGGTCCTAAAAAAGAGTTAGAGGGAGGTATAGACTACAGGTATAGCATTTGTAACTCTTGGGAGTTCACCAATTGTATCATTTTTTGTTTTCAACCCCTCTACTTCTCATAATTATACAACTCAAATTTACTAAACAGAAACCATCCCTGTCTGCTTTCCCTTCCAGGCCTGAAGTTTTACTATTACCAGACCTCCTTCCAGATCCCCAGTATTGAATATAATCCTGATTTTTCAGTAGAACACTCAAAACTTAGCACCGACCTGAAACAAAAAGTCAGTAACGAGGTAAGCTAAATCTTGGCTGGCATCATTCCTATCCTGACAATACTTTGTGAAAATTAAGATGAAAGGTGAGTTGAAAGCACTGCTTTTTGCACGTACATTAGAATTTCCTAAAAAAAACAGAATGCCCAGTTCAACTGTAATTTCAGATCGTCCTGAAAATATCTTCATGCAGTATTTGAAACATACTTGTACTAAAAAATCATTCATTGTTTATCTGAAATTCAAGTTTAACTGTATTTTTATTTGCTAATTCTGGAAACTGTAACCACTGTATTAGTCTGTTCTCACACTGCTAATAAAGACATACCTGAGACTGGGTAATTTATAAAGGAAAGATTGTTAAGGATTATTAAAGATTATAAAGAGAAGATAATTGACTCACAGTTCCACGTGGCTGGGGAGACCTCACAATTATGGTGGAAGATCAAGAGGTGTCTTACATGGCTGAAGGCAAAAGAGAGCTTGTGTAGGAGAATTCCCTTTTATAAAACCATCAGATCTCCTGAGACTTGTTCATTATCACAAGAACAGCACAGGAAACACCTGCCCCCATGATTCAACTACCTCCCACTGGGTTCGTCCCATGACACGTGGGAATTGTGGGAGCTACAATTCAAGATGAGATTTGGGTGGGGACACAGCTAAAACCTATCACCAACACCATCTCAGGACACCTAGAAAAATATGCTAGACAAATGATAATGGCATCAGAGACTGAACAACATAAGCCCAACAGAATTTTTTTTGAGAGGGAGTCTTGCCTTTGTCGCCCAGGCTGGAGTGCAGTGGCATGATCTTGGCTCACTGCAACCTCCACCTCCCGGGTTCAAGCAAATCTCCTGCTTCAGCCTCCCGAGTAGCTAGGATTACAGGTGCCTGCCACCATGCCCAGCTAATTTTTGTATTTTTAGTAGAGACAGGGTTTCACCATGTCGGCCAGGCTGGTCTCGAACTCCTGACCTCAGGTGGTCCACCTGCCTCAGGCTCCCAAAGTGCTGGGATTACAGGTGTGAGCCACTATGCCTGGCCCCAACAGAAAAATTAAAATGCAAATACCAATGATTAGAGTTATCTAAAATCTTAACTCGATTATTCAGGCACAAATAACATTACCACATACCATTTATTAAGTACCTTCTATGGATGACCCTGATATATGTCCTATTAGGCTGCTCTTGAAAATATACCACAGAAACACACAGACTAGCTCTTCCTCTGAAGACTTCAGTCGTATTCGCAGCCACTATTCAGCCCAGCATTCACTAATCAAAGAAGGCAGATCACTCTTACCACATTCAGACATATTTCTTCAGCCATTTCACAACCCAAACCAGAAGCAGATGAAATGGTTTGAAGAATGCTACGGAGTGGAGTGGGTATGCCTTTTCAAAAATACATCTTAAGGACATTTTCTTTGAGGGGGAAAAAAGCAGGCCAGTGTAAAGAATATTTTGTTACAGGAATTAAGATATTGAATTAGAGACAGCCCAAACTTCGAAGTCATAGACATCTAGATGCCACAAAGGATATCCCAGTCTTATCCTTTGTCATTCTAATAACTTTCAAAAAGTTGCTTGACCCCTAAAAGTTTACACTACAAAATGGGGATAATTTCACCCAACTCCCAGTGTTATTTTAAGGATCACTAGATGTAATGAATACAAAGCATGAAAGGTAATATCCTAATAAATGTTAGCATCTGTTTCCAATGCTCTCACAGAACTTTTTGTGTACCTTTTCTAAAGTACTGATCATAAATTATGAAAATATTATATGTCTATGCCCCCTTTTAACTTGTGAATTAATTTGTGCTGGAGCTAACTCCATTTCTTCTTATATTTCTTGTGCCTTTCACAGTGTTTGTACATGGTAGGCCCATATAAATACTCATCAAGGAGATGACTAGTAAATAAATGATCAATTTACTAATATTGGTCCTGTCCCTTAATGCATAAATGGAGATAACATATAAAGAAAGGCAATGCAGCAATTTAGACCAGAGGTAAATGCAAACTTTTTCTATAAAATGCAAGATAGTAAATATTTTCAACTTTGCAGGACACACAGTGTCTGTGCAACTACTCACAGCTGTTATTGTTGTGTTAAAGCAGCCATAGACAACACATAAACAAGTAGGTGTGACAACGTTTCAATAAAAATTTATTATGAGCACTGAAACTTGAATTTTGTAAAATTTTTGGATATCAAAAATACCCTTCTTATTCTTTTTTTCAACTATTAAAAAGGCATGAAGACCATCCTTGGATCATGAGCAATATAAACACAGGTAGCAGGTTCGATTTTGTGTACAGGCTATAGTTTGCCAATCCTTGTAGAACTGAGTTACAGTTATAGCAAACATATTCTTAAAAGAAAAAGATGAAAACCTGTACCTAAAATGCATTTTATACTTTCTTGAGGAGTTCAATAATCCGGACTGTTTATGTGCTCAATTACCATGGATGATACATGACTCATGAAGCTGCGATTTACCTAGAAAAAAAATTATTAAATTGGAAAGAAAATGGAAGGAGGCAGGCAGAAAACATATAGATATTATATAAACATCTATATTTGTATATATAGAGAGAATATATTTTATGTATATATAAACATGTAAATATAAAATCTGGAAGCATATATACCAGAATGTAAATAACAAGTTCTCTAGACAGTGATTTAAAAATGACTTTAATGCTTTCCAATACATTTTCTATATTGTTTACTTTAAAATTTTTTAACAATAAATATGTATTAGTTTTGTCATATAAATGTGCATGTGTATATAAAAATATATTCTTCAAAAACAAATTTCGCTTCATAGTTAATTAGAAGAAAAACATATAGCCATTTGTTTTGAGTAACTATTGATTTATTAATTAACTTGTGCTCACCATGCTATTCAAGATGATATTACATGGCATTTCACCAAAGAAAATTTCATAAATCAAGTCAGATGAATGAAAAGCACTTATTTGACATACACCCAGTTTCACAACTTAGCAGCTCTTCTCTTGTGGTTTGTGAAACTCACTATGCAGACTCAGGTTCACTTAAGGTTCAATATATAGTCAGTCTTTTTTCTGACAAGTCAGCTTGATGAGTCTATAAACAGGCTTATAAGACCACATATTTTGTAACAAGCTGTGGTTTTATTAAGAAATAATTTGACCTAGGTATTTATACCACAGATAAATTATCCTATGTAGGAAGTCTAAAATGACACCAGTGGCATTTACAGTCTTATCTTATTCTAAGTAATCCTTTCATGCATTTTTATTGGTAAGTATGATGATTCTAGAGAGGTGTTCAATAATATATATTCTCTTCCTTTCTCCCATTTGCCACAGCATCAAAATCTGGCCAAAAGAATTTATTTAGAGCCTAAAAAGCTGATCTTTCAATCACATCCATGAGGATGATAACTGAGCTGGAATGATACTGAGTGATGAGTGAGTGATGTGTCCATATATATCCAACTTTCAAATCTCTGTGCCTCCTGCTCCATGTATATTTTATAATAGAGGTTGAAATACTGCATTAAGTCAACTCTTTAGATAGTCATCTTTGACCATGTGACAAGTTGTTCAAGTATCATCATCCAGTTATAGAGATAATCTTTATGATGGCGAGTTCATGCTCAAATGAGGTTTGGGGGGATAACCGTAAATAAACATTGAAGTAAATGTTATTTGTATCACAGCAAGCTTTATGTAAGCATTTTTGTGATATATTGAAATGTGTGAAATTCATATTTAACAAAGCTCTAATTTGTTGTTTTTTTCTTTTCTCAGATATTTCAGAGATCCAATTTAAACCATCATTACATAAAGTGTCAAGTTGTCAACTTTAGGTAATCACAGTTAATAAATTTGTATGATTATAAAAGGCAGCTTTGTATTATATAGTTATTCTTCAATTAATTGCTTTGTAAACAGGTCTAAAGATCTTAGCTATATCAAGAGCAAAAATAGTTTAATATTATTACATTTGTGATTCCTCCTGTATAGTTTCTGTAGTGAGAGAGTTTCTTGAGTAGTGATGAAATATATTCTACTGGTTGTCATTTTAAAGTCTTTTGCATTTCATACAGAAGATTCTTACAATTATTAACTACTGCTCTCAATTTTACTGACTTTAGAAAATAATAAACAGCTATTATGAATTTTTGAATCACAGGAATATATATTCACATATGTAGTTTATGATATATATATATAAAAAGTTGGTGGACATAACAAGTGCTTTTGATTTCTTTTTTAGAAAAGATAATTCTAGAACTGTCAGATACTCTCCCCTTCCTAAATATGATGAAGTTTTACAAGCAGGGAATAATTTAGCTATTAATACTTGTATGACACAAGAGGAGAGAATCTATGACAATAAAATGTGTAAAATATTTATGTCGTATTTTCTTGAAGATATAACTAATATTTAAGTAATAAAGTATGACATAAGAATTACTGTGGCTCTGGCCTCGTTCATTCTGGTTATTTTGTTTTTCAGGCCAAGTAATGACAATTTGAAAGCAGATGTATTGCTTAAATTTCAGTTTATTCCTAACAATGAGAACGCAATAAAAACACAAGCTGATAACATTTTGCATCAGAAGTTGAAATCAAATGAAAGCTTCTTGAAGACAGACACTTCATTACCTTATCTTAGAGGCAAGGAATACTATTTTTCTTTCATATTATAGTTACTCATTTTAATAATCTTCTCATCTACAAAGAGAGCTTCTTTATTTCACCATAAAGAAAACTACTTTTCATTTTAAGTCTCTTGTTTACTTGATAATGAACACATCTTTTGATTGTGATAAGGAAGATTATCTTCTTTTGGCTAGTATGGAAATAATTATAAAATAAGAATTGTATGGTAACCCAAGTATAATAGCATTTCTTCCTTTTTAAAAAAGATCTCAGTGGAATTGTTTGTATTAATGCAGCATATATATGATAAAAACCAACACTCTGCTGTTGATATACAGTAGTAATCTATAGTGTCTGACTCTCTTGAAATACTCTTTCCAATATGAATCCAGAATGTGAAAGTGGTATGGATGCACAAACCACAATATGTAGGGCACAACCAAAATATGGTAGGAAGAAGGAAAGAGCCCTGGCACTGTAGGATACACTCTCATACCCTCTCTGCAGCACACAGGATAGGATTGGCCCAGGACATGGAGTGGGGAGAAGGACAAGAAAGACATCAGACTTGGATAGTATCTGTCTCAGACATAAAGACACCATCTTATTTGCAACACAGACACAAAGAACTGATTGATAAATGTTCAGGATATGAAATTAAATCAAGCTCATTGTAATTCTAAAACTACTAGCTGCCTCTCAGGAATTAGCTTTGAAGTCGTCATGTTTTAGCAGAACTTGTTTAACTTTTGCAATGAGATTATAAGACTGATCGAAAATTACTAATTATCAGTAAATCTTCACTCAGTACCTTTTCCCAGAACTATCCTGGGAGGCTAGAGCATATACATTATAGTATGTTAACAGAAGAGAAAATTATATTATAGATTTGACAAAAGTCAGAAAGAAGAAAAAATAGCTTGAAGATAAGAATGAGTAGTCTCTGTGAGTAATACCCAACATTCAGTTCCATTAGTTATGCAGACAGGACAGAATAGACTCTGAATTCAAAGCACTGGACTATAGGTAGCAGAGACAAGACTTCCTGAAGGAAATGTTTTGTTGAGGAGGTATAGGTATCTGTCAAGTGTAACTTTACTTTTAAGTCAAATGTTAAAATCTTAAACTCATTATTTGTGGATCTATCCTTCACTCTTACCCTGACACCTGCTTTATGGTTCTAGAGGGACTTAGATCCTTTCACAGTGTTGTCGGATGGGTGGGGGGAGGGGGTGATTTAGGTCTCATTATTGGTTCGTATAGGCATCTACTGGTGATGCATCACCCATCACCAGATACTCAGTTGCTTGTCTAAGCAAGTTATTGTTGAGATGATCCTCATTCCCAAACAAAGGCTTCCTTACAGTGGTAATTCCTTATACTTATGTACTTCACAAGGGTGCTTGGGAGTTGCTTTGATTTGCATATTTTTTATTTCATGTTTCTCTCCAAAAGATATAACTTTTTGAACACAGGAAATATGCCTGCTGTAGTCACAAGCACATCCCCAGCGTTAGCATAGAGCTCAACACAGGACAGGAACATGGTATTTGTGAGATGTTTTATCTTTAACTGTATAAAACAACTCAATCTCTTGAAAGTGGGCAGGAAAAAAGAGGGAACTTTTTTTTTTTTTTTTTAATTGAGACTGAGTCTTGCTCTGTCGCCCAGGCTGGAGTGCAGTGGCGTGATCTCGGCTCCACACAAGCTCCGCCTCCCGGGTTCTCGCCATTCTCCTGCCTCAGCCTCCCAAGTAACTGGGATTACAGGCGCCCACCACCACGCCCGGCTAATTTTTTTGTATTTTTAGTAGAGACGGGGTTTCACCGTGTTAGCCAGGATGGTCTTGATCTCCTGACCTCGTGATCTGCCCGCCTCGGCCTCCCAAAGTGCTGGGATTACAGGCGTGAGCCACTGTGCCCGGCCAAAAGAGGGAACTTTTAAAAGTAATAATACAACAGAAAACTGAAGACCTTAAAATCATTTCTCTTTCCACATAAAGTTTTAGAACTGTATAGGGGGAAAAAGTGAGAGGTTGCATATTTCAAAATTTTAAAACTAGAGTTGAATTTTATAGGATAAGAAACATCATTTAAAGAATATAAAGAAAAAATGCATGGAATGCATTCAGAGAGACTGCAGATGATGGTAGAGAGAACGCTAGTCTAGGACTCAGAAGACCTGTATTCTAGCAATAATAACAGTAGTCCAGCCTTGCAAAAGTTGCTGAAACTTTGTGCATCAGTTCCTGTTTTGCAAAATTAAGATAATAAATGTAGAACTTACCCTTTAGGAAGGTGTAAAAATGCTTTCAAAATTACTAAGAAAAAATAAATAAATTTAATGTGTTATTTTATGGACTTTCTCAGGTATCTAGGCTCTTTTCTATAAGTTTTGTACTTTTTAAACTTATACTTTTTCCACATTTTATATTTTTTCTGGAAGTTTCATAGTCTTGCATTACATTATATTTTACATTTAAGTCTATAATCCATTTTGAGCTAATTTTTCTATGCTGTGAGATTTAGGTAGAGGCTTTTTAAAATTTTTTAATTGATGTTCCATTGTTCCAGTACCATTTATAAAACAGTTATTCATCTTCCATTGAGTTACTTTTGCTCCTTTGTCAAAAACTAATTAGGCATATCGGGAATATTTGTATGAATCTACTTTTGGGTTCTCCATTCTTTTCCATTGATTTAGGTCTATCCTTTCACTGGTACCATAATTTCTTGATTACTGCAACAGTATATTAAGCCTTAACATTAGTAAAAATGATTTATCCCACTTTATTCTCCTCTACCGAAATTGTTTTGGCTACTCTAGTTCGTGATGGATTGATCCTTTATCATTACATAATATGCCTCTTTGGCCCTAGTAATTTTCCACGCTTTGAAATTTACATGATCTGATACCAATACAGCTACTCTTCTTTAAAATTGTTTTTATGATTTATCTTTTCCGTTCTTTTACTTTTGGTTTATTTATGTAGCTATGTTTGAAATAAGTTTCTTTTTTGTCAATTAAAAAATAAAACATTAAAACATTTTTTCTTCAACTTTCATTTTAAGTTGAGGGGTACATGTGCAGGATGTGCAGGTTTGTTACATAGGTAAACATGTGCTATGGTGGTTTACTACACAGATCAACCCATCACCTAGGTATTCAGCCCAGCGTCCATTAGCTATTCTTCCTGCTGCTCTCCCTCCTCCTACCACCCGCCTTCCAACAGGCCCCAGTGTGTGTTGTTCCCCTTCATGTGTCTATGTGTTATCATCATTCAGCTCTCACTTATAAATGAGAATATGTGGTGTTTGGTTTTCTGTTCTTGTGTTAGTTTGCTGAGGATAATGGCTTCCAACTCCATCCATGTCCCTGCAAAGGACACTATTTCATTCCTTTTTATGGCTGCATAGTATTCCATGGTGTATATGCACTACATTTTCTTTATCCAGGCTATTATTTTTGGGCATTTGGGTTGATTCTGTGTCTTTGCTATTGTGAATAGTGTTGCAATGAACATACGCATGTGTATCCTTGTAATAGAATGGTTTCTATTCTTTTGGGTATACACCCAGTAATGGGATTGCTGGGTTAGATGGTATTTCTGCCTCTAGGTCTTTCAGGAATCGCCACACTGTGTTCCACAATGGTTGAACTAATTTACATTCCCACCAACAGTGTAAAAGCATTCCTTTTTCTCCACAACCTTGCCAGCATCTGTTGTTTTGTGATTTTTTAATAGTAGCCATTCTGACTGGTGTGAGATGGTGTCTCATTGCGGTTTTGATTTGCTTTTCTCCAATGATCAGTGATGTTGAGCTCTTTTTTGTATGTTTCTTGAATGCATATATGTCTTCTTTTGAGAAGTGTCTGTTCATGTCCTTTGCCCACTTTTCATTGAAATTGTTTTTTTCTTGTACATTTGTTTAAGTTCCTTGTAGACTCTGGATATTAGACATTTATCAGATGGATCAGATGGATAGGCTGTAAAAATTTTCTCCTATTTTGTAGGTTTCTGTTCACCCTGATGATAGTTTCTTTTGCTGTGCAGAAGCTCTTTAGTTTAATTAAATCCCATTTGTCAATTTTTGCTTTTGCTGCAATCGGTTTGGCTTTTTAGTCATGAAATATTTGTCCATTTCTATGTCTTGAATGGTATTGCCTAAATTTTCTTCTAGTGTTTTTATAGTTGTGGGTTTTACATTTAAGGCTTTAATCCATCTTGTGTTATTTTATTTTATTTTATTTTATTTTATTTTATTTTATTTTATTTTATTTTATCTTTGAAATGGAGTCTTGCTCTATCAGCAGGCTAGAGTGAAGTGGTGCAATCTCGGCTCACTGCAACCTCCACCTCCCTGTTCAAGCTATTCTCCTGCCTCAGCCTCTCGAGTAGCTGGGACTACAGGCATGCGCCACCATGCCCAGCTAATTTTTGTATTTTTAGTAGAGACGGAGTTTCACCATGTTGGCCAGGATGGTCTCGATCTCTTGACCTCATGATCCACCTGTCTCGGCCTCCCAAGAGTTAACTTTTGTGCCTGATGTAAAGAAGGGGTCCAGTTTCAACTTTCTGCATATGGCTAGCCAGTTCTCTCAACACCATTTATTGAATAGGGAATCCTTTCCCAATTGCTTGTTTTTGTCAGGCTTTTCCAAGATCAGATGGTTGTAGATGTGCGGTCTTATTTCTGAGATATCTATTCGGTTCCATTGGACTATGTGTCTGTTTTTGTACTGGTACCATGTTGTTTTGGTTACTATAGCCTTGTAGTATTGTTTGAAGGTCTTCTTTGTACCTCTGGCAGAATTCAGTTTTGAATCTGTCTGGTCGTGGGCTCTTTTTGGTTGATAGGCTATTTATTACTGCCTTAACTTCAGAACCCATTACTGGTCTGTTCAGGGATTCAATTTATTTTTGTTTCAGTCTTGGTTGGGTGTATGTGTCCAGGAATTTATCCATTTCTTCTAGATTTTCTAGTGTATGTGCATAGACATGTTTACAGTACTCTCTGATGGTTGTTCATATTTCTGTGGGGTCAGTGGTGATATCTCCCTTATCATTTCCGATTGTGTCTATTTGAGTCTTCTCTCTTTTCTTCTTTATTATTCTAGCTGGCCTTCTATCTATTTTATTAATTAAAAGCAAACAGCTTCTGGATTTGTTGATTATTTAAAGGGTTTTTCGTGTCTCTATCTCCTTCAGTTCTACTCTGATCTTAGTTATTTCTTGCCATCTGCTTGCTTTGAGGTTTGTTTGCTCTTGATTCTCTAATTCTTTTAGTTGTAATGTTAGGTTGTTGATTTGAGATCTTTCTAGTTTTTTGATGTGGGCATTTAGTGTTATAAATTTCCCTCTTAACACTACTTTAGCTGAATGCCAGAGACTCTGGTAAATTGTCTTTTTGTTCTTATTAATTTCAAAGAAGTTATTGATTTCTGCCTTAATTTCATTATTTACCCAGGAGTCATTCAGGAGTAGGTTGTTCAATTTCTATGTAGTTGTGTGGTTTTGAGTGAGTTTCTTAATCTTGAGTTCTAATTTTATTGCGCTGTGGTCTGAGCGACTGCTTGTTATAATTTCAGTTCTTCCGACTATGTGATCAATTTTAGAGTAAGTCCCATGTGGCGATGTGAAGAATGTATATTCTGTTGTTTTGACTGGAGATTTCTGTAGATATATATGAGGTCTGCTTGATCCAGAGCTGAGTTCAGGTCCTGAATATCTTCGTTAATTTTCTGTCTCGATCTGTCTAACATTGTCAGTGAAGTCTTTTCACTATTACTGTGGTGAATATAAGTCTCTTTGTAGGTCTCTAAGAATTTGCTTTATAAATCTACTCATGTATTGGGTGCATATATATTTAGGATAGTTAGCTCTTCTTGTTGAATTGAACCCTTTACCTTTATGTAATGCCCTTCTTTGTCTGTTTTTATCTTTGTTTAAAATCCAGTTTGTCAGAAACTAGGATTGCAACCCCTGCTTTTTTCTGTTTTCCACTTGGTAAATTTTCTTTCATCCCTTTATTTTGAGCCTATGTCTGTCTTTGCACATGAGATGGGTCCATTGAAGACTGCATACTGATGGCTCTTGACTCTTTATTCAGCTGGCCATTCTATGCCTTTTAACTGGGGCATTTAGCCTATTTATATTTAAGGTTAATATTGTTTATACATGAATTTGATCCTGTCATCATGATGCTAGCTGGTTATTTTGCAGACTTGTCTATGTGTTGCTTCCTAGTGTCATTGGACTGTGTACTTCAGTGTGCTTGTAGTGGAATATTATGGAACGTTTCATACATTTTTGTGTCATCCTTGTGTAGGGGCCAGGATAATCTTCTCTGTATTGTTCCAATTTTCGTATATGTGCTGCCGAAGTGAGCACTGAGTCTCTTATAAACCACATTGTTGAGTTATGTTTTTAAAATCCATTCTGCCAACCCTTGGCTTTTAATTGTTGTGCTTAAACCATTTACATACTAATTATTGATATGTTAGGGTTTAAGGCTTTCATTTTATAATTTGTTTATTGTTTGATGTGTCTTATTTCTCTGTTCCTTTTTTCTTATCCTTTTGTGAGTAACTTGAATACTTTTTTATAATTTTATTTTGATTTATTTATAGCTTTTTAAAATTTATCAATTTGTGTAGTCATCTTAGAGACTATTGTGAGTATTATCATATATATACATAACTAATCACAGCCTAGTGGTGCTGACATTTTACCACTTCAAATGAAATGTAGAAACTTTACTTCAGTTTGGGTCTCTTTAACCTACCCATTTTTAAAGTATACTTATCTTAAATATTTCTTCAATATACATTCAGCACAACATCAGTTGGTGTCATAGTTTTTCCTTCAACCATAAAATATATTTCTTTAAGAAACTCATTAAGTGAAAGATAGTCTGTTTGGTTTACTTTTATTTTTACCCATTCTGTATCTTTCTTTTCTTTCTGCACATTCTAGTCTCCTGTAATCATTTGCTTTTTGTTTGAATACTGTTGTTTACTCATTATTTAAGAGAAGGTTTGTTAGAAACAACTTCTTTTTGTTTGTCTTCATCTGAGAATATACTTATTTCTTCTATATATCTCAAGGACAGTTTCACAGGGTATAGGATTCAGGTTTGATAGTTCTTTTTTTTCAGAACTTGAAAAATGCTGTGCCACTTTCATTTGGCCTTCATGGTTTCAGATGAGAACCACTGTTACTGAATTGGTGTTCTGCTCAGGTAATGCATCATTTTTCTCTGTATGCTTTTAAGATTTTTTTCTTTCATTTTTAGTACTTTAATTATAATGAGTCTTGGTATGGATTCTTGCAGTTCATACTCTTTGGGATTTACTCATCTTCTTGAGTCTATTGGTCTCTATCGTTGGCCAAATTTGGGGAGTTTTCAATAGTTCTTTGAATATTTTTCAGCCTCACACTTCTTTTCCTCTCTTTCTGAAAATCTGATGATACCAATGTTAGATCTTTTGTTACTGCCCCACAGATCCCAGAGGCTTTGTTCATTTTTTTCAATCCATTTATATTCTGTCTTCAGACTAAGTAAATTCTAGTGACTTATATTCAAGTTTACTAACTTTATTCTCCATCTTTTCTACTCCACTATTAGCACCATCCATCAAATTTGTTCATTATTATTATTGTTGTTATTTTGCTTATTGTATTATTCAGTCCTGTAATCTTTCATTTGGTCCTTTTTATAATTTCTATTTCTTTGCTGAGATTTTCTAGTTTTTTTTTTGTTTCAAGATAATTTATACTTTATTTCTACATCACTTTTATGGCAGGTCTTTAAAATACACATCAGGCACATCCAACATCTTATTCATCTCAGGATTGGCACTGGTTGACTGTCTTTTCTCATTTAGATTATAGTTTTCCTGTTTTTGGGTATGGTGAGCAATTTTTCTTTGTATCCTGAACATTTTAGTTACATTAGGAGACTTCTGGTTCTATTTAATTCTTCTACTTTAACCAATAGGCAACCTGTTTAGGTTTAGAGTACAGATTCTTACTTTTGTTGTTTCAGTGACAATTTAGTTTTCATATCCTTCCAGTACTATTCTGCACTTCCTCTTAATTACTGTTTCCCGTGCCTTTTGTGGGAGTAGAACATGCTTCCCTCGGCTGCCTTGAATCAGTGGGCCACCCTTTGTGGAGGGGTGCACTGGGCCTGAGTCTTCTTATGTTTCTGAGTAGATGCAGGTCTCTGCTGCCACTGTCTTTGTGGGTGTATCAGTCTGCCAGGTAGTTCCTGGTTTTGAAGTGTGGATTGGGATGGTCAAGGGCTTTCGGCTGTCACTGCTGCTGGCAGAATGGACTGCCAGGCCTTGGCTGTGAAGCAGAAGGTTTGAGTTTCCCATTAGCTGTCTGTTGTGCTTTCCCTTTCCCAGTACTTTGGATAGAGAGAACAGACTTGTATTGGGATCGTTTTGTCTATTCCTGTTGATGATTACAAATTGCAGGTCTTTCTGGTCCTCAGTCCAGCATATATGTGAAATAAAAAGAAAATCCAGGAACACGCACCACTTGTCCTTCCTCAAATTCTGAAGTCTCTAGCCATTCTGTCTTCTTCCTTCCAGCTTTCAGAGTTCTTTTATTGTTATCTGATGAATAATTTTTAGATTACCTAGTTGTTTTATAGGAGATGAACAGGGAAAAGTGAGCCTACACAATCCTGTTCTAGAACTGGAGGTATTCAACCTCTTTTATCCTGCAGGTGGAACACGTGTATTACGTAATGCTCACACATGATATATAGCACCATCGTGGAAGTTCAACAATAGTTTTTACATAAATGGAGATGAGTTTAGGATTAAGCTAAACTTAGCTGTGAACTAATTGTAACTCTACCCCCTCCCACTGCTCCATAACCTACAGAGAATGGCGCTAAACTTAATTGATGTTACAGTGAAATGTATGCGGGACAAGCTTTTGCCTCAAGAATTATTAAATCATGCCCTGGCTGGGCATGGCAGCTCACTCCTATATTCCCAGAACTTTGGAAGGCCAAGGCTAGAGAATTGCTTGAGGCCAGGAGTTTGAGGCTGCAATGAGCTATGATTGTATCACTGCACTCCATCCAGGGCAACAGAGTGAGACCCTGTCCCTAAAAAAATAAAAATAAATCATGTTCTTAATAAACTTGCCTCATAATATTATTGTGAGGATATAATAAGCAAATAAATTTTGTCATAGAACCTAATATACAAGGCTTAGTAAATTATTTGTTATGATTACCATTTATTTATTCACTCAGCAAGTATTTATGGAGAAACTATTTGTGCCAAAAATTAAAGTCTCTGCTTCATAGAACTAATATTCTAATTGTGGCAAGGAAAATAATAACTAGATAAAAAATAAACAAGGTAATATCAGATAATTTGAAACTCCATGCAGAGAACAGAGAGAGTAAAAAGCTACCTTAGATTTGGTTGTAATGGAAGTCCTCTCTGAGGAGGGTATTTTAAAGCTGAGATCTGAGTGACAAGGGGAAACCAACCATAAAAAGGCCAAGGGAAATAAGCATTCCTGGCAAAAGGCACAGCTAGAACACAGATTGCAGGCAGGAATACCTTTGCACAGTTAAGAAACAGGAAGGCCAAGGTGGCCATTGAGTCATGCTAAGAGCAGTAGCAGGGCAACTTGCCATCAGAGACATAAATAAGGACCATATCATGTAGGTCCAGGTAGAAAGTTTGGTTTATTCTAGAAGCCACGGAAGCCATTAGTGGCAAAATTTAATTCTAAGGGATTTATTCTGATAAAATCCTTAAGTATAGTTTCCTGCAGATGAACTCAATGTACCGCTTTAGAGTCTTACCTAAATTAAAGACTCATCAGTTTTCAGGCTCACCAAAACTCCACATTGGCTTTCATCTTAACAAAATGTGGGTCTAGATTGCTCATTATACTAATTAGGATACAGAGCAATTCAAATAATTTGGGGAAACAGCCACTGATTATGGTTTTCTTTATTTCACATTTTGAAAAAAAAAGACTAACAAGATAGGTTTTGTTAGCACATTGGTGAATTTTGATTCCACAGGGAGCATACATGGACCAAGTGTAGATTGCCAGGCTTCTAAGATGCATTAATGGGGACAGAAGGAAATGGTTTCCTGACATATAGTAGTGCACATGTAAGACTAGTCTTGGACTCTTCTGTTTTAACTTACAGTTTAAAATATTGTTTTGGCATTGATTAACTAGAAGACTCCTTCCTTTATGGCAAACTGTATCCTTCTCTAAGCCAATGGTCTTATAACCAGAAACCAGGATTTTCCTGGAGTCCACATACAGTCAGAAGAGTTCAATTTACATCCAGGCTTCTCCTTTATGTAGGATTTTATTCTTTTGCCTTTGAATTAAAAATTTCTGACTTATGCAGTTCCTCTCAGCCAGAAAAAGGTCATATCATGTAAGAATAGTATTTTAAGTTATAATAATTTCATCACTGAGTATCTCCTGGGTTTTTTTTCAGATATGAATGCAGCACAAGCAGAACACATTCTGAACAGCTGTAAGTTCAAGAATATCACTAAGATGTTTACAAATCAAAGAACAAAACTCAACACATTTAGCATTTCTCTTTCCCCATGTTTACTCTTTCTCAAAAGTATATAATATCTCTAGATGGATATGTGATTTGATTGCCCTCAGAGGGAAAAATTACTAATCATAATTGAGAAATCTATATGTAGTCCTTGAAAATTTTTGCTCTTCCTCACAGAAAGTTTCGCTAATGTCTTCTTTAACAATTTTCTTTTATTTCATTGTATTTATTTTTATTTGGCCTCCTTTGTTAAAGTAGTAAATTTTGCTTAGGGTTAAATGACACCCAAAAACTTTAATATAGAAACTTTGACATTTATGCTATATTAGTATTTTGGTTGTAATGCTAGACATGTATTTTAAAAGACTATATACGTTATTTTCTGCAATAAATAGTGTACACTTGGCATTCAAAATATATTATTAGGGTAAACTGCTGCACATAAGAACATGACCCCAAAAAATGTGAAAAGCCAAATTTTAAAATGATGTTGTTTTAAATTCACCAGAGAGAGTGTTAAATAATTTTTAAAACGTTAATACTTATTTAAAGTGTGAATAATCACATTTTATCAATGTGCATTACCATTACTTTATTTAACATTAATTTCAATAATTTTTTTAGGGTAAGACACATTTGTAGATATTTCTGTCCTTAACTATGTGCCAAACATATCTACATATGTTTATAACTCTGGAATTAGCCATCTTATTCCCTTCTCACAGGTTGTGGTTTAGGGAAGGAGTTTCCATCCACCAAAAGAATTGCTGATGGTCGGATTGCAAGAAAAGGTGATTGGCCTGGCAAGCTAGCCTGCAGGTGGAGGGGATCCATTTGTGTGGTGCATCTTTGATCAGTGAAGAGTGGCTCCTGACAGCGGGTCACTGTTTTGACTTGTGAGTTCCCAGTCTATACCCATGGGATCACCAGCTTCACCTCTTTTTCATCTCTTCACATCCTATAGTTCTCTCTTTTACATTTCCTTTATAAACATCTTAGGCTCCAGCCTGGCCAACATAGTGACACCCGTCTCTACTAAAAATACAAAAATTAGCTGGACTTGGTGGCACGTGCCCATAGTCCCAGCTACTCATGAGGCTGAGACAGGAGAATCACTTGAACCCGGGCGGCAGAAGTTGCAGTGAGCTGAGATCACACCATCACACTTCAGCCTGAGTGACAGAGTGATACTCCATCTCAAAAAACAAACAAACAAACAAACACCCAAAGAAGAAAACATCTTAGGCCTCCCGGTGCCACTTATGATTGTCCAGCAGGCTTAGGAATAAAAGACAGTTAACTGAAGAAGAGCAGAAAAAATTAGAAAGAGTATCTTCAGTTCCACCTGAAAATATACACTCCAACAATCTCAATTTTAAGTAGGAACAAGCCAGCATTGTGAAAAATTATACACACTCACCAGTTCTCCTGAGAGATATTTTAGATTAAAAAAAAAACTCTGTTAATAGTATTCTAAACTATAGGTTATATCTGGTGATCCCACATGAATACCTTTGGTGCTGTGCTTTTATTCTTTGTATATTTTTCGACAATTTAACATATAGAACACTTGGAAATAATAAAGAGATACAGTAACCCTAGTAAAATTTATATAAAATGGGAGAATATTCTGGATAAGATGCTAAATAAAAAGAAAGCATAAGGAAACAATATAAATATATAAAATATCGCTCCAATTTTACCTCTCTTTCTCTTTATAACTATACATACATTTATATGATTGTGCCTTGATATGAGTGTATATGTGAATCTACGTGTATATATGTCTACTTTATAATTATTTGTTTTCTTAAATTAATTTGTATTATTTTTATAGTCAAAAATGGCAATAATATAGGATAATGTGGAATAATATAAAAATACAAGCTTCCCTCAAGGACAGTAATTTAAGCTACCTTGGAATGGCGGTTTGTTAGCAAGTAGATGAAAGCAAAGCAGTCTTAGGAGAGAAGCCTCAGATAAGAAGGTGGGATGGTCCCAATCAATTATTACCTTAAAAAATTTGCCCTTCTCCCACATTTATGTCCCCTGCCCATCCACAGTCCTGGGCAAATTTAAATTAGAAATGAACCAACTGTATTCCTTTTACTCTGTGATCAGTGAAGAAAAACCCAAACTCTGGATGGCTAGTTTTGGAATAACCCGAATCCCTCACTAATGAGAAGAAAGGGGGAGTCAATTATTATTCATGAGAACTATGCTGCCCATAAACACGAGGATGATATCGCTGTAGTGAAGCTCTTCACCCCCATCATATTTTCCAATGAGGTGCACAGAGTCTGTCTTCCAGAAGCTACTTTTGAAGCCTTGCCTAAGAGTAAAGTGTTTGTCACTGGATGGGGAGCACTTAAATTAGATGGTGAGTATCTCAGTAAAACAACAAAGCAAAAAATATAAACCTATCCTTCATTTGAACAGAGATATGAAATAAAATACAAAATCAAAATAAATAAGAGATGAAATCAGATGTCCCATTATAAATATGGCAAAAACAAACAAATAAGAAACAGATGTGGTGAATTTCAAAAACTTTAGCACCATTACTATTACACGGTACCTATATTTATTGTCTTTATATGGACTATTTTGGAAACTGGTTAGAGCTTTATTTTCCAAATTTATTAAAGCATATTTTTACATCATTTTTTCTTTCAAATGCTTTCTTTCATATGTGTAGTTTCTGCTATGGCTGCTTGATTCATAAAGTGTATAATTTGCAAGCACTAGTAATGATAAGCTTTTGCAATGCATCATGCAACTAAACAGAAAGAGCCTTAAATGAATAAACTGAATGATTATTCTTTACCTGGCCCTAAATATTAAATGGGATCCCTCTGATCCGTGTATCTATGGAGCTGTTCTTCAACCTGAAACTTTATAAATTTGACAATAAACTACAAACATAGATGTTTAGATCCTGATATGACTTTCCCATTTTTATGTCTATTGGTTGACTTTTTACATATGAGAGTTTAATCTGCCCTCAAATTTCTAATTTTTGTTTCAAGCTCTTATTATGAAGTCATATGAGTCTAATCAGTTAATTTTTATAGAAGTCGGCTTCCCTCCAATATACACTCTAAAATTCTGATGTTGAGTCTAGGTGGATGCACTATCGTTATAATCTCAGATTATATAATCAAATTTTCCTCATCTCTGAGGGATCTGCATTGTTCTATAGGAAATGGTGATGAGTATAAAGGGGAATTAAATCCTTTAAGACTTAAAGCCACTTCCTGATAAAAGTAGAAAAGGAAAACATCTACTACTTGAGTAGCACCATTACGCTTACCTCTATAATCTTAACTAAACTTAACACCTCCTACTCCCAGAGCTTGGGAGTGATTTGCTACTTCATCATGAATCATTCAAAGCCCAATAGTGTGCAGAATACTGTGCAATGAGCTGTCTACTCTCATAAGTTGAATACATTTCACAATAACATTGTGGGTTTGTAAGGCATCAAAGTAAATTAATAGATATTTGATTGTATTTTTTTATTTTCCTGCACTTTGAAATGGAGACAAGGACCTACTAAGGTTCTCTTCTCCTACCTCCCAAGATTTAGCCAATCATATCTAATTAGAAATCTTGTTACCACAAAAAAGAGAACAACAGACACTGGGGCCTAATTGAGGGTGGAGGGTGGGAGGAGGGAGAGGAGCAGAAAAAACAACTATTGGGTACCAGCCTTAATATTTGGGGGATGAAATAACCTATACAACAAACCCTGAAACACTAGTTTATCCCTGAATCTAAAATAAGTTTTTTTAAAAAAGAAAAGAAATCTTGTTACCAGACAGCTTGCAAAACAGAAATATTCTACGCTCTGGACAGTTTCTTCTTTAAATAATTGGTAATGTAAAGTATTTTGTTACATTGTCGAGCACTTGAATTTATTTTTTTAAGCTGAGACTAAAAGATTGTAAGCATTTGAAAATTGAGACTAAGCATTTTAGACCAATTAGCTAAAATGAAAATTTGCACACAGAAATTACAAATAGGAAATATAATTGATTAAAACTTGAGAATATCTTAAAAATGTTAATGACATTATACACAACAAAATAGATAGTATTGAATATTGCTAAGGCATTTACTCAAATAAATAGATTGCATAAAATCTATATAAAGAGCAGTTGGTGAGCAGACTGCTTCACTGGGAACATTTCAAGCAGAATCAGAGATAAAAGAGAAAATGGCCATACAATGACCCTTTTAAAGATGATGACTGAGATGGAAAAATTCACAAGACCCTACAAAATCTTTAATGACTGTAGAGAATCTGGACTTAGTTTCTCAGCAAGACTGGCAATCTTAGGTGAGTGAATTTACTCATTTTAAAACAATTAGTTTTCTTGACAGCGAATGGCCAAATCCCCAGAAACCTAGATCTCTCCTTATAAAAGCTCTAACTTTCTCTCCATCCAACGTAAACCTTAAAGTGCAGCTTTAAGACCCTGAGGATCTTAAGTATATACCCTAATCTCTACAATTTAGTCTAATAGCATCTATTTTTTAAGAACTGAATATGAGGCAAGCTACTGTCATAACTGATTATATTCATTGTTTTTAACTTATAAACGTCTGAGCAAGGCATTATTTTCTTCTTTTCACAGGTGAGTTAAATGATGCTTAGCGACTTTCCCAAAGTCACATATAGCTTGTAAATTGTGCAAATAGTGTTCAAACTTATATCTGCTCCTTCTAAATTCAAGGCCCTTAAGCACATAATTACGCTAATTCATCGCTCAAATCAGTACTACTGCCCTCCCTTATCCTCTCAATTCTTTGACCCTGTTGTAAACAAAGCATCCGTCTTTATATGAAAGATTAGTACAGTCTTTAAAATAGAAGTTGCTCCTATTTTAAAGAAATGAGAAGAATATAATAGTTAAAACAATGTTACATGCAATCAATAAGTGTGTGGTTAGTTAATAAAATATAAGCTACCTTTATGTGTTACTTACTCTGGTATTTGTTTTGGATAGCAAGTGAAGCTATTATCAGAGTAAGCGTGGTTTTTCCTATGAAGTGATAGCATTGCATCTGTATTAAAGTTAAATCTGGTAGTACAGTAGTGTTCTATGCTGCTTTTCCTCAGGATTCACGGTTCCCAAAATAGCTGTGTCCTTTGTAAAGTAATGAAGATTTCCAAGTAAGGTTAAGGTAAGCTGTAGCATATTCTCCCAGGTGGTAAGAAATATTCTGGTTTTACAAAGATCACATCAAGTTAAAAAGCTTCTAACATTATTCCTTAACTGTGTGATCATGATAAGACTCCTAACCAGGTAAGCTTTAGTTTCCTCAACTGAAAAAGAGAATATTTATGTCTTTCTTTGGTGGCTGCTGCAAGGATTAAATAAGGTAGCAGAAGTAAACAAACCAAATATGGTACCTAGTAAATAGAAGCCACCCAATAAATGTAACTTGATTCTGAGCACTGTCATTCAGTCCAGAATCTTACAACTTCAAGACTTAGGTTTTATCACTGGTCCATTCTTTGTAAGACACAATTAACTATCATGGCAGCAATGTAGAAGTTCTTCATCTATTTATTTTTTCTTTCTTTCAGGTCCCTTTCCCAATATGCTACGGGAAGTTGAGGTAGAGATCATAAGTAATGATATATGTAATCAAGTTCATGTGTATGTATCATCAGGAATGATATGTGCTGGATTCTTGTCAGGAAAACTAGATGCCTGTAAGGTAAGAATAGGTTCAAATCCACAAAAATGACTGTTTAGTAGGAATGGCCTTACTGACTGTAGAACAATATCACTTCACATGACTGCATGAAATTAACCTGTGGAGGAGATTGTAAAATGAGGGAGTGGAATAATCATAAGACATAATTCTCATTTAACACCCTATTGAGGAGAACTATCCCCAAATCATGGTCACCAGCTACAAATTAGGACTCTCATTAGAGAAACATACTGGAAGCGGATAGTAGAAACCAAGTCAGTAAGCCATACAATCATTGCTTCAAGCCACAATCATAACAACAGTTAGGTATCTAATCACTACTAATTGCAAGGCACTGCAAGATGGGACCTGCAGCTACATCTATGGCCAGTGAAGCAGCGTCCCACAGGTCCCACAGGTCCCACAGGTACCTAAATACTTCCAGACATAATTATGCTATTAGAAACAAAACAAAAAAGTACATATTTATCTACATTTGTTCTTAGTAAAGTGTTACCTCACAGATCACATTTAGAAACTAATTAAATAAATAATATAAGCATTAAACATTTTAGGAGAATATAAGTTTTAAATTCTGGCTATGTAAAGGACTAAAAATAAGCCAATAAAATAATAAAAGTTTTAACTTGTAGCATTTGAAACTGGGAACAGTTTAGTGATTTTTTGAAGAATTAAGAATGGCTTTGAGAATTTGATATATATGTGCACTTTTCTTATATGCAAAGGCGCCGCTGTTGAGCTGCCATTGGCTGTCTGTCATGTGATGGTAATAAATATTCACTTATTCATTCCACTTTTTGTCAACTGCAAGATACTGTAGCAGTTACTGAAGGAAACATAAGCATTTGTTAAAATCACAATGAATCCACAATGAATTTACAATCTAATAATATAGCACACAAATAATTAAAACAAACAAATGAAAGGCGAGGGTTTGGCTACATGTTCTAGAATACATGGTCTCCCTCCACTCACTTCCCTTCATGGGGGAAGGAGAAGTAATGTGGGTGGTCCAAGATATAACTAGATCACATGGTTTAAAAGAGAAACACAAATAAATCTATGTAAAAGCAGATCTCTCTTTCCACTGGTTCATATACCCTTGCTTCCTTTCGCTGCTAGCATAGTAAAATACCAAGGACCTAAATTAGGATATGGGCCTAAGGAAAAGGAACTAAGGAGGACTTCTTTTGGTAGACCAAGGTTTTCACACTCTGTCCACCGACACTGTAGGAGATCAAGAAGTATGTCAAGAAAATGGAAGGGAAGGGAGCTAAAGGCAAGGCACAAGACTCTAGAAGCCCATGTCTTCTTCAAACAGAATTTTTTCTCTTGTTTAAAGACTCTATAATGACTTCCACATAGTGTTCTTTTGAATGAATAGGTACATTGTTAAAAGATCAATTTAAAATCATTTGTCTAAACCAAGGTTTAAAGATAAGAGGGAAGTCCTCATGACTTTAGACCAGTCCACTAGGGCTAGGGATTCCACCTTAGTTTGGGAGCAGAATATTTTCAGCAATAAATAGCGCATATTTGCATGGTGTGCCCTTTGCATATGTTGCTCCTCTCAAACCTACTGAGACATAGTGATATGATATCCAGGACACTTTCCTGTCAATTAATGTGAGTGGAACAAGATGAGATTCAAATTCACAGCCAGAGACTCCCTCTAGCTAACAGAAACAATGATGCAAGAGACACTAGGCATGAATCTGGGAGAGGCTTATGGACGAGATGACTTGTTTGTTGAGTCTTGAAGTTATCATTTATGTAAGACATAGAACATAGTCCTGTGTCTTAGTTAAGCTTTCCTAGTCTCATGCCTAGTGTCACAGAATTTAGTTTTGCTCTGTCTAAACTAACACTAAAAATTTTAGACAGCAAAACTAAAAATTTTACAAGGATAAACCTGAAATCTTAGCTTTATTCACATTACCTTCTACCTGAAGGCATTAACAGGGAGTAAGTAATAAGCTCAATTATCATATTAACACTAATGGTAAGTAAAATAGAATGATTTTACATATTTCAATCCAAAGTGTTAGTTTATTAGACATTCAGATGCCAACTAACCCATTTCTGACATCCCTTTATTTATTACATTGACCGTATTGTTTTCTTCTTCTTTTCCAGGGTGATTCTGGAGGTCCTCTGGTTATTGCACGTGATAGAAATGCCTGGTACCTTGTTGGAATAGTAAGCTGGGGAATAGACTGTGGAAAATAAAACAAGCCAGGACTTTATACCGAAGTGACTCATTATTGGGACTGGATTAAATCTAAAACTAACATCTAATGCAACAATCATCTCAAATCCAAATTATAAATGTCATGTGTGGTCTCTAGAAAAAGTGTGTTTAGCGTGTGCCACCATGTGTATTATCATCAAGTTCAAAATCCAAAAAAGTGTGATCTGATGACTTTCCCCTTAAACATGAAGAAGGCAGGCTTGCTTTCACATCATCTGAAGTGTTTTGCTCCTGTGAGCACAGAAGATATTTCAACTACACAAAGATCTACCATTGCTGCTAAGTGTCTCTGATTTATTCATTTTTCTTTTCCTAAGACATACAATATTCCTTTCAGAGTGAGCCAGCAGTTTAATCAGATAAGTACCAATTGGCTAAGCATTCTCTACTTTTTCGCTGAAATGGCACACTTCCTGTACCTGATGGCTCCACAGCTTTAGTCTCTCTTGTCAAATATTCCCCATTAAGAATGTGTGGGTTCACTGGACTAGATAAGTCAAGGTTATTAATTTTCACCAACATTAACACAAATGATGGAAGGGACACTAGGCATGAAACTAGGACTTAAGAGATGACACTACTGTGAATCTATTCCCCTTTGCCCTGAGATGTGCATTTAACTTTTCTTAGAAACTTGAAAAAGATTGACATTTATATTTACACTCAGTAATGTATATTTTAGTCTCTTTAAACAATTACACTGATGTTTATTTTGGAGCAATTAATCCCTGGATCAGGCAGCAAGAGAACTGGCAATATTGCTTTGTACAGGATTCTGCTCTGAACTATGTAAAAATGCCTTTATGTACTCATAAATTAAAGGCAGCCTTTTTGGCATTTTTAAGTTGAAAGGAAAAAAGGCAAGGATTCAATGAGAAAGAGCTACTTTCAGTTTCATCTTTAAAATGAGAGACGTTTCAATCTTTGTGTAAACTTTTCACTTTTTAAATTATCTTAATGTATTATTTAAACAATTTTCAACAAACTTCAGAACAGTTAAGGGATCTGCAGAATGGGAAATCAATATAAATTAGATACTTATAAACAACTTACATGAGAAGCCATTATAAAATTAGACATTCACAAACAATTTGATAAGATTTTGGTAAAGACCTTATTGTGTAATATTTACATTTACTAGAAAAAGGTGGCCAGCATTTTTTTTGCAGATTACTATTTATAGAAAATATTTAGATATTCAAGAAAACATCTTTTGAATTGCTTAATTATTATGTTAAAGTCATTTTTATATGTATTTAATTGCATATTTTGTACATGATTGTGGACTAGTATTTAACAAAACTCACACTTACTCTGAGTGTCTAAACCTTTATTCCCACCTCCCTTTTAAAATTAATTTAGTTAGTGAGATAATTGCTGTGCTAACATCTTTTGAGGGGTTTTGAGTCTCTCTTGCTCCACATAATAGGATATTGTGTATGTTTATATATATATATATATATGTATATATATATATATATATATGGCAACAAACTCAAATTCATCTGTTTGAGTCATCACTACAATGCAGGATTTCTCAATCTCAGTGCTATTGACATTTTGTCACAGTTAATTCTTTATTGGGGGAGGGGAAGGGATTGTCCTATGTATTGTGATATTATCAACATTCATTAACTCTACATACTAGGTTCCAGTAGTACTCCCCTACCAAGTTGCAACCCAAAAGTTACTGCAGACATTGCCAAATGTCCCTAGGGGAGCAAAATCACCCCCAGTTAAGAAATACTGCTATGGGATCAATAGTAATAGGAAAAAAAAAATCACTGTTAAAAACCATGCGCTCACAATTTCCTTACATGAGTTTGGAAAATTTTTTCTTCTCTCTCTTTTGTAATACTGATGCATTGAAAACGCTAGGGAAAAAAAAGCCTAGTATGACCACACTCATATTTATACCATCCTAGCCAAATTAGGATCATCTGGAAACTGATCTTCCTGATTAGAGAAAGTTAGAGAAAGAAGACTGTTTGAAGGCTGAGCTCCTACAGGCAAATATACATGAATATATAGGGAGTTATCTGTCAAATGCCTAAATCTTGAATAATTGCACCAAGTGTTCTCTGTTTAATATCTTCAGAATGCGTAGACAGACACTATTCAAAAAGGGGGCTTATGTATTCAGCTTTCAGCCCATCATCATCCATTAACACTTAACAGTGGAGCATACAGAATTGCATAACATCACTAAGCACTAAAAGCTACACTATCCAATGTGCGAGCCACTAGCCAGATGAAGCTATTTAGATTAAAATAAAATAAAATAAAATGTATTTCCTCATACGGATCACATTTTGTCATTACTGTCATACTAATCACATTTTAAGCACAAAATAGTCACATGGGCTTAGTGGCTTCTATTTTGGGCAGCACAGATATAGAACATTTCCATCATTAAAAAAAAGTTGTATTGGACATCACTGACCTAAAATATTCAAGGCGCCGACTTACCTAATTACTTATTCATCCAACAAGCATTTCTTAAACCTCTATGTGTCAGATACTGAGTATTCTAGCCGTTGAATATACAATCGTATGTAAGTCTCCTTTCTCAAAACCACATAAAGTGTTTTTGATAGCTGCTGTCTAAAGTAGCATACTCTTTTGGGCCTGTGTTTGGCCAAGCATAGCATTATTTTTAGACCCTTCTTCCTCTAGTGGCGCCAGTCCACTAGTGGAAAAGGGGCCACCAGAGACTCATAGTTGAGGCTGAAATGGTCAGAAACTGGATTTTCAACTGACCTTAGAAAAAGATGAAATAACTTCTCTAATTAATAGGATATTAAAGAATCAAAAAGAGGTTTTGTTGTTTTTTAAATCAAGAGAGTATTTCTTCTAAGCCAGGAAGATATGCTAATGGCAACCAAGGGAGAGTAACAACTGATGGAAGAGCATCAGAATGACTTAGTCACACAGATTAAAAACCACGCAGATTAAAAACCACAGATGACTATTTAAGCAAGCAGCCAACCCAAATACAACAAGAATTGGATTGCATAATCCATTAATGTCATTTTATTGTAGTTAAATCAAGCAAATGTGGAAATAGCAGGTCACTAGGACTCACGTTGTTCAGGAGAAGCAATAAAGTTTGACCAAATGTGTTACAGTGTGCTGCCATCTGCTGGTCCGTGTTATTTATTTATTTATTTATTTTTTAGACGGAGTCTCTCTCTTTCGCCCAGGCCGGACTACAGTGGCGCTATCTCGGCTCACTGCAAGCTCTGCCTCCCGGGTTCATGCCATTCTCCTGCCTCAGCCTCCTGAGTAGCTGGGATTACAGGCGCCCGCCACCGCGCCCCGCTAATTTTTTGTATTTTTAGTAGAGATGGGGTTTCACCTTGTTAGCCAAGATGGTTTCGATCTCCTGATCTCGTGATCCGCCCGCCTCGGCATCCCAAAGTGCTGGGATTACAGGCGTGAGCCACCGCGCCCGGCCCCTGGTCCATGTTATTTTAAAAATATATTTTATTTTACAGTTCACCCTTGAACAACATGGATTTGAACTGCACTGGACCTGTATTAGTCTGTTCTCATGCTCCAATAAAGACATACCCCAGACTGGGTAATTTATAAAGGAAAGAGGTTTAATGGACTCACAGTTCCACATGGCTGGGGGCCTCAAAATCATGGTGGAAGGCAAGGAGGAACAAAGGCACGTGTTACATGGTGGCAGGCTAGAGAGCTTGTGCAGGGGAACTGCCCTTTATAAAACCATCAGGTCTCATGAGACTTATTCGCTACCATGAGAACAGCATGGAAAAGATCTGCCCCCATGATTCAATTACTTCCCACTGGGTCCATCCACGACACGTGGGTATTATAGGAACTACAATTCAAGATGAGATTTGGGTGGGGACAGAGCCAAACCATATCAGGGCTACTTATATGTGGATTTTTTTCCACAGCTGGCACCCCTGAGACAGTAAGACCAATCCCTTCTCTTCTTCCTCCTCCTCAGCCTGCTCAATGGGAAGACAATGAGAAGGAAGACCTTTATGATGATCCACTTCCACATAATGAATAGTAAATATATTGTTTCTTCCTTAAGATTTTAATAACATTTTCTTTTCTCTTATTGTATTGTGAGAATACAGTATATAATACACATAACATAAAATATATATGTCAGTCAACTCTTTGTCTTATCAAAAAGGCTTCCATTCAACAGTAGGCTATGCATAGTTAAGTTTTGAGAGAGTCGCGAGTTATACATGAATTTTTGACTATGTGGGGCCATCAACCCTAACCCCCATGTTGTCCAAGGGTCAACTGTAATTCAAGCTACAAAGTTATGTGAGCTATTTCCCAACAAAGAAAATTCTAACAATCTCTCCCTGATTTTCTCCTAAGCAAATCAAAGTTTAAACTTCTATATATCCGTTTACATTATTTACATTTATACAAACATGAATAAATATATCTATTCACTAATGAAGGACTTATTAAATAAATAAATATATATCTTCACTAACAAATGATTTATACACTTTTCATTTCAAAAATAAGATCATTTGGTAAGTACATACATATGCACACACACATAGGCTTTCATGTCTATAAAAATGGTGTACTAGCATAGGACACTTGTTCCTTTCTCCAAATCAACCCTAGACACACTACAGATGAAAGAAGTAAACCTGGATTCTAGGCCAGAACTAGGAGACTGGAGCTAACTTGAACTAGATAGAGTGTGTAGGGAGGTAGGTGGCTGAAGTCTAGAGTAGAATGAGAGGATAGTTAAGAGAAAGGCTTTTTAAGTTTTTCTCTTACATCTCCCAACACCATGTTTTGCCCTACATTGCTTTGAGACAATGTTTACCTTCTTATCATACCAGAAATTAGTCTTAGCAATTCAGACCACCAATTTTGAAAGGACAGGAGAAAAAGCCTGCTGAGGAGAGAAGTTTCTGGAAAAGGTAGCACTAATTAGCTGCTTTCAGGTACTGTCTTCTCACCTTACCCTCCACATCTCCAGGGCTGTTGCATTAAAATTAAAAGAACCTTCTTCCTTCTAGTGCTGCTTCACTCTTAAGAATTTGTCAGTGAAATTCCCACTGGAAAAGTCAACTGATAGAAAGTCAATGAGTGAGAATGATCAATAATAGGTTTTGTGGGCTCTGGGACTCTCTACCCTAGGATTCATCCCCAATCTGTTCCTTAAATTCACTTTGACTGACACAAGTAAACACCTGCCCTTTGACCCTTCCATAGCCCATGCTGCCTGATAAAGCAGCTGATGCTCCTGGAGAAACATGAAATCATAGTCTAAAATAAATAAACTCCAAATGGTACAACTTCTTCAGAAGAAAGACAATAGACAAGAAAACATATAGCCTCTGAAACAGAAGCATTAGTATAAACAAAGGATGTAAAATACATATTATATCAGTATTTAAAGATATAAGGGAAGATATGAGCTATTTGTCATTGCTCACATTAATCATCTGAAACAAGAAGAAGCATGCATAAAAACAGAATGAAAATATTAGACATGGAAAATATAAGAGTTGAAATACAAAAGCACAGTTGATTAGATAGATAATAGGATAGTTATGACGGAAAAATAAATTGATGAATTGCAAGTTCAAATTGAAGAACTCTCTCAGAAAGGAAGAAGGGAAGGATAAAAATATAAAAATAAATTTTAAAAAATTAGAGATATGAAAGATAGAGAAGTAGAGATGCCAATATCCCAATTACAAGATTCTCAAATGCAGAAAAAAATTAAAAATTGAGATGAGGAAATATTTTAAAAACTAATGAAGATAAGATTTTAATAATAAAAGAAAATTTTAAAACTGTATATAAAAAAGGCTTATAGAGTTCCAAATAGAAGAAATAAGGAAAAACCCATACCTTGATATGTTAAAGTGGATTTTAAATTAAAAACATTATAAAAGCTACCAGAGAGAAAAAGCAGTTCACCTATAAAGAAACAAGAAGCATAGGACATCAGTTTTCTCAGCAGCAATACTGGATATGAGATGTCACTGAAGTAATATTTTTAAAGTATTAAAGGAAAGGAACTATATACCTAGAATCTCAAATCCAGGACATAATTGGGCCCCATAAATCTTCACACTTAACAGGAGCTATAATGATGCTATATGTCTCCGGTATCAGTATCAACTCAGATCCTGTTTCTAATAGTTTTTGAAATATCTGGGTATTCCCTTTGCCTTTTGTATAGTCACCCAGTAAGTAAAAAGTTATAGGTCCCTTTGGAGAAGCACTTAGGGAATCATCACTGTATATAATTATCATGGTGTAACAGGGTTCTTCCTCCTAGGGACTTGGCCACCTCTTCAGCCAATGGATTCTGGATCTGAAAATTGCCTCAAGTCTAAGAACTAAGAAAGGGATCATGGCTTTCTATTGGGGTGATCACCTAGAGCCTCCTGATCTTCCATTTTTGCATTTTTTCTTCTTTGGTTGTAGATGTTAATCAGCATGCTGGCTAGCTGCCTGTTTATTTTCCCCTAAAAACACCATACTTTTTGAACTGTCTCCACAATTCTTTGTGGGAAAAACTTCCATAGCTGTCCCTCCAACCTTGCCATTTGTTAAAGCTCACTGTGGGTTCCTGGCTTTGGCAGTTTAGCACTGACACTTTGCATCTATTACTTCAGGATTCCATCATCCCTATGGACAATCTCAGGACTGTAGGTGCTTCCCTTATTGCAGCCTCCATCTGCAACGAGAGCCATCATTGAACTTCTTAGTTATTCTCAAGCTCCTCTCACCAGCTCATTTGTAGTGACTTTCATAAATGATATGTCCTCTGGGCTTCCTGATGAAACACATGCCCTGGTGGGTCTTCTGGCCTCACATAATATATCCATTTTGACATGCCCACTTCCCTCAGCCTCTTTATTTCTTTCTCCGCTGTCTTCTAAGGCAACTGGGACACTTCATCTGTATTCAATCCTGGATATGGCTTCTTCCAGGATGCTAAGAGCCACCCTAGCAGGTTTGCTCCTTGGGTTTTTGCTAGGTTGTCAAATTCCATGTCTTGAGAAAGTGCTCCTAAGTCAATGAATTCTTACTTATCCAGTCTTTCATTCACCCCTCCATGATCAACCACCCTCAAAACCTAATGTCAGGAGCCAATAGATACGCACCAGTTCTTACAGTTCTTTAGTACATAGTCTCTTTTTCTATCTTTTCAAGCCCAGCATGTTACTAGCTGAGCCATTGGCCTGGTTGTCAGTTGAGGAGGTAAGAATATCTCTTGAGGAGCACCTGTTGCCTTGTGGGTGAAACAGCTCTATAGCATCTTTCAGCAGGGGAGAAGAGCTGGCTCTTACTAAGGAGACAGTGATTACTTCTATAAACTCTGAGGTTTCAGGGAGTCTGCAGAACCAACATCCCGAAAGACATCAATCCAGTTGACCCATCTTATATTTCAAGTTCCTGGGTTTTCCCAATTAGGACCCTGACCAAAGCATAGCCGATCAGCTTTGACTAAGCATTCAAACTCTGGGTATCTAACTATTAGATCTTTAGCCTGCTGCTTGGCTGTGTCTACTCTTCCTCTGCATGAAATAAAAGCTTTTTTGTAACTGGTTCTCATGCTTAGCCTTTAACATATTTTAAATGGCCTTCAGTTTCTCCTTATCCCTATGTAGGACAACAATGCAATTTAACAGTAACTAGCCAACTCCAATATCTTTGTAAGAGGCATTCTTCCCTCCTATCTTTCAGCTGTCTGAACTATTACCTGCAATGGTGTCCCCTCTATCAGGAAGCACCAAAAAGTTTTCCCGGGCTACTGCTGGTGAAATCTTTAACAATGCACCTGCCACCTTATGCCTGGGATTATCTGTGCCCTGCAGCCATTCAGCATGGCATCCTCTGCCCAACACACACTGAGGTGAGCTAATCAGTTCCAGATTTTCTAAGACCACTCTATCAGACCTCAAGATGGAATCTGAGGTGCAAGATAATTATTAAGGAAAACATATGTGAAGAAAAAAGTATGCTTGTTGGAAGAGTCATAAAGACACTTCAGAATGCCATGCAGCTCTGATCCTTGTGTAGTACAGAAGGACGTAAAAACAGTTGGGTAGGAAGAGTTCCACATTGCAGTGCAGTTTTAAGAAGATTTGGCCAAGCCTTTGGGGAGTCCTTACGTCAAAGTTACTCATCAAAGGAATTCCACATCTCCCAGAAATGGGCTTACCTTAAAAACCCTCCTGTGCTTAGTCACAGGCTGGGAGGAGCTCATGGGAAATGTGGCTGCAGTGTGAGTGCAGCTTTGGGCTCAAAGCACAGCAGTTGAGCCACCTGTCAATAATATTCTAAGAGACACATTTTCAGGATCACCACAACAATAGAACCTTACCTAAAACTATGCACAAAGGCAGACTCCAAAAATGGATTAGAGACCTAAGTAAGAAGGGAAAAACTGATCATGTTAATATTAAAAAAGGAAGAATATCTTTGCAACATAGGATAAGGAATAGATTGTTACAGCAAAACATAGAAAGTATTAAATGTAAGGCAAAAATAAGACATATTTGACTATTTCTGTTATGCAACTAACAAACTAACATTAAGGATAGAATTGAGGAAGATACTTAAAATATCTAAAACTGACAATGTACTGATATCTACAATATACAAAATAACCTTGCAAATCAACTAGGAAAACAGTAATCTCAGTAGAAACAGGAGTAAAGCACATGAAAAGGAAATTTACAAAAACAAAAAGCTAGCAAGCATATAAAAATGCTCAAATAACTAGTATTCAGAGAAATATAATTAAAACAAAACTAAGGCATCACTTTATACCTAATAAACCAAGGGAGTAAGTTGAGTGTAGGCAAGGATGTGGAACCTTCACAGAATGCTAGTAGTAGCAGTACATTTTAGTCGAATTACACAAACGTATGCTCTATGACCCAGGAATTCTGCAACACCCAATATCATGTACTAAGTCACTTTCAGATTGTATTCCAGTACATTTTCTTCAGATTAGACTAGAATCAATGATGTATCTTTGTATTTAATTGTTGAAGGAAGAAGAGAGGTTTCCTCACCCTGAATAAACATCTCAAGGTTGTTGGAGTAGGGAGTAAAGAATTACCTTAGCATTCTTTCCAAAATATCCAACATAATTTCATTTCTCAGAGTTGTAGGCAATATAAACAGACAGGTTTTGAACACTAAACTTTTAATGTAAATAAATCTCATATTTATAATAAATACTTGTAACTAACTGCACTAACTGGCACTCACAGAGATCCAGGAGTTTTGCATGTTCCATACCCAGGAATTATGGCAAGGTGAGAGATCCACACATGCATTCCCCTAGGAAGGGGTGAATACAGGGAGCCAAGTGGCATGGTTCTGCAGGCCCCACTCCCACGGCACCTCACAAGTTAAGACCCACTGGCTTGGAATTCGAGCTGGCCAGCAGCAGCCAGCTGGAGACTGCCTGAGATGGACTATTCCCCTGCAGATCGTGGCCAGACAGATTCTTTAAGAGGGACTGGGAACCATCCCTCCTTACTGTGCGGGGCCTCCCTGTGGGAATTTCAGCAACTCCAGCCAGGTTTATATGTACAGAACTCTGAGGTCTCTCTGAAATGGAGCCCCAGGGGAAGGTCAGCTGCCATCTCTGTGGTTCAGCTGACTTCAACTTTCCAGGCTGCCAGCTCTGGAGAGGCTAGGCAGTTAGTGCAGCAAACCTGCTCTGCCAAGGAGCAGCCAGACTGTTTCTTTAAGCAGGTCTCTGATCTATTTCCTCCTGACTCGGTGAGACCTCCCAACATGGGTCTCCAGACACCTCCAACAGGAGCATTCAGCTGGCATCAGGTTGGTGCCCCCCTCGGATGGAGCTGCCAGAGGAAGGAGCAGTCTTCAATCTTTGCTCTTTTGCAGCCTTTACTAGTGATACCTTCAGGTGTGGGAGGGACCAAGGCAACTAGGGTCTGGAGTATATAAAAATACAAAAATTAGCTGGGCATGGTGGCACGTGCCTGTAGTCCCAGCTACTCAGGAGGCTGAGGTAGGAGAATTGCTTGAACTGGGGAGGCAGAGGTTGCAGTGAGCCGAGATTGTGCCACTGCACTCCACACTGGTGACAGAGTGAGACTCCATCTCCAAAAAAAACCCAAAACCCAAAACCCAAAAACCAAACAAACAGAAAGCAACAACAACAATATCAACAGAAAAGATCTCACAAAAATTCTATTTAATGGTCAGCAACCTCAAAGATCGAAGGTAGATAAGCCCACAAAGATGAGAAAAATATGACACAAAAATGCTGAAAACTAAAAAAGCCAGAGTGCTGCTTCTCCTCCAGATGACCACAACACTTCTACAGCAAGGGCACAGAAATGGGCTGAGGCTAAGATGGCTAAATTGACAGAAGTAGTCTTCAGAAGGTGAGTAATAACCAACTTCACTTAGCTAAAGGAGCATGTTCTAACCCAATGCAAAGAAGCTAAGAATAATAATAAAATAATACAGGAGGTGATAACAAAAATAGCCACTTTAAAAAGGAACATAATGAACCTGATGGACACAATACATGAACTACACTATGCAATCACAAGTTTCAGTGGCAGAATGACAAAGTTGAGGAAAGAATCTCAGAGCTTGAAGACTAGCTTTCTGAGATAAGACAGGCAGACAAGAATAGAGAAAAAAGAATGAAAAGAAATAAACAAAAACTGCAAAAAATAAGGGATTATGTAAAACAAAGGACTGAACCTACAACTAATTGGGGTACCTGAAAGAGACAGGGAGAACAGAACCAAGTGGGCAAACATACTTCAGGATATCATCTAGGAGAACTTCCCCAACCTAGAAGGACAGGCCAACATTCAAATTCAGGAAAGCCAGAGAACCCCAGTAAGATATTCGATGAGAAGATCAACCCAAGACACAATCATCAGATTCACCAAGGTCGAAATGAAAGAAAAAATGTTAAGTGCAGCCAGAAAGAAAGGCCAGGTCACCTAAAAAGGGAAGTCCATCAGACTAACGGCGGACCTCTGAGCAGAAACCCTGTAAGCCGGGAGAGATTGGAGACCAATATTCAACAGTATTAAAGAAAAAAAATCCAACCCAGAATTTCATGTCCTGCTAAACTAAGCTTCATAAGCGAAGGAGAAGTAGAATTCTTTTCAGGCAAGCAAACATTGAGGGAATTCATCACCATTAGGCCTTCCTGGCAAAAGCTCCAGAAGAAAGCACTAAATATGGAAAGGAAAAACCATGACCAGCCACTACAAAAACACATTGAACTACACAGACCAGTGACACTGTGAAATAACCACATACACAAGTCTGCAAAATAAACAGCTAACATCATGATGACAGGATAAAATTCACAAATAACAACATTAACCTTAAATGTAAACGGGCTAAATGCCCCATTTAAAAGACACAGAATGGCAAGCTGGATAGAGTCAAGAAAAAGCAGTATGCTCTCTTCAAGAGACCCATCTCACATGCAAAGACACACATAGACTCAAAATAAAGGGATGAAGGAAAATTTACCAAACAAATGGAAAATAGAAAAAAGCAGGGGTTTCAATCCCAGTTTCTGACAAAACAGACTTTAAGCCAACAAAGATCAGAAAAGACAAAGGACATTACGTAATGGTAAAGGATTCAATTCAACAAGAAGAGCTAACTATCCTAAATATATATGCACCCAAAATAGGAGCACCCAGATTCATAAAGCAAATCCTTAGAGACCTACAAAGAGACTTAGACTCCCACACAATAATAGTAGAGTTTATCACCCCACTGACAACATTAGACAGATAATTGAGACAGAAAATTAACAAAGATATTCAGGACCTGAACTCAGCGCTGGGTCAAGTGAACCTGATAGATATCTACAGAACTCTCCACACACACACACACACACACACACACACACACACACACACACACACAAAACCAGAATATACATTCATCTAATCACCACATGGCACTTACACTAAAATTGATCACATAATCAGAAGTAAAGCACTCCTCAGCAAATGAAAAATAAATGAAATCATAACAGTCTCTCAGACCACAGCACAATCAAATGAAAGCTCGAGATTAAGAAACTCACTCAAAACCTCACAATTATATGAAAATTGAACAATCTGCTCCTGAATGACTCCTAGATAAATAATGAAATTAAGGCAGAAATCAAGAAGTTCTTTGAAACCTTTGAGTACCAAGTCACAACATACCAGAATCTCTGGGACACAGTTAAAGCAGTGTTAAGAGGGAAATTTATAACACTAAAATATCCACATCAAAAACCTAGAAAGATCTTAAATCAACAACCTAACATCACGACTAAAAGAAATAGAGAATCAGCCATGTGTATTTGCTCACACCTGTAATCCCTGCACTTTGGGAGGCCAAGGCAGGCAAACCACTTGAGGTCAGGAGTTGGAGACCATGTTTTCACCAATACAGTGAAACCCCATCTGTACTAAAAATTAAAACAAAAAAATTTAGCTGTGTTTGGTGGCATGCACCTGTAATTCCAGCTACTCGGGAGGCTGAGGCAGGAAAATCACTTTAACCTGGGAGGCAGAGGTTGCAGTGAGCAGAGATTGTGCCACTGCACTCCAGCCTGAGTGACAGAGTAAGACTCCATCTCAATAAAAAAAAAAAAAATAGAGAACCAAGAGCAAACAATCCCAAAGCTAACAGAAGATAAGAAATAACCAAGATCAGAGCAAAACTGAAGGCAATAGAGACACAAAGAAAACCCACAAAAAAATCAGTAAGTCCAGGGGCTGTGTTTTTGAAAAAAATAATAAAATAGATCACTAGCTAGACCAATAAAGAAGAAAAGAGAGAATAATCAAATAGACACAATCAGAAATGATAAGGGGGATATTACCACTGACCCTTAGAAATATGACCATCAGAGAATACTATAAATATCTCTATGGACATAAACTACAAACTCCAGAAGAAATGAATAAATTCCTGGACACATACACCCTCCTAAGACTGAATCAGGAAGAAGTTGAGTCACTGAATAGACTAGTAATGAGTTCTGAAATTCAGGCAGTAAGAAATAGCCTGCCAACCAAAAAAAAGCCCAGAACCAGACAGGTTCACAGCTGAATTCCACCAGAGGTAAAAAGAAGAGCTGGTACCAATTCTACTGAAACTATTCTAAAAGCCCAGCATCATCCTGATACCAAAGGCTTCACTTTTTTTGATACCCCAAAAAAGAAAATTTCAGGCCAATATCCCTGATGAACATAGGTACAAAAATCATCAATAAAATACTGGCAAACTGAATCCAGTATCACATCAAAAAGTTTATCCACCATGATCAAGTTCATTTCATCCCCGGGATGCAAGGGAGTTTCAACATGCACAAATCAATCAATGTGATTCAACACATAAACAGAAATAAAGACAAAAAAGGAACACACCTCAAAATAATAACAGCAATTTATGACAAACCCACAGCCAATATCATACTGAATGGGCAAAAGCTGGAAGGATTCCCTTTGAAAACCAGCACAAGACAAGTATGCCCTCTCTCACTACTCCTATTCAACATAGTATTGGAAGTTCTGGCCAGGGCAATCAGACAAGAGAAAGAAATAAAGGATACTCAAATAGGAAGAGAGGAAGTCAAATTATCTTTGTCTGCAGATGACATGACCCTGTATCTATAAAACCCCATTGTCTCAGCCCAAAAGCTTCTTCTGCTGATAAGCAACTTCGGCAAAGTCTCAGGACACAAAATCAATGTGCAAAAATCTCTGTACACCAACAACAGGCAATCAGAGAGCCAAATCATGAATGTACTCTCATTCACAATTGCTACAAAAAGAATAAAATACCTAGGAATACAGCTAACAAGGGAAATGAAGGACCTCTTCAAGGAGAACTACAAACTACTACTCAAAGAAATTGGAGAGGACACAAACAAACGGAAAAACTTGGGGAAAGAAAGAATCCATGTTCATGGATAGGAAGAATCAATATTGTGAAAATGGCCATACTGCCCAAAGTAATTTATACATTCAATTCTATTCCCATTAAATTACCATTGACATTTCTCACAGAAATAGAAAAAAACTATTTTAAAATTCATATGGAACAAAAAAAGCCCAAATAGCCAAGACAATCCTAAGCAAAAGGAACAAAGCTGGAGGCATTATGTTACCCGATTTCAAACTATACCAGATGGCTACAGTAACCAAAACAGCATGGTATTTGTACAAAAATAGACACATAGACTGATGGAACAGAATAGAGATTTCAGAAATAAGACTGCACATCTACAACAATCTGATCTTCGACAAGCCTAACAAAAACCAGCAATGAGTAAAGGATTCTCTACTTAATATATTGTGCTGGGAGAACTGGCTAGTCACATGCAAAAAATTGAAACTGGACCCCTTCCTTACACCATAAACAAAAATTAACTCAAGATGGACTAAAGACTTAAATGGAAGATCCAAAACTGTAAAAATCCTAGAAGAAAAATATAGGCAATACCATTCAAGACATAAGCACGGGCAAAGATTTCATGATGAAAATGCCAAAAGCGATTGCAACAAAAGCAAAGACTGACAAATAGCATCTACTTGAACTAAAGAGCTTCTGTACAGCAAAAGAAACTATTATCAGAGCTAACAGACAACCTACAGAATGGGAGAAAATTTTTGCAATCTATCTAGCTGACGAAGGTCTAATATCCAGAGTCTACAAGGAACTTAAACAAATGTACAAGGAAAAAAACAAACAACTCCTTAAAAAGTGAGTAAAGGACATGAACACAATTCTCAAAAGAAGACATACATGCAGCCAACAAACACATGAAAAAAAGCTCAACATCAGTGATCATTAGAGAAAAGCAAATCAAAACCACAATGAGATACCATCTCATGCCAGTCAGAATGGCTGTTATTAAAAAGTCAAGAAACAACAGATACTGGTGAGGTTGCAGAGAAAAAGGAATGCTTTTACACTGTTGGTTGGAGTGTAAATTGATTCAACCATTGTGGAAGACAGTGTGGCAATTCGTCAAAGATCTAGAGGCAGAAATGCAATTTGACCCATCAATCCCATTACTGGGTATATACCCAAAGGAATATAAATCATTCTATTACAAAGGTACACATACATGTATGTTCATTGCAGCACTATTCACAATAGCAAAGACACAGAATCAACCCAAATGCCTATTAAATATAGAGTGGAGAAAGAAAATGTGGTACATATACACCATGGAATACTATGCAGCCATAAAAAGGAATAATGTCATGTCCTTTGCAGGAACAATGATGGAGTTGGAAGCCATATTCATAGCAAATTAATGCAGGAACACAAAACCAAACACTGCATGTTCTCACTTATAAGTGGGAGCTGAATGATGAGAACACATGGACACACATAAGGGGAAACAACACACTTGGACCTGTTGGACGGTGGGGCATGGGAGGAGGGAAGAATAGCTAATGGATTCTGGGCTTAATACCTAGGCAATTGGTTGTTCTGTGCAGCAAACCAGTATCGCACATGTTTACCTATGAAACAAACCTGCATATCTTGCACATCTACCCCTGAACTTAAAAGTTGAAGAAAAAAAGTTTTATTTTATTTTTTAATCGACAAAAAAGAAACTCATTTCAAATATAGCTACATAGATAAGTTGAAAATAAAAGGATGGAAAAAGATAAATCATAAAAACTATTTTAAAAAGGAATAGCTGTATTGTTATCAGAACATGTAAATTTTAAAACAAAGAAACTTACTAGGGCCAAAGAGGCACATACGTACTTCTAAAAGGATCAATCCACCAATAATATTTAGCAATTCTACATGTTCATACACCAAACAACAGAGCTTCAAAATATATGAAGCAAAAACTGAGAGAAGTAAAAGGAGATAAAGAAAAATGTACAATGTAGTTGGCAAGTTCAACATCCTCTGATTTCAATAATTGATAGAATTACCTGGCAGAAAATCAGCAAGGATACAGATCTAAACAACACTATCAACCAATAGGGTCCAATTGACATTTATAAAACACTTCACTCAACAGCAAGATACACTTTTTTTTTTCAAGCACACATGTAACAGTTCTCAAGATAAACATATTCTGGATAATTATCCTCAACATATTTAAAAGAATTAAAATCATACAAAGTAGGTGCTCTGTCTGTAATGGAGTAAAACTGGGAACCCATTATAGAAAGATAAAGGGAAAAATCAATACTTTAAGTTTCTACTACAAGAAACAAGCAAATGAGAGCAAAATAAACATTAAGTAGGAGTAGGAAGGAAATAATAAAGAGCAAAATTAATCAAGATAAAAACCTCAGTTAATAAATTTGCAAACAAAGAAACAACAGAAAAAAACTAGTGACAAAAAAACTGTTTAAGAGAAAATCAATAATATTGATAAACTTCTGGGAAGACTGACAAAGATTAAAATAGAGAAGATTGAAATCACCAGGATCAGGAATGAAATGATGGAATATTACAAAAGAGCTAGCAGCCCTCAAATGTTAATTAAGGAATACCAGAAATGAGTTTACATTAATAAATTTAACAACTTAGAAGAGATGGACAAATTCCTTGAAAACCACAAACTACCAAAACTCAGCAAAGATAATATAGATAATTTAAATATTCCTACTAAATAAATTGAATTAATAATTAAAATTCTATTAAAAAACATTCAGGCATGAATGGTTTCACTGGTGAATTTTTCAAAATATTCAAATAATTAACACCAATTTTACATGACCCCTTCCAAAAAAAAAAAAAAAAAAACAGATGAAAGGGAAACATTTTCTAATTCATTTGATGAAGACAGTATTATCCTGATACTAAAACCAGAGCAACAAAAATAGGAAGCAGCAGACAAATATCTCTCATTAGTTTAGACACAAAATTCTAAACAAAACTTTAGCCAATTGAATCCAATAGTATATAAAAAGAAGAATACACCATGATGAAATGGAATTTATTCCAGGTATTCAAGGAGGTTTCAATATTTGAAAATCAATTAATGTAATACACCATATTAACAAGCTAAAGAAGAAAAAACATATAATCATGTCAATTGACACAGAAAATGCTTCAACAAAATTTGACATCAATCACACCCACTAGATTGTCTATAATCCCAGATACTTCAGAGGCTGAGGCAGAAGAATCACTTGAACCTGGGAAGTGGAGGCCGCAGTGAGATGATATTATGTCACTGTACTCCAGCCTGGGGGATGGAAGGAGACCCTGTCTCAAAAAAAAAAAAAAAAAAAAAAAATTCACATGCAACCAAAAAAGAGCCCAAATAGCCAAAACAATCCTAAGCAAAAGGAACAAAGCTGGACGCATTATGCTACCTGACTTCAAACTATAGTACGTGGCTACAGTAACCAAAACAGCATGGTATTGGTAAAAAACAGACACACCAATGGAACAGAATAGAGAACTCAGAAATAAGACTGCATGCTTACAAAGATCTGACCTTCAACAAACCTGACAAAAACAAGCAATGGGGAAAGGATTCCCTATTTAATAAGTGGTGCTGGGAGAACTGGCTAACCATATGCAGAAAATTGAAACTGGCCCCTTCCTTGCACCTTATACAAAAATTAATTCAAGATGGATTAAAGATTTAAATGTTAACCCCCAAACCATAAAAACCTTAGAAGAAAATCTAGGCAATACCATTCAGGACATAGGCACAGGCAAATATTTCATTATAAAAACTCCAAAAACAATTGCAACAAAAGCAAAAATTGACAAATGGGATTTAATTAAATTATAAAGATACATGCATGTGTATGTTCGTTGCAGCACTATTCACAATGGCCCAATGACATGGAATCAACTCAAATACCCATTAATGACAGACTGGTTAAAAAAAATGTGGTACATATACAACATGGAGTACTATGCAGCCATAAAAAAGAATGAGATAATTTCCTTTGCAGGGACATGAATGAAGCTGGAAGCCATTATCCTCAGCAAACTACTGCAGGAACAGAAAAATCAAACACTGCATATTATCACTTATAAGTGGGAATGGAACTATGAGAACACATGGACATATAGTAGTGGGAAACACACACTGGGGCCTATCAGGGGTGGTGGGTGGAAGGAGAGCATCAGGAAGAATGGCTAATGTATGCTGGGCTTAATATCTAGGTGATGGGCTGATTGTTCATCAAACCACCATAGCACACATTTACCTGTGTAACAAACCTGCACATCCTGCATATGTACCCCAGAACATAAAATAAAAGTTGAAGAAATGGGGAGGAGCCAAGATGGCCGAATAGGAACAGCTCCAGTCTACAGCTCCCAGCATGAGCGACACAGAAGACGGGTGATTTCTGCATTTCCATCTGAGGTACCGGGTTCATCTCACTAGGGAGTGCCAGACAGTGGGCGCAGGTCAGTGGGTGCGTGCACCATGCGCCAGCCGAAGCAGGGCGAGGCATTGCCTCACTTGGGAAGCGCAAGGGGTCAGGGAGTTCCCTTTCCGAGTCAAAGAAAGGGGTGACAGACGCACCTAGAAAATCGGGTCACTCCCACCCGAATACTGCGCTTTTCTGACCTGCTTAAAAAACGGTGCACCACGAGATTATATCCCGCACCTGGCTCGGAGGATCCTAGGCCCACGGAGTCTCCCTGATTGCTAGCACAGCAGTCTGAGATCAAACTGCAAGGCGGCAGCGAGGCTGGGGGAAGGGCGCCCGCCATTGCCCAGGCTTGCTTAGGTAAACAAAGCAGCCGGGAAGCTCGAACTGGGTGGAGCCCACCACAGCTCAAGGAGGCCTGCCTGCCTCTGTAGGCTCCACCTCTGGGGGCAGGGCACAGACAAACAAAAAGACAGCAGTAACCTCTGCAGACTTAAATGTCCCTGTCTGACAGCTTTGAAGAGAGCAGTGGTTCTCCCAGCACGCAGCTGGAGATCTGAGAACGGGCAGACTGCCTCCTCAAGTGGGTCCCTGACCCCTGACCCCCGAGCAGCCTAACTGGGAGGCACCCCCAGCAGGGGCACACTGACAGCTCACAAGGCAGGGTATTCCAACAGACCTGCAGCTGAGGGTCCTGTCTGTTAGAAGGAAAACTAACAAACAGAAAGGACATCCACACCAAAAACCCATCTGTACATCACCATCATCAAAGACCAAAAGTAGATAAAACCACAAAGATGGGGAAAAAACAGAACAGAAAAACTGGAAACTCTAAAAAGCAGAGCACCTCTCCTCCTCCAAAGGAACGCAGTTCCTCACCAGCAACGGAACAAAGCTGGATGGAGAATGACTTTGACGAGCTGAGAGAAGAAGGCTTCAGACGATCAAATTACTCTGAGCTACGGGAGGACATTCAAACCAAAGGCAAAGAAGTTGAAAACTTTGAAAAAAATTTATAAGAATGTATAACTAGAATAACCAATACAGAGAAGTGCTTAAAGGAGCTGATGAAGCTGAAAACCAAGGCTCGAGAACTACGTGAAGAATGCAGAAGCCTCAGGAGCCGATGCGATCAACTGGAAGAAAGGGTGTCAGCAATGGAAGATGAAATGAATGAAATGAAGCGAGAAGGGAAGTTTAGAGAAAAAAGAATAAAAAGAAACGAGCAAAGCCTCCAAGAAATATGGGACTATGTGAAAAGACCAAATCTACGTCTGATTGGTGTAACTGAAAGTGATGGGGAGAATGGAACCAAGTTGGAAAACACTCTGCAGGATATTATCCAGGAGAACTTCCCCAACCTAGCAAGGCAGTCCAACGTTCAGATTCAGGAAATACAGAGAATGCCACAAAGATACTCCTCGAGAAGAGCAACTCCAAGACACATAATTGTCAGATTCACCAAAGTTGAAATGAAGGAAAAAATGTTAAGGGCAGCAAGAGAGAAAGGTCGGGTTACCTTCAAAGGGAAGCCCATCAGACTAACAGCGGATCTCTCGGCAGAAACCCTACAAGCCAGAAGAGAGTGGGGGCCAATATTCAACATTCTTAAAGAAAAGAATTTTTAACCCGGAATTTCATATCCAGCCAAACTAAGTTTCATAAGTGAAGGAGAAATAAAATACTTTACAGACAAGCAAATGCTGAGAGATTTTGTCACCACCAGGCCTGCCCTAAAAGAGCTCCTGAAGGAAGCGCTAAACATGGAAAGGAACAACCAGTACCAGCCACTGCAAAATCATGCCAAAATGTAAAGACCATCGAGACTAGGAAGAAACTGCATCAACTAATGAGCAAAATCACCAGCTAACATCATAATGACAGGATCAAATTCACACATAACAATATTAACTTTAAATGTAAATGGACTAAATGCTCCAATTAAAAGACACAGACTGGCAAATTGGATAAAGACTCAAGACCCATCAGTGTGCTGTATTCAGGAAACCCATCTCACGTGCAGAGACACACATAGGCTCAAAATAAAAGGATGGAGGAAGATCTACCAAGCAAATGGAAAACAAAAAAAGGCAGGGGTTGCAATCCTAGTGTCTGATAAAACAGACTTTAAACCAACAAAGATCAAAAGAGACAAAGAAGGCCATTACATAATGGTAAAGGGATCAATTCAACAAGAAGAGCTAACTATCCTAAATATATATGCACCCAATACAGGAGCACCCAGATTCATAAAGCAAGTCCTGAGTGACCTACAAAGAGACTTAGACTCCCACACATTAATAATGGGAGACTTTAACACCCCACTGTCAACATTAGACAGATCAACGAGACAGAAAGTCAACAAGGATACCCAGGAATTGAACTCAGCTCTGCACCAAGCAGACCTAATAGACATCTACAGAACTCTCCACCCCAAATCAACAGAATATACATTTTTTTCAGCACCACACCACACCTATTCCAAAATTGACCACATACTTGGAAGTAAAGCTCTCCTCAGCAAATGTAAAAGAACAGAGATTATAACAAACTATCTCTCAGACCACAGTGCAATCAAACTAGAACTCAGGATTAAGAATCTCACTCAAAACCACTCAACTACATGGAAACTGAACAACCTGCTCCTGAGTGACTACTGGGTACATAACGAAATGAAGGCAGAAATAAAGATGTTCTTTGAAACCAACGAGAACAAAGACACAACATACCAGAATCTCTGGGACGCATTCAAAGCAGTGTGTAGAGGGAAATTTATAGCACTAAATGCCCACAAGAGAAAGCAGGAAAGATCCAAAATTGACACCCTAACATCACAATTAAAAGAACTAGAAAAGCAAGAGCAAACACATTCAAAAGCTAGCAGAAGGCAAGAAATAACTAAAATCAGAGCAGAACTGAAGGAAATAGAGACACAAAAAACCCTTCAAAAAATTAGTGAATCCAGGAGCTGGTTTTTTGAAAGGAACAACAAAATTGATAGACTGCTAGCAAGACTAATAAAGAAAAAAAGAGAGAAAAATCAAATAGACGCAATAAAAAATGATAAAGGGGATATCACCACAGATCCCACAGAAATACAAACTACCATCAGAGAATACTACAAACACTTTTACGCAAATAAACTAGAAAATCTAGAAGAAATGGATAAATTCCTCGACACATACACTCTCCCAAGACTAAACCAGGAAGAAGTTGAATCTCTGAATAGACCAATAACAGGAGCTGAAATTGTGGCAATAATCAATAGTTTACCAACCAAAAAGAGTCCAGGACCAGATGGATTCACAGCTGAATTCTACCAGAGGTACAAGGAGGAACTGGTACCATTCCTTCTGAAACTATTCCAATCAGTAGAAAAAGAGGGACTCCTCCCTAACTCATTTTATGAGGCCAGCATCATTCTGATACCAAAGCTGGGCAGAGACACAACCAAAAAAGAGAATTTTAGACCAATATCCTTGATGAACATTGATGCAAAACTCCTCAATAAAATACTGGCAAACCGAATCCAGCAGCACATCAAAAAGCTTATCCACCATGATCAAGTGGGTTTCATCCCTGGGATGCAAGGCTGGTTCAATATACACAAATCAATAAATGTAATCCAGCATATAAACAGAGCCAAAGACGAAAACCACATGATTATCTCAATAGATGCAGAAAAAGCCTTTGACAAAATTCAACAACCTTTCATGCTAAAAACTCTCAATAAATTAGGTATTGATGGGACGTGTTTCAAAATAATAAGAGCTATCTATGACAAACACACAGCCAATATCATACTGAATGGGTAAAAACTGGAAGCATTCCCTTTGAAAACTGGCACAAGACAGGGATGCCCTCTCTCATCACTCCTATTCAACATAGTGTTGGAAGTTCTGGCCAGGGCAATTAGGCAGGAGAAGGAAATAAAGGGTATTCAATTAGGAAAAGAGGAAGTCAAATTGTCCCTGTTTGCAGACGACATGATTGTATATCTGGAAAACCCCATTGTCTCAGCCCAAAATCTCCTTAAGCTGATAAGCAACTTCAGCAAAGTCTCAGGATACAAAATCAATGTACAAAAGTCACAAGCATTCTTATACACCAACAACAGACAAACAGAGAGCCAAATCATGAGTGAACTCCCATTCACAACTGCTTCAAAGAGAATAAAATACCTAGGAATCCAACTTACAAGGGATGTGAAGGACCTCTTCAAGGAGAACTACAAACAACTGCTCAAGGAAATAAAAGAGGATACAAGCAAATGGAAGAACATTCCATGCTCATGGGTAGGAAGAATCAATATCGTGAAAATGGCCATACTGCCCAAGGTAATTTACAGATTCAATGCCATCCCCATTAAGCTACCAATGCCTTTCTTCACAGAATTGGAAAAAACTACTTTAAAGTTCATATGGAACCAAAAAAGAGCCTGCATTGCCAAGTCAATCCTAAGCCAAAAGAACAAAGCTGGAGGCATCACACTACCTGACTTCAAACTATACTACAAGGCTACAGTAACCAAAACAGCATGGTATTGGTACCAAAACAGAGATATAGATCAATGGAACAGAACAGAGCCCTCAGAAATAACGCCGCATATCTACAACTATCTGATCTTTGACAAACCTGAGAAAAACAAGCAATGGGGAAAGGATTCCCTATTTAATAAATGGTGCTGGGAAAACTGGCTAGCCATATGTAGAAAGCTGAAACTGGATCCCTTCCTTACACCTTATACAAAAATCAATTCAAGATGGATTAAAGATTTAAACGTTAGACCTAAAACCATAAAAACCCTAGAAGAAAACCTAGGCATTATCATTCAGGACATAGGCATGGGCAAGGACTTCATGTCTAAAACACCAAAAGCAATGGCAACAAAAGCCAAAATTGACAAATGGGATCTAATTAAACTAAAGAGCTTCTGCACAGCAAAAGAAACTACCATCAGAGTGAACAGGCAACCTAGAAAATGGGAGAAAATTTTTGCAACCTACTCATCTGACAAAGGGCTAATATCCAGAATCTACAATGAACTCAAACAAATTTACAAGAAAAAAACAAACAACCCCATCAAAAAGTGGGCGAAGGACATGAACAGACACTTCTCAAAAGAAGACATTTATGCAGCAAAAAAACACATGAAAAAATGCTCACCATCACTGGCCATCAGAGAAATGCAAATCAAAACCACAATGAGATACCATCTCACACCAGTTAGAATGGCAATCATTAAAAAGTCAGGAAACAACAGGTGCTGGAGAGGATGTGGAGAAATAGGAACACTTTTACACTGTTGGTGGGACTGTAAACTAGTTCAACCATTGTGGAATTCAGTGTGGCGATTCCTCAGGGATCTAGAACTAGAAATACCATTTGACCCAGCCATCCCATTACTGGGTATATACCCAAATGACTATAAATCATGCTGCTATAAAGACACATGCACACGTATGTTTATTGCAGCATTATTCACAATAGCAAAGACTTGGAACCAACCCAAATGTCCAACAATGATAGACTGGATTAAGAAAATGTGGCACATATACACCATGGAATACTATGCAGCCATAAAAAATGATGAGTTCATGTCCTTTGTAGGGACATGGATGAAATTGGAAATCATCATTCTCAGTAAACTATTGCAAGAACAAAAAACCAAACACCACATATTCTCACTCATAGGTGGGAATTGAACAATGAGATCACATGGACACAGGAAGGGGAATATCACACTCTGCAGACTGTGGTGGGGTGGGGGGAGGTGGGAGGGATAGCATTGGGAGATATACCTAATGCTAGATGACGAGTTAGTGGGTGTAGCGCACCAGCATGGCACATGTATACATACGTAACTAACCTGCGCAATGTGCACATGTACCCTAAAACTTAAAGTATAATTAAAAAAAAAAGTTGAAGAAAAAAAGAGTTGATGTTATACATGTAAGGAGCAGATCTTAATGATGTTTGTTTTGCTGTCTTAATCTTAAAGTACATCATAGGAATATCATAGAACTGAACAAATATCTGTGGAATTCCATGATGTTTACCATATTAGGCTTCTCTGAAATACCATAACACAATAGGGTCTGAGCTACTATGTGCAATGACTCCTAATCTATGTTCTATTTCCCACTTCTTCATTTACAACATGAGAATACTTTACTTGTTACCTGGTGTCAGTTTTGTAATTTCTCCTTTTCAGGGATGACAATAACATCGGTTGAAGAAAAATCTCAATCAGAGAAGTTATCTTACATCTTCCTCAAGGAAAGTATGTTGTTGCTATTGTCTCATGATATAATTCCTATGCACTGTAGTATTTTTTCATTATAATGGCACATTAATATGAGATAATAGGAGAGCAGTAGCATGCCTATTTACATTATTAACAATTTAAAACAATCTTAAGAAAGATTTTCTGCAATAAATTTCAACTGTACAAGTAAGGTTTAGGCATAAACAAGTCCAGGTAATTTATACATACTATGAATTACTGAGAGCTACTCAAGTAGATGCCTAAAGGGAAACAAAAAATAATTACCTCCATACTAAAAATGTGATTGTTGACAATCATACTAGTTTACATCTTTGTTCCCATCACATCAGGGAAGTTATATTGGGACATTGTAGTTGTTTGAGGGGATACAGCATAAAAGATAGACTTAAATAGCAGACAAGGGCTGCTATTCCCCCCCACCGCCAACTTCCATAATCAGCTGGTGATGGGGAAAAAAAAAAAAACTATTATTTTTTAGAGCTAGATTTATGTCAAGCACCATTCACATAGTAATTCTAAATGATAAAGGGGAGAGCCTTTTGTGTCAGAGAGACCTGGAAGGAAATGCTGGCTCTATCATTTACAGACATATGAGACTAGTCAAATTATTTCACATCTGTGAGCCTCAGTTTCTATTTCTGTAAAATGAGGTTAATTCCTCCCCAAAGGGCTGCTGTGAAGTATTAAACAAGATAATGCATGTAAAGTAGTGATGGCAATGGCTGGCCTTTGATGAGTACTGTTTATTTGCAATAATTATAATTTCATTTGTTTTACTATTTTGAATGTAAATTTTATTGACGTATAACTTACATTAAATAAAATTTACCTTTTTAGTGAATAGTTCTATGACTTTTGACAAGCACATATAGTCTTAAAACCAACACCACAAGATACAGAAAAATTTCATCTCCCCAAAAATTTCGTTGTCATAAAGGCCCTCTTTGCCATCATCACACTGTGGCAAACTCTAATTTGTTTTTGTCTTTCCGGTATAGCCTTTTCTAGAAATGTCATATGAATGGAATTATGCAATATGTAACTTTTGAATCTGGATTCTTTTACTCCGCATAACACCATTGAGCTATTCTCATTTAGTTTGTACATATATTACTATTCTTAGTGCAGAAAAATTAAGTACAGAAAGTTAGGTAATTTACTCAAATCCATAATTATTAGAAGACAGAAATTTGGTTCTGGTTCTTTCAAAGTTGTGTTTCTTGTTTGCTATGTCATATTGCCTGCCTCCTGTTGGCCTATAGCTTATTAAACTCCCACTGCCAATTCTGGAGTTTATGCTGATATTCAGACATTTAGTCTTCTACACTCCTGCAATGAAATAGACAGAAAGCTAAGATGCCAGATTGTATTAGGATGCACAGAGAGATTCTGAACAAAATTCTTATGTTCTGCCACACTGACATTCATAGCAGTCATCATTTTACCTTAATGTAGTCCATGATTCCCTTCTTATTTGTACCAGATAGTGTGAGGGGCATTTTGCATATACTGTTTCCTATAATTCCTACAATAGTCTGGAAAGCTATTATTCATTCCATTTACGGACAAGGAAGTTAAGACACAAAAATGCCAACCAGCAGCTAGAGAGTAAAGCCAGGATTTGCAGGCTGGTATATCTCTCTCCAAAGTTAGAGCTCTGTCTATGAGGACTTCTGCCACTCACAATGGAAGCCGTTGTTTATTGCCATTTTGCTAGACAGTTTCACATACATTATGCAATTTAACACTCACAAAGGTCCTGCATATAGATGGTATCAACCCATTCTAAATAGGAGAAAAATTATGCTCAAGGGATTTAAGTAATCTGCTCAAATTAACTAGCAGAGTCAGAATTCCATTCTAAGTCCATGCCCTATTCACTATTCCATGAAGCACTATGCCAGAAGAAAAGGAGGAAAAAGAGGGAAAGGAAGGAAAAGGAAGGAAAGAATGTTCCTATGTGTGTTCCTTGTATAGTTCACTAGAATAACCTTCACTAAGGTTTTGTCTGTTAAATATTAGGTAAGAAAACATATGCAAATGAAATACAGTCCTAATAATAATAGCCGATGTTTCTTCTTGCTTCCATTGCAAGAGGCACTATTTTAAACATTTTACATGCACAGCATTAACTCATATATGTTTCACAAAAACCCTAAAAGATGATAATTAATATTATTCCTATTTTACAGACATGGAAACTTCTGAGATTTGAACCTTGGCACTCCTAGAGAGCCTATGCACTTAAAGCACTCTGCTGTACTGTGTAAAAAGATTTCAAATGTGCTTTCTCCAAGTGCTAGAAGCAATGACTTGGAAAACCTCTATTTAAAGTAGTGTTCCCCCTTAAATGGGTACCATTTGGTTATAAGGTATGAACAAGAAACACTAAATATTTTCGTCCTTCGTGCAATTGGTAAAAAGAATAAGGGAGATCTGGGCCGGGCGCGGTGGCTCACGCCTGTAATCCCAGCACTTTGGGAGGCCGAGGCAGGCGGATCAACAGGTCAGGAAATTGAGACCATCTTGGATAACACGGTGAAACCCCGTCTCTACTAAAACTATAGAAAAAAAAAAAAAAAACACTAGCCAGGCGTGGTCCTGTAGTCCCAGCTACTTGGGAGACTGAGTCAAGAGAATGGCGTGAACCCGGGAGGCGGAGCTTGCAGTGAGCCGAGATGGGGCCACTGCACTCCAGCCTGGGCGACAGAGGGAGACTCCGTCTCCAAAAATAAAAAGAATAAGGGAGATCTGTTTTCCCCAAAATGGAATGATATTCACAATGTTAAACGAATACAACCAAACTGCACAATAATGTATACAATGTGATACTTTTAAATTAAAATGCATAAATGTTTTTTATGCATTATAAGCATTAACACCCCTTCTCCTAACACTAGGTGCTTCTGAGGGAGAAGGAAAGGGACCAAGAGTAGGACATTGTCAAACATGGTTTTAGTCTCATTTTTTACAAAGAACATGTATTAATATGTTGTTTGTCTAATTGAAAATGTTTATTTCTTCTCTTTTTTTCATTCTGATAAATGTCTGTCAATGTTTTATCACATTAAGTCATTTGGGGAAACATATAGTTTTATATTAATTTATTTGCCTGTACTCTCAGAAGTGGGTATTTAAAAAAACTATTATGTATTAGTAAATTCACTATGCTTCTGTAAGATACCTGCTGTTCAACATGAATTTATGGAATATTTCTTGAGTTATATTTTTATTATGTATTTAGATTTTAAGATCTGTTTGTTTTTATCTAGAGCTTTTATGTGACAGTTTCTTTAAAATACTTATATACCTACCATAATCTTCTTTAAATTCTTAATTCTAGTACATTCCTAAGGTATTTCTCATTCTAATCTTTGTAACCAGTTTCTCCTCCTTTAACAAAATTAGTCCATACTAAAAAAATATTGCTTTCTTGTTGGGACTATCCTGTCTCTGGCTTTCTTCAAGGCCTTCTATGGGTTGAAACTTCTCTGTTCAGACTTGTCAAACTAGTTTCATTTCAACTACTTGTAATTTGTTTCCTTATTTCTTTGAGCCGTAGACTTCTAATACATCTAGAGATGTCATATAGTTGATTAGAAAGTTGAGTTCAGTGGGTGCAGACCTGCAAGATCATATTCTTCCTCCTGTACATGATGTATCGGTAAGTTCAGTTCTGTTTTATAGATGGCTTGTTTGATGTACTGTCTGTCAGTGGCCGGATTCCTGATGTGTAAGAGGACTGCTAGTGAGGTGTCTTTGGTGGATTCAATCTGCACTGGATTTTTTTAAATTTCTGGAATTATCATAGCATCCTGGATTAATTAATTTCTGTGTTTGAAATCAAAGTTTTTGTATAAAAATTGTTAGCATTATTTCATGTGGCCAAGTTCAATAGTTAAGATTTTAGAAAAGGTTAATGAAAAACTATATTACATTGTGTCTTAATTGGTTTTGATTTTTTTGTGTGTGTGGAAGGAGGGTGTTTATATGTTTTAAAACAAGCCTTCTTTCAGCAATATTGACAAAATTTAGCTTCTATAGCGTTTTCTCTTTCGCTGTGTTTACTTGTCCCTTATGGTGGGTCCTTGTGGGACTAATGCAGATTGAGAGGTAAATAGCTGCAGAGACACCTGCCTCCATTGTAGAAGACCCAGGGCTTCCATGTGGGAGAATGAGAAAACAAGCTCAATACTGGGAAAACATGCCTATTCTCTACAATTCTTCCTATTACGTTTTGAAGAAAAAATACATGAATTATTTGGGTATTGTTTTTCAAAATGGGGTATGCCATGTGCAAAGAATATGAAAAAATAAGATTCCTTGGCATAACTTTATATACAGTTAAAATAGTGATTTTAAACAGCCATGATGATAATAATATTTCACCATTGTTTAGACTTGTACTATTTTTGAAACATCTTTATGTATGTTATTTCCTTTAATAGCCAAGACAGCCTTGTGGCTAAGTAGAACAAGTATCACAAGTATCGTTAACTCCCATTTTAAAGCAAGGAATTTGAGGAAAACAGAAGTTAGGGGACGTCTCCAGGTCTAGAGGGCTGTCAGAAGCCAGAATCATGGCTATAATTCCTTGCAGTCCTCAACTCCTTGGAGTCGAGTCTTCCTTATCAGCTACTGCAGCCTGTCTGGGTGGCAAGGATTCCATCCAGTGAATTTCAGAGATGATAATTTGATACGAGATTGGCCACTAAGTTAGTGAACTTCACTAGGTTTCCTTCCCCACTCACAAAATGCATGTTTGCATCAGTCCTTCAGTAATCACATAGTAATTGACAAAAAGTCTCTGAGACCCTCAGAAAGGGTCTTCAATGCTTCAAACATAACCAGTACTCCATAAATATTTGTTGAACAAATGAATGGGCAAGCAGATGTAAATATCTAGCATTAATGTTTGACTGTTAAAAAATTATTTTAAAAATTAATAATTTACTATTAAATTATTAAAGTATATTGAATGTGAAAATGCATATCCATGTTTATAGAATCATGATATTGTAAAACAGGATTTCCAGTTTTTCATATTTCATATTCTCCAAATCACTCTTTTAAAATATCAAGCTCATAATTATGGGCACCAAAAGTGTCCTTTTCTATGAACATTAATATATTTATAGGAGTGTTTGCAGCTTAGGGATGTAAATTACAAGGGTAGAATCAGTGGTCAATGCCATTGTTCCAGACATCAGTGACACCTGCTGATAAAGGAAACAGGCTGGGCGTGGTGGCTCATGCCTGTAATCCCAGCACTTTCGGAGGCCGAGGCAGGCAAATCACTTGAGGCTAGGAGTTAGAGACCAGCCTGGCCAAGATAGTGAAACCCCATCTCTACTAAAAATACAACAATTAGCCGGGCATGGTGGCGCATGCACCTGTAGGCCCAGCTACTTGGGAGGGTGAGGCAAGAAAATCACTTCAACTTGGGAGTCGGAGGTTGCAGTGAGCCAAATCATGCCACTACACTTCAGCCTGGGCAACAGAACAAGACTCTGTCTCAAAAAAAAAAAAAAAAAAAAAAAAAAAAAAAAAAAAAAAAAAAAAAGGAAAAGAAAAGGAAAGGAAAGAAAAGAAAAGAAAGGAAAAAGAAAGGAAATGGTGGGAAACATTGAATGGTTATGGTTTCTTTAAGCCAAATTCATGCAATATTAATTTAGGATTTGGAAGATTTGCAGGAGATGTCAGGTCACACCAACAAGTAGGCTTAAGGATTGAGGCAAAGCAGATGGTTAATAATTACTACAATACCCTATGTCTCACCCACAGTCATTCTACAATATGTTCTACAGTCATGCTAGCCATTCTTACTTCTCCATTAACAAGAAACATAATATGGAAGCCTTGTCAAATATATTCGATTTGTATCCTTGCTCTTTCTGCTATCATGAACCTTGGATCTCTTCTCTATGGGTTCTGTTACCCTCTTCTGTGTATTGCAGGGATTCTTTCTGTTTTGGTGTGAATCTGTTTGAATTTTCCTTTAAGAATAGCCATACACCTACTTTTTCCTACACTTTTGTTAATTGCATGATTCACTCACTTAAGTACCTCAATTATCTTTGTTACAAAAGATAAAATACCAAATGACTTCTTCAGGTGAGATTCTTATCCTGTTCCCAGAAGTCTGGCATCTCTTTTTCCCATAGCTCTTTATTTTCAGCATTGTTTAATAAATGCAAAAAATCAGAATTCTCCTCTTCCTCATCACCTTTAGACAAAAAGATAGTACTGGGCAGGTCCTTTGTATGCTTTCATGTTTTACATTTTAATTTCACTTCAGTTGATTGTTTTAATCAACTTTTAATTTGCCATGAGCAATTCCTAATATATTCTAAAATTATACCTTCAGAATTAAAACAAAAATAGCAAACTCACCATGTTAGTTACTAATTACTAAACTTGTTATAAATTATCAATTAAAAATTACTTTTTGGTTTAGTTTTCAGCAAACTCATAGTGCTTACTATAAATAAGCATTCAAACTATAATATACATATTACATTATGTTGGTGCATTTAATTATCTCAGCAATCCTATGACTTAGGTAATATTATCTCCATTTTATAGGTGAAGAAAGTAGCCCAATATCACAAGCTAGTAAGTGAAGGAGCTGGAATTTCAACCTGAAAAATAGAGCCAGAGCCTGAGTTTAACGAATAGGGTAACTTGACTTTCTTTCTTTCTTTTTAGTAATTTCTAAGAGAAGAATAACTGTTTTTTAATTTAATTTTTTTAAATTTCAACATTTATTTTCGCTATAGTGGATACATCTGCAGGTTTGTTACATAGATATATTGCACCCAGGTAGTGGGCATAGCACCCAATAGGTAGATTTTCCATCTATGCCCTCCTCCCAACCTTGCCCCTCTAGTAGTCTGCAGTGTCCATTATTCCCGTGTTTATGTCTATGTGTGCTCAATATTTATCTCCCATTTATAGGTGAGAGCATGTGGTATTTGGTTTTCTGTTCCTGCATTAGTTTGCTTAGGATTATGGCCTCCAGCTTCATCTATGTTGCTGCAAAGGACATACATTTTTTACAGCTGCATAGTATTCCATGGTGTATATGTAACACATTTTAAAAAACTGAAATCCACTATTGATGGGCACCTAGGCTGATTACATGTCTTGCTATTGTGAATAGCACAGCAATAAACATGAGTGCATGTATCTTTTTGGTATAATGATTTATTTTTCTTTGGATATATATTCAGTAATGGGATTGCTGTGTTAAATAGTTCTGTCTTAAGTTCTTTGAGAAATCTCCAAACTGCTTTCCATTGTGGCTGAACTAGTTTACATTCCCACCTACAGTGTATAAAAATTCCCTTTTCTCTGCAGCCTTGCCAGCAACTGCTGTTTTTTGACTCTTTAATAGTAGCCATTCTGATGGGTGTGAGATAGTATTTCTCTGACGATTAGTAAGGTTGAGCATTTTTTCATGTTTGTTGTCCACCTGTATGTCTTCTTTTAAGAAGTGTCTGTTCATATCTTTTGCCCACTTTTAATGGGGTTATTTGTTTTTTGTTTGTTGATTTAAGTTTTTCATGCATTCTAGGTATTAGACCTTTGTCAGATGCATGGTTTGTGACTATTTTCTCTGATTCTGTAGATTGTCTGTTTATTCGATAGTTTCTTTTGCTGTGCAGATACTCTTTAGTTTAATTAGGTCTCACTTGTCAATTTTTGTTTTGTTGCAATTGCTTTTGGAATTCTTCACCAAAAATTCTTCACCAGGGTTGATGTTAAGAAGGTTATTTCCTAGGCTTTCTATAATTTGAGTAAAATATTCACAATACTAGTCACTCCATAGTGTTCTGTCTATAGTCAATGAATTGAAATATATGTGCTTATCATTCAGATTTAAAGGCAGATTTGTAACATCCTCTTCTTGATTTGTTTTCCTTCTTTTCCAAATCTCTGCCTGTATTAATCCATTTTCATGCTGCTGATAAAGACATACCTGAGACTGCGCAATTTACAAAAGAAAGAGGTTTAATGCACTCACAGTTCCATGTGGCTGGGGAGGCCTCACAATCATGGCAGAAGGTAAAAGGCATGATTGTCTTTCTTACACAGTGGCAGACAAGAGAAGAGAGCTTCTTATAAAACCATCAGATTTTGTGAGACTTATTCATTATCACAAGAATAGCATAGGAAAGATCTGCCTTCATGATTCAATTACCTCCCATCAGATCCCTCCTACGACACATGGGAATTGTGAGAGCTACAGTTCAAGATGAGATTTGGGTGGGGACACAGCCAAACCATATCATTTTGCCCCTGGCCCCACCCAAATCTCATGTACTCACATTTTAAAACGAATCATGCCTTCCCAACAGTCATCCAAAGTCTTAACTCATTTCAGCACTAACTCTAAAGTCCACAGTCTCATCTGAGACAAGGCAGGTCCCTTCTGCCTATGAGCCTGTAAAATCAAAAGTAAGTTAGTTACTTCCTAGATACAACAGAGGGACAGGCACTGGATAAATAGACCCATTCCAAATCAGAGAAATTGGCCAAAATGAAGGGGCCAAAGGCCCCATACAAGTCTGAAATCCATCAGAGCAGTCAAATCTTAAAGCTCCAAAATGATCTCCTTTGGGTCCTTGTCTCACATGCAGGTCACACTGATGCAAAAGGTGGGTTCCCATGGCCTTGGGCAGCTCCAACCCTGTGGCTTTGCAGGGTATAGCCTCCCTCCCAGCTGCTTTCACAGGCTGGCATTGAGTGTCTATGGCTTTTCCAGGTGCATGGTGAAAGCTGTCGGTGAATCTACCATTCTGGGGTCTGGAGGACGGTGGTTCTCTTCTTACAGCTCCATTAGGCAGCACCCCAGTAGGGACTTTGTGTGGAGGCTCTGACTTGATAGTTCACTTCTGCACTTCCCTAGCAGAGGTTCTCCATGAGTGCACTGCTCTTGTACCAAACTTCTTCCTGGACTTCTAGGCATTTCCATACATCCTCTGAAATCTAGGTGGAGGTTGCCAAACCTCAATTCTTGACTTCTGTGTACCTGCAGGCTCAACCCCACATGGAAGCTGCTAAGGCTTGGGGCTTGCATCTTCTGAAGCCATGACCCAAGCTGTAGCTTGGCCTCTTTTAGTCACAGCTGGAGCAACTGGGACACAAGGCAACAAGTCCCTAGACTGCACACAGCAGAGGGACCCTGGACCTGGCCCATGAAACTATTTTTTCCTCCTAGGTCTCCAGGCCTGTGATGGGAGGAGCTGCCTTGAAGACCTCTGACATGCCCTGGAGACATTTTCCCATTGTCTTGGTGATTAACATTCAGCTCCTCATTACTTATGCAAATTTCTGCAGCCGGCTTGAATTTCTCCTCAGAAAATGGGATTTTCTGTTTTATCGCATTGTCAGGATGCAAATTTTCTGAACTTTTATGCTCTGTCTTCCTTATAAAACTGAATGCCTTAATAGCACCCAAGTAACCTTTTGGATGCTTTGCTGCTTAGAAATTTCTTTCTCCAGATACCCTAAATCATCTCTCTCAAGTTCAAAGTTCCACAAATCTCTAGGGTAGGGCAAAATGCCAACAGCCTCTTTGCTAAAACATAACAAGCGTCACTTTTGCTCTGGTTCCCAACAAGTTCCTTATCTCCATCTGAGACAATCTCAGCCTGGATTTCATGTCTAGATCACTATCAGGTTTTTGGTCAAAGCCATTTAACAAGTCTCTAGGGAGTTCCAAACTTTCCCAAATTTTCCTATCTTCTTCTCAGCCCTCCAAACTGTTCCAACCTCTGCATATTACCCAGTTCCAAAGTTGCTTCTACATGTTCAGGTATCTTTTCAGTGGCACCCCACTCTATTGGTACCAATTTACTGTATTAGTCCGTTTTCACACTGCTGATAAAGACATACCTGAGACTGGGCAATTTACAAAAGAAAGAGGTCTAATGGACTCACAGTTCCATGTGGCTGGGGAGGCCTCAAATCATGGCAGAAGATGAAAGGCATGTCTTACATAGTGGCAGACAAGAGAAGAGAGCTTGTGCAGGGAAACTCCCCCTCATAAAACCATCAGATCTCATGAGACTTATCCATTGTCATGAGAATAGCATGGGAAAGACCCACCTCCATGATTCAATTACCTCCCATTGGGTCTCTCCCACAACACAACATATGGGAATTGTGGGAGGTACAATTCAAGCTAAGATATGGGTGGGGACAGAGCCAAACTGTATCACTGCCATATAAGGAATAATAGTTGATAGATAAAAGAGAGAGGATGACAGAAATGTGTATAAAGTACTTGGAAGCCTAGTTTGTAAGAATTTATGATCAGATAAGCATATGATTCCACAGTGGGTGATGATTCATTTGTAGTGCATCAACAGCTACCATTTATTATACACTTACTAAATTTGAATCATTTCGTGCAAATTATCTCATTTATTTCTTACAATCTTCATATGAGTTAGTCCCTGTCCCTGCCCTATTTTATAGGGGGAAAATGTTGCCTCAGATCACAGAGTTACTGGACATTAAACTGAAGCTATCCATATCTCCTTATTCCCAACAGATTCATAGATATGTTTCTGAAATATCTCTGGCAATGACAAGAAATTGACCCACTGGAGATATGAAAGTAATATAAGCAAGATCTGAATATACACTATTAAAGGCTTTTTTACATCATTATCAAGGTGATCTGTTTACAAACAGAACAGATGGCTTTGAAGTCAGACAGATAAGTCCTTCCCTTATCTTAGCTCTGCCACTTGTGTTGCTTTTCCTCTCTGAACCCAAGTTTCCTCATTAGTAAATTGTTAATAATAAAGCCTACCACATCAAGCTGTAGCAACAATTACACGAGATCACCTATATGACACCTCCTGACCTAGAGTAGGACTTATGCTAGAGTCCCTCATTTGCTTATTTCATGGCTTTACATCTCTAGGTAGTATTTATTATCACCAATTTACAGGGAAGAAAACTGAAAACTAGAGAGGTTTTATAAACTTCTCAAGATACATGTTAGAGTCATAAGCAAGGACTGACACCAAAGTCTACTGACCCTAAAAGGCAGTTCCATATCTGCAATACCAAGATGCCTATAGAAGACCTCTTTTTTAAAATCTTAAACTCTCATTTTTGTTAACTTAATGGAAATTTGTTATTTGCATTATTTTAAATATTTACAGAAAATAAGTTTACAATGCTTCATGAGTTTCAATGTCATAGCACAGCTTGAGAAAAAAGTACTAAAGATTGTACCATGAATTGCATGAGGGTAGAGAAACCATGTCTTACTCATCCCTTCCTCCCTAAGCCAAACACAGCACCTAAGATATAGTAGAGGCCCACTAAAACATTGTGGGAAACAAAAATTCGTGGATGAGTGGATGGATGGATGGATACATGGACAGTTAAATGGATCCTGAGACAGACAAAAGAAAGGACAAAGAAGAAATCATAAATATTGTAATGGCTGGTAAATTCATAGAAGTAGTTTGTGAAGGCATATTTATGTTGTACAGGACCCTGACACAGGCATTTGAATACAAACAATTCCTTTTGCATGCAGGCATATCATTTCAGCATGAGCCTAAACCTCCAACCTGATACCATATCGTACAAACTTTAATAGGTGATACTGTACCTAGTGCCAAAACATGTTAAAGCTAAGTGTGCGTACACACACGTGCAAACATAAACACACACGAATACTGCATAATGTTAAGCACTACCTACCATTTCTAGAAAAGTAGAACATTTTATAATAAGTTTTACTTTGTGGCTCAACCCTTTATTCCATTTTTAATATTGTACTAATTAAACAGCATCTTCCTTTTATTATGTCATTCTAAGCCACACTGGAGTATACTTTGTGTTGGTTAATGTTGCATTAATAATGTTCTGGTACTTCCTGACACCTTACCTATCTAAACTCCCTCCTATGGGGCAACTCCAAGATGATCTTAAAATCTAAAGTGCTACTGTCATCAAAATTACATACAAAATGTATCCTCACACTAAAATGCTCATTTTCTCAGCATGGCTGATTTCTATCAAGTCTGTAATAATAATAACAATAAAAAGAATGATAACATCTCACATTTATATATTATTTACTCTATGTAGGTTACATTTAATATGTATTCATGCATTTAATCTTCATACAAATCCTATGAGATAGGTATCAATTTTATTTGCATTTTACAAATGGAAGAACTAAGACACAAAAGGGCCAAATGCTTTGCCTCACATTGCAAAGCTACCAAGTGGCCAACTCGGACTTGAACTCAAGCAGTCTGGCTCCAGATTTTGGCTCTTATTGTTAATGCTATACCACTCCCAATTAGAAGTCCGTTCACTCATGTCACATTAATTTAAACTAATATGTGACTATGCTCTATCATTAATTCAAAGTCTAAGTTCAATGCTATTTAAGAAAGCCTCTGCAGCTATAAGCTAGGATGATAAAACTCCATATTTTGCTAATATCTCAAGGTGAGAGGGAGTTAAATGCCAGTCATAGCTCAGGATACAGCTAGAGAGGGACCTTTAACTGAGTGAGGGCAGGGGGATCTAGAAGGGATAAGAACTGAAATTAATTTCACTGATTAGGGTCAGATGGATGCTAGAGGAAAGACAGGGCTACAAGAATTTGGAGTAACTCCAGCCTGGCAGGCCAGATGTGATCAACAGTGAGTATCTGTGGGCTTGTCCTGAAGTGGCAGGGGATTGAAGTATCCCTCCATGGGGATGAAGTACATCCATGGGGAACCCAGGAAAGGTGCTCTCAGTCCCCTTCAGCCTCAATCTCCTGAGTTATGCTTTAATTTTTCCCTTTTTCTGTTTCATTTTGGTTAGTTTGCTTAATTTCTGTCCCTGGGACCAGGATGAAGGCATTTTTCTAGATAGGTGAGGAAATGAAGTATTTTCTTTTCTTGGTTCCTAACTTTCCTTCCCTGAGTTCCTTGAACTCAGCTCAGCCTGAGTCTCTTCATCATTTTCCACAGAGAATTGCCTTTGGTCTGGATTCACAGTGGTATTTTATTTAATGCTGCAATTCCCTCTTTGCTCCACCTCACCCCTACTCATATCTGGGAGTTAGAGGCAGAAGGAATAGAAAATGTTTTCTTTGTTTCTTCCTCTTGTGTTGACCTATCTGACCACGAGATATCCCATGAGAATACATCTAGAGCCACCTTTTCAAAACTGTTCTGTGGAACAGAAGGATCCCAAGAAATACTATTTTTTTTTTTTGAGATGGAGTTTCAGTCTTGTTGCCCAGGCTGGAGTGCAATGGTATCTTGGCTCACTGCAAACTCTGCCTCCTGGGTCCAAGCAATTCTCCTGCCTCAGCCTCCCCAGTAGCTGGGATTACAGGCATGTGCCACCACACTCAGCTAATTTTGTATTTTTAGTAGAGACGGGGTTTCTCCATGTTGGTTAGGCTGGTCTCGAACTCCCAACCTCACATGATCTGCCCACCTCTACCTCCGAAAGTGTTGGGATTACAGGCGTGAGCCACCACACCTGGCCCCAAGAAATAATTTTTTACCACCATCCCAGTAGAGATGGGAGTAAAAAAGTACATTTGGAAAACTTTTACTTCAATCTAATTCAACAAGTAGTTTTCAAGTCTGTAAGAGCTAGGTGGTGTATTAGGCCCTGGGGTTGTATTAGTTATCAGATATATTAAAAAAAACTAAGAAAAGCTGCTCATCTTTAATCTCATTTGAAACCATTAAAGGCACTAAGACTTGCATAAGTGAGGATTCTATTTAACTTCATTTAAACCAGGGATCCCCAAGTCCCGGGCTGCAGATCAGTACCTGTCCATGGCCTGTTAGGAACTAGGCAGCACAGCAGGAGGTGAGCAGTAGGCAAGTGAGCATTACCACCCAAGCTCTCCCTCCTGTTAGATCAGCAGAGGCATTAGCTTCCCATAGAGGCATGAACCCTATTGTAAACTGCACATGCGAGGGACCCAGGTTACATGCTCCTTATGAGAATCTAATGCCTGATGATCTGAGGTGGAACAATTTCATTACCAAACCACCCCCCCTACCCCTGTCCATGGAAAACTTGTCTTCCACAAAACCAGTCCCTGGTGCCAAAAAGGTTGGGGCTGCTGATTTAAACCATTTTTTCCAAATCTATCTGAATGTGTGAAACCTCTCCTCCCTCCACTACTTGGAAACACTATTTGAGAAATGCCCCAATGCTGTGTATGATTTATTCACCATCTTCAGGATCTTGCACACTTAGGGGGAAGAAGATATGTGTACACATAACATATCAAGAATTAAAACATATAGAGAATATTTGGAAGCATAGAAAAAAGCATCAAATTAAATAAAAGCCTTTGAAGTTTACAAACAACCTCAAATATGGTCACTGATTTTTCCATACACACTTATCTCACAGGCCTCCTTTCAATGACATTACTTTGGCCACCATTATGGGAACCTCTGTGGGGATGGGGAGGAAAGGAATTCTAACCTTTTCAAAGTATGTAAGAATTTAAAGCCAGTGGAAAGGGAGGAGATATGAAAGCAAAATCAAATTTGAAACATAATCACAATGAAGATTTGGTGGAGCTTCATATCAGTAAAACCACCTCTACACTGATTCTATAAATCCTTTCACTTACCTTTTATGCTACTTGAAGTTCCACAATTATTCATTTGGGTTAAAAGGAAGCCTATTCTGAAGAAGGAAAAAGAATCTTTCTCAAGGGCAGTTTGACATAACAGAGAAAACAGGCTTCTAAGTCATAGCAGCCACACAGTAGGTTCTAACTCTGCGTACTGGCTGCATGAATTGAGCAAGTTATTGCTCTCTCAGAGCAAGTTATTCACCTATAAAATGATGACAAATAATTCTGCTGACAGCAGTGTTTGGAGAATAAAATGGGAAAATATATCAACAATCCCTACAAAGTCAGCACTTCCTAAATAGCAGTTCTATATTCTATCATTTCAGGTATTAAATGGTCATTCTAAAAGAGTCATAGCATACCCAGACAGATATCCACATATCAGAGTATATTAAGTCACCACAGAAGGTTGCTTTCCTTGTAGAAAATGACTAAGTTCAGTCCCTCAAAAAGAACCACAATTTCCTTTAGTAAAAGGAGAGTTATCACTTTGCTTCTATAAGAACTTTCTTTCAGAAATAGGTCCTAGGCTAGGAAAAGGGAAGCAAAGCTTTCTAGGTGAAATGGCTCCATGGAATTTAGTACCTTAGCACCTTTGTTCAGTTACATTAGGAGTTAAGTAGACTTGTAGTTTGGCCTGGAAAGCTGACCAATAATCCCTTTTAAAATCAGATAGTGTATTTTGGACTTCTTTATGAAGACTTGTGAAAAAATATCCTGTCTGTAAATTGGCATTTGTGTAATAGTCACATGCATCTACATTTATACACTGTTAATATATATGTACAAGAAAGCAAAAAAAAAAAAATATCCCCCCAAAAGAAGAGACTTGGAGCTTAGAGATAAAATGACAAAAGCATGTGGTTGATCTTGGAGTGGCCAAAGTGGCTGCCTTCAGGGAAGGCTTTTCTAGGAAAAGTAAGATCCTTGGGAAGTAAAGGGTTTACAATCTCTTTGTCTTGACTCCAGTCATCTTTGAACTCACATACACAGAAGTTGCCAACTTAGAACTTTGTTACTGAGAAACTGCAATTCTCAGCTCTGATCATTAACAATCCATACTGCTTTATATATTCTTCAATGAATGTGTCTTTCAGTCTACAAGACTGCAGAAAGCAAAGTCATGAAATTATTCAAATTATTACCATGTTTTCATTGACAGCATCTTTAGAAAAAACCTGGCATGACTACATCTTTCTAAATCCCAAATAATCAAACTGAATGAAGGTCTAATGGATTTGGATTGGTCTAATTGGATTTCATGGAAATTATAGGTTGTGTTACTCTGAGTAAGGATAATGTGTTACTGTGAATAAGGATCATCTGTACTCTGGGGACTCACATCCTTTGGGGCTGTCTGTGCCACAGGGGTCTGCCCCATCTCTTGTTTGGCCAGGTGACAGCCAAAGGTGATGCCTGCCTTGGCCTTGGCCCACCAAGGCTCTTCCACCTCACCAGGGGCTCTTTCTTGGCCACCTTTACATCCCCAAAGACTGCAGAGTGCCAAGTAGTCATAATCAGGGATTACTTTTAGCTTTCTTCCTATTTTAATTTTTAAGCACTTACTTTGTATTTCCAAAATTACTACTTCAGTAAAATATCCCTTAGTTATTTTTAATTCTATGCTTACCATAAAATTCCCTTCTCATCGAATAGTTCTCCCTCAAAAATAAAAGAATATTTAAATCTCACATGCTTTCTTTGAAGGCTGTAGATTTCTGTTCATTTTCCTGAAAGGCATATTTTCAGTTATGGTAGGCAGAATTCTAAGAGGGCCCCCAAGATTCCCCCCTCCGGTGTACATAGACTTTATCCCAATTATTCAGTCAAACTCTAATCTAGGTGCTGCTGTGAGGAAATTTTGCAGATGTAATAAAGTTCCCGAATCAATTGGCTTGAAGATGGGAGAGTATCCCTGATGGGCCTACCCTAATCGGATGACATTTTTAAAGAGCCTGGGCTTCCCCAATAGAGAGATTCAAAGTGTGAGAGAGATTTGATGTGAGGGAAATTCTCCACTGCTGGCTTTGAAGAAGGAGATGGCCAAGTGGCAAGTAATGGATGGCATCTGGGAGCTGAGAGAGGCCTCTGACTCACAGCCAGCAAGAGAACAGAGACCTCAGTTCAGCTTCAAGGAACTGAGTTCTGCCTAATACCTAAATGAGCTTGGAAGAGGATCACAAATTTCAGATGAGAAAGCAGGCCCAATCAAAGCCTTGATTTCAGCCATGTGAGATCCTGAGCAGAAAGCCCATCCATGCCACATACAGAGCTGTGAGCTAATAAATAGGTGTTGCTTTGATCTGCTAAATTTGTGGTAATTTGTTACAAAACAATAGAAAATTAATACACCTGTGTTTGTTTTATCAGCACAAGCAAAGCACAAAAAAATGCAGGAGCAAAATGGTGCATCTTTAATTTCAAAAAGGTTAGATCCCAAAAGGATTTACCAAGTGTATTTCTTTTTCAAATATGAAGTAATATTACACAAATGACTAATATGGCCTCTGCAGAATGAGAAGGTGATGATACTTTTTTTTGAGATGGAGTCTCCCAGTCGCCCAGGCTGGAGTGCAGTGGCGCCATTTCAGCTCACTGCAACCTCCATCTCCCGGGTTCAAGCAATTCTGGTGCCTCAGTCTCCCGAGTAGCTGGAATTACAGGTGTACACCACCACACCCAATTAATTTTTGCATTTTTAGTAGAGACAAGGTTTTACCATGTTGGTCAGGAGGGTCTTGAACTTCTGACTTCAAGTGACCTGCCCACTTCAGCCTCCTAAAGTGCTGGGATTACAAGAGTGAGCCACCATGCCCGGTGGTGATACATTTTTGTTTTTACGTATTCCTTGTTTATATTCATAAAAGTAGGCAGTAAGTTGAAGATTTATTCATATAGGATTTAGTAGCTGCAGCTTTAACCTATGGCTTCTGTAGCTTTTGTAATCTGGCAGTGCGCATCTGCTATATTATCTAAATGTTTCCTCAAAAGGAGAAACACTCTAACAACTTATCACCCTAGTCTGCTGGCCACCATTTTCCCTCAGATGCTCACAGCTTCTTCCGTGGGATTTGAAGATATGACTTCCATGACACTTGATCAGTATGTCAATGGGTATTGAACCACTCTTCAGCTCTGATCCCACGGTTCAGTTCCTTTCAGTGTGACTATGTGTCTTGGTGGTGGGAGATGTGATTCTTTTATCTACTTTCTCCATTTATCTTACTCAGAGGAACTGTGCTCTAATAGGGAAATAGATTGAAAGCTTATAAATTTCCTTGAGTTTTAACTTTTCTCCTTTGGTCTTTTTTTCTTTTCAAATGACTTGAAGACACATTGATAAGATTCTATGAGAAAATGAAGAGTTGAACAAATTGAATATGTATGAGTGAATGAATAGATTAATACATAAATGATAAATTTATTAAATAATTTGAACGAAATCAATCGAGAGGGGCACCGAGAATAAATTTGTGTCCTAGAAGTAAGAAGACCTGAGTTTGAGATAACTAGTAGTTCTATTATACTGGAGAAATTACTTAATCATCACTGGACTTCATTTTTCTCATATGGAAAGTAATTCAATCACACTAAACAATCTTTAAGGTCTCCTTCACTTATAAATGTATGTTTTAAGCCATTTAGGAGGTTAAATAATGTCATGTCCCATGGGACTTCTGTTTGTTGTTCTATTCAAGCATGTTAGCTTGTTTCTATCACAGGACCTGCTGCCTTTCCGCAGCCAGTTCTCTAGATTATTTTTAATCAGTCGGTGCACATATGGTCAATATTTACTCAATAGAATTCAGGTTTCCCAAATTCCATGAGGATTCTTGATTAATTTTATTACTTATGCCAAAACTATTATCTTCTTAACTATTTTAGGTCCAAACAGTTTTAACTTTTATCCTGGCATTTATATATAAAAAACTTTTGTAAGACCGGGTGCAGTGGCTCATGCCTGTAATCCCAGCACTTTGGGAGGCCGAGGTGGGTGGATCACCAGGTCAGGAGATGGAGACCATCCTGGCTAACACCATGAAACCCTGTTTCTACTAAAAATACAAAAAATTAGCCGGGCGTGGTGGTGGACGCCTTTAGTCCCAGCTATTCAGGAGGCTGAGGCAGGAGAATGGCGTGAACCTGGGAGGCAGAGCTTGCAGTGAGCAGAGATCACACCACTGCACTCCAGCCTGGCAGCCTGGATGACACAGTGAGACTCCGTCTCAAAAAAAAAAAAAAAAAAAAAGAAAAAAACTGTTTTATAGTCAAAAGAAAAACTTTCTATAAATCAACCAATCCTGTGAAGAAAATATGAAAAATATCCTCTGTTTCCAAAAAAATTTAGGCTATCAATATATACACATAAAGAGATAAACTCTGATAAATTGGATAAATAAAATTCACTATAATAGCAAGTTTTAGAGAACAAGCACGGGAGTTAGTCGACCTGGGCCCTTAAACAGATATCCTCTCTCTCATCCTGTGTTATTTCCTGTGTAATGTTGGTATCATTCCTGCCTGACTCTCATAGATTTATATGATTCCTACTCTGTCCAGGTGCCTTATTGGGTCTTAGCGGTAAAAAGATGAACAAGGCTAATGCAGCCCATTGAGAAGCTATCTGTAAGTGAACATACATGCAAACTAATACTTGATTCAATGTGAGAAGCACTGTTGCTGATCATAGGTGCCAGAAGAACAGCAAAGAGTTATTTTTTCCTCCAAAATTGTGGAAAAATTTTTATCCCTGGTGTGATGCAATATAAAATACACAGCACCACCTTTGAAGTATTCTTGCCAAATGAATTTAACCAAAATCTAATCAAGACTTCAGAGCTAAAGAAAATCTAAAAGTAATCCAATTTATAGGAAATGAGGGATATAAAAGAACAAGTTAAATAATACCACAGGAAAGCATTCAGACAAGTCCAGAAAGTAAGATATTCTAAAGGATGTTTAGCTTGATCTCTTCAATGGTCAATGTCATTAAAAACTAAAAAAGAAGCAGGACTCTTTTAGATTAAAAGAGATTAAAAAGGCATAACAAACAAGTGCACTGCATGGTCCTCGATTATGTCTTGGCTTTTACAAATCATGTGTAATTATAATGAAACCATGGAGGGAACTTGAAGATGGACTGGGTATTAGATGATATGGCAGAAATATCATTAATTTTTTAGGAGTGTTAAGAGTATCATGGTTATGTTGGATATATCCTAATTGTCTATAATAATGATTTGGTAAAAAGTCACGATGTTTTATTTCACATTAAAATATAGCAGCAGAAAAAATAAATGAGCCAAATACAGTAAAATTTTCAACAATTGATATAATAATGTGATATATATATGGATGTTCAATTATACTATTCTTAGTAATTTTTTATGTCTGAACATTTTCATAATACTTAAAAATAAAAGACAAAAGATAAAAATAAATGAGATAATAGATTTAAAATCACTTTGTAAACTCTAAAAGGATAGACAGATAAAAGAGATAACAAAGTGCTGGAGAAAGGAGGAATGGTCCCTTTTCAAGCATGTATGCCACCTTGGACCATGCTGCTAAGAGAAACCATTCCTGACCACCACAAAGAGGCCACCAAATGCCTCTAAAATAGAAAGCAGGAGCAACATTAGGATTCCCAGATCCTGATTTTTTTTTTTTAACACATCTTCTCAGACCAAGATGACATTGAACAAAATTAAAGACCTTTTTGCAGGGAAAGGTAGGCTACAGCAACTTGAACTTGTCTAAGGAGAGCTGGAAAACCTGCAAGCATTGCTATCTGAGAGTAACCAGTGGGCCCTTCCTTTTCTCAGGACAGTGGGATTTGGCACCCGAAGCAGAAATCTGAAGCCATGGATGATTGCCGTTCTCATTGTGTTGTCCCTGACAGTGGTGGCAGTGACCATAGGTCTCCTGGTTCACTTCCTAGTATTTGGTAGGTAAAATTAAAGATTTCACTCTATTTGATTTTATTTTTCTGCAAAGCTCCATTTACATATATGTAAATGTAACTTCATCTAAAAAATTGCACATTTACCTTCAAATTTCCACAGAGTATATTTAACTGTTTCAGTCATTTCATCAACAAACAAGTACTAAATTCTTATTATATGTGAGTACTTTTCTGGATATTCAAGATACAGCTTTAAGCAAAGTAGACAGATTTCTAATTTCCTTAGAGCTCTCAACCCAGAATTCTTTTGAGAATCTACACAAAAAGATCAAAAATTGTAATTGTCTGAAACTTACTAGTAATTATAATAAACAACTCATCACTTATTATATATTAAAATGAAAAGTTATGATAAATTAGTTATTAAAATTGGCTCTTTTACTCATGAACCATCATTTTCTGTCCAACATTTCTAAGGCAAAAGAAAAACACTTGTCTAATAAAATAAGGAATTTCAAAATGATTGAAAACCTATACGTATGACACAATATTATCATTTATTTTTAGAGAAAAAAAATTTTACTCTTTCCAAAACAATATTCAGGGATTATATTTTTATCAACTAATATATTTGTAATTACACAAATAATGCACTTCAAGATTCTCTTTTTACATTCAGTCTCTTTCTGGGGAGAATGCAAGCCATTTACATTTTTTCACAAATCTCTACAATGTGACTCTCACATGGATGTATGTGATAAAACAAATAACTCAGGCTGCTCACTTTAACGCTCTTATCTGCTGTCACCTTCACAGAGTCAATGGGGGAGCAAAGACTCTACTTGGAGCCTTAAAGGGCTTAAGATCATAGTCCTAGGCCTTATATGATAACCCCAGCTGTAGTTTATACCATTGGCAAAAGATTCTCAGGTCACTTTATTTGGTTGCATAAAAGTCTCTTTACAATGAGAGTAAGGTTTGTTAACAGTATGGATTATATGGGTAAGTAATCAGGATGTCCAAAAATGTATTACAAGGTCCAGAGATTTCCCACTTAAGACATATGCCTTCCTGATATCCCTGTTTCTTTCCTTGGTTTGTAGTCTCGAAACCCACTCCCTCTTCCCTGAGCCAGGCTTCTCAAGGATTGAGGTTGTTTTGTATTTTTCCCATTCTCTATCTTTAACTCTGTATCTTTCTTACTCCCTCTGGGCCTTACTCCTCAGATTACCAAATTCCTTAGGAGTCTCAACTGCTTTCCTTTCTTACATTTCCTAATAGATTTATCCCTGTTTCATGCTCGTCTTGTCTTCAATCTCAGACAGCTCTTCTCTACACTTTCTTTTCAGGTTTTTCTTAGTGTGCCTGGCTCTCTTGTTAAAAATCAAAATTCACAAGGACATTCACTTATCTCTACTTCCACTAGAGTGTATGATGGTACACATTTCAACTCAGCAAGGAGCAATGTAGCAATGAAATGTTCAAGCTCTACAGCTAGACTGGATTTAAAACTTGGACAGGCCACCTACTAGTTACAGAACAATTTACTTAATGCCTCTGTGCCTTAATTTCCTTATCTGTAAAATGAAGGTGATACCAATCTTAGAGAGCTGGTGTGGGGATTAAATGGGCTAATACATAAAAAGTGCACAGGACAGTGCCTGCCATATTGTAGAAACTCAATAAATGGCAGCTATTATAATTGATATAAAACATTAACTGTTATTTTTTAAATAAAACTCAATTATGAAGAGGCTCAGGGACATATTCAAGATTTATATTGGCCCCATTGTAATTGAGTTCTGAAATCTTTGTCCAAACCATTTAGTTTCCTATTTTTCATTTCCATTGCAGACCAAAAAAAGGAGTACTATCATGGCTCCTTTAAAATTTTAGATCCACAAATCAATAACAATTTCGGACAAAGCAACACATATCAACTTAAGGACTTACGAGAGACGACCGAAAATTTGGTGAGTCAGGTAAACTTCTTTTTATCATAGAATAATGCAAGTGGAAGGGATTTTGTGGATCATTTCTCCATTTCTAAAAACATGATTTTCAGACCGCCAACATTAGAATCATCTTGCAGATTGCTAGGCCCCATCCCAGACCTGCTTAATCAGAGTATGATGAGATGGGTAGGTGGGGAGAGGAGAGTAAGGGAATCTGCATGTCTAACAAATGGGTGATTCTAATAAGCCTCTCTTTCTAACTCAGCTACCTTATTTAAAGGTAAGAGAATTGAGGCCAAGATATCCTAGCCCATTTCTTCCCCAATTCCACCACGTTTCCCCTGTAGAAAAGCCTAATCATATCAAAACTAGTTTTTATAAGTCCACACACTTGTTTGTAAGACCACATTTTAAGATTTTGAGTATTTTCAGAATTTACGTTCATCTTGTAAGTATATTGATAAAGACAAAAAACCAGACTTATTTTGTAGTAATCAAGTCAAATGCTAATAATTTTGTTAAAGCTAAAGTGCAAGACTGCTCCCAAAAAGAAAAAAAGCACACTCAGTTGTATAATCATTCCACTCAGAATGCCCATGAATTCTCACTCAAAAACTAGGTTCAAATTAATTTTTCTAACAAGGAAGCACAGAAGCAGAGACTTATTTTAAAAAGAAAGAAATGACAAATGTATTGGTTTGTTTTAATCAAAGAACCATTTTTAAGACACTTTCTTTCCCAAATCATCTACCATTTTTTCCTGTCATCATTTGCTCTTTGTCCATAGTATACCTAATGGCATCATATTTACAATAATATTGTAGAGTTTATAATCTCTATTTTCAGTTAACATTAAATCATTCACAATTTCTTAATTTTGTGGTTTCATCTTTCCCAACCAATAATTAATGTCTACAGATTGATATAGATTCTGCATTCTTTCACATGCAGAGCATCTTATAAAAGAGCATTTGCAATCAGTTCTTAAGTTATGCTAGGATGAACGGGGAGCCTGCACCAATACACCCAAATACCTTCTCTACTCCTCCAGTCCTAAGTGACTCCACATAACCTCCTCGATGCAAAAAGAGAAAACTCTTAACTTGCCTTAGTTAAAAAGATAAACACACCTTTGAATGATGGAAAATGTTACAATTTACTGGGAAATTTTGAAATTTGTTTCATTTATATTTTATGGCCAACATTACTGCTACTGTTGTTGTTGTAAGTTAACTAAGCAATTCTGTCTTTACTGAAGTAAACGGAGAAGAATGCAATAGGTCTTAAGAGAAGTGAGAGAAATGCGGAGGTGCATGTTGAACAGAAACTCTATTTAAAAGTGGAGTTTTAAGTTTCACCTAAGCATGTGTTCCTTCAAAGGCTAAGGCTAAGTTAAGTAAGGACACATTATCATCATGGGTACCTGCAAGGCCCTTCTCTGGTTGTCATTATTTATTTATCCTCCTTTATCACCATAGCATAAGCCCTTACCCTCCCCCCTTGCAGGAAATCATTCTATGTTTCATGTGGTATTCTTTTGTTTGTATTCATTCTTACAAAAATATGTTTTGCTATTTTGCGTACACTTGCTTTTAACTTACATTTTGTGTTATAAATCACTTTTGTTTCATCTCTTTTTACTGAGAACTTTTTAAAAGATATATGTTACTAAATATACCTTTAGTTTATTGCTGTTAGCTGCTAATTCATAGTGTGTATCTTCCATATTTACCTGCCTGTCATGCCAAGAAATGCCACACTAAACAGACTCCTACTTACCCCCTTATAGACCTATGCAAGTACTTCTGCAAGCAGAATTACTAGGTCATTGAATGTACATATACTTAACTTGACCAATTGGTGCAGGTTTGCTCTTCAAAATGGCTGACTCAGTGTGCACGCCCATCTACAATGCATGAGGATTTCTATGTCCCCACATCTAACCAACACTTAGTGTCTTAGTATGTTTAGGCTACTACAACAAAAAGTACCATAGGCTGGGTATCTTAAACAACAAACAATTATTTCTCATAGTTCTGGAGGCTGAAGATTCCAAGATGAAGATGATCAAGGCTCTAGCAGATGTCTGGTGAGAGCCTGCTTCCTGGTTCATAGAATACCATCTTGCTGTGTCCCTCATGGCAGAAGCCATAAGAGAACTTTCTTTTGTAAGGACACTAATGACTTTCATGAGAACTCCACCCTCATGACCTAACTATCCTCCAAAGGCCCCATCTCCTCTATCATCGGTTTGGGAGTTAAGGTCTCAAAATATAAATTTCAGGGGAACACAAACATTCAGTCCACAGCACTTGGTATTATTTGGCTTTCTAAATTTGCCACCCTAATATGTATAAAGTAGTATTTTATTTGTGATTTAATTTGCATGTTTCTAATTACTAATGAGTTTGTGCATTGTTACGTATAATTATTAACTTTTTGGACTTTCATTTCTATAAATTGCCTGTACATATTATTTGCCTATTTTTCTGTTAAACTTGCTTTTTCACCTTATTTGTATTGCTTTGCAGAAGTTCTTTACATTTTCTGGATATTGATAGTGTGTTGGTTGTGGACACTGCGCTTATCCATTCTGTCTTCTACTAATATGGACCGTGTTGTTCTTTATGAAACCGAAATCTGTAACTGAAGTAATCATTTTTTCACTGTTTTGCCTTATGATTGTATTTTGAAGCTTTTCTTTAAGAAGTCCTTCTTCCCTTCTAAGACATAAAAATATTTTACTATGTTACTTATTAACCTTATAGTTTTATCTTTTACATTAGGTCTCCAATACATGTGGAATCCACCTTTGGATGTGTTAGGTAGATTCAGTTTTTTAATTCATATAGTGAGCCAGTTTTTGAATATAACTAGTTAAAATATCTTGGCTTTTCCTAATATATGGTATTATTATTGAGTTCATTGCATGCATTTCTTGGCACCTGGGTCTTGCAGAAAAGGAAACATGAATCTGTCTCCTCAAATTGCTTCCAATCTTTTTGGAAAGATGTGAGTAACACACATGGAATTGAATATCATGACATGATATAATTAAGGGCTAAATTACATGTTGAGGACAGTAAGTACAGAAAAACTTCAAAACCAAACAAGGGTTCCCATGGTCAGAAAAGGCTTTATATTATTTTACCTTTGTTTAAATGAGACAGGTGTTTTTCTCCTCCCATCCCGCACCAGGTTAGCTTTAGAAGAATTACAGGAAGAGTTTATGCCTCATCCTGAGCCACACCTGTTTGTTGTTGCTAAATCCCAATGAATACAACCAGATTCTTCTCTCTGTCCTATATGGGTGCTAATTAGACAACCAAGGAAGACAGGTTGCACGTCCTGTTCTTCCTCACATTGGGCTTTACTGATTTGAATGCAAATTGAGATGCAAAAGTAAAATGAGTTCATATTTAGATATTGCTATAATCCGCCCCTGTTCCCTGAGATAGTGGAGCAGACATATCTCATCTCTCATATCATTCTTCAGAGAAGGGTCCATTAATCAGACATTACTGATGTCTGATTACTGCCGGCTGGCCATCCTGCAGGTGGAGAAGCATGGCATCCAGCAGAAACTGACAGCATGCACTTTGAGGGAGGGAAGGATAAGCCAGGAATTTATGCTGAATAAGCTGCCTAAGTATACATGTTCAATAAGTTCTAGGGGAAGTCACAAATACTTATGAAAGGAGAAACATAACTATGTGCAATTGAGCTTTATGTCTCTTCATGTGTTGCATGTTCAAAAAATGGTGGCATTAGCATGATCCAAGGGTGGAGTTTTCAGCCATTTGATGTTCAAAGGTGAAGCAGAGGACACAAAACCCTTACTATGCATCCTCTGTGAGTCAGCCAAAACCAGTCTGGACTGCTAGCTAGATTAACAAAGAAAAAAAGAGAAAGAAGATACAAATAAGCACGATCAGAAATGATAGAGGTAACATTACAACCAATCCCACAGAAATACAAAAGATCGTCTGAGACTCTTATGAACACTTCTATGTAGATAAACTAGAAAATCTAGAGGAAATGGGTAAATTCCTGGAAAAACACAATCTTCCAAGATTGAATCAGAAAGAAATTGAAACCCTGAACAGACCAATATTGAGTTCATACTTAAATCAGTAATTTAAAAAACTTACCAGCCAAAAGGAAAAAAAAAGGCCCAAACTAGATGGATTCACAGCCAAATTCTACCAGACGTACAAGAAATAGCTAGGACCAATTCTAGTGAAACTATTCCAAAGAATTGAGAAGAGACTTCTTCCTAAATCATTCTATGAAGTCAGCATTACCCTAACGCCAAAACCTCACAAAGACAGAATGAAAAAAGAAAATTACAGGCCAATATCCCTGATGAACATAGATATAAAAATCCTCAACCAAATACCAGCAAACCAAATCCAGCAGCACATCAAAAAGTTAATTTTCCAAAATCAAGTAGGCTTTATTTCTGTGATGCAAGACTGGTTCAACATATGTAAATCAATAAATGCGATTTACCACATAAACCGAATTAAAAACAAAAATCATACAATTAGCCAGGCATGGTGGCTCACACTTGTAATCCCAGCACTTTGGGAGACCATGGTGGGCAAATTACCTGAGGTCAGAAGTTCGAGACCAACCTGGCCAACATGGTGAAACCCCATCTGTATTAAAAATACGAAAATTAGCCGGGCATGGTGGCAGGTGCCTGTAATCCCAGCTACTCGGAGGGCTGAGGCAGGAGAATCACTTGAACCCAGGAGGCAGAGGTTGCAGTGAGCCGAGATCGTGCCATTGCACTCCAGCCTGGGTGACAGAGCAAAAATCCATCTCAAAAAAATTAAAAATTTAAGAAAATTAAAATCATACAATCATCTCAATATATGTAGAAAAAGCTTTTGATAAAATTAAACATCCCTTCATAATAAAAACACTTAGACTAGGCATCGAAGAAACATACTTCAAAATAATAAGAGCCATCTGTGACAAACCCACAGCCATCATCACACTGAATGGGCAAAAGCTGGAGGCACTATCCTTAAGAACAGGAAAAAGACAAGAATGTTCACTCTCACTACTCCTATTCAACATAGTACTAGAAGTTCTAGAAAGAGCAATCGAGCAGGAGAAAGAAGGAAAATGCATCCAAATACGAAAAGAGGAAGTCAAATTATCTCTCTTTACTGACAATATGATTATATGCCTAGAAAACCCTAAAGACTTTACAAAAAGTTTCCAAAACTGATAAACAACTTCAGTAAAGTTTCAGGATACAAAATCAATGTACAAAATTCAGTAGCATTTCTAAACAATAATGTCCAAGCTGAGAACCAAATCAAGAACACAATCCCATTTTCAATAGCGACACACACACACAAATGAAATACCTAGGAATACATCTAACCAAGGAGGTAAAAGATCTCTATAAGGAGAATAAAAAAACACTATTGAAAGAAATCGGAGATGACACAAATGAATGCAAAAACATTCCATGCTCATGGATTGGAAGAATCAATATTGTTAAAATGTCCCTACTGCCCAGAGCAATCTACAGATTCAATGCTATTCCTATCAAACTACCAACATAATTTTCCACACAAAGTTAGAAAAAGCTTTTGTAAATTTCATATGGTACAAAAAAAAAAAGCCCCAATAGCCAAAGGACTCCTAATAAAAAAGAACAGAGCCAGAGGCCTCACATTATCTGACTTCAAACTATACTTTAAGGCTACAGTAATCAAAACAGAATGGCATTGGTACAAAAACAGACATATAAACCAATAGAACAGAATAGAGAACCCAGAAATAAAGCCACACATCTACAGCCATCAGATATTCAATAAAATTAACAAAAATAAGCAATGGGGAGAGAACTTTCTATTCAATAAATGGTGCTGGAATAGCTAGCTAGTCAGAAGCAGAAAAATGAAATTGGACTCCTATCACTAAATACAAAAACTAACTCAAGATGCAGTAAAGAATTAAATGTAAGACCACAAACAATTAATACAAGAACCCTAGAAGAAAACCTAGGAAATACTGTTGTAGACATCAGTCTTGGCACAGAATTTAGGACTAAGTCCTCAAAAGCAACTGCAACAAAAACAAAAATTGATAAGTTGGACCTAATTAAACTAAAGAACTTCTGCACAATAAAAGAAACTATCAACAGAGTAAACAAACAACCTACAGACTGGGAGAAAATATTTGCAAACTATGCATCTGAAAAGGTCTAATGTCCAGAATCTGTAAAGAACTTAAACAACTCAACAAGCAAAAGAAACCAAGTAACGCCATTAAAAAGTAGGCAAAGAACATGAACAGATGCTTCACAAAAGAAGACATACAACGCAGTCAAGAAACATATGAACAAATGCTCCACATCACTAATTATCCAAGTAATGCAAATCAAAACTACAGTGAGATAATATCTCATACCAGTTACAATGGCTATTATTAAAGATTAAAAAAATAACATGCTGATGAGACTGCGGAGGAAAGAGAATGCTTAAATACTGTTGGAAACGTAAATGGGTTCAGCCACTGTGGAAAGCAGTTTGGAGACTTCTCAAAGTACTTAAAATGGAACTACTATTCAACCTAGCAATCCTCTTACTGGGTGTATACCCAAAGGAGTATAAACTTTTTTCCCAGAAAGACAGCTGCACTCTCACATTAATTACCACAGTATTCACAATAGCAAAGATGTGGAATCAACCTAGATATCCATCAATGGTGGATTGGACAAAGAAACTGTGAGATATATATGTATATATATCTATATATACCATGGAATACTATGTAGCCATAAAAAAGGATGAAATCATGTCCTTTGCAGCAACATGGATGTAACACCACAAGGAAGGCACTTTTATCTCCTCTTTACAGGTAAGAGAACCAAGCTTCTGAAATTAAGGTCCATAGCTGGAAAATGATGGAGGGGAGATTTGAAGTCATCTAGGCAACTCCACACATGTGCTCTTTCCACTAAATTGTTCTACTGTCAGGAAGGGACTCAGCTAAGACAGAAGATAAAATTATTAAAATCTAAATCAATTCTTCTCTCATTTCATTTTTTAAATCCATGAAGATTATAAATCCTCTATGCTGTGCTAGCTAACTTTTTCTTGACAGATACATTAGGTATACTTATTAGAGAAAAATATTCTCTTTCTCATTTCCCTGTATCAGTTTTTGGTGAGGAAGGCAAAGGTAGGAGGAACTGTAATAGAGAAAGATGAAGGAAGCTGATGGATATATTGACATGTGTATGTACATCTAGTGTGAACAATCTATAGTTGGAAGAAAGGTGTGGATGGGTATGCTTTTTGAGGGAAGTTTTTGAGAAAAGAAGTAATATGAACTATTTCTAAATTTCCTGATAAAGTTGTAAATACAGCATAGTCTTCACAGGAGAATCTATTTAGTTTATCATCATCATTCAGCAAATACAGCATGATGTTAGGCACTACAAAAGGCTAAGAAAAATGATTCTCTCTCTCTCATAAACTAATCCAATTTAGAGATTTAGAAGACAACAAATCTGGAGAGGACATGAACCTTCTAAATAATGACCTTCCCTTGCTTTGGGTATCCTGGTTTTAAATATTTTTAGTACAGCTTTAAATAGATCCAAATGAGATATTTTCCTCTTTTACAAAAGCAATTCAAAGATCTAGGTTTTTGTTGTACACTGAGAATTAATACTTTTTTCTTTAAAATCCTTAATTGCAAATCTTTAAATTCTATAAATATTTTGCCTTGTGATCTCAGAAATATAAGCCAATTTGGGATATGGATATCTAATATATTGCTACTTGTTACACGTGAGTAGTGACAGATGTCTGTCCATTTCTTTCTGACATTCCACAAAGAAACACTGAAGAAGGACCAGTGCAATCAAAGAAATGACTGATGGCATCACAAAATATCACATCCCATTTGATGATCTGATTACCTTTTTGTTTAGGGTGATCAGAAAGTCACAGTTTCATGGCACCCTCCACACCCACACACCTTGTATGACACTGGATCCAACTGCTTTCTCCAATAGACACAGCACTTAAAGATGTGGCAGTTAGGCTTGACCCCAAGAAGGCCAAAAAGCCTTCTGTGAGCATCACTCAGTGCTCAGGTTGACTAAGCTCTATCCAGGCTTGAGAGAATGGTTCATAGCTGACTTCTTGGATCCAAAAAAAAAAAAAACACCTAGAGTTTTATACAGATATGATACGAACTTAAAAGGACTGCACTAAAAACTACCAAGATTATGATTCTTATTTTTGGAGAGTAAAGAAAATAGGCTGCCTTTGGAGAGGGGTGCAACAGTTTCTGATCCTCTTACAAACTGCTTGCTGCCCATCAGTGGGTAGGAGGTCTTAGTGAGAACCTACCTGCATGCTCATCCTGAGGTAGGCACTGTGAAGGCGTTAACAGGCTCTGAAGCTACATGGCCCTGGTTTCAGTGAACTCTGTGGTGTCAACTTGGGCAAGTCACTTCCTCTTCTATGAAACGTGAATAATCATAGTACTCACCTTAGAGGGCTGATTTGAAAGCAAATGAGCTCAAACACAATGACATCTGTGCTTGGTGCATATATGGCAGACAACAGTGATTCCCACTATTATAATTATTACAGTCTTACCAAGGAGGAGCTTTCCACAAATAATCAATTACCTAAAATGTCCAAAAACAGGAAAAAAAAATCTCTTCCGATAATTCATGTGTAATTTTCTTTTTTCTCTAGGAGCATTGATCTCAACCTGATGTAAAGCAAGCACTTTAAAAAGTCTTATAAAATTTTCCTGGTAAATGCAAAACTTTCTGATAAATAAATTCTCACCTTTTTATCAATTTGTTAATTCAACAAAAATATACTACATACCAACAGCATGCAAAGCACTATGTTAGATTTTATAGACTATGAAAAGATAAATTGCCATCTCTATGCATAAAGGGTTTGCCGTTTAATAAAAGAGACTATATATTTGCATAAATATATAGTGAATATATTGCATAAATATATAATATATGTTTACATTAAAGAATAAAAGGTATAAGAGGGATAAGAAAAATTGAGACAGAGGGAAGACAGGTCAGTTTGAGATTAACGAATATCCCCAAAGAAGGTATTATCTGAGATTGGCCTTGAAGGATAGTTGTGATTCAGGAACACAGAACTTGCAGAATGAGAAGGTTGTTACAGACCAAAGGAACAGCCTGAGAGGCGTGAGTATGCAGGAAAATGAGGGCCATGCCTGAAAGTACTGGTGGTGTTGAAGATGGAGCCAGGCAAGTTGGTCACAGAGGGAGAGGACCTTGAATGTCTAACATTGTGGACAGAGGCTCAAAGGCTCAAATTCCCTATTTTTACCTTGAGTTCAATCCTTGTGGCAATGAAACCTCAGTGAAGCTTTATTTAAGGCTAAAAGTGTCTTTTAAAAATCCCTCTTATATAATATCCTTTGCATGTTACTCTTGTTGTAATTAGGAGAAAGCAATAGGATCTAAAGTTTTTTTTCACAGCATGGTTTTGGTTTCTTTAATTCTAAGGAGCTCACCTGGTGTTACGTTGGAAAAAACAGCTTTTATATCTCATTTATATTCCATATGCCAGTCTGCAGTGACATATCTATCTGAGGTTTACAGTGTTAGCCACAAAACACTCCCTAAGTGAATACATTGACTGCTGTAAGGGGAGCCAGTCAGGAAGCACCTGCAGAGAAAAGCAGGCAACATGTATAAACAGAGTTAATTCAGGAATGAAAGCTGAATGGCTGGGCGAGTCTGTTTGTTTGAGTTGACAGCCTCTCCCTCACTCTTTCATTAAATATCCAACTAACCTTCAATTGCCCTCTTGGAACTTAATCTCAGTGTAATTTCCAGCATGTCAAAATTATCAAGCAGAAAGAGATACTACCCTGAAAGAGGGTCTTTTGTTCAATGCTAGGAGACAAACTCCAACTACAAAATTCTAGAAATGCCCTAAAGAGAGAGATAGGATAGATTTACAAATTGCTAATGCTATTAGGTTGTATAGATAACAATAGATTTATAACAACCTGGCACACAACTTTAAATATATAAGTTTCTCTGAAACTTCTGGGAACTTGGAATGCCAGAACGTTGGCAAAAAGAATGCTTCTAATAATGAAAGCCATCATCTGCCATGGAAACAATTTCAGGGTCTTTAGAAAGCTAGTTTATACATAAGCTCCATTCTACAATAAAACTTATGTTCATGTTTTTTCTGATTTTCCTCCTGCTGTAAATTCATTTTATCAGAATTCTTTTTACCAGTCCCTCTGCCCCATTTCTCAAAGCGTTGTCCTCAGACTACCTGTATCACCTAAAGATTCTAAGGCCTCCTCCGATGTAGTAAATGAGACTTTTCTAGAGAGAGAGTCCTAGAATTTTATAAAGAAGGATCCTTTTTATTATTGTGATCACCAAAGTTACTTCTGCCTAGATTCTTCTCATGTTATTTTTACAGCTCCTATCTTCCCAGACAACCTAACAATTCAAAGATAAAATTGGTGCTTGGTTTAGACATTCATAGCAGGCACGGTGCCAGATTGATGATGTCATCCAGAGTCAAAAACTTCATCCAATGCCTTCACCAAAAAGTTACAAATGGCCAGGAATCAAATGTGGTTGAACTTATTCAGAGGGTAATTACAAAACAAACTTCTTTAAATACCCAACTGCTATTTGCTTTTTTCCTTCTAAATTGTATCACTTCTCTCCCTGTTCCATTTTGTTTGCCTTTTTATTTTTTGGAATCCCTCACCTCCATACTGAGTAGTAGAGCTGGCTGTGGGTGATGAGAGAGAAATTGTTATAACAAAGTCACCCTTTCAAAAACATGTCTTCCAAAAGAATTTTGTTTCTAGCAGATGAACCCCACACCACCTCAGCTAAATGGGGCTTTCTTTATTTAAGTACCAATAAAGACATATTTTGGATACTAGCAATTTATTTTCCAAATGCTATCTTTGATCTTAAGTTTAAGGCTATTACCAAATCTATATCTCTACAAGTTTTATACTTTAGGTCAATAAATTACTTGATAACTTATTACTATGTGTTCTACAAAAGAAACCGAAGTAAAATTTACATCACATTTAACAGGGTGGTTGTGTGATTGAGTGGGAAGAGGCGGACCCTACAGATAGAAGACTTGGGTTTCAGTCCCAGCTTACTAGTATCTGCGTGATGCCAGGGAAATTCACATAATGCCTCTGAGTCACAGATTTCTAACAGGAATGAAGATACTTCTTCGCAGAATTGTCATTAGAGTTAAAGAAGATAACAAATAATGTGGTTCCTGATGAGGTATTTATGAATTCCTGAGCATGCTAAGGAAGTTATAACTTGTTTCTTGATCCCTGAAACAGCTTTCCCTATATTTGTGTGTGTGTGTGTGTGTGTGTGTTTCAGTCATGCAAGTTGGTTTTTCTTCTCATTCCTTGAGAATTTAGGATATTTTGTGCGCACATTTGGTTCTTCTGTCCAACATGAACTGTAGTACCTTACCCACATTGAGATGACACTATTTCTACCAAGTGAGTGCTAGGGGATACTGCAAGCCGAATGCCAGGTGTGAGAGACCACAGCATCACAATACCGTGGCAGTAGATTAAAGCTGTGCATATGGACTAAAAGCAGTGGCTTTGCTTCTCCTACCTTGGTGACATAAACTGAGTAACAAATTTGACCTAATACTGGAATACCACCTAATTCTTTTTTCCTCCCTGATTTACCCTAGAGTCCACAATTGACAATAATTTAAAAATTTTGGCTCTCTCTTAAATCCCTAATGCCTCCTCCTTACACCTTACAAGCAAAGACCTGCAGAGCTAAGACCTGTAATGCCAGGATGGAGGCTAGAGGACCATCAGCAATTAACTACCAAAACTTACCCAACATTTTATATCTGTTTAACCTTCATAGCCTTATGAGTAGCAGATCAATATCTTTGTTTTACAGGTTAGAAAACTGAGGCTCAAATTGATTCAGTAACTTTGCCAAGATTGCCCAGTTTGGGAAAAGTAGTATACGCTCAAATCCAGGACTGAGGCAGGGTTTTCTTTGTCACCACTCAAAGCCTCTCTGAATATCCTATCTCTGCTCTGTATCTCTCTGCTACTCCTTCTATGGTGTTTTAGCAAGATATCTTCTACTCCAGAAACCTACTCTAGCACAGTAGAATTACTTGGGTAGGTTTTTTAAAAATATGAGTGCCTAGGTCCCCTCTAGACCAATCGAAACCAAAATTCTTGGAGAGGATCCCTGGCATCCATAAATTTTTTTAATTCATCAAATGATTCTGTTGCACTGTGAAAGCTGAGATCCACCAATTTAAATAATGATGTTAGTTCTGTGAAAAAATTTTTGATTGCTTTAACATTTAATCAAGGATATATTCCTATTATAAAATATATTATTAACACATAGTTTCTCTCTTGTTGTGTAACAGGTGGATGAGATATTTATAGATTCAGCCTGGAAGAAAAATTATATCAAGAACCAAGTAGTCAGACTGACGTATGTATGTTTGGGCAAAGGTGGAATCACAAGACTGGAGGGAAAAGGAACAAAGGAGACAGGGACTCTCATGTATTGTATGTCTCCATGGACTAGGCTTTTGGCTAGAATTTTTCATAAACATTACCTTTAAAGCAGTCTTGAAGTATAGGGCTGACCACCGTTTTGTCAACAAAAAGACTAAGATTCAGGAAGGGTAAGAAATATGTTCAAAGTTCACCAACTGACAGTTTCCCAAAGTGACAGAACCAGGAATCAAACCCCATTAACTTATTGTGAGGCCTGGAACCTACCAGAACCCATGACGTGGGGAAAACCCAGCAGCTTGTCGTTGCATGCACCAAGTTATATTATGTTGACAATTATATTATTTCAACCACGTTAAGCAGGCAAACTTGGCTATAAAATGGGTTCACAAATTTTACCTGTAATGTAACCGAATGACATAAGGCATGCCTAAACAAAAAGATATTCCTGTTGTAATAAATTTTCTTTCTGTCATGGTGGAGGGGGAAGACTCATATCAGTTGCAGATATTGCTCAGAAGTTTCAATTGTGTTATTTTGAAAAACTACATAGCAGAACACGCATGTCATATACACAAATCCATGAGCCTGTATGACTCATATTTCTTAAAGATAAAGAAAAATAATATATTCAGATTTTGATTTATTTGAAGAAAATAATTATCCCTTTCTCACCAATAGACTAATAATGCTTTGTTGGCAGGTGTACTCAAAGTTCTCTATGTCTTGACTGAGTAACTAGTGACTTCCGTAAGGATTTTATAACATAAATTGGGTAATTCCTACAATACTTAGGAGGGAAAAAGCATATAAATGCTAGAACTTTCTAGATTTCATGTTTTCTGTTTTCAAATTCTCCTTTACCATATTATTGTAGCAACATTATTATACTCCTGTGAACTCCTTTGGATGGTAGCCATCACTATATAATACCTGGTAAAAATGTTAATTCCTCAGATTTAAGAAGTAAAATTAGTCATCTGTTTGCCAATTTGACATAAAATTCTAGTTATTTAGATCTTTATATTCCAGAGCCTAAATGAACAAAAATACATAAATTGTCTCAGAATTTCCTTTTAGCCAAAAGATTCAGGGAGATGGGCCTCTAGAGTTTTTCACAGTTTTTTTTTTTTTTGTAAAAAAAAAAAAAAAAAAAAAGGAGAGATAACAGATCAATATATATTAGTTTCAAGGTTTTTTGTTTTTTTTTTTAAACAAAAACCTGTAATTGCTTTTCCTATTTTAACAGTATTTAAAAGTTTAGTTCCTCAGGTAACAGAACTTGAACCTGTTTATATGATCAAAGTTCAAGAAATTGGGCATGTTTAATTTGGAGAAGACTCGGGGACCACAATATTGTTGTCTTCAAATATTTGGGCTAGAGGAGGAAATTATTTTATGTATGTTCCAACTGGTAGACCTAAGCCTTATGGAATGGGAGATATAGGGAGACATATTTCAACTCAAAATGATGAACTCTTAAAAGCAGAGCTGACCAAAGAGAAACAAGCCTCTTTAGAAAATTAAACTTACTATCTTTTTAATTACTGCACTGTCATTAGAGGGCCAATTGTCATGGACCCTGTAGAAGTGATTCAGGTATCAAATATACAATTGATTAGCCTAAGAAAACATGAAGGCTTCTTCTAACTCTCAGAGCTTGTAATTTTGATGATGATTTTTTATATCTGTCATTCCTAGCTGCTGTAACAATCCTTCAAATTAATGGGGGAAATGCACTGAAAACATAATGAAAGCTAGAAGAGGGAACATATGAAATGACCTTGGGTCAGAATGACATGAGAGGATCAGCACTTGACACTCTCAGCAACTGAGGGATCATTCAGGGGAGGAAGATACAGGTAAGACTGAAGGACAATTCCAGGTGTATTCTTTGAAAATGTACCTTTCTTTTGTGTGTCACAGTCCAGAGGAAGATGGTGTGAAAGTAGATGTCATTATGGTGTTCCAGTTCCCCTCTACTGAACAAAGGGCAGTAAGAGAGAAGAAAATCCAAAGCATCTTAAATCAGAAGATAAGGAATTTAAGAGCCTTGCCAATAAATGCCTCATCAGTTCAAGTTAATGGTAAGGAGGTCCCCTTCTATGTGATATGAAGTTGTCTATTAGGTCCATGTTTTGACGAATCTCAAATTTATTTGTCATTATTTCCATTTCAAATAATAGCTAGAATTCAGATGAAAAAATTCAAGTTAAAGATGTGACATTTCAAGGTGTATTAGTCTCTAACGTAAGCATGTCTGAAGTTAGTCATCCAGTGGTTTTCCCGACAGTAATTGATTGGCACTCATCCCAAAATATAGGCAAGCATTTACAACTAACAGAGAGTTAATCCCACCCAGGCACTGCCTCCATGACTAAGCAAGTGAAAATACTAGGGGTTTAGCAATAATTGTTTTTCTGGGTGGGACCTTCCTAAAACACAAATTCATGTGTTGCCATACTTTTATTGATAGTTTCTATATATGGTGATATACAATTTTTGTTAGCTTTTTTTCCTATGGGCATTTGGGAAAATGGCAAGCCAACTTTGAAGTTGTTAGAGTCATTTTACCATTAATGCTTTAAAAATCACAGTCTAGGAAAACATCACTGAAACTATGTGTACATTGTTCCACTTTTCTCTTTTTTTTTGTTCACCCTTAGCCCATTATACCATTATCACTTCCCTCAATTAAGGAGAACAAACCTTTATCAAGGTCTATCTCTATGGCCTTTACCTTAAGTAACTAATTTCTTTTTATATTCCAGTGACGTACGCAAATTCACCTTTATAGAAGTGAAATTCACACAAAAAGAGTTGAGGAATTCAGTAATTAAAAGGAGCTAAGAATCAAATTTAAATCTCTAATTTCTTAAAAGGCTCCAATTAAAAAAGGTTTCTATAGTCAAACACATCTTAAAAATTCTGGCTTTGATACTCGTTTCTTGGAAATTCTTCCTTATAGTGTCATATTAAAAATTCTAAGGCAGCCAGCTAGAGAGAAACTTGTTTACCCTCGTCCGCTAAGCTGTTTGCACAGCATCTTCTTCCAACAGACAAGTATAGATTTCTCCTACAAATTTCAATGGATACCAGACCTAAGTGTTACAGAAGAGATTCAGGGCAAGCGATTTTTATCAGACATGAAACAGGACACTCTGCCCTTGTAAGGGTCTAGCTGACACTTCAAGAGGAAACCAGATAAGGAAGTAAAAAATGTGAGGTAATGGAATGGGCAGATGTTTGCTGATGTGAGAACGAGTCAGCTACTTAGGGAATAAAGCTGAGGACCTCTCCCAGCCAGAAGGGAGGAACCTGACAAGTGCTTAATCCATCTTCTTTGTTAGATGGGGAAGCAAATGAATAGAAGTTGTGAAACAATGGGCATTCTGATAATTTACATGATGCTTTCTGTGTAATTTCCAATAAATAGTTAATTTGTCAGGAATGTAAAAGCCTGAACTATCTGAAACCAGAGTAAAGCATAAATTGTTCATTGGCTGCCTGGTCTTTTTGTTTTTTGTAGGCTCAGCTTCTAAACTTCAGCTTATTTTAATAATTGTACTAAATTAAATGGTAGGATATGCTAATGGAGAACCTGATTTGAGAGTCACCTGAGGCTGGGCATGGTGGCTCAAGCCTATAATTCCAGCACTTTGGGAGGCCGAGGCGGGTGGATCACCTGAGGTCAGGAGTTCAAGACCAGCCTGGCCAATATGGTGAAACCCCGTCTCTTCTAAAAATACAAAATATTAGTCAGGCCTGGTGACGGGCACCTGTAATCCCAGCTACTTGGGAGACTGAGGGGGAAGAATCACTTGAACCCGGGAGGCGGAGGTTGCAGTGAGCCAAGATCGCGCCACTGCACTCAAGCCTGGGCTTGACAGAGCAAGACTCCATCTCCAAAAAAATAAAAAATAAAAGAGTTACCTGACCAATTCTAACTCCACTAAGTCACCACAGGACCACCCAAATAATTGGCTCATGCCTTTGTCTTCATTTTCTCATCTGTAAAATTCCAATGGTAATGTTTGTTCTTCCTGAAATCACAGAGAGATTATAACGATATACAAGGAAATAGAAAACACAATGTGAAATAAAGAGGCTGTTACTAATGAGAAAACTATTATGTTGTGCATATGCTTTGGAAACCTGAAATCATTAATTTGAGTGATTGACTAGTAGCAGAAAGATAGATCCTTGAAAGTTTCAGAATGTTCAATGTAGAAAGAACAGTGTTTGTTAGTGATATGGGAGCCTAGGGGGTGTTGCTTTTCTGGCCAGAAACCTCTGTGGCCAGTGGTTGGTGCCTTTGCCCAAGTTTTGCTCTGGCCCACTGGGCTTGTTCTGCCCACTTGACCTGGCAGACTGTGCCCACCTTCCGCTACCAGCCTGGATCCCATGCCCACCAAGGCCAACCCAGGCATGGAGCTGTGAGGGTTGTCTGAGCGAGCACAGGGTCTGGCCACTGCCCACAGCCAGGCACACTGGCTGCAGCATGACGGGCAGCTCCAGGCACTGGCACAGGTGTGCTGTCTCTCTGTGAGGCTGTGGCTGGACAAAGCTCACTGCAAGCAGCTTCCCTGGCAGGCACCTGGGAATGTGGTGGCACCCAGGAAGCTTGGAGATGCCAGGAACTGCAGGGTCCCAAAGAGGGAGTCACAACCCTGGCTTGGGGAGCTCCCAGGTCTGGGATCCCTAAAGGGCTGCAGCTTTTCTCTCTTTTTACCCACAATGTGGCCAGCAAGGGGTATGTTTCATTCCTGTTTGTGTTACAGCTCTTTCAGTCTTGCTATTTGGCAGGTCCTGAGTTCTTGTCCTGAGACCAAGAAGAATGAGGTATGCAGACAAGTGGAGGGTGAGCAAGACGAAGAAAGGTTTACTGAGCAAGAGAACAGCTCACAGGAGACCCACAGTGGGCAGCTCCTCTTCATAGCCAGGGTGTCCCAACAAGTGTCCAGCTCCTAGCAAAGAGGAGGCCCTGGAGGTAGAAGCTCCTCTCTGCAGGCAGGTTGTCCTGTTGAGTGTTCAGCTTTCAGCACACAGTAGGCAGTAGGCCCTAGAGTGGTCTATCTCCTCTCTGCAGGCAGGTAGTCCCATGGTCTCCCAGTCACCTCTCCATCTGCAAGGGTCCAATGCTGCCTCCAGCACCTCTCTGCCCACCCCTCCGTGCCTGACCAAGCTGCTCCCCCACCAGTGGGCAACTCAGCCCAGCCCCATTGTGGTAGCTCCCAGGGTGGCAGGCTCTGGGGGGCTCCCAGGGATGGGCTCCAAGGACTGTCCACCTTCTCCCCACGCCCTCCCTGCAGTGGCCATGGTCAAGAATGGCAATGTGGGGCCAGGTTCCGGAGCAGGAGAGGCTCCAGGCCTGGGAGCAGGTCCTGCCTGGTCACGTGAGGTTGGGGGTGGCACAGTCGGCTGCCTCAGGGATGTGGGACACAGGGGACCCACCACCATCACTGCTACTCCCGCATCCGCTCCTGCTACCACTGCTCCAGACAGCCTGTAGCTGCCATCACTAGCACTTAAGAAAGGCACATTCAGTGGACAGCTCAGGAAAATCTTTACGTCAATTTTTTATAGGCAAAAACATTGTTTCCTGGGCAAACAAAATTTATGGACTACCAATAAATAGAAAACTGTAGAGATTCTAGATTAAGTCTAGAAATAATCCTGTAGCCCAAGATTTATTTATAATTTGTCAAGAATCTGTATTTTGTTTTGACAAAAAAAAACTGTGTGGTGTGGGTCCTTCAGGAGACACAGTGTGACAAAGCAAAGCTAAAATCAACTTCTTTGCATTGCAAACACCAAGGCTGTAGTCAAGCAGCTCACTGCCTATGTGTCAGATGACTTTGCTTCATTTTTCATCATGATACTTGTAGTCTATAGAGCCCTGAATATTAACTAGCTTTCTCCCAACTCAGAACCGTGTTAGGAGGTGGTTGCTTTCAAAACTAAAGTGTTAATGTTTATTTCCATTTCTATACCAGGAAAGTAAAAATCTTTGGTCAAAATTAGAAATCTTTAACAACTAGTTACTTGTGTATTGACAGTTTGTTTCCAGGTGTAATCATTCTCCCTTAAAATCCGGTTATATTCACGACCATTATACTTATCCTGGTATCATTCCTGGAAATGGCTAACTTGCATCCTGCTCAGACTAAGTTGACAAAGTTTCAATTGAAGAATTCTAACTTTATGCTATTTTCCACTTTATTGCATTACAAAGGACAAAATATATAGTTTTCTTAAAAATGAAATAAATTTACTGCCTTAAACTACATTTGACGGTAAACTGAGTTCCTTCCATAGAATAACCACTAACAGCAATCGATGGTCCTGAGCAATTGACTCTTCACCATACAATGATTTGGGATGCCTTTAAGGGTATATTTGAATTGAATATTTTCAAAAGCTCCCACTTTGTAGAGTTTATCATCACTAGTTTCCCCAGTGGAATTTGTAGAAAGTTAGTAGAATGAAACAATCTTATTTTGTATAATGAGGAATAGAATACTGAGAATGTGTCTGAGAAACATGGCACTGGTAGGAAAAAGTAAACAGTTTATTCTCATCTGCTCAATAAGCTAAGTCATTTTAACTTGAAAATCATCAAAATTTTCATGAAACCTTCCACCAACTTTATTTTTCCCCAGCTTTAGTAAGATATAATTGACAAATAAAAATTGTATACTGTATACAACATGATGCTTTGATACATGTATACAAGTTTAAATATTTGTGTTTCCTTAGTCAAACTCCTCACTTTTTTGGAAGTTGACAGAATTTAATCTTGGATTGTGTCCAATAACTAGCTTTTACCACTATTCAGTATATTTTGGATAAGAAACACATAACAGTTTATTCTTTAAAAAAGCAATTTTACTATTTAGGAACTGTGTTTAAAAAGCATTTTAAATATCATTTATGCAAGAGTTTTCAAGGTTTTTTCATTCTAAACCCTTTAACCAAAAAAAAAAAAAAAAAGATTTATGTGAAATTCGAAGTAAATAGAAGAGATCAAAGCAGATCTGTTCTGGCTGAGGCTGAGTTTGAGACCTGTAAGACAGTCTACTTGCCATATGGCTTGGCTGTGTCCCCACCCAAATCTCATCTCGAATTGTAGCCCCCATAATTCCCACATGTTGTGAGAGGGACCTGGTGGGAGATAAATTAAATCATGGGTGCAGTTTCCCCCATACTGTTCTATGGTAGTGAATGAGATCTGATGGTTTTATAAGAGGCTTCCCCTTTCACTTGGCTCACATTCTCTGACTTGCTTGCCACCATGTAAGACATGCCTTTTGCCTTCCTCCATGATTGTGAGGCCTCCCCAGCCACATGGAACTCTGAGTCCATTAAACCTCTTTTTCTTTATAAATTACCCAGTCTCAGATATGTCTTTATCAGCAGTGTGAAAACAAACTAATATAACCTGTTTCCTCTGTCCCATTTATCCATCTTCTGAAGTGGAATGCAAAGAAGCTTTACCCCGAACTGCTGGAAAACCATAGTTCTCTATTAATACAAACTATTTGTGGGCTTTAGTCATCCACTATTTGTGCCTTACTCACCCATTGCTTGTGATAGTATCCACCTAATTAGAGGCTGCCTATAAGTCTCTACAAAAACTGTACACAGATGTTGTTATATCAGATAGCCATTCTCCTAATTAATCTATATGTTCAACTGTCTAGAATCCATATATGGTCAGTATCCTCTGATTATTCCTGGTCATTGAGACCAACCAGGAAAATATCAAATTATCACTATTTGTTTTATCTTCTTTTTCAGCAATGAGCTCATCAACAGGGGAGTTAACTGTCCAAGCAAGTAAGTCAAGTTAGCTTATATAAACAAGTTCAATTTTCACATCAGAAAGGACATTTTCAAATATTTGCTCATACTTGCCCATCTGTCCTCCAGATTTTCTTTGAGAGATAATAACTATTTGTACGATAGATTTAAATACATTTTTTTTCTAACTCATGGACTGATCTTTTAGTCATGTTCAAGAAAAAAATTGCCATGGTAACCTTCTGGGGCAATTTGAAGAAAGCATTTATTTTTGATTGGGAATATTGGACTTGTTTTTCTAATTTTTAAAAATGCCATAAAATGTACTTTCTGCTACAAAATAAAATAATAAGAAAGTAATCAATAGGAAGGACATAAAACCCATTGTCTGTGACTGACAATTTGTCTGTGAAATATGCTAAGGTCAGGAGTTCGAGACCAGCCTGACCAACATGGAGAAGAAAACCCATCTCTATTAAAAATACAAAAATTAGCCAGGTGCGGTGGCAGGTGCCTGTAGTCCCAGCTACTTGGGAGGCTGAGGCAGGAGAATCACTTGAACCTGGGAGGCAGAGGTTGCAGTGAGCCAAGATTGCACCACTGCACTCCAGCCTCAGCGACAGAGTGAGACTCCATCTCAAAAAAGAAGAAAAAAATATGCTTAATAGATTCATCTTAATCGCTAACAGTGGCTTCATTAAATCACTTCAAATCACTGTGGCCTAAATTTTGAAAGATTTTACAAAAAACAGTGATGAATTTGAGCAATGATGTTCATGCATTTGCCTCTGTGACTTGCAAACACCCTAAGTATTTTTATCCATGTGTTTATTCATTCAACAATATCTTTTAACATCTACCAAGTGCCAGAAATTAGACCAGGAGTTGGTGGTACCATTGTGAATAAAACATGATCCCTGCTCTAAAATTAGAATTCCAAAGTAGAGAAAGATATAAATAAATCAGGAAGTATGAAAATAATGTGATTAATGCTATGACAGAGGAAGTGCATAGTGCTATGAGAGTTGATCAGAGAGTCAGCTAACCTGTTCTCACACAGTAAGAAAGTGAACCCTGAAATGTGAGAGAGAAGAGGCCATGAATCCAGTGACAGGTGGGGTAAGTGTCCTGGGCAGGAGGAGTAGTATACGAAAATGTCTTCAGGCAAGTAAGAATGGGGTCATTTCCTGTAATTACAAGATGTTTCTTATAACTTAATGATCTCATCTTTTTTCAGGTTGTGGTAAACGAGTTGTTCCATTAAACGTCAACAGAATAGCATCTGGAGTCATTGCACCCAAGGCGGCCTGGCCTTGGCAAGCTTCCCTTCAGTATGATAACATCCATCAGTGTGGGGCCACCTTGATTAGTAACACATGGCTTGTCACTGCAGCACACTGCTTCCAGAAGTAAGTTATTGACCTTAAGTTAGAACCCACTTCTGCTAAAAAGCCCTGAGTTTTGTCATATTCTTGGTAACAATTAATGTCTCAAATATTACTGAAGTAAAATAAGAAAAAGTTATTTCAGGTTCTTTTCTAAAATAATGTTACACTTGCATACTTAATCAGAAATTTGATGGGAATAAGTAACAGTCATTATCCTAGTATCCATCAATCATTTCCTCAAAGTTTTTAATAAGGAAACTGTGTAAAGAAATCAGAACTATTTTGTGACATCCTAACACAAAATATTCACTAATAACATGTACCATTAATCTTTTGTCAAACAATGCTCTCCACTTAAAACTAGTGTCTGTTTCTGCCAAACACTTGGGCCAGTCTCATACTGATCTTAAATAATCAAACTAATTCCAAAGTAAAATGGAAATTTTCAATAAATGCCGGAAGTTGGTAACCGTGATGATGGAGAACTGCAGATCAAATTTAGAGCATTGACATATGAAGATCTGTGGAATCAGAACAGTTTACAACCAAAATGAGAGATTGCTAGCATGATAAAGACAGGCACTTCAAAAGAGATTCCTCGGAGTATCAAAGGATTCATAGAGGCCCTTGGGCCACTCAATGTGACCTTCCCATAATAGAGCATCTCTTCACAATAGTGACACAAAAGACAAAGCTGAAGTGAAGAATAGCAAATTGTGCTATCCTATAATTGTTTCTGAATGCATACATTTTATTAAATATATGATTAAATGACTTTTTATAACTTTTAATCTTACTTTTCAAGATAATAACCAGTCATTTTTATCACTATTACATTTAGAATTTTAGATTTGTTTCTAAGTAGATTAACTGTATCGCCTTTCTTCTTCATTGCCAATTATTACAGTAATAACAAAGACTTCTTGAGTATCTCTATATAATAGGTGGCAGCAGGATTTAGTGGGAAAAATATGTCCCAGGCAGTTGGAGAGCTGGGCAAATTATTGAACCTTAGTGTATTAGGTAATAGATAGGCTAGATCTTTTCACATTCTTTTTGACCTATAAAATTCTAACTTTTGTTACTATAATAAATTTCATTTGCCTAGGAGCATAAATCTTTATAGAGACTCTTAATATTCCAAAGAATATACATATTAAGAATCTAGGCTTGGCATGGTGGCTCATGCCTGTAATCCCAGCATTTTGGGAGGCCGAGGCAAGAGGACCACTTGAGCTCAGGAGTTCAAGACCAGCTTGGGCAAGATAGTGAAACCCCATTGGGCATGGTGGTGCCTACCTATCATCCCAGCTACTTGGGAGGCTAACGCAGGAGGATCCCTTAAGCCCAGGAGTTTGAGGCTCCTGCAAGCTATGATTGCACCACTGCACTCCAGCCTGAGTGACAATGCAAGACCCCATCTTAAAAAAATAGTAATATATTTTTAAAAATAATCTACATAAATTCTTAATGTTTGAAAGATGTGAGAGCTCAGTAAGCTGATATATTAGAAAGCCAGAAATCCCTTATGCTGGTGTCTGGTTTTTCAAAGTAATGGGAAACTTACTTTGCCAAAGTTAGCCATTTTTGTGGTAGATAGTTCTATTTTTGCAAATATCTTTATAGCATTGAACACCAAATCTATACTCTATTAACTTCTACCATCAATATTTGTTTTTCTTTTAATCTGGAACAACAGGAACCAATTTTATTTCTTCATTCATATAACAGCTATTCTTTAGTTTCTCTTTTTCAGACCAAACATAAAATGAGGGAGAATATCCAAACCATAAGTGAAAATAAATATCATTACTGTGAGCTTTAGTTTGCTAAGGATAATGACCTCCAGCCCTATCCATGTCCCTGCAAAGGGCATGATTTTGTTCTTTTTATGGCTGCATAGCATTCCATGGTGTATGTATACCACATTTTCTTTATCCAGTCTATCACTAATGGGCATTTAGGTTGATTCTATGTCTTTGCTATACCGAAGAGTGCTAGAGGGAGAGGATCAGGAAAAATAACTAATGGGTACTAGGCTTAATACCTGGGTGATGAAATAATATGTACAACAAAACCCCATGACACAAGTTTACCTGTGTAACAAACCTGCACATGTAACCCTGAACTTTGAAAAAAGTATATATATGCACACACATATATATGCATACATATATATGTGTGTATATATATGCATATATGTGTGTGTGTATATATAAAAAAAAATATATATATATATATATATATAATTACCTCATTTTTCCAGAACCAACTTCCAGATGCCCTACCACATTGGTTCTTATTCTCTGAACATTCGAGACTTTGTCAGTGTCTTCCTTAAAATATGCTTCCAATAACTAAATACACCAAGACAGATGTGTGACTAGTGTCACACATAACAAAATAAAGCAGGAAGTCTTCTGAAAAATACAAATAATGTAAATTGGTGGGAGACAGTGTTTTATAAAGGGAAGAGCAGAGAGAGGCAGGCAGATATGTGATGTGAATCAAATAGTTTAACCTATCCAGGCTTTATTTTCCTTAAGTATAAAACACAGTCTTTACTAGATGATCTTTCATTGCTACTAAATGATTTTTCCGATTCCTGTATGTACCATAATCCACCCATTGCCCAAGCCCACAAGCTAGAAGTCAACCGCATTTACCACATTTGATCATCTCTCAAAGGACTATGCAGTCATCTAATAGACTTTACCACATCCATTCTTGACCTTCAAGAATCTACTCCCCAGAAAGAACCAACATGTTTTTTAAAAATGTAAATGAGACTACATTATTCTCTGGCTTAATTATCCAGTAGATTCCCATATCACTTCAATAAAATTTAAGCACTTTATCATGACCTATAAAACACTCTAAAATCTAGTCCCTGCTTACCTCTCCAAGCTCACCCCCAACCATTCTTTCCCTTGTGTTCTGACTGCAGCCCATCCAACCCAAGACCTTGGGATTTTTGCCTGGAAACTTGTTTCCCTCATCTCCTCACACTGACCCTCTTTTACTATGTCTTAGCCCAAATGCGTTATCAAAATAATCATAATGACCTGTTAGTACTCTATTCCGTTACCCTATTTTATTTTGTTCATAGCCTTTATCAATGTTTAAGATTATTTATCTATTTGTTTGCTTGCTTTGATCCTTTTCCTTCTCTGGAATCTTATACTCCTGTGAGCAGGCACCTTAGGTCCTGTTCATCACTTTATCCCCAGCAGTTCAGATAAGGCTCAGCACACAGATGCTCAGTAAATATTTGTGGAAGGGATAAATGAATGATATTTTATGTGTATTACAGTTCTAAAATTCAATAGTTTTGTATTAAATATCAGTTCTAATATGGCATTTATATGATTTTATCTTTCAAAACATTAGCAATAGATTATATTTAAATGATAAAAGAAAACTATAACTGCAGCCAAGTATTCTCAGGATTGTATTTCTCTTATATTAGCCTAAATGCAATTAATCTAGCTCATATACTTTGGGCAGCTTATATATATTCTGTTAATTTCTAACCTTTTCCAGGTATAAAAATCCACATCAATGGACTGTTAGTTTTGGAACAAAAATCAACCCTCCCTTAATGAAAAGAAATGTCAGAAGATTTATTATCCATGAGAAGTACCGCTCTGCAGCAAGAGAGTACGACATTGCTGTTGTGCAGGTCTCTTCCAGAGTCACCTTTTCGGATGACATACGCCAGATTTGTTTGCCAGAAGCCTCTGCATCCTTCCAACCAAATTTGACTGTCCACATCACAGGATTTGGAGCACTTTACTATGGTGGTGGGTATCTCAGGATAGCTAACAGAGCGCTAAGCCCTGTCTAAGGCAATGTGATTTCATCTCCATCAATATTATCCTGACAGCCATTTCCACACAGTCTGGTTGGATTAGTTAGGGTTCTTACTTTGTGTGACAGAAATTCAATTCACATTAACCAGTGCAGAATAAAAAACAAAGAAACAAAAACTTCCACAAATTTGGCTCATGTAATTTGGAAGTCAAAAAAGTGTAGTAAGTTTCACTTCAGACACAGGGGTTTATATGATGTCATCTGGCTCTGTGTCTCTGAATTTGAATTTTTTGCCCCTTCTTTTCTCTATATTGTCTTCATTCAGAGGGATGCTAGCTTCACCTAGTGTCAGAGGTGGCTAACAACACCTCAACACATCATCCTCAACAAAGAAAAAATACATAGAAAGGAATATTTATTTCTTTTCTTTGCCAGAATTCACATTAATTTCTATTGTTCCAGCTGTGTCTAGGAGGACTCAGATTGAGTGGCTAACTCAAATATTCTTTATGCCTATGTAGCAAAATTTGCTTCAGTACTGAAGAAGCTAATTTAAGTGTGATGGTGAATAAGAATAGTGTAGAGATAAATTGTCAAACTATTTGTCCCCTCTAAAAGTATTCAACTTGATATACTAACTTAGTCTTGTAAGAAATAATGATGATTTAGTTACTGAATGTTCTAGGCAATCTTAGTGAGACACGCTCTGGATTCTACCATGTGGTCCAGGTACATATGTATAACAAAAGCTAGAGAGTTTCTTTAACACTGGGCTTGAGAAAATGCAAAAGGGCTTTCTGAGAATGACTAAATCTATTTGCAGGATTCTATACAATTTATTTACATACAAGAAATTATAAAGAATAAGCTTTTGATTCTCAGTCTACCATTAAGGAACTAGGAATAACCTTTCACTCACATAGGCAGGAATCGGTTTTAGGGTCTCTAGATTTTTTCCAGATGTCCCATGTGGTTTTGTTTTATCTTATACAGAGTGAGACATGCATTGCTTTCTTTAAGGTTGTATTACCAATCACAGAAAATATTACCTATGGTTTATTAATTCTAGTAGATCTAGTGCTGCTGTAAGCCTGACACCTCCCTAGGTCTGCACTCTCTTGGATGGATTTTCTCTGAAGATAGGGCTTGCATTCTCTGCTTCATAGTGGTGGGAAAGACATCACAAATCCCCTTTGGCTTGGTGGGAAAAATCACTTTCAGGAGTTTGAGACTGGCACAGAAACATACCTGTCATAATGCGCTGTGAGTGGCAACAGAATCTGACACTTATAGAGCACTCCACCCTACTTGAACACGGCCTCTCTTGGTGAGTGACCCACAGGTGCTTTTAATCTATTAAATAGATTAAATTAACCTATCATTCTTAATCTGTTAAGTACATTAATAGATTAAAAGCAGCCATTCGTTACTCACCAAGAGAGGCTATATTCAAGTCTGTAAAGCAAACCTTAAGAAGTTTTTTAAAATTGAAATTGTACAAAGTATATTCTCTGATCATAATGGAATCTAACTAGACATCAGTAACAGAAAGATAACATAAAAATCCCCAAATGCTTACCAATTAAAAAACATATGTAAATAAAGAGAATATCTCGAAGAAATTTGTAAAAACAAATAGAACTAAATGAAAACAAAAATATATAAATATATGCCAGATGCTGCTAAAATAGTGTAGAAAGGGAAATTTATAGAAAATGCATATTATAAGGAAAGATATCAAATCAATAATTAAGTTCTCACTTCAAGAAACTAGAAAAATAAAAAATAAACCTAAAACAAACATAAGGAAGGAAATAATAAGAATAAGAATAGAAATGAATAAAATTAAAAATAAACTATAGAAAATTGATAAATAAAAAGCTGATTATTTGATAAAATCAATATTTTGCTAGAAATGTCATTAAGCATTTTTACAGAAGATGAGATATAGCTCAGGGATGTCCAGAATTTATGGGCTATGCTTTTCATGACTTGGAATACATTTTACCAACCAGTTTAGTTTGCTGAAGAAGTTGTGGATTTGCACTGTCACCTACTTACAATACTTAGATTGTCAGTTTCACCTTACTCTTCTCACCATTATTTTATTTTTATTTTTATTTTTATTTTTATTTTGAAACAGAGTCTCGCTCTGTCTCCCAGGCTGGAGTGCAGTGGCGTGATCTCGGCTCACTGCAAACTCCGCCTCCCGGGTTCACGCCATTCTCCTGCCTCAGCCTCCCGAGTAGCTGGGACTGCAGGCGCCCACCACCATGCCCGGCTAATTGTTTTGTAGTTTTAGTAAAGAAGGGGTTTCACCGTGTTAGCCAGGATGGTTTTGATCTCCTGACCTCGTGATCCACCTGCCTCGGCCTCCCAAAGTGCTGGGATTACAGGCGTGAGCCACCGCGCGCCAGGCCATGAATGTTTTTAATTGATGATATAGTAGGCAATATAAATGTGTGTGTGTGTGTGTGTGTGTGTGTGTGTATAATATATATAAACCAATTGTATTCAAATAACAGAATAATTTGAAAAATCTCTTAGCATATTTCTGAGTTACACACTTAAATCTTCCGAGCACTTTTAAATATGTGTTTACAAACATTTCTTCAGAAATAAATCTTGGAAATCGTCTTCTAAAGAAACTGGTGTATTAGGGTTTTTTCAAATGTACTTAGTTTTTTTTTTAATTGATGTATAAAATTGCATGTACTTACCATGTGCAACATAATGTGTTGAAGTATAGTATATGTACACTGTGAGTGTTAAATCTAGTTAACTAAGAAGCGTCTTATTTTACATAATTATCATTTTTGTGGCAAGAACACTTAATATCTACTCTTGTAGCGTTTCTCAAGAATACGATATATCAACAGTAGGCAACCAGAAGCTGGGGGTCTTTACAGGGGAAGGAGTTAGGGAGATGCTGGTCAACAAATTCATATTTGCAGTTAGGAAGAAAAAGTTCAAGAGATCTCTCATCCATCATGGTGACTATAGCTGATGATATATCGTATTCTTGTATTAGTTTTTTATAAATGTGTAACAAATAATCACAAACAGTTAAAACAGCACTCATTTATTTTTATCTCACTGTTTTCATGAGTCAGACGTTCAGACACAGCTTAGTTGAGTCCTCTTCTCAGGGTCTCACCAAACTGTAATCAAGGTGTCAGCTGGGGTTGTGGCCACATCTGTGGCTCCTTTGAAGGTCTCCTCAAGGTTTGCTGGCAGAATTCCTTTACTCGCAGCTGTAGAATGCATGCCAGCTTGCTGCTTTAACTCTTTAGGAAAGTGTCTCAACTCCAGCAAGGCTCGCCCTTTTTGAAATGGCTCAGCTGATTAGGTCAGGCCCACCTTTGATAATCTCCTTTTGATGAATTCAAAGTCAAACTCATTAGAGGTCTTAATCGCATCTGTAAAATTCCCTCATCTTGGCCATATAACATAACCTAATCATGAGAATGGCATCCCTCATATTCACAGATCCTGCCCATATTTGGGAGGAGGGGAATCACACAGGAATCTTGGGGACTATCCTAGAATTCTGCCAACCATGGGGTCATGGTTTCCCAATCAATATATGGTTTGGTATAAAGAATCCCTGAATGCTTGTGCTATTCTTAGTTTTCTACGTAGCCTGCCATAATAATGGTTTCTAAAACTCAGAACCTAGCTTACAGTCTGCAGCCACCAACTTGTAATACATTGGAAGTGAAATCATTGCCGTTTAATGCATTTATATATATATGATGTATAATATATGTATATTTCACATATATCTTATATATGTGAAAGCTCATCATAAACTTTAAATAATAAAATAAATGTACATAGTATTATAGGCATTTTATCAAGCCAATGGAGAAAACCATCTAGGCATGCAGAGTTTCTGGGAACAATCTGGAACCCACAAATAAAAGCTTTACAAAAGATAAAAGGCCTTCCTGAAATATATAAGCTGATTATTTTTAAGGTTAGATTTTCCAGGAAAAAGAATCCAAATGGCTTTCTTGCTTTGAGAAGTTTTTATAAAAATGTGATTGGACAATAATTATCGTTAGATGTGCCAGATTTAACCAGAAATTCTTTTTTCTAGAAACTGCTTATATTAACTTCATTCTGTATTGACAATTTTACCATGAAAAAAATATTAGGAAAGTCTGCTCACTTCACTCTAGCCAAAGATGCTGATTGTAAATACTAGAATAACTCTATTTTTCCTTAAGGGGAATCCCAAAATGATCTCCGAGAAGCCAGAGTGAAAATCATAAGTGATGATGTCTGCAAGCAACCACAGGTGTATGGCAATGATATAAAACCTGGAATGTTCTGTGCCGGATATATGGAAGGAATTTATGATGCCTGCAGGGTAAGTTGGAGGGATTTTTTTATATTACTAACTCAAAAATTTGTATCTGGCTCAGAATATATTATATGTTCTTTACATAAGGACAAAACATAGATATCATGTCAGCTCAAAAAAGTTACAAATGCAAATTTCACAGCACAAAATACTTTTAAATGTTTTATTAAGATAAATGAAGTAAGAGTTTCTCTGATGCTATCAAACAAACAAAATTAGAATTTCTTAACCAGAAATCCAAAGATTAATAAAGCAGTTTATTTTCTCAAGCGGCTCACATTCAAGAAAGAAAATAATCATAAACAGAGAAGTATAAAGTGATGTTATGAATAATATAATGAAAAGCAAATATTTTTCTTGAAGGAAACATTTTTGGAACAAGTATCAGAGAGATGAGACGTAAATAAGGCCTGAAGAATAAATAACATCCAATTTCAGAATAAGAAAATAATGTTATAGAAAAGACAAAAAGCATAGCCAAAATTATGAAGGTGTGAAATTACAATTCATATCTGAGGGAACTCCAAGTAATTGGTTGGGTCTCAGCATGAGGAGGATGAGAAGAGAAACAAGTAGATAACCATGAGAAGGTGGATTAGGCCATGTTGTGATTCCATGGGCCCTCCCCAGTGCCCTCATCTGCCTTCTAACATGGATGTTTTCCAGCGAAGGTACGTTTCTTCCTGGAGACACTTGCTTTTTAACATGAGATACTTTAGAACTCTAAGGAGGCCACTCTATGTGGAAATGATGGAATGGTATTGATATCAGGTGGCAGAAAGTCCTGTCCAGAGTCCCACAAACTGTACCACATGTGCGACCTCTATCAGAAAAGGAGCAGGGACCTATGTGACATAGAGGCTGGGCAAAAGCAGGATCTGGTCCACAGCCAGCCTCGGTTGCTAATAATGTGGAGGGAGGCAGGCAGAATTTAGGGATTCCAACAAAAGGTCCATACCACGGGGAACAGGTGGAAGGTGCAGGAGTCTTGGAGCAGACAGGACCGGGGAATTCAGGTGAACCATGACATTACTGAAAAGCCTTAGGAGGGATTGGTGGTCATAGAGATGCTTCACTGGATTGGGGAGCAGAGGTAAACTTGCTGCCTAACTGTGCAAAGTAAGTGATAAAACAAGGCTTTAGTCATAGAAAAATACAGTAAGTTATCAGGGCAGCGGTTCAGGTACAAGGATCCAAGACAGGAATACAGTGATTGTAATTGGGGCACATGGTGAGGGGCCTAGTCTGATACAACAGAAGTGCAAGCACCACCAACACCTCGTCTTTCTCCATAAGTCTTTCTCTCCAGAGCCCTCATGACCTAATCACCTCTTCTTAAGTCCCATCTCTCAACACTATTGTATTGGAGATTAAGTTTCCCCAACCTATGAACTCTTGGGCTCACATTCAAACCATAGCACCACCCAGCACAAAAGCACAGAGCTTCCAATCTGGTTTCTAGCTCCATACCCTAGAACCAAACAGTAAGAATCACCTCTGGAAATGTAGCAATAATATAATCATAATTTTTAAAATCCAGTGGAAGGATTGGAAGATAAAATCAAGGAAATCTCTCAGAAAGAACAACAACAACAAAAAAGACACAGAGGAGAAAAATAATCAGAAAAATTAAGAAAACTAGAGGATAAGCTCAGGAGATCCAACACCAAATGAATAGGAGCTCTGAAAACATAAAACGCGAGTGTACAATATAAAAAAAAATAAAGAATGCTCCTAGTTCTGAAGCTTACATGCATCCTATTGAAGAAAAGGTCCAAGTAGTGCTGGGCACAATAAATGAAGTACTTCTTTCCAAGACATACCATCATAAAGGGTCAGAAGCCAGGGATAAGGAGAACAATCTTAAAACTTTGAAGGAAGAACCATCAGAACTACATAGAACTCCTCAACAGTAACTCTAGAAGGTAGACGATGGTGGAAAACACATTCAAATTTCAAAGGGAAGATTATTTCAACCTAGATTCCTACCCATGCTAACTAAATATCAACTGTGAGGGTGGAATTAAGAAGTTTAGACAAGCAATGACTGAAAAAAATGTACTTCTGATACCCTACTTCTTAGGAAACTACTTGAGAGGGTACCTCAGCAAAATGAGGGAATAAATCAAGAAAGTGGAAGACGTAAGACCTGAAACTGTTAGTCCAACACTAAAGAGTGGTATCAGATAATCCCAACACCATAGCTCTGCACCAGGCTTAAAGTAACCAGCTCGAATTTGAGCAGAAGTAAGAAAAGATTGTGTGTATGTGTATGTGTATGTGTGTATGTGTGTGTGTGTGTGTGTGTGTGTTGATATGGTGGAACAGCTTCAGAGGAAGTAAAAGAACTAACAAGCTATCTGATGTCCTTGAACATTAGTAAACATTATTGTGAGGTGTTGGTAGATCTTTTGGAGCATTCAGCATTTACCAGGTACATAGAAAACTATCCACATGAAAAAAAGAGTTGTGTTATTAATTCTAGGAAAGCAAAAAAAGATTTCTGTAATCCAAATATGTTACTTGACTCTTCAATTAATAAAATTTACACACTGGTACTAAATGTAGGCTGTTAATTTAACCAAAAATAGAGATGCTATAATGTAAAGATGTGGTGTGGAAAAGTTGCAAAGAAGTTGTAAAACAACTAAATCCCTAACTACGTAAGAGAAAATAAATATTTACTGTCTAAACCTAGAAGCTGTAATTTGAGCATATTATCTAGTGATAAGGAGTTAGATACTATAAGAAATCATTAAACAAGCATGAAGTGGCTACCTCTTGGAGAACAGCTTGCGTGAGGTAACATGGGACATAACTGCTTTTCAAGCCTCTTCATGTTTTTTCGTTTTTGCCTTTTTTAACTAAGTGCTGTTTACTCTAACAAAATAAATTTTATTTTTTAAATGTGAAAGTTGAACCTTAAGGCTCTTTGTAATATTAAAATCCATGTCTCAATTAATTATTCTGTGTTGATAGTCTATACATGTACTGTCTAGTAACAAAATATGTGATTCATCAAAATATCTTAAATAATGAGCTTTATGTTTAGCTAATTTTCTTTCTTTTTTCTTATGTTTTTATTTTTAGGGTGATTCTGGGGGACCTTTAGTCACAAGGGATCTGAAAGATACGTGGTATCTCATTGGAATTGTAAGCTGGGGAGATAACTGTGGTCAAAAGGACAAGCCTGGAGTCTACACACAAGTGACTTATTACCGAAACTGGATTGCTTCAAAAACAGGCATCTAATTCACGATAAAAGTTAAACAAAGAAAGCTGTATGCAGGTCATATATGCATGAGAATTCAACTATTTAGTGGGTGTAGTACAACAAAGTGATATTAAATTACTGGATCTAGTAACATGAAACACACAACGTAAGTTATTTAGAATCACTTTAATCAACCAATAATCCTTAGCCAATTTATAAGGGACTTTTATTTGTAAAGTAATGGATCTGGCTTGAAAAATACGGTAGAGATACTTAGCTCTTTAAATCACGAATGTTGAAGTACCAGTGAGACTCAATACATATTTTTGAAGATAGTCCATGGGATTTTTAGAATGTCGTTGTCAAGGGTCTCCTTTTAACTGAGAAACTTTTTGAACTCACAAAGTGTTCAAGAAACCCTTGTATAATTCCCTACATTTCTCTCGAGCTCACAAATACTTTTTTTTCTTTTTCCTTATTCAATCAGATTTTCCAAAGTACCTTTCCACCATAAGAAATGAATTTTCTACTTCTACACCCATTTGAGAGACACCAATAAAAGAAAGTCATATGTAGGAAACAAAGTCTGATAGTAAAACAAGCCAGAGATCTTCTAACTTTTTTTAGTTATAAAACCTCTAATTTTTGGTGACTTTTCTACACACACACACACATACAGTCACATAGATATTCTTATCCTACAGATATAATCAGAAAAATCCCGATTAATGAATTATATATAGATAGATAGAGTGATTAGTTAATCAAAACTATATATTTGTTAAAAATTTGGGAGAAGGTGATGGTAATTTCATTAGTCCCAAAACACCGGCATAAGAAATTTGACATTTCACAGATGCACTTACATATTTTGACCACAAGGGGGAAATTTTGTGCATTATTATTGTAGGGTTAAATGCCTGAAAAAAATAAGCATTTACTAATACCTTGAAAAATCAAAGAACATTATGTTCCTCCGTAGCAAGAAAAATTTTATGCCCTCGCATTGCTACAGCCAAATAGCTTATAAGGCTTATGGCAATGTCCCAACTATTGCAATCATAAAACCCTAGTTTTAGAAAAATTTGAAAATAAATATAAAATTTGAGCACCTACTGCATATAACACATGGGGCTATAACATATAACATATAGTATGTTTTCTCTTTTGGACCACTTTGTTATATGTGGTCCACAAGAGAAAACATACTCCATCAGCAACGTGTCTCCTGAAGTCATTAGGAGAGTAAGGCTCATGTATTTCGTAATACAATTAAATTAAGGCTTTATGGAAGCAATTATTCTGCTTGGCAATGCCTGTGAAATATTATGGTCTGCAGGCTGGGGAGTCATTTACTCATTTAGCCCAAATATAAGACAAATCATTGGAACGATGAACTTGCTTTATAATAATTTCCCTCACATGCTATTGAGAAGGCATGAAAATAATCCTAAAATATCTAAAAGAGATATGCAGTTCACTCATAAAACACTTGATTCATAATTTAGACTCATAGAATTTTAAAGCTGAGAAGAGATTGCATGTCACATAGGCCAATATACTTATGTTATGTTTAAGAATATGAGTATATTCTTAACTATTTTTATTGAATTCTTAACTATTTTTATTGAATCATCAGATCTGTAAAATTTTAAGTGAGAGCTATTGAACCTGTATTAAGATAGAAAACTCTTAAGATAAGAATTTTAAATGACGAGATTCATTTAGGCAGCTGGCTGCCAATTCTCTGAATTCACTTCAAGACAAAGTTTCTTCTTCATATATAAATATACATAGGCATATAAATTATTCTATATTATGGTGGTAAAACTTAATGCTGACTTTGGATGTTCAGATTCAGGAAATGATCTTAGAATTATGAACTTTGTATTTTTAAACTATTTGGTGCAGCATTTCATTTTGGGTCACATGTAAGCAGATATTGATATGTCATTTTTAATCTAATAAAGTTGGTGATCAGAGCATTCTACAAACAATATCACTGAGTTTGTTTTAGGCCAGTATCATGAATCTTTCAACTGTCATTAAAATCACATTTCTTTTAAATAACTAGTTTGGATCACTCTGAAGCTGAGTTCACAAACTTGGCACTATTAATATTTTGATCTGGATAATGCTTTATTGTAAGGGGCTCTCCTGTTCATTGCAGAATACTTAGCAGCATCCCACTAGATGCCTGTAGCATACCCCTTTTCTCAAATTATTATAATAAAAAATATCTCCAGACATTGGCAAAGGTCCCCTAAGGTATAAAATTGTCCCCTTTTGAGAACCACTATTCTGGATTCACTTGATCATTTTTAGAAATGTGAGAGATGACTCAAAGTCATGACATCAAATATTCAGAAACTATAGTTTTCTGATCAAGCTGAACATTCACTATCATGTTCCTAAAAGAAATAACAGAATACATGACTGGTGCTTCAGTCTGTGGCTGTTTCAAATACAGACTGATCTCCCCGCACGTAATGTCCTCAAAGAATTTGTCTTATGCTTCTGCCTGAACTAGAGTATAGTCATAGAGCACCATTAAAGTTTTCCATGAAGACAGGGCTTTATGAAAAACACCCTCTACCTTGACCAAAATCCACAGTAGGAAATACATTTTACATCACAGCTCCCTACATATACAACCAAATACATACAAAAATTGAAACAGAAGTTTCATAAAACAATACTTACCATTACAAAATGCAAGGAAATCTAATATTTTCTACTTTATTGTACTCTATGCTGCTCAATTCTATTCTACTTTTAAAAAAACATTTACCCCGTCGAATAAATTGATTCCACAATCTAATCAATCATGACCGGCAATGCCAATAAATGTTCTCAAATAATCATTCACTATTATATTTTTTATTTGTATAAATTTAAGGGGTACAAAGTGCAGTTTTGTTACATGGATATATGTACAGTGGTGAAGTCTGAGCATTTAGTGTATTATTAACATTCATTTGGGGAGGAGTGGAACAGGATAACAGAATAGAAGCCTCCACTGATTGTCCCCCTTCCCAAAGGACACCAATTTAACAACTATCTACACAAAATGATCACCTTCATAAGAACCAAAAATAAGGTGAGAACTCACAGTATCCGGTTTTAACTTTATATCACTGAAAGAGGCACTGAAAAGGTAGGAGAAACAGTCCTGAATCACTGGCACCATGCCTCCCCCGTACCCTGGAAGCAGTGATGTGGTGCAAAGAATATTTTGGCGTGCTAGGCAGAGAGAGATGACAGTATTTTTGAGGCACTAAACTCAGTGCTGCCCTATTATAACAGAAAACAAACACAGACTAAACTCAGCTGACACCCACCCATGGAGCGAGTATGTAAACCAGCCACAACCAGAGGAGAATAATCTACCCCAGTGGTCCAGCCTTGTGTTCCTGCGAGCCTCACCACCACGGGCTAAAGTGCACTGCGGTTCCAAATAAACTTGACAGGCAGGCTAGGCAACAAGGATTGAAACACTTAGGTGTGTCCCAGTGCTGAACTGGGCCCAGAGAGAGTGGATTGGAGAGGACATGTAACCTACTGAGACCAGCTGAGAGAGTGCTTGCATCACCTCTCCCCTAAGCCCAGGCTGCACAACTCATGGCCCCAAAAGAGAATCATTCCCTCCATTTGAGGAGAGAGGACAGAATAGTGGGGAGGACTTTGTCTTGCATCTTGGATACAAGCTCAGCCACAGCAGGATAGGGCACGGGTCAGAGTCACGAGGCCCCCTTTCCAGGTCCTAGCTCCTGGATGATATTTCTAAACACACCCTGGGCCAGAAGGGACCCTGTTTCCTTGAAGGGAAGGACCCAGTTCTGGCAGGATTCATCACCCCGTAACGAAAGAGCCCTTGGGCCCTGAAGAACCAGCAGCAATACCTAGGTAATGTGTCGAAGGGTTTGTGTAAGACTCTAAGATGGGCTGGGCTCAGATGAGACTCAGCATATTCCCAGCTGTGGTGGCTACAAGACTCCTTTCCTTTAAGAACAGCAGAGGGAAAAGCAAAGGGGACTTTGTCCTGCACTTTCGGTACTAGCTTGGCCACAGGGGCATAGAGAACCAAGTGGGCCCTTGGGGTCTCCAACTAGGACTTGACCCTTGGATGGCATTTCTGGACCTTCCCTGGGCCAGAAGGGAGCCTATTCACCCTAAAGGGTGAATCTCAGGCCAGGCAGAATTCACCACATGCTGACGAAAGAGCCCTTGGGCCTTAGGGGAACATCAATAGTAGTCTGGCAGTACTCCCATGGGCCTGTGATAGTGATGGCCATGGGGTGAGTCTCCTCTGCCTTTGGAAAAGGGAAGGACTGCATCTCTTGGTTTGAGTGCCAGCTCAGGCACAGTACAATAGAAAGTCAGGTAGACTTCTAAAATTTTTGACTCTAGTCCCTGGCTCCCAGAAGGCACCCTGGACATGCCCAGGGGTGGGGGAACTCACCCTGAAGGGAAGGATACAGGACTGGCTGGCTTTGCCACTTGCTGATAGTAGAGTCCCAGGGCCTTGAATGAACATAGGTCATAGCCAGGGAGTGGTTATAGCAGGCCTTGGGTGAGACTCAGAGCTGTACTGGCTTTGGGTCTGACCCAGCACAGTTCTAGTAGTGTTGGTCATAGAGATGCTTGTGTTACACCATCCCCAGTTTCAGGTGTCTTAGAACACAGAGAGAGACTTCATTCACTTTGGAGAAAGTAAGGAAAGAGAACAAGAGTCTCTGCCTGGTAATCCAGAGAATCCTTTCGGCTCTTTTCCAAGACCATCAAGGCAGTACTCTATGAATCTGCAAGAACCAAAGTGTTACTGGGCCTTGGGTGCCCCCTTAAAGCAGATAGAGCTTGGATCACAACACTCAAGTCCTGTTAAATATCTGGAAAGCCTTCCCAAGAAGGATGGGTACAAATAAGCCCAGATTGAGAAAACTATAATAAATACCTAACTCTTCAAAGCTCAGACACTGAAGAACATCTACAAGCATTAACAACATCCAGGAAAAATGTGACCTCATCAAATGAACAAAATAAGGCACCAGGGACCAATCCTGGACAAAGAAGGATATGTGAACTTTAAAACAGATAATTCAAAATAGCCACGTTGAAGAAACTCAGAGAAATTCAAGACAAGACAGAGAAGGAATACAGAATGCAATCAGGTAAATTTAACAAAGAGATTGAAATAATTAGAAATTGGAGTTGAAAAATGCAACTGGCATACTGAAGAATGCATCAGAGTTTTTTAATAGCAGAAGTAACTAAACAGGAGAAAAAATTAGTGAGCCTGAAGATAGGGTATTTGAAAATTCAATCAGATGAAACAAAAGAAGAAAGAATTAAAAAAAAAAAAGAAGCACACCTACAAGATTTAGAAAATGGCCTAAAAAGAGCAAATTAAGAGTTTTTGGCCTTAAAGAGGAAACAGAGAAAGAGATAGAGGTAGAAGAGTTTCATTCAAGGGATAGTAATGGAGAACTTTACAAACCTAGAGAAAGATATCCATATCCAAGGACAAGAAGGTGACAGAACACCAAGCCAATTTAACCCAAAGAAGACTACCTCAAGGCATTTGCTAATCAAATTCCCAAAGGTCAAAGATAAAGAAAGGATCCTAAAAGCAACAAGAGAAAAGAAACAAATGACATACATTGGAGCTCCAATACATCTGGCAGCAGACTTTTCATTGGAAACCTTACCAGTCAGGAAAGAGTAGCATGACATATTTAAAGTGCTGAAGGAAAAAATATTTACCCCAGAAGAGTATATCCAGCGAATATGTATTTCAAACATGAAGGAGAAATGAAGACTTTCTCAGACAATCAAAAGCTGAGAGATTTCATCAACACAAGACCTGTCCTACAAGAATTGCTACAGGGAGTACTTCAATCAGAAAGAAAAGGATGTTAATAAAATTAGAGACAAGAAGGTACAAAACTCACTGATAATAGGAAATACATAGAAAAACACAGAATATTATAACACAGTAAATGTGGTGTGTAAACTACTCTTATCTTAAGTAGAAAGACTAAATGATGAACCAATCAAAAACAATAACTGCAATAACTATTCAAGACAAAGACAGTACAATACGATATAAATAGAAACAATAAAAAGTTAAAAAGCAGGGGAACTAAATTAAGGCATAAAGTCTTTGTTAGTTTTGTATTGGCTAGTTTGTTTGTTTATGAAAACAGTGTTAAATTGTTATCAGCTTAAAATAAAACATTTAAAACATTTTTTTAAATTGAAATAGTATCCAGCGTTTTGTCTGACCACCATAGAATAGAACTAAAAAGCAATAACAAGAGGAATTTGGGAAACTATACAAATACATACTATACAAATACATGTAAAGTAAATAATGCACTCCTGAATGACCAGTGAGTCATTAAAGAAATTAAAAATTAAAAAGGAAATTAAAAAAAATTCTTGAAACAAATGATAATGGAAACACAACACACTAAAACCTATAAAATATAGCAAAAGCAGTACTAAGAGAGAAGTTTATAGCTATAAGTGTCTACATCAAAAAAAAACAACTTCACATAAACAACCAATGATGCATCTTAAAGAACTAGGAAAGCAAGAGCAAACCAAACCCAAAATTAGTAGATGGAAATAAATAATAAAGATCAGAGCAGAAAAAAATGAAATTTAAATACAAAAAAATCAATGAAACAAAAAGTTAGTTTTTTGAAAAGATAAACAAAATTGATAAACCATTAGCTGGACTAAGAAAATAAGACAGACAATTCAAATAAATAAAGTCAAAGATGAAAAAGGAGACATTACAGCTGATATCACAGAAATTCAAAGGATCATTAGCAGCTACTATAAGCAAGCATATGTCAATAAGTTGGAAAACCTAGAAGAAATGAACAAATTCCTAGACACATACCACCTACCAAGATTGAACCATGAAGAAATCTAAAACCTTAATAGGCAAATAACAAGTAATGAGATTGAAGCTATAATAAAATATCTCCCAGTAAATAAAAGCCTGGGACCCGATGGCTTCACTACTGAATTCTACCAAACACTTAAAGAAAAACTAATACCAATACTACTCAAAATATTACAAACAACAGAGGAGAAGGAAATACTTCCAAATTCATTCTACAAGGGCAGAATTACCTTCATACCAAAACCAGACAAAGACTAGCCAAAAAAAGGAAACTACAGGCCAATATCTCTGATGAATATTGATGCAAATATCCTGCAAAAATACTAGCAAACCAAATTAAACAATATATTAAAAAGATCATTCATCATAATCAAATGGGATTTATTTCTAGGATGCAATGATGGGTTAACATATGCAATCAATTAATGTGATCCATTATATCAACAGAATGAAGGATAAAAGCCATATGATCATTTCAATTGATGCTGAAAAAGCATTTGATAAAATTCAACATCCCTTCATAATAAAAATCATCTAAAATCTGGGTATAGAAAGAACATACCTCAACATAATAAAATCCATATATGACAGACCCATAGCTAGTATCATACTGAATGGGGAAAAACTGAAAGTCTCTTTTCTAAGATCAGGAACGTGACAAGGATGCCCATTTTCACCACTGTTATTTGAAATATTACTGGAAGTCCTGGCTGGAGCAATGAGATAAGAGAAGGAAATAAAGGGCATTCAAATTAGAAAGGAAGAAGTCGAATTATCCTTGTTTGCAGATGATATAATCTTATAGTTGGAAAAACCTAAAGACTCCACCAAAAAAAACCATTAGAACTGATAAACAAATTCAGTTAAGTTGCAAGATACAAAAATCAACACAAAAACATTAGTAGCATTTCTATATGCCAACAGCAAACAATCTGAAAAAGAAATTAAAAACATAATTCCATTTACAGTAGCCACAAATAAAATTAAATACCTAGGAATTAACTCAACTGAAGAAGTGAAAGTTCTCTATGATGAAATCTGTAAAACACTAATAAAAGAAATTGAAGAAGTCACCAAATATGGAAAGATATTCCATGTTCATAGATTGGAAGGATCAATATTGTTAAAATGTCCATACTATCCAAAGCAATCTGTAGATTCAATGCAATCCCTATCAGAAGACCAATGATATTCTTCACAAAAATAGAAAAAACAATACTAAAATTTATATGGAATCCCAAAAGACCTGGAATAGTCAAAGCTACCCTAAGCAATAAGAACAAAACTGGAGAAATCACATTACTTGACTTGAAATTATACTACAGAGCTATTGTAACCAAAACAGCATAGTACTGGCATAGAAACAGACACATAGAACAATGGAACAGAATAGAGAATCCAGAAACAAATCCACACACCTAAAGTAAACTCATTTTTGACAAAGGTACCAAGAACAAACAGTGGGGAAAAGACAGTCTCTTCAATAAATGATGCTAGGATGGATATCCATATGCAGAAGAATGAAACTATACCCCATCTCTCATCATATACAAAAATCAAATCAGAATAGATTAAAGACTTAAATTTGAGACTCTAAGCTATGAAACTACTATAAGAAAACTTTGTGGAAACTCTCCAGTACATTGGTCTGGACAAAAAGTTTGTTTTTTTTTTCTTTTTTTTGGTGGGGCGGGGGAACAGAGTCGTTCTCTGTCACCCAGGCTGGAGTGCAATCGCATGATCTCAGCTCACTGCAACCTCCGCCTCCTGGGTTAAAGCAATTCTCCTGTCTCAGCCTCCCCAATAGCTGGGACTACAGGTGTACGCCACCATGCCTGGCTAATTTTTGTGTTCTTAGTAGAGATGGGGTTTCACCATTTTGGTAAGGGTGGTCTCGAAATCCTTACCTCAAGTGATCCACCTGCCTCAGCTTCTCAAAGTTCTAGGATTACAGGCATGAGCCACCGCACCCGGTGACAAAAAAAATTCTTGAGCGATAATACCCCACAAGCACAGGCAACCAAAGCAAAAAATGGACAAATGGGATCACATCAAGTTGAAAACCTTCTGCACAGCAAAGGAAACAATCAAAAAAGAGAAAAGACGACCCACAGAATGGAAGAAAATATCTGCAAACTGCCCATCTGATAAGGGATTAATAACTAGAATATATAAGGAGTTCACACCACTCTACAGGAAAAATCTAATAATCTGATTTAAAAATGAACAAAAGATCTGAATAGACATTTCTCAAAGAAGACATACAAGTGTCAAGCAGGCATATGAAAAGGTGCTCAATGTCATTGGTCATCAGAGAAATGCAAATCAAAACTACAATGAGATATCATCTCATCCCAGTTAAAATGGCTTATATCCAAAAGACAGGCAATAACAAATGCTGGCAAGGATGTGGAGAAAAGGGAACCCTTGTACACTGTGGGAATGTAAATTAGTACAACCACTATGGAGATCAGTTTGAAGGTTCCTCAAAAAACTAAAAATAGAGGTACCATATAATCCAGCAATCCCACTGCTAGGTATATGCCCTCCTTCCAAAAAAAAAAAAAAAAGGAAATGAGTATATCAAAGAGATATCTGCACTCCCATGTTTGTTGTAGCATGGTTCACGAACGACAGCCAAAATTTGGAAGCAATCTAAGGGTCCATCAACAGATAAATGGATAAAGAAAATGTGGTACTCGGCCAGACATGGTGGCTCACGCCTGTAATACCAGCACTTTGGGAGGCTGAGGCGGGTGGATCACCTGATGTTAGGAGTACGAGACCAGCCTGGCCAACATGGTGAAACCCCGTCTCTACTAAAAATACAAAAATTAGCCAGGCGTGGTGATGGGCGCCTATAATCCCAGCTACTTGGGAGATTGAGGCAGGGGAATCACTTGACTCCAGGAAGCACAGGTTGCAGTGAGCCAAGACTGTGCCACTGCACTCCAGCCTGGGCAACAAGAGCGAGACTCCATCTCAAAAAAAAAAAAAAAATTGTGGTACTCATACATGGAATTCTAACTGATGAACTTTTCCCCAAAAAACCCTAACATGAGCATACTCCAAATCCATAGGTATATTTGGAAACAAGGCCAAAAGCAAACCTCAGCCTTGCAACAGTTCACATTCCCTTTTTTGGTTTTAGTTGATTTACCAGTGTTCTTTCTTCCTGTTTCTCTTATGGATTTCACATATCTGAGTACTTCCAAATGACCATGATCGATATCCATGATTATATTCCTCTGATTGAGGCCCTTCCTTGTTGAATTTGTCTAATGGGAGACAACAGAGATAAAACTAAAAATAACACATGATATCTATTTTTAAAAGCTAATAGAAATAGGTATTTTAAAATTGATTTTTAAAATGATATTTTGCTCATAGATTTTGCTTATCTGTATAACACATTATTCTTTTATTTCCATTTGTAATCAGGATTTAATTGGTAAACTAACTTTTTAAACTGTTTTGATATTTTCTAAACTCAAGAGACTCCTCCTACACCAGAAGTCACTAAATAAAATAAAGCGGAAAAATACTAAATGTCAATCCAAAAAATATGCCAATGGAAGTGATCTGGGTCTTGTGAGCTAACAAAGGACTGGAAAACAGTGAGTGAGAGTATCAACACTCTCCGTATAAGGAGGTGCCTGAAACATCCAAACTTAGAGAAAGACTCGGTAACTGAAAAACCACTTATATGTGAACTAATGTAGTATTAGTATTTTGAGCTAGTATTAACTTAGTATTTTGAGCTAATGTTAAAATTTCTGAGGTCAAGTTTTAGAGAGAAGCCCGATCAAAAGCCATTTTACACATTTTTAATCTGAAGATTGTAACTGGTAGGGAAGGGAATCTGGATCCAAACCCACTTAGAGAATAGTTTCAAAAGAATGTGGGCATTTAAAGGCTAATTCTTAGACCAACAAATGGTAAAATCAGGCATAATAAAGTAACAATATTATTGGAAAAAATAAGGATGGAAAAGTTAAAGATACTATCTTAGGTTTATTCATTAAAAGACCTAAATGTGTCTGCTACATTTCTGAGCTAGGAAGTGAGTTAAACTGCAGTGACTTCTCCCTTCTGCTTCCAAGTAGGCAGAAACAGTAGTTAGCTGAGAACCTAACTCACACTTGGATTTTCTGCCTCTGGTTAATGTTTCTGAGATAGGTAGATATAACTCAGAGTGAGCTCTTAGTGAACTGGGCATAGGCGAGAACTGTGAAAGAATGAATAGATGTGGATAGAGTGGAAACTGAAGCTCCAAGTTACAAGAGAAATATTAATAGTTGTCAGCACTTAGGAGGGACCGATTCAGCAGCCCTCTAGACCCTGGCAAAGGCCAGAGGAACCCTCAAAGAATATACTCTACACAGCAGTCTTCCCTAAGGTTACACACTATTTACACACTATTGACATGCTATTTGCACCTCATCTTGGTATCCCAGAGACTATGCTGGTGGCACTCCTGTATTGGGCTATAGATTTCCCAAGTGCTTAAAAAAAAGCTATCAAGGGGATGTGTAACAGCATAGCCACTTTGGAAGAAAGTTTGACAGTTTCTTACAAAACTAAACATATTTTTTTTTTTTTTGAGATGGAGTATCACTCCGTTGCCCAGGCTGGAGTGCAATGGCGCAGTCTCGGCTCACTGCAACCTCTACCTCCCAGGTTCAAGCGATTCTCCTGCCTCAGCCTCCCAAGTAGCTGGGATTACAGGCACTCATCACCATGCCCAGCTAATTTTTGTATTTTTAGTAGAGACAGGGTTTCACCATGTTGGTCAGGCTGGTCTCGAACTCCTGACCTTGTGATCCACCCGCCTTGGCCTCTCAAAGTGCTGGGATTACAGGTGTGAGCCACCGTGCCTGGCCTACATACTCTTATGTATGATCCAGCAATCACTCTCTTTGGTATTTACTTAAATAAGTTGAAAGTTTATGTTCATACAAAAACCTGCACATAGTTGTTTATAGCCATTATAATTATCACAAGTTGTAATCAAGGTGTCCTTTAGTAGGATAATGGATTAAAAAAATAACTGTGGCAATACAATGGAAACCTTGAATGCATACTACTAAGTGAAAGAAGACAATTTTAAAAGAATCAGTGGTGGTCAGGGGTTGCTGGGTGGGGCAGGATAAATAGATGGAACACAGGGATTTTTAGAGAAGTGAAACTACTCTGTACCATAATATAATGGTGGATACATGTTATTGTACACATGTCAAAACCCATAGAATGTACACCACCAAGAGTGAACCCTAATGTAAACTATAGACTTTGGTTGATAATGATACCAATATAGCTTTACCAATTAGAACAAATGTACCACTCTGGTTCAGAATGTTGATAGTAGGGGAGGCTGTGCATGTGATGTGGTAAGAAGATATATGGAAACTCTCTGTACTTTCCATTTAATTTTTCTACATACATAAAATTGCTCTGAAAAATAAAATCTATTTATTATTATTATTATCATTATTATTATTATTATTATTATTATTATTATTATTATTTTGAGACAGAGTCTCACTGTCGCCAGCCTGGAGTGCAGTGGCACAATCTCGGCTCACTGCAACCTCTGCCTCCCAGGTTCAAGCGATTCTCCTGTCTCAGCCTCGTGAGTAGCTGGAACTACAGGCGTGCGCCACCACACCTGGCTAATTTTGGTATTTTTAGTAGAGACAGGGTTTCATCAGATTGGGTAGGATGGTCTTGATCTCTTGACCTCGTGATCCGCCCACCTCAGGCTCCCAAAGTGCTGGGATTACAGGTGTGAGTCACCGCGACCAGCCAAAATCTGTCTTTTTCAAAAAGCTACCAGATCCTTAAAGGCCCTTGGAGATGTGGTGGAATATAGAGGAGTATAAAAGGAGAATATAGAGTTCTGGATGAAGGCATGCAGGGAGTTAGAATAAGGGAACTAACTCTTCTATAGCTGAAGAATTCTGTGGCTGAATTTTATTGTTAAAGAAAACATAAAATCAGAAATTTTTGTAATAATCAAATTGAAATTCTTGTTCAATAGGTATAAACAGAGAATAGGAACCAAAGGTATTTTTCTTAAATAATTTAATAGCTGAATATCATGTAGCTTAAAATTCTGTGGAAATTGATGGTGATGATGCAGAGAGAGGGTCACTGCAGTATCTAATAGCTTCATGAGGATGTTGGAGACCTCCTTGCTAATGTCATACCAATGTTAGTAGGAAAAATCAAAGATAACAAGTAGGCTTCCGCAGTCAGAAAAAGAGAGTGATTTCTCAGATTACCCTCATCTGTCCTTAGCCTTGACATAAGCATTATTGGTTTGGGCACATTAGATGATATTATGTAGTATTTTGAAAATCTTTGCATAACTTACTGAATACTTTGTGTGGTTTAAACTATGGTAGCATCATAGCACAGAAAAAGTCATAGGTTGAGCAGCTCCCTGACTTACTGTCCTCATGAAGTAAACCACCTCTGAATTCTGGGCCCTCCAGGGCCATTGCAGGAGGTTCTGGCATTCTGTTAGACACTATTATCCATAGCAATTCTCCAGCTACCTTTGAGGCATCATCTGTATTAGTTGGAGCCTGGGAGCAAAATGACTCAAATTCTCAAGTTAGATATCCCAGAGAAAAGTTTCCCTTACCAATTCCTGATAATCTAGTTTCACCAGTGTCAAGCCTATGAATGTGTTATGCTACCTGACAAAAGGAACTCTGCAGATGTAAATAAGGCTATTAAGTATTAACATGTAGTTAAGATAATTCTAAGTTATCTGAGTGGGTCCAATGTAATAGCATGAATCCTTAAAAACAGAGCTAAGCAAATTTTCACCAACTTTGAAAGGTGCTATTGAAATAGTTTGCCTTAACATACTTAATACAATTTCCCTTGAGGATCCCCAGAGCCAAATCAGGAAAAATCCAAGTTCAACGAAAGGTTTACATGACTAAAGATCTAGAAGGACATGTTATGTCCTTCTAGTAAAACAAAACAAAGGCAGCATTTCCAAATAGAAACACTAACGTGATCATAAGGACAAATACTTTGAATTGCAGTGTTTGACTTGCAGTCCACTTAAGCAACCCTACATACCCTGATCTAGAGAAAATAATTAATTCTGAGAAATTAATAACTGTATATAATTAAATACAATTATTAACTGTACATATTTAAATAACTGTATATACTTAAATGCAGTTAATAATTCCTCAGAGCCACATTAGTCTATTTATGAGTGTTCTAACAAGATTTTTATTAATCAAGATAATGTGAACATTATGAAATCAACTGTAAAGATTTCAGCGTGTTCTATTCTTAAAAATGGTTAATATAGTTAAAGGTGACAGCGTGCTGGCAGCCCTCTCAGCCCTCGCTCGCTCTTGGCGCCTCCTCGGCCTCGGCGCCCACTCTGGCCGCACTTGAGGAGCCCTTCAGCCCGCCGCTGCACTGTAGGAGCCCCTTCCTGGGATGGCAGGGGCCAGAGCCGGCTCGCTCAGCCTGCGGGGAGATGTAGAGGGAGAGGCACAGGCGGGAACCAGGGCTGCGCTCTGCACTTGCCGGCCAGCTAGAGTTCCGGGTGGGTGTGGGCTTGGTGGGCCTGCACTTGGAGTGGCCGGCCGGCCCTGCCGCCGCTGGCAGTGAGGGGCTTAGCACCCGGGCCAGCAGTTGCAGAGGGTGTGCCGGGTCCCCCAGCAGTGCCAGCCCACTGGCGCTGTGCTTGATTTCTCTCCAAGCCTTAGCTGCCTCCCTGCGAGGCAGGGTTCAGGACCTGCAGCCTGCCATGCCTGAGCCTCACCCCCAACCCCTGCCACCGTGGGCTCCTGCACGGCCCCAGCCTCCCCATGAGTGCCATCCCCTGCTCCACAGCGCCTGGTCCCATTGACCGCCAGAGTGCGGGCGCACAGCAGGGGACTGGCAGGCAGTTCCACCTGCAACCCCAATGGGGGAGCCACTGGGTGAAGCCAGCTGGGCTCCTGAGTCTAGTGGGGACTTGGAGAACTTCTATGTCTAGCTGGAGGATTGTATATGCACCAAACAGCACCCTGTGTCTAGCCCATGGTTTGTAAATGCACCAATCAGCACTCTGTATCTAGCTAATCTGGTGGGGACTTGGAGAACCTTTGTGTCTAGCTAAGGGATTGTGAATACACCAATCGGCACTCTGTATCTAGCTCAAGGTTTGTAAATACACCAATCAGCACTCTGTATCTAGCTAATCTAGTGGGGACTTGGAGAACTTTTGTGTCTAGCTCCAGGATTGTAAATGCACCAATCAGCACCGTGTCAAAATGGACCAATCAGCTCTCTGTAAAACAGACCAATCAGCTCTCTGTAAAATGGACCAATCAGCAGGATGTGGGTGGGGCCAGATAAGAGAATAAAGGCAGTCTGCCCCAACCAGCAGTGGCAACCCGCTCTGGTAACCTTCCACAGTGTGGGAGGTGTTTTGTTTTGCCCTTTGCAATAAATCTTGCTGCCGTTCACTCTTTGGGTTCACACTTCCTTTATGAGCTGTAACACTTACTGGGAAGGTCTGCAGCTTCACTCCTGAGCCAGCGAGACCACAAACCCACCAGAGAGAAGAAACTCCGAACACATGTGAACATCAGAAGGAACAAATTCTGGACACGCGGCCTTTAAGAACTGTAACACTCACCGCGAGGGTCCACAGCTTCGTTCTTGAATTCAGTGAGACCAAGAACCCACCAATTCCGGACACAATAGGAAATAACTATTTCTGGAAACATTATGAGTCCAGATCATTTTAGAAAAAAAAAATTGTATATAATGTTTTCCATTCTTCCATGGTTATTTTTCACTTCAAGTTTCCTACTTCTTTAATGAATTTCAATAATTTTTATGTTTCATAAAATTATTTTCTTAAGATTCACTATTTTTATCATAGTTTCACATAATGTTAGCATTTCTTATCTCGTGTGTTACATTGTTTTTCTCATTTTTAAAATGTTGCATTTTTGTGTACTTTTTATCAATACAAATTGTACTTCTTATCTGTATTAATGTTGTTGCTCTGGACTTCTACCTATACTGTGTCTGTGTAGTAATCTGCTGTTTTTGTTCTTCCTCTTACCCTTAACTTTTTTTTTGTTTTAGTTATGTATCTGCTAATGCATAGTTATCTGCTAACTGCATCTTCTTTTAAAAACCATTAGAAGAATTATTGTCTCTTACTATTTCTGTTGAAACAATTCATGTATATTGGCAAAATCAACATTATATTTCTATTACATTTCTTTCTACCATTTATTTTTTATATTTTCTTGAGAACTTCCTAATCATCTATATTTTATTCCCCCAATACACACTCATCCTCAGAGCAACTGAAACCTTAGTAAATATTTCCAGGTACTTCCCTCCCTTGGTGGGAGACTTTTTACTACTTATCATTTACTATTATTATTTGTTAGAGTCTAATCACTCTATTTTAAACAGACAAATGCTTCCTTTAAAACATCTAAAAACAAAAGGCAACAAAACAGTTTTTATGTCAAAACTTAATGTAATTTTATCTTCCACACTTCTTGTTCTTCCTCTCCAGCGAAGCAGCATCTTTGCCAGAGGCCTGGTTTGTGTTCCTATTAGGTTCCTAAAAGGGGAACTCACCATAAGAATTCATACCATGGTTTCTAAGGCCCTTAAACTACAACACTGCACAGTTACAGATATTTTTTTCCAAAATAACTACTTTAAAATATTACCATATAGCTACATCAATACACAATAAGACAATGTCTCTGACTTTTAAAAGATTATAATTGATTTCCTTCCACTATATTATACAGCCTTATTACTGCTCAAGAATTCCTTTAAGATGAAAAGATAGGTATAAATGTTATGACACTGGAAAAAAAATCAACTCTATGTCACACTCAAATTATACTTAGTCATAACCTGAAAAGAACATATTTCATAGCAGAAAACAAAGCAAAACAAACAAAAAACCTGTGACTTCTTTGGAATTTGTCTCTACATGTTAAAAAAGTGAAAATAATTTATTTATTTCACTTCCAAATGAGCAGGACAATATATTTTTAATGACTTACAACAACCACAATGAAAGGCCTGGCGCGGTGGCTCACGCCTGTAATCCCAGCACTTTGGGAGGCCGAGGTGGGCGGATCACAAGGTCAGGAGATCCAGACCATCTGGGCTAACGTGGTGAAACCCCGTCTCTACCAAAAAATACAAAAAATTAGCCGGGCGTCGTGGCAGGCGCCTGTAGTCCCAGCTACTCGGGAGGCTGAGACAGGAGACTGGAGTGAACCCAGGAGGCAGAGCTTGCAGTGAGCGGAGATCGCGCCACTGCACTCCAGCGTGGGCGACAGAGTGAGACTCCATCTCAAAAAAAAAAAATTAGTTATTTAAAAAAAATCTCTGGGAGACAAGGGAGGCTCCCTTCAATTGTAAGGTATCTACACAGTTAGAATGTTTCCAACAACCCAGTTAGTGCTGTTGGCTAAGGCCCTCTAGGCAGGCAAGACAAACCCATACCTGGAATAGATTTCTATTCCTGTGAGAAGAAATGGCTGGTCCTTCCAGGATAGAAGGCATTCCATATAGCTAACTTGCCACTGACTGTCCAGTTGGCCCCCTTGAGTAACAGAGCTATCCAGTAGGTGTAGTGTTTATGTTGACGACAGGTTGGCATTCTGAGGAGGCATTTGTTACATCGTTGTTGGTAAGTGGGAGTCCTTACTGTTGGGCCTAGGCAGGACCTCCATCTTGCCCACTGTGGCCATATCATTTGTGTGCCTATCCTGCCAGCACTTAATGATACTGCTCTAAGGTGACTTTGCCAGTTTGCCTAGGATTGAGGAGGTTTCCAGGATGCTATACTTTCCATTTCAAAGCCTGGATTGTCCCAGGCAAAATGAGACAAACTGATCCCCTACTAGTGCCCCTCTCACCAGCATATTCCTAATGGTCTTCATTTATTATCTGGACTTTCCCAGGGGATATAATTTTCTAATGGGTCTTCTGGCATCACATAATATTATACATTACACCATGTCCATTTCTCTGAATCCTTTAATCCCTTCCCCTACTGCCTCCCATAACAATCCTAGCATTTCAACCTTGCTCAGCATGGGCCATCACTTTTTCCAGACTCCTAAGAGCCACTCCAACAGCAAGTTTACACCATTCCCTGGGCACCGTGTCAGGTGTTAAATCCTGTATACTGAGAGACTACTCCCAAATTAACAAAACTTTCCTTATCCAGTCTTATGTTCCAATCCCCTTGACCAAGCACCCTCAAGATCCATTCCCACAGAGGGCACTCCTACAGTCTCTGCTGCTGCCTGCTGGCTACTTTATGCAGCACCTTTGGGATGTAGATTCTTTCCTCCCTCTTCAGGCCTGACACATTCCCAGCTGGTAATGATAATAACCAGCTTAACTTTGATAGGCCCGGTGACCAGGAGAGGAGAGGCACACAGCTCCTAATTTGTGAGCTATTGCCTTGTGGGGAAAAGGCCTCCCCAGTATCTCTTCACAGTGCCAGCTCTCGTTGAAGAAAGTGGGGCCACTTCTGCAAGGCCATGGGTTCAAAAGAAGTCTGCAGAGTCAAAACCTTCAAGGACATCTAGCTAGATGTCCACATCCCATGCATCAGGTCCCAGGTTTTCTTAACTAGAGCCTTGACTTCGGAAGAGCAGATCTATTTCAATTGAGCATTTAACCATCATTGAAATTCAGCCACTCTATCCAACTCTGTGCTTGGTATTCATCTTTTCCTGCTCACCCACTAATAAGGTTAGGGCTTCTTAATAATCTACCAAAAGGAGTCTCTGGATCACATACTCAGCTTTTTCAATTATGTTCATTGTCCTCAGCTTTTCCTTATCTACCCGTTGGGCATAAAACAACCAAGTAGCAACCATGCAATTTCATCTCGTTATGTTTATCACCCCAGCCCCCATACCTTTCAATATGTGAATCATCACACTGGCTTGTGCATTCACCTCTACTAGCATGCTGGCCTACCTCACTACTAATGAAAATTTCAACAGACTACCACCTCTTGTTAGAGGTTGCCAGCTTGCCACCTACCTCATTTCCAGTTGGGTAGTGAATAATCCAGTCCCTAAATCTCATCTTGATGCCTGTTTTCCTGGAGTTGTCTTGGTATCAGCTATTACAAGCTGGGTTTCAGCACAGCAAATACTTACACAAAGTTAAAGTACAAAAGTTTATTGAAAAGTAACACCTGTTAAAGAAGAAGGAAAGAAGCAGGACTGGGCAGGGGCAGCTGTCAGACAGCAGTGACAATCTGACAAAATTTCTCCCAGGCCAACAGGGAACTCTGAAATAAATACTACTTGTTAGAGAAATCCATATTGAGTGGAAATAGCTAGACTCTTGTATCATCACCTTGCTCAATCATTGGCTTGGGGGCCACTGGGAAAAGAACATGTTCTTGGCTTGAAAGCTGAGGAAGGCCCTGACAAACCTATCAGTTAGACTGTCAGGTTGTACTAAGCATGTCCTTTTTTTTCTGATGCTTTCACATCTGCAGCCTTATTGACCCTGGAGGGACTGCCCCACCCAGGGCTAACTAATTCCTAAAGATAGTAAATGACTGCTTAGGACTAGCCTGTCACATGCAAGCCAACCCTTACCACCTGCCTTATGGAGCCCTTATACTCCAAGCCACTATTAGGGCCTTGCCCTAATTACTCCAGGGCCAGGTATCATGCAACTAATGACAGCCCCTACACCTGAGAGCCCCTGAAATTATTCAAACTAGCCAATCCTAAGCCTGCTTACCTTATCCCACCTGTTCCTTACCACAGAAACAATGATAAAGGCTCTTCCTTATAGTACCTTTTTCACCCCTTTCCTTCTGAGTGACCCTGGTGCTTCACTGTGTGGCATGGTGTGCACCCTCCTCTTGGGAATTGTGAGTAACAAACTGTCTTTTCATTGACAATCTTCTCCTGATTGCTTAGCCTCACCATACCAAAATAAAAAACAAATCTACAGTTAAAAGACAGATACTCATACTCTTTGCAGTTAAGCACCAAGCTTTATCTTGAAGAAGGATCTGAAGGATATCTCCATGTCTGCTATAAGAGTGAATTTTGTAACAGCTGAAACACAGTTGCAGTATGCAGAAAGCAGTGACGTTTTATTTACTCACTGAATAATTCAAAAATTATTCAAATAAATTATTTGAGTAATTTATATAAATTATTTAAATTATTAAATGAATGATTAACCCCATGCCACATAGGGATGACAGGCTCTGAGAACATAGCAATCCTTTCTTTTGTGGACTCTATTGTCTACTGTGTAGACAAATTTCAAAAAAGTGTGCTGAGGCCAGGCACAGTGGCTCACTTCTATAATCCCAGCACTTTGGGAGGCCAAGGCAGGAGGATTGCTTGAGGCCAAAAGTTTAAGACCAACTTAGGCAATATAGCAAGACCCCATCTCTACCAAAAATTAAAATATTAGCTGAGCATGGTTGTGCACACCTGTAGTCCCAGCTACTAGGGAGGCCAAGGTGGGAAGATTGCTTGAGCCCAGGAGTTCAAGGCTACAGTGAGACACAATCATGCCAATGCACTCCTGCATAGGCAACGGAGTGAGACCCTGTCTCAAAATAAAATAAAATAAAAAAGTATACTGAGTGTTGTAATGAGTATAAGAGGAGAAGTAAACTGATGTTGGATCACACTGCAGAGGAACCAACCTACCCAAAGAGAAAAAGCCTACAAGTAGGCCTTAGTGATCATTCTGATTTCGGAACTAAGAAAAAAAATTATTGAAAGAGGTAGGAAAAGATAATCCAAGCTAAAGGAACAGAACTGGAAGGGATAGAGAGACAGCATATTAAAGTAACTAAAAGAAATTCAATGGATAGAGTGTAGAGTATCAGAGGTATGGTGGGAATAAGCATGAAAGGTGGGCAAGGGCCAGATACTACAGAGCGTTGCCACCCATGTTAAGGAGAACAGATTCTATCTTAAGTGTACGGGAAGCTATTGAAGAGTTTTTAAAAGAATAGTAACATAATTCAATTTGTAATCATCATTCTTGCAGCTGAGTAAACCAGAGTGGGAAAAGGATTAGAGGCAGAAGGGCTAATCAGAAGGCTGTGACAGTAATCAAGCTAATGATTACAGTGGCCTGGAGTCATGTGGTGGCAGTGAGGATGAGAGGGAAAGAAATTGGTTCAATAAATATTTATGTATATAGGGCACCAAGAAAAGAGATACAGTCAAGGATGACACCTTAGTTTGTTAGGTTTCTGGGATTCAAAACTGGGTGAATGGGAGTGGACTTGTGGAAATAGGGAATACTGGAGAAACAGGTTTAGAAAAACGAAAGAAGAAGACGTGAATACAGAGCACAATGAAAAGATTAGGCTCCCAAGGGATGAGAAAACCTCTTCTGCTAAAACAGGAAGAATATGGGCAGATGGGTACAGATCTGTAGACATGATAGCAGGAAGTGGAGGGAGTGTCCATCTGAAGGCTTCTCTTTTGTTTTTCCAATAGTAGAAAGGTAAGTCATCTGTTGAAAGCAAGTGCAGTGAATAAGGAATGGAAAATTCATACTGGGGAAGAGTAGAAAGATTTGAAATGGTTTTAATAAACCCTATGCTTGACATTGACCAGGGAAACCTAGCTGTATTGCTAGGCAGTATTGAAGGGCCAGCTAAGACCAATAGTCATAAATTTATAATGTAATAATTCTTAAAATAGATACTATGTAGTATCTATTTTAATACATAGTAGTATCTCTTTAATAACAGAGTTTATCAGCCAGACCCTCCAGTAGGTGAAATAATGTATGATGTTGCATACTAAATGTATTATATTTATGTGCTCTGATTGCTTTTCTCATTGTGGAGGAAAATTACAAGAGTAAAATTTGTGAATGCATGCAGGAAAGTGAAAATTACTCATCATATAAGAAAACAACTCTATGCAGCTCAAAGGGGACTGATGCAGAGAACTTAGGAGAGGGGTAAAGGATACACACTTCTTTCTTATTTTATTTTTTTTTTTCATTTCTTTTTTTTTTAATGTTTTTTTTTTATTATACTTTAAGTTTTAGGGTACATGTGCACATTGTGCAGGTTAGTTACATATGTATACATGTGCCATGCTGGTGCGCTGCACCCACTAACGTGTCATCTAGCATTAGGTATATCTCCCAATGCTATCCCTCCCCCCTCCCCCGACCCCACCACAGTCCCCAGAGTGTGATATTCCCCTTCCTGTGTCCATGTGATCTCATTGTTCAATTCCCACCTATGCGTGAGAATATGCGGTGTCTGGTTTTTTGTTCTTGCGATAGTTTACTGAGAATGATGGTTTCCAATTTCATCCATGTCCCTACAAAGGACATGAACTCATCATTTTTTATGGCTGCATAGTATTCCATGGTGTATATGTGCCACATTTTCTTAATCCAGTCTATCATTGTTGGACATTTGGGTTGGTTCCAAGTCTTTGCTATTGTGAATAATGCCGCAATAAACATACGTGTGCATGTGTCTTTATAGCAGCATGATTTATAGTCCTTTGGGTATATACCCAGTAATGGGATGGCTGGGTCAAATGGTATTTCTAGTTCTAGATCCCTGAGGAATCGCCACACTGACTTCCACAATGGTTGAACTAGTTTACAGTCCCACCAACAGTGTAAAAGTGTTCCTATTTCTCCACATCCTCTCCAGCACCTGTTTTTTCCTGACTTTTTAATGATTGCCATTCTAACTGGTGTGAGATGATATCTCATAGTGGTTTTGATTTGCATTTCTCTGATGGCCAGTGATGATGAGCATTTTTTCATGTGTCTTTTGGCTGCATAAATGTCTTCTTTTGAGAAGTGTCTGTTCATGTCCTTCGCCCACTTTTTGATGGGGTTGTTTGTTTTTTTCTTGTAAATTTGTTTGAGTTCATTGTAGATTCTGGATATTAGCCCTTTGTCAGATGAGTAGGTTGCGAAAATTTTCTCCCATGTTGTAGGTTGCCTGTTCACTCTGATGGTAGTTTCTTTTGCTGTGCAGAAGCTCTTTAGTTTAATTAGATCCCATTTGTCAATTTTGGCTTTTGTTGCCATTGCTTTTGGTGTTTTGGACATGAAGTCCTTGCCCACGCCTATGTCCTGAATGGTAATGCCTAGGTTTTCTTCTAGGGTTTTTATGGTTTTAGGTCTAACGTTTAAATCTTTAATCCATCTTGAATTGATTTTTGTATAAGGTGTAAGGAAGGGATCCAGTTTCAGCTTTCTACATATGGCTAGCCAGTTTTCCCAGCACCATTTATTAAATAGGGAATCCTTTCCCCATTGCTTGTTTTTCTCAGGTTTGTCAAAGATCAGATAGTTGTAGATATGCGGCATTATTTCTGAGGGCTCTGTTCTGTTCCATTGATCTATATCTCTGTTTTGGTACCAGTACCATGCATTGTCTCAGCCCAAAATCTCCTTAAGCTGATAAGCAACTTCAGCAAAGTCTCAGGATACAAAATCAATGTACAAAAATCACAAGCATTCTTATACACCAACAACAGACAAACAGAGAGCCAAATCATGAGTGAACTCCCATTCACAATTGCTTCAAAGAGAATAAAATACTTAGGAATCCAACTTACAAGGGACATAAAGGACCTCTTCAAGGAGAACTACAAACCACTGCTCAAGGAAATAAAAGAGGACACAAACAAATGGAAGAACATTCCATGCTCATGGGTAGGAAGAATCAATATCGTGAAAATGGCCATACTGCCCAAGGTAATTTACAGATTCAATGCCATCCCCATCAAGCTACCAATGACTTTCTTCACAGAATTGGAAAAAACTACTTTAAAGTTCATATGGAACCAAAAAAGAGCCCGCATCGCCAAGTCAATCCTAAGCCAAAAGAACAAAGCTGGAGGCATCACACTACCTGACTTCAAACTATACTACAAGGCTACAGTAACCACACTTCTTTCTTTAACAAGATTAAAGAATGCCTCTAGTCAAGATGTTTCTTTGGCCTCCTATGGTTAAGTGCAGGTAAAAAAAAATTACTTGTAGAAAACATAAGAAAATAACTGTCAACATGAAAGCCATCACAGGTTGTAATGAGTGTTGTATTTCTTAAACCATGTTTGTATGAATGCTTTAGGAATAAGACCAATTTGTAGAAGCAAAAGAACATGCCAATCTAAGCGGGGCGGGGGTGGGGGCAGTATTTTGGAAACATCCAGGACCAGTTTCAAATTGTATGAGCTCTCCCCTACACACACACACACAAACACACACACACACACACACACTGCCTTGGGAACAAGTACTCTACGAACTACTGAACATGACAAGTGCTTTACATTTATTAGTTCATTTGATTTGATTTGACTAAATGTAGTTTTTGCAACTCTATGAGAATGGTATTTTAACTCAATTTTTACATGTTAAAAAAACTCTCAGGCTTACAGAGATAAATAATTTTCCTGACCTTGCTGGGTAGTAAAGAGAAGAGTCAAGATTTTACTTAAAGTGTACTCTAACTCCAAGGAGAATACTGTTTCTACTACATCATGCCTTCTGAATAGACAAATGCCTTTGAAAAATGATAGAATGTACTTGTACCTTTGCCTCCAACTACCTGCATGTCATAAGCCACAAAATTATATTTAGCCACACTTGCAAAATCCAATTATTACCCAATTTTAAAATTTACATTTATAACAAATATAAATACTTGCATTTAAACAACATTTATAGCTTTCATATGGTGAGCACCTCCATTATCTTTTTTTTTTTTTTCTATTTTTACAGTAACTCTGTGAGGGAGGTCATGACGAATATATTGTCTACCATAGCCATATGACTGTGCTTTCCTGGACTTGACGACTAAACAAACTTCAAATTCAGAAAAACACTACTGGCCCACACCTTCTCAGGTCATCTGCTTTTTGGTTGTTTTTTTCTGCTAATATTGTTATGACGGTTACATTGAATGATTCATACTTCCTTCTAAACGAAGTGTGTTAATACACATTTGCAGGGAAATATGTCCAGAGTTTAAGATTTCATGGGTCTCTTAACCACACTCTCTCTCCATCAGCAGGCAAAAGAACCAATCTTAATAGTTCTTACATTGCATAGTTCATCTTCCAGAAATATAAATGATCTCTGCTATGTCCCTGAAAACTGTTCCTGTCATTCGTTCTCAGTCTAGCTGCCTTGGTTTTGTGACTGTTCAACCAGAAGAATAAAATCAGCCTGTAACCAGAAGGCAGAGGACTCTTATATTTTTTGTATAACGTGATTCTACATTTCTCATTCATGCAATCTCTTAAAAAGAGAATAGGTCAAGGCCTATCCTGCCACTCCCTGAGGATCTAAAGATGAAGAGTCAACATCTTTAAACTGGTCCCTGTTATGAACAATTCCTTTGCCTCACAAACCATAATTTCCTGCCCCACCTCCCTTTCTGCGTTGAGCTCATCATGCGGGAAGTCACTTTCAGACTGAATTCAATTTTCCCCATGCCTTTCCCCCGACTCATCCCCACGTTCTGTTGTGAATAGTAATAGGGCACTGGGATCTGCACTAATACGTTAATTATGAGACATCTAAACAACATATGATGAGTAAGTACCTACGTGGTAAAAAGGCCTTTGCTGCTGAGTATTCCAGGAAATAAAGACATACAAGAAAGAGCATGCATAATTAGAGAAAATTTCTGTAAGCAAAAAACAGAAAATAACACTTTAAATCCTAGTAAAAATTATTAAAACAAAAGTATAATTTTATAAGCCATTAAAATATTTAAATCACTTGGCTCAATAAGCCTCTTCAGTTTATTCTGAAGAAAAATTCAACTGTAGGATGACAAAGAAAAACTATGTTTGTGAAGGTGGTCATTCAAAGAATCATCTACAATAAAAAAATAGAAAATGTCTAAATACTTCACATTAGAAAATAACTTTGGTGCTTTATGATAAGTCCATTCAATGTAATGTGATTTACCTTTTAAAATGCAACCATTAAAACTGCTAATAATTAATGAATCTTGGTACCATATTTGTGTTTTAAATTATATAAAAATACAAAGTTATAAATATATAGCTACTAAAAATAAAAATTAGTAATAGCGATATATTTGTGAAATAATATTAAGTATAAAAAGCATAATACAAAATTATATACCATGATATAACTATATTTAAAGGTACTTGAAGTTAACATGTAAAATTTAAAAATGGTTTGTTTAGGTAACTTTATTTTTTAAACTTTTAAATCTTATTATAGTTATTTATTTATTGCTAAAAAATCAATGGCAGAATGTCAGGCATGAGATACTGTATGTAAAAAATATATTTCCCAAATATATTTGGGAAAAAACATATAAGTAACCACTTATTCCTGTCTCTGTTGTTTGATTTGCACATTATATAGAAAAAGTCAAGTAACTGAACACATCTGAAGTTGCAGTATTGGAGTAAATTTAACCATTAGTTGTCAGTGCTTTACAAGATGAAGTCATAGAATTTTATAATTGAGAGTCCTCTAAGACCTCCTGATTCAGCTTCCACTTTTCTTAGTAGATACATGTGACTTATGGAGAAATAAGTAAATTTTTTCCCTTAAGCTACACAATTAGTTGGTGAAAAAGCTAAGACTAGAATTCATATTGTACTACTAATAATATTGTAATAATTCTATTACAAGTTCCAATTCTTTAGCATTCATTAGTTCTCACAAAGTAACCCCAGTATAACCTTCCAAATTTATATCCTGCTTCTTTGCAATGTTAGACAGGAATGCCCTTTTTCCCCTCCCTGCTAGTCTTGCCTGTTTTCTTGAGCTCTCCATCCTTACCCTAACACCCTACACACTCATACTGTCTTCTTCTGTCTGCTCCTCTTCTAGTAGTAGTGTGTTAGAATAGCTTTTTCAAATGATCATATTTGGAAAAAAACAAAGTGGATTTTAGTTCCAACTATTCTGTTTGCTTGTCTTACTTTGTGCATCTACTCAATTATGCTCTGTTTCATATATTATGAGAAAAACTGCATTTAATCATACAGATGAGGGAATTCAGAGGTAGTGCCCATTAATGTACGGAAAGTATGTTCTGATGGATCTTGGCTGGCTGTGTTGAGGAATGAGGTGTATAACAATATGATAACATGAGCAAAATAAGTGTCAAATCCTCTTGAACTAAAAGTGACTCTACAGTTGTGAAGTAGTCACAGGCTTTCACAAAATACCTGTCAATTGTAATTGTGTTTAATCTCAATTTACCAGAATAAATAAATTTCTTACTAATTTGTGAAATTCCCTGTCTATTTCCAATTATCTTCCACAAGTCATACTATTGGTTTGTTGATTCCCTCAAACTTGTTTAACAAGTTAGATTTTAATTAACATGAGATTTCCTCCTTTGTCCTCAACTATAGATCACACGTAATACATGAGAGTCATTCATTTGAGTGGGAATCTCAAAGCAGTTGAGTAGGCAGAAAAAAGAACCTCTTCATTAAGGATTAAAATGTATAGGTAAGTCCTGTTTTTGTCTTTGTAGCTTTAAAAGTTTTACTATATCTTACAGTATGGGAAAAATATAAAGAAGCTTAGCAAATTTTGACTGTGTCTAGCAATCTTCTAGTTACTTCTCTGAAAACTTCATCGAAACTCTTAGATATTGTTTAGATAATATGCTTGATATTATTTTCATAAGGTACATAGTTGCTTAACTGAATTTTTTATAAAACAACCACAAAAATACTTAGCTTAGCGTTATGACAACATATCTTTAAATAAGGAAGTGGTTTTGTTTCTCATGTGCAACATTTCGAAAAGTGGTGTGTGGATTTTAAAATTGCAATCAGTAAACAATTCTTGTGTTGTTTGGAACTTTTCGAGGATTCTGTGTTTTGACTTCCATTACAGTTTTATTGCTAGCTATTAAATAAATATGCCATAAATCCTAAAGTACACTTTTAGAAAGTAAAGACGGTATTTTTCTACTTTTTATATAGTTGTAGAATTATTTTCAAGAAAGTTCTTGCTAACATTTAAGAGAAAATAATCTCTCTCTGGTTTTCTTTTTAGTTAATGAATAAGTATTTTCCTATACTTTCACATAAAGAAAGAAAAAAGTTGTGAGATAATCAAGTCACACGTTAACATCTCAAAACAATGAAATAATTATGTAACTTGGTATGTTTATGTGTGCACTTAAGTGTATATATTATGCATATTATTTTTCTATGACTACAGGAAAACATGATACTGATAAGTCATGCTGAAAGGATCAACAAAAGCATGAACAATGTGTTAGCTATAATAAGTGCAGCTGAATTTATTTTAAATCTCCTGAACATTGGAAAATTCAATCAAAAGTCAAACCATTTTAAGTAATAAAAATATATATACAGTTATATGCACTTGAATATATATATATGAGTGAAAAGTGGATAGCTGTCTAAGCTTCCAATGATAGAAGAAATAAAATCATTTCATATTCATGTAATAGATACAAGAAATGTATTAAAGTAGCTTAAAAACCTATGAAGTAATTTACATACTGAGTTTGTTCTTATTTTATGTGAAAAAAACAAATCACAAAATTGTATTTACTCATCAACTACTACTTTGTAAAGCTATACATGGGAGAAAGTCTAATAAAGAACATAGAACATTAATCAGGTTTGTTATACTAAAGCAGTGAGTTTATGAATTATATTTTTTATTGTTCTTAAACCATCTATAAGTGTAATATTATTTGGGTAATATAGTGCATTTTAAAATGTATTTTGCTGAAATATTTTAATTTTAAAGAAATTACTCTGATTTTAAAATATTGCCCTTATAAGCAGTCAAGTGTATATCAAAACATCATTCAATGGAAAATAATAAAAGAAGACATGTAAATGATACAAATCCTGAAAGAGTTGTACAATTTCAGAAGGCTTTGAATCAATCAAATTTCTAAGTTGATCCATCATTGTACAGGAAATTTGACACTCAATCAGAGCCAACCTTGCCAATTACAAATAACTCTTCTGTGGAATTTTGGTTTCTAAGGATCACACTTTTTGGAATATTTTATCTCTTTAATAGCCTGTATCTACTACTAATAAATAGCAGCTAGGTATTCATATCAAATAACAGAAGGAAAATTAAATTGTACAATATACTTTTTTTAGGTAATTGTAGGTAATTTTGGCATAATTTTAGATAAATCTTCAGGTAATTCTGAAATACTTTTGGTTGAAAATTGGCTGCCTTGGATGGTTTGATTGCTTTTTTTATAAAAAATTAAACTCCCAGCTCTCTTCCATGCTGCTGCAAGATGAAATGCTCCTTTCTTTATCTACCTTCTTCCCTTGTCTGAAGAAGGAAATCCTACCGTAGGGCCCAGGAACCTGAACAGCTGTGTTACTCATTTCAGATCCTTGGTCACTCTAGATTTTCTCAGGTTCACCAAGGGAATATCTGTGCCCACCAGATTACAGAAAACGTGTGAGATGAGGTTTGGGAAATAGGATAAAGATTTATAAACTGGAATTTGGAATGTAGTTTATGGAAAGATTTAAGGTAAATGAGCATATCTCAGCTCAGGGACAGACAAGTCTTAGCAGGACTCCTCCTACCAAACAAATCTTGTTTCCATTTTCTTCCCTTTTGTCTGTGCTCAAGACATGATTAACTGACTGCAGAGACATGCCAAAGACAATCAGATGCCCTGCCTCCCAACAGTCCAAAAGAACCTGAGACAAAAGTTGGCGGGGGGACGAGCCATCGCTGTCAAAAACGCATTCCAAATCCTGCCTGTTGTTTCAATCCTGGTTTTTGAACTGCTATAGGAACTCAGAAAAACATGCTTAAAATTGTAAATCATTAGGCAAAGAACATATTTCTTCATAGAAATTAGGCAGGTGGACACCAATTTGTATTTACAGTCATGAAGCCCAAAATAGTGCATTTCTAGTACAAGTTGTTGCCTATAAAATCTTGAGCCACATGCTAAAACAGCTGCTGCATTTGGCCCAAATGTTTTTCTAATGATGGTGTGGGACGGGCCTGCATACAGGAAGATCAGCTGCAGTCAGTCATCTGGGATTATATATTTTCTAGCAAATTATCCCATGCCACTGCCAACTTGTCTTCCAGAAGGCACTCCCAATCTATTTTCTCAGTAATTCATTGCTTACTTAACACACTACTGCAACTCCCAAATTGCTATGACTGGCACCCCTAAAATAAGTCATAAGGAAGGGATTCATTCAATATTTACTGCTGTAAGGGAACCTACAGTTATCCAATCCAATTTCTTAAAAGGTATTGCTCCCATTTGAAGGATCCCATTCTTTTGAGCAAAGAAGACTTGGCATGATTTCACAGTTTTGGGGAGTATTCCTTCTCTAGCTTTAGTATATGCTCATGACATGTAAAACAAAAGCACCATCCCAAATCTAAAGTCATTAATTGGATAACTGCCTAAGATAGTTGTAAATAAAAATGGACTTTGGAAAAGTTTATACTGATGAGTCATTCAGCAGAAAGAAAAAGCAGATTCTATGGAATATTTACAATATCCATTTGCCAGAGGTTTGAACAAGCGTATCAATGATTAATAAAATAATATATGCACTCAGGGCTCAAGACAGTGGAGCAATAAGTCATTGATGGGCATGGTGGTACAAGTATTCCCTGTATTCCCTGAAGGCCGAGGTAGGAGGATCACTTGGATCCAGAAGTTCAGTGTTGCAGTGAGCTATGATCATGCCACTGCACTCCAGCTGGGGTGACAGAGCAAAAACCTGTCTCAAAAAAAAAGATTAAAAATTATAAATAAATAAAAGCCACCGAGTATATTTTTCCTAAACTAGACAAGTTTTTATTCTGACAAGTTTACTTCTTAGCCAAGATATCTACCTGAATTTAATAGTGCAAGAATAAATTAAGATGTAATGTTTCCTTCTCTACTGAATATTTGTCAGCATAAAGACACGCCATACTATCCCCAATTAAAAAAAAATCCCTCCCTTGACCCATATCTCCTGTCCAGCTATTGTGTCATTTCTCATCTCCTGCTCTTAAAAGCAAAACTATTCTAAAGATCTGTCTAAACCTATTGCCTCTATTTTTATTTTCTTCCTCCATTCTCTCCTTTTGCTTTTTAATTTTTTATTATTAAACACATCACATTTAAAGTCTAATTTTAAAAAGTGAACCTCTTGGTACGAGACATCTATTAATAAAAATAGCATCACCAGTATCTTAGAAGACCCCATGGGCACCTCCTGTCTACGAACTGACCTTTCCCCACCTTTCACAATGTAACTGTTACGTGGCATGGTATCTTAATTTCTTTCATTTTCTTCATGGTTTCACCATTCACGGATATATTCCTAAAAAACTTATGGTTTAATTCTACCTGCCTTTGAAAGTCATATAAATGAGATCAATATTATATATGTTATATACAATAAAGTGTGCATAGCTTATTCATGTTCATAGCTGTATAATATTTCTTTGTAAGCCTGACCCATAACTTAAATATCGACTTTTCTAGTATATTGCCATTACAGATAATGTAGCACTGAATAGTCTTACACGGGTCCAATGGTACAAACATGCAAGAGTTTCTCTTGGATATGTTCCTAGAAATAGATTTTCCGAGTCACATGGTATATGCATTTTTATCTTTAATCTATCCTCCCTTTTCCCAGTGCAAATAGTTTCTGATCTTCACAGCTCTGAAATAGCTCTTGTCTTGCTCCAAATTGCAAAATCCAGTGGTCAGATCTCAGTGAGTTTACATAATCACTCCACCAGAGACCATTCTTTTCTTGAAACGTGATCTTCACAAAGCTTCCAAAACACCATTCTTTCCTGGTTTTTTGCTTATCCCATGGGTCAAACTTTCTCAGTTTCTGTTACTAGATTCTACTAATTTTCCTGTCCCCAGAGTTTAAGTGCTTTTCTTTTTTTTTTTTTTTTTTGAGAAGGAGTCTCGCTCTGTCGCCCAGGCTGGAGTGCAGTGGCCTTATCTGCAAGCTCTGCCTCCCGGGTTCATGCCATTCTCCTTCTTCAGCCTGCCGAGTAGCTGGGTCTACAGGCGCCTACCACTGCGCCCGGCTAATTTTTTGTATTTTTAGTAGAGATGGGGTTTCACTGTGTTAGCCAGGATGGTCTCGATCTCCTGACCTCGTGATCCGCCAGCCTCAGCCTCCCAAAGTGTTGGGATTACAGGCGTGAGCCACTGCGCCCAGCCTTAAATGTTTTTCTTCTTCTTACATTCTGTGTGATTCCACCAGTCTCATGGTTTGCAATATTACATAAGCTAATGATTCCCTAGGACATTAGGGAATGTCCCTAATGTCCCTTAAGTCCACTGTCATTCACTGGAAAACACAAAATGCTCTTACTTCAAAGCAACTTTTAATATCATATGGCAAAATAAACCATTTGAATCCTAAATATCCTAGTGCTTTATTTCTACTTATACATCTTTTATGATATATATAATTACTCCATATATGTTTTTTGAGACAGAGTCTCCCTCTCTCCCCAAGGCTGGAGTGCAGTGGTGCAATCTCGGCTCACTGCGACCTCTGCCTCCTGGGTTCAAGTGATTCTCCTGCCTTAGCCTCCTGAGTGTAGCTGGAATTACAGGCACGTGCCACCACGCCCAGCCAATTTTTGTATTTTTAGTAGAGACGGGGTTTCACCATGTTGGTCAGGCTGGTCTCAAACTCCTGACCTCATGATCTGCCCACCTCGGCCTCCCAAAGTGCTGGGATTACAGGTGTGAGCCACTGTGCCTGGCCAATTACTCCTTATATTATACTTTATTCATTCATTCATTCATTGAGTGTCTAATTTGAGTGAAGAGCTGTTAGGTGCTAGATATACAGCACTGGAACAAAAAGGCCCAGACCTTTTTCTCATGGTGCTTGCTGGGAAGACAGACACTAAAATACATTAGACAAATACCTATCTAATTATAGTTGTGGTGCTATGAAGAAAAGTTTAAGGACTTTGGGTAATCAAGATAAATGGAAACAACCATCACTGAAAACATTTACTCTGTGGAAATCTCAGTAGAGCAAAAGGTAGTCTTTACTGAAAACTACAAACCTTCCAATCCAAAAGACAACTGTTCCAGTGATTAACATGGAAATATGTAATTTCATTATGATTTGTTTAATACGATGACACTGAAATAAGTATTATAATAGTGAAAACTAAACCAGTCTAGAAGCTCATGGAAGACTTCTCTGAGGAAGCATTGTTTAAGCAGAAACTTAAAGGCAGGCAAGAAACAGATCATGCTGGTTTTTGAAGACTATATTAAGAATCTGGCATTACATCCTCAAACACAAAATTGTTAAAGACATAGCAGGGCAGAGATGTTACTACATTAGAATTTTTTTCTTTATAAATTACCCCGTTTTCATTTTTTATTATACTTTAAGTTCTGGGGTACATGTGCAGAATGTGCAGGTTTGTTACATAGGTATACATGTGCCATGATGGTTTTTAAAAGATGATTCTAGCTTCATATAGAGAACAATCTCTGTGGAGAAAGGAGATATCTTTTGATGAAGGGAGACTAGTTGGAGCCTAGTTCAGTATTTCAGGAAAAGGATAAACGTGGCTTGGATAAAGTGGTGGGACTTGCAATACAACTTGAGATATGTCTAAGAAGTCGAAAGAACCAGATTTGACATTCAACTGGATGTGAGGGATGAGAGAGGTGTCAAGTATAATTTTCAGGTTTTTCACATGAGTAACTTGGTGAATTTTGGCATCATTTACTGAGAAAGAAAATGCCAGAAAAGGGCCTATTTGACGGGGCAAAGGAAGGTTGTGAGAATCAGAAAGAAGATGATCAATTCAGCTTTGCAAATGCTGAATTCTAAGCACTGAATAGAGATATGTGAAAGATACAGCTGGATATTGTAGTCTGAAAATCACGTACAGATCAATGTTTCTCAGGCGTAATTTTTGGTTTATCTCTCTCTGAATCCCCCAGGCTACTTGTATAAAATGCAGAACTCTGAGATGCAAGACCAGACCTACTGAAATAGTCTGGGTGGGTACTGGATTCAGTACAGGAATTTGCACTTTTCCAAGTCTTCAAGTAATTCTTACGCACACAAAAATTTGAGAACCATTGGCTTAGATGGTAATTGAAACTGACTGAATGAGATCAACTAGAGAAAGGAGAACACCCAGGACAGAGCATGGAGCAACACCAGACACTTAGGTTGACTAGAGGAGATGCAATTAGCAAAAGATTTAAAAAAAAATTTTTTTAATTATAGAATATTTTAAAGATATAACGAAGTACAGAGCACAATAGAATGAATCCTCATACCTATCGCCCGTTTCAAGTTACCACACCTCAGCAGCCAGTCTTGTTTCCTCCGTCACCTACCCACACCCAAAAGATATTTAGAGAACAGATGGGGTCAGAAAGAAAAAGAGTATGGAATTATGGAAATCAAAAGAAAAAGAGTGTTTCAATAAAAAGGGATATTCAAGGGTGGGAAATGCTGCTAAGGGGGCTATGTAATATCCTTCTTCAGTAAGACATGAGTACTTCAAGGGAAGGACAATTATTTGGCAATTAAAAAAATGTCCTAAGTGCTTGGCAGAATATTGCAATAAGTATTCAATAGCTATTAGTTTTTCCAACATTCATTCAATAAGCACTGTATCTATAGAGCACCCACCATGTCTTGGGTTGCAAAAAACAATAAGGCTTCAGAAAAAAAGCACAGACAAAAAAGTCAAGAGGTCTAAATGCTGGCCCCTCTGTGGTACCACTTAATCTCACTGCAGATCACTTTATTTATCTGCATAATAGCAAAGTCAGAGTGGATATTTTTGAAACTCTCTTCCATTGCTAACATGCTATGATTCCACAAAATGCTGTCAATCTTATAAAATGTTATTATAAAAATATATCATGTCGTACACCTTGAATATGTAAAATTGTATTTGTCAATTAAATATTTTAAAATAAAAATAAAATGTATATATTCTATTGTATGTTAAAAATATATATTATTTTTAGCCAAAGTTAGGTTCTACATATAGAAAGACTACCAAATTTACAATTTATTGAACATACAACAGAATCTAAGTACTTTATAAACAGTATCTCATTTAATCTTCAAAACCCTCTGAGGCATGTGACTATCTCCATTTTATGAATGAGGAAACTAAGGTTCAGAGAGGTTTTGTTACTTCCCAGTGATCACATGGATCTGTCTGATTATAAAACTCATGGTTATTACTATTGTAATATATTACCTTTCTGCATTGCCTGTGTAGTAATTAAAAACACAGGCCCCTGGACAGGACTAGTGTTTCATAATAATCTTTATATAAAAAGAGAAGAAAGAGAGTAAACAAGTACATTTGTTCAGGAGACAGAAAGAAATCTCTTTTTTATGTGACTCTTTGTGCCAGTATTAGATTCCATGGCAAGATTCACAAGGTAGACAGAGCCTACCTTCCATCATCTAACCTATCCTTTTACTGTACAGATTCACTTAATGAACAGATCATTAAATACTTTGGGAGATACAGCAGAAAACAAATCAGTCAGTGCTTGCTTTCATTTATTTGATTTACCAACCACTGACATAGGGCCAAATGCCAGACATTATTTGAGTTGTGTTAACAAGTTTTTAATTCACTGGACTCATAACAAGGAGGTGGGTACTACTGTCACTTCCGTTTTGCAAACAAGGAAATTGAGGAGTTAGGTGACTTCCCAGGTTCACACAGCAAATAAATGGCAGAAATGGGATTTGAACCCAATTAGTCCAGTCTCAGGGTCTGTGCTCTCAGCTGCGCTGTCTCTCTCACGGAACAGTTTATTTGTAGGGACGGGTTGCGGATGGGGAGACAGGTAATAAATATACGAGCAGACAGACCTTCCAGGGGAATAAAGTGTTTGCAAAGATTGAGAGTGTGTAGGAGTCGTGGGAGGATCTATCCATGGGCTAGCCATGGGAAGGAAGAAGGAACCTTCTTGTTAAGAAGGGAGGATGGAGAGAACGGTGTGAAGGTGATGAAGAAACTTGCTGATTCTTCATTCAATGACAAGGAAGAAAACTGAAATCCAAAGAAGGGATTTGCCTCCTGTCGAGCAGCTTTTTCTGATTACAACAGCTTTCCCCTTTCACCCTGCCAGTATGCATACTGCCTCCCTGGATAAGAGAATATATGTGCAACATCTTTCGTAAGCTCTGAGGAACACATTGTATAGGCATCAAAAGTATTCATTCCATAGACCTTGGAACTCTGTTCATTTCATTATAATACAAAATCCTCCTGGGAAAATAAAACTGAGAAGCTTGATTCTTTCCTGTGTTTCTGAAGACAATCTAGGCAAGAAGCCAGTAGGATTAAATTCAGAAGGGATTGAATGCAAGATGTTGTTTTTAAAAATATATTGATGCAACTAAATATTACTCAAGCACATTTCAAAGAACTAATATTGGGTTTGGTCCATGATTCACTAAAAGTCACCTTTTTTTTCTATGAGAACAATTATGATTTAGTAGATATAGTTAAATAGAATGAACCATGATGAATACAAATGAGGCTCTGATTCCAGTATCCACTCCTCTCTACTAAATGACCCTCAACTAGTTGCTGTGAGAAAATAATTTCAGTAAATTTCTGGATTCCCTACTCTATCATCTCCTCTGAATTATTTCACCCAATATGTGTTGAAATGTCATCTTCCTTTCTTTAGGCTCTTTATTAATAGATTTTTATTTATTGAACCTGTGCATTTAATGATATATTTCTTTCTTATTTATTCTACTCCATCATTCACAGTGCCTCCCTTCTCACCTCCTCACTCCCATCTCCAACATTTTTAACACTGTAACCAATGTTATGGTTTAGGTCTATCTATAGAGGTAAAATCAAACATTGGAGGATGCACACATTTGGAGCAAGAAACACTGCCATTAGAGTGTAATGTACCAAATTTCTCACCACTTTGGGACACATTTTGTAGAGATAACGATGAGTGGAGAATATCTTGACACTTTCTATTGCGCATTACAAATCAGATCACACTGAGCTGTGTATAGGAACTTCTAAATCCCTCACTGATTTAGTCCTATAGAAAGTAAACATGGATCCACCAGTCATGCGTTACTTGACAGGGAAACATTCTGAGAAATGCATCGTTAGGCGATTTTGTCCTTATGCAGACATCATAGAGTATACTTACATGCACCTAGATGATATAACCTATTACACACCTAGACTATGCAGCATATTACTCCTTGGCTACAGACCTGTATAGCACGTTACTGTACTGAATACTGTAGGCAATTGTAACACAATAGTAAATATTTGTGTATCTACACATATCTGAATATAAAAAAGGTACATTAAAAATGTGTATAAGTCATATGGGACCACTGTCATACATGCGATCTGTGATTGACAAAGATGTTGTTATATGTTTCATGACTGTAGTTCTATAATAGGGTCAGTATATTTTGATGAAGCAATAAGTTAAGGCTTTGAACATTTCATAATAATCCTATAGCAAAGAGGATTGCCTATTTACTTGGGCTTTAGGAAACAGAGAAGGATCTATTATGCCTTCAGTACAATCACTCCACTTTTCTCTGATCTTTTCTAATGTAATTGTATCTAGAACCCTTGCTACACAAAACATAGTCTTTGGACCAATAGCATTGACATCACCTGGGAGCTTGTTGGAAACGCAGACTCAGGTCCAACCCAGATTAACTAATTTAAAATTTGCATTTTAATAGGCAATTCACATATCCACTAAAAATTGAGAAGTGCTGGACTAAACAACTTATTTCACCCAATATGTGCTGAAATGTCATCTTTCTTTCTTTAGGCTCTTTATTAATAGATTTTTATTTATTTAACCTGTGCATTTAATGATATATTCCTTTCTTATTTATTCTACTCTATCATTCATTCTACAAGCTACAAGTTACAGGCTTAGTTTCCCAGATTCCCAGAATGGAAGAGATGGGTACAGCAAGACATTTCCTTGTGTATTTAAATATGAATAAACATGTCTCTAACCTGAGTGTGCAATAGATTTCCCCATTCCTCTCCTGCAGAAACACTGAAAGCCTTGGCAAGTTAGAACTCACAGAGCAGCACATTCCTGAGTTCTGGGAATACTGTGCTCCTCAAAATGCTGGGTATTTCAGAAATAAATGTTTCTGTGTTTTGGTAAGTTTGGGCTGTTTCATCAGTTCGGGCTACAGAAGGAAAAGAAGAAATAGAATTGGAAATGTGCAAAGAGCAATTGGCTTTTTGTCATTTGGCATCTTGAGGTTAAACATGAAGTTTTCTCTAGGCTTTTTCAGTCCTTTATCCACTCTGACACATGACAGTTGATGAAAATATGTGACACATCTCCATGAGTCCAACCAGGTTTAAAGCAATTCCCAATGCACTACTTGTAATTCCACCCAGAAAACAAAACAAAACAAAAATGCAAGTGAGTAGGAGAAATATTATCCCAGAATTAAGCAGTTTAAATTGTATAAGAAGTAAATCATTTCAAAACTCTGATGTGTTTTAACCATTATGTGTAACAAATTGCTTGCCATCAATACTAACACACTCCTGTATTCCAATATCTCATTAACAATTGCTACCTAGGAAATAGCATTGAAACCTGAACTGAATGGGCTGAGTCTTTTTCTGTTCTGGAAGTTTAAGTCCACCCTCATTGTCAATTACGCACAGGAAACTTGGTAATTTTGTTATTCCACTAAGTTAACAATCATTAAAAGATAAATTTAATTTTAACCACTTTATTGAAATAAAATTATAAAACAGAAACTTCACGTGTTTAAGGTGCACAATTCAATGATCGCTAGTATATGTACAGAGATGTGCAACCATCACCAAAATCCAATTTCAAAATATTTTCCTCATCCCAAAAGATAATCAAATATACGTGATATTCAAGTACTCATTTCCCAAAGAGCATTTTTACAATAAAATATCACATATTTAAACTGTCATGAGTATTTTTTTATAATTTACGGTAGCCAGCAAAATTATTTTGTGCCAATAAAGGTTAGAAAACATCTTTAGTTAAAAATAAAGGGGGAAAAAGGAAAGAAAATGAAAATAAAGAATGAAAGAAAGGAGGAAGGAAACCTACCTATTTGGAAACTAAATCCAGACAGGGAAAAATTTTATTTTGGCCATTTTGGGGGGAAATAGGCAAGGAAGCAAGCAAGTCTGTAAGTAGTTGTTTCTTGTTTTGAAACTAGTATGGGCTTCATGGCTCTATGAATGACTACACTTTGTAGAACTCAGAAAAAAATATTAACATTGAACAGCAGTGCCCTCTACAGTACATGTTGGGCTATCCCTAACTAACATTAATCAGTAAGGACATAACTAACCTGTCAGGGCTCTCTCTCTTATGATTCTTGGAAACAGGTTACCAACACTCAGTACATGTTCTTAAACACCAGTAGAGTCAACAAAGTATTGCTCCCAACACTTTGCAAATCTGGTGATTCCTAGAGAAATTTACTTAAACTCTTAGCATCATAAAGTTCCAGAAAAAAATATTTCCCTTTGTTCTGTTGTTTTCAAATCATTTAGGCAGATTCACCTTTGTAGATGGTGCCACCCCTACCATGTTACCACCATGCTCATTTGCAGACACAAAAGGCCTCATAATCTGAATTATGGAAGCAAGAATCCACACTTTGGGCAGATGTAAAATGCCAGAAAAGATTACTTTCCTTAGCAAAGTAAGTGTATATTAAGTGTAAGACAGCAGTAATCAGAATATGTCTTTAAGTCTTCAACTGATTCTTCACAGAAATGGCAAGTAGTCTTCAGACATCTATTAATAATCATGCAAGGCTGACCCTATTATTAAATATGGGGATATATGCTAAGTGAAGGAAAACATGGCAAACTACCGACTTGTGTCAGCAGCATTCTTGAAACCCTACTCAGCAGTCTATACCATCCTCCTAGCTATACCATTGCTGGAGGAAGATGAGGTATGAGAGTGACAATACAGATATACCATCTCCTTCAGTTTAAAATAAGATATACAGCATATGAGGATCAGAAACAGCATCTGAAAATTCTTGCCTTGCAAATTATGAGTGCAGAGCTGTATCACAGCTCTGACTTGAAAGGGAAACACTTTGAGTTTCTTTAAATAAGTCTTCTGCAGTCAAGAAATTCTTTCCCTGAAAAGGCTACAAATTAGCTTGACTAATGAATAAAGACTCTTGGCTTGGTATTCATCACCTTCCTTTATAGACTTTTCAATACGAGAATCAATTCCTGCTCCTAGCCAATGCCTTCCTAGGAACAGTTCTTGAATGTATTAAATATACTAGAAGCCAGAGTAATGAGTTCAACCATCTTTTAAAATAAAGGCATTATTAATGAGTTGGTAGGAAGGAAGGAACATAAAAATCCTCACCTTTATGGAGCTTCTTAACTGGCGGAGGGAGACAGATAACAAACAAAATAAGTAAATTGTGGGGTATATTAGAAAGTTATAAGTGTACTGCAAAATAATAAAGCAAATAATAATAAAGCAGAGAGAGGAGGTGCAATTTTTTTTTTTTTTTTTTGAGACAGGGTCTCGCTCTATTACCCAAGCTGGAATGCAGTGGCGCCATCTCCGCTCACTGCAAGCTCCGCCTCCCGGGTTCACGCCAGTCTCCTGCCTCAGCCTCCTGAGTAGCTGGGACTATAGGCGCCCGCCACCACGCCCGGCTAATTTTTTGTATTTTTAGTAGAGACTGGGTTTCACCATGTTAGCCAGGATGGTCTCGATCTCCTGACCTCGTGATCCGCCCGCCTCAGCCTCCCCAAGTGCTGGGATTACAGGCGTGGGCCACCGCGCCCGGCCGGAGGTGCAATTTTTAATAGAGTAGTCAGCAAGGTCTCACTGAGAAGACATCAATTGAGCAAAGACATACAAGAGGCCAGGGAGCAAGCCCTGTGAAAACCTGAGGTAAGAGTGTTCCAGGCAGACGGAAGAGCAAGCACAAAGTCCCAGAGGTAGAGAGGGCCTATTGTGCTTGAGGAGCGGCAGAGAGGCCAGGATGTCTGGAATAGGATATGGAGGTAGAGTGAAGTTAGACATAAAGTCAGAGACTTAACGAGATATGGAACCACATTAGAAATTCCTGGAAGTAGTGTCTTGATGCAGTACCAAGAAATTAAGAGGCAAAATATTACAAGATAAATACCCATGGTTATCCTGGATGTCTAATAAACATGTTCACTATAAAAATTTTACTTTAAATATTCTAGAAAATCTTAAAATATGCAAAAACGATATTGCCACACACAAGAAAAGCGTATGAAACTGAGCATGAAGTCCTTAGTGGGTGATCAGTGTAGCACCACAGGTAGGGTAGCTTGTGCCAAAACCATCTTTTTTAATTAGAGACTTCCTTCCATTTTTGGCAGGGGAGGGTGTTTGCTAAAAAAAGGAGCACAGATTTGCAAAATAGCAAATAAGAATAAGGGCTGAGCCTATATCTGTGAACTAATGGGGAAGATCTATATAAAATTAAACCTTTGACCTTGGTCTCATTATACCATGTCGTAAGTACCTAAAATAACCAGCTACTGATTGATGGCTTAATGTAATAGGTGTGGTCCTTCTACCAACTTATTAAATAACCACACACCCAAGCAGCCAGCATGAGTAATTATTTATGTTGTTTTCATTCATTATTAGTAACTCTTGAAGAATTAGCATATGCTAGTAAATGAAGTACAGACCAAATTTCATATTTCCTTCTTTTCTATTTGTAAGCCACAGTAAAGTTTCATTTTCCCTCGGTCATAAATCACTGTCTGTGTTTTTAGTCTCACATGTAAAATTATTTCACTTATGGTAATGGTATGATCATATGATTATAAATATTAATTGATAGCTGCCTAAATTATATACTTGTAATATTGCATATATATTATAGGTTACATACATTATTATAAATTATATAGCGTATAGGTAATCATAATTGCCAGTTGTTTCTTCTTATTACTAGATACCTAAGGCTATAGTAATGGGAAATTCTTTATTATATCAAATTCATGTGTGTCTACAAATATGCCTAGAGATTTATATTGTAGGCCTGTATTTTTTAATCCAAAGGCAGTGAAATGAGTGGTTTCCAATACTCTTTTTCAGAGCTTCAAATACTACCTCTAAGATAATGACTTCAAAAAGAACACTTCCAGTCCCAAGACCTTTGCTCAGCCAAGACCCATCTTAACAGCTGACTGCTGGGAATTAACACAAAAATACTAACAGTTACTGAAGTGAAAATTATTATTAGAACATCTCAAAACAACTCAAATTGTCTAGTCATGTGACGAGTATAACTAAATCCCCAGTCACGCAAGCTCAATCTTCAAAGTTTCATCTTGGACTTCCACTCTTGCCCTTGGCACTGAATTCTCTAGCAGGGAATGGTTCTAATTTTTCATCTTCAATATTTTCCTCAAACCTTTCTTTTCCACACACATAGCCCCTACATGGCCCTTAGCACTTCATATCCCATTACTGGACTAATAAATTTGTCTGCACAATGAGACCTCCTGCCTCATAACTCCCGCCTCTTGCAGCCCAACTGGGCCACCAGATTAACCTTTCTAAAACACTGCTGCTTTCTTTAACTTCTCATTTCAAAAAGCTCATTGATACCCTAAAGCCAAGAAAGAGTCCAAACCCATTACTCACAAAGTCTTCTATAATCTTGACCAGACTTATTTTTCTAGATTATTTTCCATCTGCTTTCCTATAACCACCACACTGGGCCAACTACTTTTCGCCAAACATACTTTGCACTTCTACCTCTTCTGTTCCCGTTTCTTCATTTACCCAGAGGGCCTACCCGTCTTTCAAGGCATAGCTCACATGTCACATGTTCTATGAAGATTGGTGGCATTTCCTCCTCCCTCCTCCGAGTGAAGGAATTTTTATAATAGTTTTAAGGGGTAGTAGTGCAGTTTTGTTACATGGAGGTATTGCACTGTTATGAAGTCTGGGCTTTTAGTGTAGCCATCACCTGAATAGGATACACTGTACACATTAAGTAATTTCTCATCCTTCTTTCCCCTCCCACTCTTTCATGTCTCCATTATTCTACTCTCTCTGTCCATGCGTGCACATTATTTAGCTCCCATGTATAAGTGAGAACATGCAATATTTGACTTTTTGTTTCTGAGTTGTTTCACCTAAGATAATAGCCTCCAGTTCCATCCATATTGCTGTAAAAGACATGATTTTATTCCTTTTATGGTTGAGTAGTATTCATATATATATATATTTCTCTATCTAGTGATCTGTTGATAGACACTTAGGTTTAATACACATCTTTGCTATTATAAATAGTGCTGCAATAAACATATGAGTACAGGTAATTTTTGATATAATTTCTTTTCCTTTGGGTAGATACCCAATAGTTGGATTGCTGGATCAAAGGGTAGTTCTATTTTTAATTATTTGAGAAGTCTCCACATTGTTTTTCATAGAGGTTTTACTAATTTACTTTTCCACCAAAAGTGTGTAAGTGTTCCCTTTTCTCTGCATCCTCACCAACATGTTATACCTTGACTTTCTAATAACCATTCCAACTGGTGTAACAGTTTATCTCATCGTGGTTTTAATTTGCACTTCTCTGATTAGTGATATTGAGCATTTTTTTCATTTGTTTGTGGCTATTTGTATGTCTCTTGAGAAATGTCTATTCATGTCCTTAGCCCACTCTTTAAGGGGGTTATTGTGTTATTTTGCTGTTGTTATTTGAGTTCCTTATAGATTCTAGACATTAGTGTTTTGTAAGATGCATAGCTTGCAAATATTTTCTCCCATTTTCAGGTTGTCTGTTCACTCTGCTGATTATTTCTTTTGCTGTGCAGAAGCTTTTTAGTTTAAGTAAGTATCATTTGTCTATTTTTATTTTGTTGCATTTGCTTTTGAGGACTTCGTCATAAATTCTTTGCCTAGGTTAATGTCCAAAAGTTTTCCCTACATCTTCTTCTAGCATTTTAATAGTTTCAGATCATAAATTTAAGTCTTTAATCCATCTTGACTTAATTTTTACATATGGTGAGAGATAGAGGTCCAGTTTTATTCTTTGATATACAGCAGTCCAATTTTACCACCACCATTTATTAAATGGGGTGTCCTTTCCCCAGTGTATGTTTTTGTCGACTTTGTCAAAGGTCCGTTGGCTGTAGGTAAGTGGCTTTATTTCTGGGTTCTCTATTCTGTTTCATTGATCTATGTGTTTATTTTTATGCCAGTATGATGCTGTTTTGGTTACTATAGCTTTGTAGTATAATTTGAAGTCATGTCATATGATACCTCCAGCTTTGCTCTTTTTGCTTAGAATTGCTTTGGCTCTTTGGCTCTTTTTTTGGTTTTATATGAATTTTAGGATTTTTTTTCTAATTCTGTGAAAAATGACATTGGTATTGTGATAGGGATTTAATTGAATTTGTAGATTGCTTTGAGAAGTATGGTCATTTTAATGACATTGATTCTTCCGATGCATGAGCATGGGATGGTTTTCCATTTGTTTGTATCATCTCCATTTCTTTTATCAGTGTTTTTTAATTTTCCTTGTAGAGATCTTTTACTTCCTTGGTTAAATATATTCCGATATATTTTATTTTTTAATCTATTATAAATAGGATTGACTTCTTGATTTGGTTCTCAGCTTGGTCATTATTGATGTATAAAAATGCTACTGATTTTTGTACATTGATTTTGTATCCCGAGACATTCCTGAAGTCATTTATCAAATCTAGGAGTCTTTTGGAGGAGTCTTAGGATTTTCTAGGTATAAGATCATATTGTCAGTAGAGATAATTTGACTTCCTCTTTTCCAAGTTGGATATCTTATTTTTTCTCTTGCCTGATAGCTCTTTACGACTTCACATAATGTGTTTGATAGACGTGATGAAAGTGGTCATCCTTGCCTTGTTCCAATTCTTCGGTGGAATGCTTTCAACTTTTCCCTGTACAGTATGATGTTAGCTGTGGGTTTATCATATATAGCTTTTATTGTTTTGAGGTATGCTCCCTTTATGCCTAGTTTGTAAGGGTTTTTATCATGGAAGGATGCTAAATTTTATCAAATACCTTTTCTGTATCTATTGAGATGATCATATGGTTTTGTTTTTAATTCTGTTTATGTGGTGAATCACATTTATCAATTTGTGTATGTTGAATCATACTTGCATCCCTGGAATAAAACCCAGTTGACCATGGCATATTACCATTTTGATGTGCTGTTGGATTCAGTTTTCTAGTATTTTGTTGAGGATTTTTATGTAGTGTTCATCAAGGATTTTGACCTACAGTTTTCCCTTCTTGTGTGTGTGCCCTTGTCTCATTCTGGTATCAGGGTAATACTGGAGTCATAGAATGAGTTCGGAAAGATTCCCTCCTCCTCAATATTTTGGAACAATTTCATTAGGATTGGCATCAGTTTTTCTTTATACATCTTGTAGAGTTTGGCTGTGAATGCATCTGGTCCTGGGATTTTTGTTGTTGTTGAAAGATGTTTTTTTTCTTATTCAATTGTACTACTCATTATTGGTCTGTTTGGGATTTCTATTTTTGCCTGGTTTAATCTGTAAATTAAACCTGGTAGATTTCTACCTGGTTACATGTTTCCAGGAATTTATTGATTTCCTCTAGGTTTTCTAGTTTGTGAGCATAGAGTTGTTCATAGTAGTGTCTAATGGTTCTTGTATTTCTATATGATTGTAGTTTCCTTTTTCATTTCTGATTTTGTTTATTTGAATCTGCACTTTTTTTCTTGGCTAGTCTAGGTAGCGGTCTATCAATTTTCTTTATCTTTTCAAGTAACCAACTTTTTCTTTCATTGATCCTTTGTAATTTTTTGGTCTAAATTTTATTTAGTTCTGCTCTGATCATTGTTATTTATTTTCTTCTGCTAGTTTAGAGTTTGGTTTGTTCTTGTTTTTCTAGTTCCTTAAGGTACATCATTGGGATTTAATGATATAAAATTCCCTCTTAGCACTGTTTTTGCTATATTTTAGAGGGTTTGGTATGTTTTGTCTCCATTTTCATTCATTTCAAAATTTTTTTAAATCCCCTCTTTATTTTGTTATTGACCCAAAGATCATTCAGGAGCATGTTGGGTTTTTTTTTCATGTTTTTATATAGTTTTAAGAGTTCCTCCTGGTATTGATTTCTAGTTGTAGACCATTGTAATTTGAGAATATATCAAATATGATTTTGATTTTTTAAAGTTTCTTCAGACTTGTTTTGTGGCCTAATATATGATCTATCTTGGAGAATGTTCCATGTACTGATAAAAATGTATATTCTGTGATAGTTGGGCAGAATTTTCTGTAAATGTCTATTAGGTCCATTTGGTCTAAGTCCAATTTAAGTCCAGTGTTTCTTTGTTGATTTTCTGTCTCGATGATCTGTCTAGTACTGTCAATGGGGGTGTTGAAGTTCTCCATCATTATTGTATTCCTGTCTATCTCTTAAGTGTGGTAATATTTGTTTTATGAATATGGGTGCTCTAGTGTTGGATATGTATACATTTAGGATTGTTATGTCTTCTTGTTGAGTCGATTCTGTTATCATGTAATAACTTTCTTTGTCTTTTTTTACTACTGTTGATTTAAACCTTGTTTTATCTGATATAAACATAGCTACTTCTATTCTCTTTTGGTTTTCATCTGTGTGGAATATATTTTTCTATACCTCTGCCTTTAGTCTATAAGTGCCTTTATCAGTAAGTTAAGTTTTTTATAAGCAGCATATAGTTGGAGGAGTTCTGTCATGCAGCCATTTTATTTCTTTTCTGTCATTTCTGTAATTGTTTTATAAGCCCCATGGTTTGGTGGAGTTCTGTCATATTGCCATTTTGTTTCTTTCTCTTTCTCATTTCTTTGTTTTATAAGACAAGTGAGTTTTATACTTTCATGTATTTTTATGATAGGTGAGTATCGATCTTTCATTCCCATGTTTAGAATTCCTTTGAGCATTTCTTGCAGAGCCAGTCTAGAGAGTTAAGAAATTAATTACTACAGAAGAATAGAAAACTAGTATTGACTCTTGTACTCCAAAAGTACCTCAATGGAGATAGGTGTCAACACATTCCTCTTCTTTACTATAAAGTTACCTGTGTGATAAGAATGATATAGAGCAAAATAAAAAGTGTGGAGAAAAAGTGAAATAGGTAAATCGGTAAACAGGTAATACTGAATACTTTAAAGAAATGCGCTTTTTTCTCTTGATAGTGTAAGTTTAAATAAAAATAGTAATAAATAAATTAAACTAATTAATTAAAAATTTATTTTTCTCTAAAGTTTTTTATGGTTATTTAGCCCTTTATAGTTTATACAGCATGCATGCCATCTGCTCTAATTCTCACAACATATACTGTACAATAACTGTTGTTATCACCAACATGTCGCAGGGGGACTAAGATTCCACAATGTTAAAAGGACTCATCCAAGCTCATACAACAGTTACTGGCAGAAAAATCTTCAGTTCTAGGTATCTTGCTGTTATACTTCAGTTGCCTCTATAATAATACCTTAAATTCCAGTTTACAAATCATTGGTATATACACCATTTTATTTTATTTTAAAAAATCAAATTATGAGGAAGGTATTGTCTTTATCATTTAAATTTTTTTGAAATCTGAAGCTTAAAATAGTTACGATTAATGTGAGATCACATAGCTGATATTTGACAGAAAGAGTACTTGAATCCACATCTCCTAGCTCTAGTCTAGTTCCCTTTTCACATCCCCTTAGAAGTGTTTTATGATGTAGGAATTAAACACTGTGCTTAGAAGTTTAAAATCAATTAAAGAAATCTTTCATATCTCATTTCCTTCATTTGAAAGACATGACTGATATCAGAACAAAGGAAATTTTAAATAAATAAGAAATGATCATGTTTTAATTGGAAAAAATGTCTTGCAGAAAAATTCTTTAATACAACCCTGGGCATATCCTCAAACACTATAGTCCAATGGGAGAAAAAATACCACGTTCGGTTTTGAACTTTTCTTTTCTTTTTTTTTTTTTTTTTTGAGCAAGACCAGTTTTGGTTTTCTATTTGTTAGAAAAGGAAATTGAGACATAATTGCCAACACTATGACTGGCAATAATAATAACCAACAGCTATTGCATGTATATCAGGTTCTGAGCTCCATTCTGATCAGTTTTTACATGTATTAATTAAAGACACAGTGTAGTTGCCCAAGGTCATGGTTTGAGCATAAGAGTTATGAGTTGTACTGAGATCTAAGTTTGCTGCTGTGACTTCCTTTTTTTATTTTTATTTTTTTATTATTATTTTATATATATTTTTTTATTATACTTTAAGTTCTAGGGTAACGTGCAGCTTTGTTACATATGTATGCATGTGCCATGTTGTTGTGCTGCACCCATTAACTCGTCATTTACATTAGGTATATCTCCTAATGCTATCCCTCCCCTCTCCCCCACCCCACAACAGTCCCCGGTGTGTGATGTTCCCCTCCCTGTGTCCAAGTGTTCTCATTGTTCAATTCCCACCTATGAGCGAGAACATGCGGTGTTTGGTTTTTTGTCCTTGCGATAGTTTGCTGAGAATGATGGTTTCCAGCTTCATCTATGTCCCTACAAAGGACATGAACTCATCAATTTTTATGGCTGCATAGTATTCCATGGTGTATATGTGCCACATTTTCTTAATCCAGTCTATCATTGTTGGACATTTGGGTTGGTTCCAAGTCTTCGCTATTGTGGTTTTGAACTTTTCTATTTAAGGTGGTTGTAAAGCACCCATAACACGTTCAATTAGTAATTGGAAATGATGATGTGCAGTTCAAAGAGAGAGGTCTGGGCTGAAGATATATCTTAAGAAATATATTATTAATAGCTATTGATTCCCTTTGCTTCCCCCAAGTGAGGTCAGGAGAGACGTGAAACCCAAAGCTTTTCCATTCTCTGTAGTGTGAAGCAATGTACTTAGGGACAAAGTGTATGTGAGCGGAAGTTCATGTGTCTTTATTCAAACTTACCTGGTTTCTGTTTCCAGCTCTGTCACTCCTGAATAAACATAAGTTATTCACTCTCTGAGTCTCACCTTTCCTATATTTAAAATGCAATCGTAATACAGAATTTACAAAGCTATGAAAAGATCATGAAGATTGACAACGTACTTGTACAATGCCTGGCAGATAGGCTTTCACAATAAAAGTATAAAAAGATAAATTTTCCACCCTCATGCAATTTTTTCAAGTCAATAAAAAAGAGAAAGAGTGAGAGGGAAACTGGGTAAATGGGTCACAATAGAATATTTGCTTTGCTGTTTTAAATGCAAGTACTAAAAATCTAACTGACCAAGACCCTGCTTTAAAAGCAATATATTTTCTTTCACAGATTTCCATTGCATTATGAATGAAAATTCAGTGTTTACAAACATATTTAGAGTAAATATTATACACAATTTAGTTTGTGTTAGCAACGTTCAGAGGTTCAACTAGAAGTTGAACATGCTATTGAAAGTTGAAACATGCTATTTCCTCAGTTGTTTCTATAGGGTGGAACAATTCATTCTTATGTAATTAGTTATGGCTTGTGAGCGTAAGGTAATTTGGGCTCCACACCCTTTGTTTGTTGAGTCATATGTCTCATGGTGCTTTTCAGTTATTGAGTTCAAGACGTTTTTCGTGAACTGAAAGCAAAATTGGCTGTAATGTTATTCCCGTGGGAGGCTCATCCAAGTTAAAGCACATATTGACTCTAGCCTTTTGATTTCTTTTTTTGGAGATTTTAGCCTCCAACTTAATCCTTCTTTACAGTTCTTCTCACTCCACGCTTACAGATCCTGACATATCAGCTCATCTCTGGAAACAAAATCAATCCCTAATTGTTGCAGAAAGGAACAATTTGAGATTTCTTTAGCCTTTGGAGTTACATTTGCCTCCAACTCTGTCTATTTTTAACTCTTTCACTACTCAGCAGCCACTATTAATTACTGAAATCACAAATACCAGACACTATGCATTTGTGATTGCATGTAACAGGCACAATAACCCCATGAGGTAACAAATGGGTAAGCTGAAACTCAAATAGTTAGCAAATGTCAAAGTGACAGTTTTCTTCAACTAGAAAATTACTACAGTAGTGGTTGTTGAACACTGGACTCTCAACCCATGTCAGGGAAAGCCAGTTTTCACTAGTGTAGCAAAATGAACAAATAAGACAAATATAGCAAAAAGACATCATAAAGTTATAGCATTTAATAAATTTTTCTGAGGTTATTTTCTATGTTATATACTTAAATGCTCTTTTTAAAAGTGATCATGCTTGAACATGGTCAATTTTTATAAAGTGTCCTGTGTTTATTCAACAAAATGGAAAATTGGCAAGTCTATGTCTGCTTCCAACAGTCTTCTGAAATGTTACTAGTTCCAGTGCCACAGCATACAATGTGCAGGTGGCACAATACAAAATATCAAGAAGTGCCCTATTATAGGCTTGTGAGTTGAGTAGAGCCCAAACAATACCAGGCAACATTGCAGTGAAATGTATCCCACAGCACTGACCCTCAGAACATACCCTTCTCACTTATACCAGAATGTTGGCAAAACAAAATACAAAAATATGAAAATTAGAATATGCCTACATATAATTGCTTCTCAGCTCTATTGAGGCTTTTAAATCTGAAACATGTCAAGAATTAACACAGGCGATAAATATTTATAAATATCATAAATATTTACAAAACACCTATATCACCCAAGCATTCTGCAAAGTGTTAAACAGTTTGCCTATGTTAAACATAGGCATGAATATTATCTTTACCTTCAAGGTGTTCACAGCCAAGTGGATAACCTATTGAACTAGAAATATATACTTTATAACACGTAACATGACCCACTTAATCTTCAAAACAGCCTTTTGAGGTAGGTATTATTATTCCTATTTTTCAGATAAAGAAAATCTCAGATAAATGACAATATGACCTCCAAGCAAACAAAGGGTAAAACTGGAATTCACATCCAGCTCCCCTGGTGACTTCCCCAGTGTCAGTGTGTGTGACTATGTATTAGTACAAATTCATGGGGAAAATATGATAAATCAAATACATCATTGGCTATTGGAGCAGTTCTGTTTCATTTCAGTTACTTGCTATTCTCCCCGATCCTAGCTCTATGCCTCTGCCGATTTTTAATAATATGGGGAATCTTGCAATGAGAAATGCTACCGTCCTGACCCCCTCACCACCCCACCCCTGCTTCTTTATCTTCCTCGACACTTCTTCCCACCCAAATGATCTCTCTTCAGTACAGCCTTGGGGATGGTGCCCAGGCAAGGTTGATTACTACAGTAATGTCCAGCATAGAATTTTGGAAGACATTGCAGTAGAACTGACAATGATTTGTTGTTATTCTCAAAAACTTTATCAATTGGCAGAAAGGAAAGCAACTCCAAACCATAAGTCAGATTTCCCTCTTCTTCCATCAGACTACTTGAATTTCATTCATTTTGTGCTGAAAAAAAAAACTTGAAAGAAAAACCACTACGGACAGCCTTGTTAAGTTCAGTTTCATATCTACGAATATGTTTCTATGGCTAGAGCCATGTCCCAGATAAGAGACCGGGAAAGACAGAAGACAATCATGAACACTAAAATGATGGATGAAATCAGTGAAATGAATGACTTTCTTTGATCTCTCTCTCTTGTAAGGCCAGCACGTGTAACTTCGACTTCAAGATTTCTGAATCCATATGTAGTATGTTTCATTGTCGTCGCAGGGGTAGTGATCCTGGCAGTCACCATAGCTCTACTTGTTTACTTTTTAGCTTTTGGTAAGTACCAGAACATTATTACTCTTCAGATTTAATAGCTACATACAATTTCAGATTTAAAGTCTGGCATTCTTTCTTTTACTATGGCTTTTATTTCTTAATATAATGTGATTATATATCTTACTTATAATTCTTCCCCAAATATAGATGCATATCTGTATTTTTACTGAATCAGTATTTTTTCTCTTTCCTATTTTGGCCATTTTTAGTGCCCCAAACATACCTTTTGAGTATACCAAACATTGTTACTCAAAAAAGAATTATTCTATCCAAAGGAAAAAAAAACTCTCAATAATTTTCTGATGCTAAAATTTACTCATTTTGTTTTTCATTAATACTATGATTTCCTTCATTGATAACCTGATAAAATCATAACAGTGAAATATTTCAAAGAACCTTAAGTTTCAACATCTAAAATTTGGATGTACCTAAGTATTTGTCCATTCTTATTAACAAATAATGCTTCTGTCTTCTGAAAACAGTGTCTTACAAGCCTAACAGTTAGGATGGTCAGGAGATAAATTTTCAGTTGAGATGTTAAAAGGGGTAAAGTCAAACTTTTTAAAACATTATGTTCTTTAGTTGTCTCTTTTGTTTTGTTTAATTTTTTATTATTATATCACTAAAAATAGACAATGTGGACAAGAAAAAATAATGTAAAGAATACACATATCATGCTCATTCATAAACAACTTTCCTTAAAAATCTCTGTGAAGGCTCTTTCAGATGCTTTAACATAGATATGTAAAATGTGTCAAATTTTACTAAATAATATCATATATTAGAATTTTTTTCACTTAAAATACACTTTGAGGTTATTTTTATTTCAAATATAATTCTATTAAATCACTTAAATCATGTGTACGGGTGTGCAGGTGTGTACATGGGTATGTGTGAGTGTTAAGAGAAAAAGAGAAAGAATATAACTTATAGTATGTCCAATTGTAAACAGGCAAAAATGCTTAACTATGCAAAGATTGAAATACTTCCAATGGTGCAATAAAATTACCAACATTAGAAATACCAATAATGATACACAATCATTTCAGCCAATCAAATGTAAAGGTTATGGCTAAATTTTTGCTTTTGACTGCATTTTGCTATCAAATCACCTGGAGTCACCTACCCCTAAGGTGAACTACAGAGGTAGAAAAAAGAGACATGGAGTTTCAGGTTAAATTAATGAATTTTCACTCTTAATGACACGGCATTGTCATGCTTAAAGAGTAGGCCCCTTGGTAAGTCATCTGCAAACTGTGTTCCAGTGATCACTTATGGCCCCCAAATGACTTGATCTTCCACTACAAACAACCACCCTTCCCCCAGGATCTCCAACTCTTGCCCCTTACCAAGGTATTTGTCTGCGTAAGTAATGCATATGAACGATCAAAAGAAAGTAGACATTTTTATTCTAGACAGATTCCATTAGGTTATGTACATCTTCATAGTATTTCTGAGTTGTGTACAGATATGTTTCAGAGACTTTTATCTCCTTCACACAGCTGAATAGGTCCTCTGGAAGACCCCTGTTGTCGTTGTTGTTTTTGTTGTTTTAATGAAACATAATATCTTACATATTTCTGGAATACATGTGATATTTTGTTACATGTATACAATGTGTAATGATCAAGCCAGGGTATTTGAGGTATACAGCCCTTTGAGTATTTATCATTTCTATGTATTAGAACAACTCAAGTCCTCTTTTCTAGCTACTTTGAAATACATAATAGATTGTTGTTAACTTCACTCTGCTCTGCTATTAAACAATAAAACTTATACCATTTATCTAACTATATGTTTATATCTGTTAGCCAACCTCTCTTCAATCCCCCTCACACCCCTCCATCCTTCCCAGTCTCTAGTATCTGTCATTCTACTCTCTACATTGATGAGATCAACTTTTTAAGCTCCCACATATGAGTTAGAACATACTTGTCTTTCTTCTTTACTCTTTTTTTAGTAGTAGAGATGGGGTCTCACTTTGTTGCCCAGGCCGGTCTCAAATTCCTGGCTTCAAGTGATCTTCCCAGCTCTGCCTCCCCAAGTACTGGGATTACAGGGATTACAGGCATGAGCCACCATGCCTGGCTAATTTTGTCTTTCTGTGCTTGGCTTATTTCATTTAACACAATGACCTCCAATTCCATCCATGTTGCTGCAGATGACAAGATTTCATTCTTTTTATGGCCAAATAGTATTCCATTGTGTATGTGTGTGTGTGTGTGTGTGTGTGTATATATATATATATATATATATATATATATATATATATATATATATATATACCATATTTTCTTTATCCGTTCATTTGTTGATGGACACATAGGTTGATTCCACATCTTGGCTATTGTGAACAGTGCTGCGATAAACACCCAAGTACAAATATCTCTTTGACATGGTGATTTCTTTTCCTTTGGATAAATATCCAGTAGTGGGATTGCTGGATCATATAGTAGTTCTATTTTAGTTTTATGAGAAATCTCAATACCGTTTTCCATAATGGCTGCACTAGTTTACATTTCCACCAACAGTGTATAAGAATTCTCTTCTCTCTGCACTCTCACCAGCATCTGTTATTTTCTGTCTTTTTGGTAATAGAAATCTTAACTGAGGTGAGATGATATCTCATTGTGGGTTTGATTTGTGTTTCTCTGATGATTAGCAATGTTGAGCATTTTTTCATGTACCTGTTGATGATTTGTATGTCTTATTTTGAGAACTGTTCGCTCATGTTCTTTGCCCACTCCTTAATGGAATTTTTATTTTTTTTTAGTGTTGAGTTGTTTGAGTCCTTGTATATTCTGGATATTAGTCTCTTGTCAGATGAACAGTTGGCAAATGTTTTTTCCCATTCAATAGGTTGTCTTTCCATTCTGTTGCTTGTTTCCTTTGCTGTGCAGAAGCTTTTTAGTTTAATTAATTCCCATTTGTCTATTTTTGGTTTTGTTGTCTGTACTTTTCAGGTCATAGTGATAAATTATTTCCCTAGACTAAAGACATGAAGTGTTTCCCCTATGTTTTCTTTTAATAGTTCCCATAGTTTTAAGTCTTACATTTAAGTCTTTAATACATCTTGGGTTGATTTGTGTATATAGTGAGAGATAAGGGTCCAGTTTCATTCTTCTGCAAATGGATATCCAATTTTCCTAGTACTATTTATTGAAAAGAGTGTGCTTTCCCCATTGTTTGTTCTTAACACTTTTGTTGAAATTCAGTTGGCTGTAGGTGAATTTCTTTCTGGGCTCTCTATTCTATTTCATTGGTCTATGTGTCTGTTTTTATACCAATACCATTCTGTTTTGGCTACTATAGCCTTGGAGTATAGTTTGATGTCAGGTGGTGTGATGTCTTCAAATTTGCTCTTTCTGCTCAGGTGTGATTCGACTATTTGGGCTCTTTGTTTCATACAAATTTTAGGATGGCTTTTTCTATTTCTGTGAAAAGTGATGTTGGTATTTTGATAGGGATTGCATTGAATCTATAGATTGCTTTGAAGAGTATAGTATTTAAATGGTATCAGTTCTTTCAATCCATGAGCAAGGAATGTCTTTCCATTTGTTTGTGCCCTCTTCCATTTCTTTCATCAGTGTTTTGCAGTTGTCCTTGTAGAAGATGGAATTACCTTCTTGATTTTTTTCTCAGCTATTTCATTGTTGGTGTATAGAAATGCTATAGATTTTTGTATGTTGAGTTTGTATCCTGCAACTTTATTGAAATTATATATCAGATCTAAGAGTTTTTTGGTGGAGTCTTTAGGTTTTTTTGGGTATAAAATTATATAATCTGCAAAAGGGACAATTTGAATATGTAACTTCTTTTCCAATTTGAATGCATTTTTATTTATTTCTCTAACCTGATTGCTCTGGTTAGGACTTCCAGTACTATGTTGAATAGGAGTGATGAAAGTGGACATCTTTGTCTTGTTCCAGTTCTTAGAGGAAAGGCTTTCAGCTTTTCCCCATTTGGTAAAATGTTAGCTGTGGGTTGGTCAGCCTTTATGTTGTTGAGGTATGTCCCTTCTAAGCCTAGTTTGTTGAGAGTTCTTGTTATGATGGGATATGGAATCTATTGAACATCTATTGAGATGATCATATGGTTTTTGTCTTCATTCTGTTCATGTGATGTATTAAGTTTATTGATTTGCATATGTTGAATCATTCTTGCATCTCTGGGATAAATCCCAGTTGATTGTGGTATATTATCTTTTTGATATGCTGTTGGATTCAGTTTGACAGTATTTTGTTGAGTATTTTTGCCTCTGTGTTCATCAGTAATATTGGCCTATTTTTTTTTTTTTTTTTTTTGAGACAGTCTTGCTCTGTCACCCAGGCTGGAACACAGTGGTATGATCTTGGCTCACTTTAACCTCTGCCTCCCGGGTTCAAGCAATTCTCCTGCCTCAGCCTCCCAAGTAGCTGAGATTACAGGCGCCTGCCACCACACCTGGCTAATTTTTGTATATTTAGTAGAGACAGGGTTTCACCATGTTGGCCAGGTTGGTCTCGAACTCCGGACCTCGTGATCCACCCACCTTGGCCTCCCAAAGTGCTGGGATTACAGGCATGAGCCACTGCACCCGGCCTGTAGTATTTTTTTTTATTGTGTCCTTGTCTGGTTTTCTCTCAGAATAATACTGGCTTCATAGAATGAGTTGGGGAGAACTCCCTCCTGTTTGATGTTTTTGAATAGTTTGAGGAGAATTGATGTTAGTTCTTCTTTTAAGGTTTGGTAGAATAGCAATAAAGCCATTGGTCCTGGACATTTATTTATTAGGAGATATTTTACTACTGATTCAATCTTATTACTTGTTATTGGTCTGTCAAGTTTTTTATTTTGCAAGGTGCCTTTTGATGAAAATAATTTACATTGGATTACTAGATTAGATATCTTGTCAGATGACTTACTTTCTAGCTTACTCCAGAAAAACTAATGGTGAATTACTAACTCCTCAATAAAGAATATTATTTGAAATAATTTTTGAAATTTCATAATTACTTTGGGTTCTTTCTTAATGATAAATAAATAATAGTATATTACAAACATACATTAATATTTCCTGAATGAATACACCACAAATCTCCCTTAAAATATAGCAAGAATAAAAATTATACTATTTCTGACAATTTTTAATTTCTCAAATAATAATACCACTCTGATTTTTAAACATCTACACCACTCTGGCTTTGCCAATCTTTTTAAAAATTGAAAAGATAATAATTTTATCATAATTACACTGAAGCATAGAACTTTTTCTTTCAAGGAAAGCAAATTTTTGAAATTCTATAATATAACCTCCCATAATCCTGAATAAATTAAAGGTTCAACAACTTAGTAAAGTAAGACTGACCTTCCCTTTTATTTCTTTTTCAGATCAAAAATCTTACTTTTATAGGAGCAGTTTTCAACTCCTAAATGTTGAATATAATAGTCAGTTAAATTCACCAGCTACACAGGAATACAGGACTTTGAGTGGAAGAATTGAATCTCTGGTAAGTTAATATTTGTCTTTGCTCTTTATTCCATTATAAAATGAATATGATAATAAACCTAATGTTTTGTAATATATTTTCAGTTGCTAAGTGCTCTACATATTTTCCTTCCTTGAATGGTGAAACATGTGTTTCTCTCTGCTTTTATCCAGTTAGTTTACTCATATACTGGTTCTTATTCACATCTTTGTCATGAGTAAAAAGTGTTAGAAAGGCCACGAGTAAATATGCATTTTATTTGTTTATGAATTCAAATACTAAAAGTTTTTTATTTGTTTAATTAAGCATTGACATTGTCTTTTTAAATTCTTTTCATTTTACCTTCTTCCCTCTTCCTTATCCAACTAAAGACGCAAAGCAGGAGGTGTTAAAAAACAGGTTTACCATATCAGCAGTAACATAGTTTGGACAACATTACACTTTGGTTCAATGATAGACATAGAAGTTTGAACAGAAATATGCAAAGCAAGTTTGAGCTCTAACTTGAAGAGAGCCTCTGGGTGCCTGCCAGGAAACCTCACGAGTGGACCCTTAACATTCATGTGTCACCACAAACTAGGGGCTGCCCTTTAGTTTTGACCAGTCTCAGTGTCACTCACTTACCCTTACCTTTTCAAAAAAAAGTCCTAAGAATATAAAGTAATTCAATGGTTCTACAATTTTAGCATGTAACTGAGTCACCTGGCAGGGTTGCTTTGGTGAGCTCAAGATAAAATTTTATCAGCATTTCTACATTTTCTGGAATATTCCTTAATCCAGGCTTTTAATCCCTTGGTGCTTTTCTGAACCACTGCAATGAGCTTCTAACTGTTCTCACTGTGTGCAGGCTCTTTTCCTTCTAATCTAATTTACACACTTCTGAACACAAATCTCTCACAGCCTGTTTCCTTCATGTTACCTCCAGCTCAAGACTTTTTGCCTACAAAATAAAATTCAAACTTGTTAGCTAAGCACCTTCTCATGTCTATGCTTTGGCTCATATTTCAGCCATCGTGTGCCCCACTTATTCTTATAGCCAACCTGAAAAGCCATCTTTTATAAGAAACTACCTCTGCTCTCCATGATTGGATATAATTAATCCTCCTTCCACATCACCTCGCCACAAAATTGTATCTGTGTTGATCTCATGCCACATACCTGTATGTATTTTATATTATAAATATTTGCAGACTTGTTTAATTTGCCATGTTAGACTAAGTTCCATGAAGACAGCTCCATATCCATTCCATTTTTATATATCCACAACATTTGGTCGGGTTGATGCTTAATAAATGTTTATTGAAGGAACAGGAGTCTCCCACTTCTGACATAATGAACTTATTTCCCCCAGTGTTAACCCTACATCTGGTTCCTGTCCAAGAGTCTCTTCCCAAATCATTCTGATTCAACTGTTCATTCTGATCTCATTAAACATTTAAATGATATATCTAACTTCGCTTGCTTTATTCTATGCTCATCCTGCAGTCTCCTCATAACTTGGTTTCAATGATGCTTGCTTCTAGAGAAAAAAATGTATTAAATAAGCTTATGATTCAGTCCTCCAGCTGTGATGGTTCTCACTGAACATTAGCTCAGTGGTTTTCGAAGTATGGTCTCTAGCATAACCTAGAAACTTGTTAGAAATGCAAATTCTTGGGCTCACCAAGACATACTAAATCAAAAATTCTGACATTGGGGCCTAGAAATCTGTGTTTTAACAAGCCTGCCAGTGCAGCCTGGTCCCTTTTCTTCTCGGAGCCCCACTCAAAGCTTTCAGTGCTCATCTCCCACCAATGACAGGGTCCTCTATGGAAACCGGCAGGACGGTTTCCAACTCTAACTACGTTTTAGAGTTTGCTTCCTAGGGCTATCCAGGCACCAAGTATCACAGGTTAGTTTCCCAGGGAAGCAGACTCTGAGACTTGCATGCAGGGAGTGTCTCTGGGGTGCTCTCAACCAACACCTTCAGGAAGAGAAGGAAGCAGCATTGGGCAGAGGCATAGTCAAACTACAGTGCTGTTGGCACAGAAGACTGAAGGGAGTCAGAGCCAGGGGGTAGAGGTGGGCCCTTAGCATCCATCCTTCACCATTAGGTGTGAGTTGCCCCACCTCCTTGATGGTGTAACCTCAGTCCCAAGGTGGGTGGGAGTGCAGCAGAGCAGCCCCTACAAGGGCCAAACCAGAGATACACCAGGCGCCAGAAGTGCTGCCAGGGAATAGAGAGGAAAGGATGGGCTTAAGGTAGGATCCACAGAACTTGGCAATGGATTAGAAGACAGGATGAGAAGTGACAGGTTAACACTAACACAGAAATGTCTAACTTCGGTAGATAATGGTGCCATTGGCTAGAAGAGGAAACCGAAATGAAAGCAGGTTGTTCAGGGAGACAAAAGTTCACTGTGGACATCTCAGCAGAGTGATTCAGTGGGGAAAGGAATGGATGCCCAGACCACCTCAGAGGAAGATCTAAGCTGGAGCCAGCAATAAAGATACAAGATGAACAATCCCTAACGAACTGCTCCTCAGCCATGCTCCCCAGACACGCTGCTTCAGATTTATAGTCCGGGTGAGGCTAGGAGGTGCGCCTCCCTCAGTGGAGGACAGCAAAGCACCAGTGGCTCCAGGGAGTTAAAATCTTTTGATAATTTTTGTTCTAGCATCTGTCTGCAGAGCTGTCTCTCAGCCATTGCCTGCCTTTACACAGGAGTGCAGTCCGAAATTGGGAGATGAGTGAAATTTATTATGCCTAGAGATCTGGATCCCCAGTTGTTTGGGAGTATATTTTCTGAACCACTTGTTGGTTTAAGTAATGCAGATTTATTGATGCCACTTCTCTTGAATCTGTGACTCTGGACCCACCATCTAAGTGAATGTGCAGAGGGAACGGAATGGCTGCAATAGATCTCCATTAAAACCAGTGCATCCTCCCAGACACATACAGTAGTAGGGAGGTGAGTCAATGTCAGGACAGCACCAGCTCCCGCTTCGGTACATTTCCAAAGTTCTCAGTCTGTGTACAAAGGTTTGCTCTGGGGCAGCAGAAATAGCCCTGGGCAGGTAGTCAAAGGCCTGGTTTGATTTCCTCCACTTCCAGGCAAGTCACTCGAAGGCTCACAGGCTTTTTCCTCACCTGCCACATGGGTCCAGTGAGATCTACTGAGCTGTAAATAATGAAATGAGTGTGTGTGCAGTCATCTATAAGTTGTAAAGTACTAGAAAATGGTGAAACTTTGGGATTTGGGCTATTTAAGGCTGAATGCTAAAAATGTCAGGCATTGTGGAGAAAGGAATTTAAATATAAGATTGATTGACTGGGATTTAAAGACAAATGAAGGCACACACGCAAGTGCACACCCACACTGACACTGCACAGCTCCCGTTGGAGGCATATCCTGACCATGCAGACCTGGGGCTCTGCCTGTCCAAGTGCACTCCTTTACTACATAAACCCTCCTTCTCTTTTGGGGCTGTCACCCCACCAGAGCTGGCACCGAGCCCTTGCTGCTGCGCTTCCCTGGGGTGTCAGCTTTTGACAGGGTGTTTCCTCCCTCTGCAGGAGCCTTAACATCCCTTGGACTTCCTTCCCCCCACCCACCCCCAGCAGTTTTATCTCTTCCTAACTCGGGACCCTTTTTTTCCCACACAAAGTTTATTGTCAGTTGCTGGTTTCATCTGTTTGAGCGGCTGCAACAAAATACCATAGACTGGGTGGCATATGCACGACAAAAATTTATTTCTCACAGGAGAAGTCAAAGATTAATGCACCAGCAGATCTGGTGTCTGAGGGGCCACCTTCTGGTTTGTAGATGATGCTTTCTAGTTAAAACACCTATTTAACACACTATTAAACACTAAGTGTGTTAAATAGTGCAGTTGATGTATTTGTCATGTCACCTTTATCATACACTAAATCCTTCTTTGTCTTTTTTTCTGTACTCTAATCTCTTTCTGTAAGTAATCTTTGCTTGCAGCAGTAGGATATTTAGAGTACTGTGGCTTGACAATATATTTAGTATTTCAAGATTTCCATGAAATTCTTCTGATGTATGAGTTCCCTAGTTAATCTTACATATGTATCCCTTTGTAAAAACACTTTGAACATTTAAAATGATACATGAATAGTACTCTAATACAATGCCATAAAAATTATAAATCATTTGTATAGACTGGTAAGTAAAGATTGTGAGATTAAGAAACGCATCAAAGGCCATTGAGCTGGAAAGTGGTATAATGAGAATTCAAACCAGGGTCTCTTGACTCAAAATCTAAGGATCATACCATTTCTCATGATAATATGAGTATTATTGTTATCTCTATCCCATAGACAAAGTGTTAACACTGAATGAGCAGTGAAATAGTCTCAGAATTTTTTATTTTATTTAGCAATTCACTTGTCATTTCTGGTCCTCAGTTTATTCACGAGTAAAATAAAATAGTTGGACTAGATAATTTCTATAGTACATTCTTACACAAAAAATCTATGATTTTGTTATTTTTAATGTGATATACTCATGGCACTCATTCACCTCATTTTCCCAGCCTGCCTCACTGGTCATTACTTCTCTGTGTTCTTTACAGGCTCCCCCTCCTCTACACTGCCATTAAATATTGAAACACCTCAAAGCTTTACTTATGTCCACCTCTCCTCTGACACTATCATTCTGTCTAGATGATCCCATACATACATGCCCATTACTTCAACCTGTATTTATACGCCAATGATTCACTATATTTCCAGCCTAGACATTCTTTTGTACTCTAGTTACCAGCTTGATATCCTTACATGGCTGTTTCAAAACAACTCAAATATATTATCTCTCAAAATCAAACTCATGATGTCCCCACACCATCCTAGCTTTCCACCAACAATACCTATCCCTATTAATAGCAATACCATTTATTCAGTTATCCAAATCAAAAACCTAGAATTCATCCTTAAAATTCTACTATCATTCCAAATATCCTATCCATCAGCAGCCACTGTATTCTTAATCCCCTGTATTTCCTTCAAATCCATTCACCTCTCTCCATATCCATTGCTGCATGACTATCCAAGCCATCGCCTCTACCCTAGGGTACCAAAATAGCAACAAACCTAATCTGTTCATTTGCATTATTTTTTCTCCAAAACTGATTATCTATATGTAGCAAGACAGATTGTTCTCAAATTGCAAATCCCACTATATTATCCTCTTGCTTCAAACACTTCCATGGTTTCCCATTGTTTATGATAAAACCAAATGCTTCAAGTTCGAAGACCGGCATGATTGGGAATTTCCTGTCACCCTAGCCTACTTGCTCTCCATGGTACAGTTGCACTGGCTTTCTTTCATTCCTTAAGTACAACCTGTTTCCTCCCACCTCAGGACTGTGCATGTGCCATTCATTCTGCTGAGGAGCCTTTTTCCTTCCACTTCAATCAGCTAAGTCTGATTCTTCCTGACAATCTCAGCTCAATAAGCATTTCCTCTAAGAAATGTCTCTAATATCATTAATTGGCTCAGGTCCCTCTACTGTATTGCTGCACTTTTCACAGTTATAATTTTACTTAATTATGAATGATTATTTGATTAGGTCTATTTCCATCCATTAGACATAAGCTTCATGATGGCCAGATTACTGTTTTCTATCCATCGTTGTATTCCAATACCTGACAGAAGGAGGGCGGGAGGTGGTGGCACACAAGAGATGCTCAAAAACAATTGTTGAATAAGTAAATGAATGAGGCCATTTAGAAATAACGAAAGTACCTGTTTACAAAGTACATGTATCAAAACTATGAATGCATTCTACTTACATGGTTTTCTCCAAATAAAACAAAAGACTTCAATCAGGATTAATACCTGGGATAAACTGAGTCATTAAATCTCTCCTTTGCCATCAGGAGTGACATTGAAACAAATGTCTGCAAACAACAAATACTTTTTTCCCAAAATATATTGAATGGCATTTCCATAAACAAACTAGAACATGGGAGGAGAAAGAAAGCAATATTAATTTAAAATTAATCTTATCACATAACTTATACCATCAGGGATTTCGGGTAAAATTCCTTTCAGGCACATCCATTTAACAAGAATTGATTGTTACTGAAAGCCTAGAAGAGAATTTGGCACATACTTGGTGTTCAAATATTTGTTGACTGAGTGAATAAATGATGCAAGTGTCTAAGAAACACAAAATAAGGACATGATTACAGTCACGGTGGAGTTCACAGTCATCTCCAAAATGAGGATATGCATCCCAGGGAGGACCAACAATTCATTGGAGTGCTGAAATAAAATACTCAAAGGTCATTTTACATGTATTTTTTCTCTAAATTACTTTTCTTAAGACACAGAAAACAAAAAAAGAAACTTAGCTTTGTTACTTTCTAACAAATAGTTAAATCATTAAACAGGATTGACACTAGCATCCTTGTTTGGTCTTATGCCTTAGGGGAACATGAAATGTGTGAAGACATTCTGAGATCTGAGGGAAGGGTAGACAGTAATACAGTGGGACTGACCAGGCTTCAGCACACCTTTACCTCCTCTCAGCAGATTTCAGTGATGAGCAGTTTACAACTAGATTGAAAGATTATATTATCTAGTTCTAAAAGAAAACTAAGCCTCCCAAAAGCAACAAGGGAACTGAGAGGAATCCTGCAAAACAAAAACAAATTTTAAAACTTGCACTTTGTAATAACCCTAATATGTAATCACAGTAATGAACAGTAAGATAATGACAGAACTGACATATTTCCTTATCTATTAAAGCCATATTAACAGGTAAAGCAATGCCAGTCAGTGGTACACTTCTTAGAAGATATTTAATACATACTAGACACATACACACACACAACATTTTCCTTCAAGGTGTATGTATCAGAAAATCACTTTTTAAGGCCGGATGCAGTGGCTCAGGCCTGTAATCCCAGCACTTTGGGAGGCCGACGTGGGCGGATCATCTGAGGTCAGGAGTTCAAGACCAGCCTGCCCAACATGGCGAAACCCCATCTCTACAAAAATACAAAAATTAGCCAGGGATGATGGTGGATGCTTGTAGTCCCAGCTACTCAAGAGGCAGAGGCAGGAGAATCACTTGAACCTGGGAGGCAGAGGTTGCAGTGAGCCAAGATCACCCATTGCACTCCAGCCTGGGCAACAGAGTGAGACTCTGTCTCAAAAAAAAAAAAATCACTTTTTAGATAAAATTCATGCTATAGAGAGAAGACTATGAAAATATGTTTAGCAATGTGTCCATCATTAGGTGATTGAGTTTCCTTTTGTTTTGTTTTACTGAAAATCATATAAAGTATGTTATCTGTAAAAGTTCTCTGACATGCACACATAAAAATTTGGGAGAAAAGATTAACTATAATGTTTAATAGATTTTGTACACATTTCTTTAAAAATATATAAAACACAACACCTTTCAATTGGTTTGCAAGAATAACCAATTGACATCATGGAAAATGGAAATTCACTTGCTGAATTTTAACAAAAATTTGCATGATGAGTGAGACTGACAACTTAGTGTCATGATTTAATGAATTATGCCAATGGTAAACTTCATGCACATGGGGCCAGGTAATTATGTGGAAACTTTTTCAATGCTTAAAGCCAAGTATTGAAATTAAACTTAGAATCAGACCTTTGAACCATTTTATGACAATGTTCAAAAATTATAAATTCTATCCACTTATATTATAATATTAAAAATATCATTACAAAAAAAACCTGTGTTTATTTTATAACTCAGCCTTTTTAATTTCTAATTTCATAAATATATTATAATGGATATTGTTAGTAATGTAGTATTATTACATGTATATAATTTATAAGTAAATATACATGTTTTGGCTACTCATGCATAAAATGTTTCACCCATAGGAGCACATAATCAGAAATGTCTGGAGACCATTATAGTAATAGATAGATCATATTGCCACATATTTTATCTCCTCCTTGACAACTGAGCTTTCCAGATCTTCTGGTGAAACGAAAGAGAAAGTTGTAACAGAAGAGTGATTAAAATGACAAAAGCATTACTTCTATTACTTCTATTCTAATAATATGAGCAAAGCTATAACTATCAAGTAATAATGCACTAAAGAAGGTGATTAATCTGATATATTCACAGGCAACTAATAAGACCTTTCTATTGCAGCCATGAAAAATATGTGACAATTATAGATATCCTGTGTGCAGTGTTTCAACCTTTATGTGACCTGTTCTACTAACAGATTTAGTGATGTTCACTTTGTTAGAATTTTCTTACACATGCCATAACTTGCTTCAGTCTTTTGATTATGAATATTATGGATATTAAGGATTCTAGACTATTCTAGATTTAAAAAATAATATTGTCACCTCAATCAGAAGGGAAATATTAAATAGTTCTCATTTTTTCAATGTTTACTCAGTTTTTGTCCAATGTAATGAAAGTGTCAGCAGTACAGGTTACAAAATAAAATGTGTATTAAAGTAAACTCATTTGAACAGGTTAATAATTGTAGAGGGAGGGAAAAGGCTAAAAGATTGAATGTAAAACTTATGAAAAGTAGATACATCGTCTCTATGATTTGCAGTAGTCAACTGCATACAGATGAATCATTTTAATACACGTTAACTACTTTCCTTTTACAGATGGAGAAACTGAGAGGAAGAAAGTTTATATGGTTCATTAAACTTTGTGATGCAAGCTAAACTAACCTGTCTCTGTATTTTCCATCTACTGCCCTTATCACTATCTCATTAGAATACTCTTCAAGCATCTCCTTACTGATTTTCTTACCAAGCATTTGTTAAGTTCTAATGAGAGTTGGTAGTAACATTTTCACCCACTCTGTGAAATATGAAATCTTATTCATAGGCCTCTTCTTTTATTCTTGTATTTGCATATCAACCAATTAATCAACTTGCTTTCTTTATGTTGCTTATTATCTTAGTCCTTACTAAATTGCCTCTTAATGTTGTCCACATAACAGAAATGTTAAGGTGGATACTTAACATTTTAGTCCAGTCTAGCCGGTGCCAGTGCAATGCCAAATCATGAATTAAAATATAATTACAAGAACCACTTATCAAATTTTAACAATTCCTTCAGCTTTGTGACAGTTTTTTCTACTTCGATTAAAGTCAAGTAAAATTAAAGTTAAATATTTTTATTAAAATATCTCCTTTAACATTCCATATTAATAAACATATTAAAGCTCATGCTTCTAAGTAGATTACTAGAAGTTACTTTATCGAATTACAGCAATGGTTAATTCTAGATCATAGAATTTAGAATGACTTTTTGCCTTCTTCTTTTTTTTCCTTTTTTTTAAACAGAGTCTTGCTCTGTTGTCCAGGCTGGAGTGTACTGGCGCGATCTTGACTCACTGCGACCTCTGCCCTGCAGGTTCAAGTGATTCTCCTGCCCCAGCCTCTTAAGTAGTTGGGATTACAGGTGCCTGCCACCACACCTGGCTAATTTTTTTTTTGTATTTTTAGGAGAGACAGGGTTTCACCATGTTGGCCAGACTGGTCTCGAACTCCTGACCTCAAGTGATCCACTTGCCTCAGCCTCCCAAAGTGCTGGGATTACAGGTGTGAGCCACTGTGCCTGGCCTGACTTTTTGCTTTCTTCTTAATACTTACTAGTATTTCTTGAATTTTTAAAAAAGAAACATAAAGTACTTTGATAAAACCAACAGTCTCATTGTTCTTAAAATTGTTCAAAGGTTCTCTGGAAAAAAAAAAGAAAATTATCATTTGGTTAAGAATCATGTTGGTCTGACATCAATCATCCTATAGGAGTGAATATTGAAAAAGTAAGATATATTGTGGTATAATCGAGATTGCATAAATTTTACCATTTTTGAGAAGAATCTGCTCCAAATCCTGGCTTAATGTAATATCCAGCATGCTACTTAATTTTCTTGTCTTCACCTTTTCATATCCACATCCACCTAGGTGCCACCTCACAGTATAAGCCAGCATAATCCATTCTTCTCAATGAAACCACAATACATCTGACCCTGCATCTCAGGAGAACTGTATCAGCCACAGCACTTCCAGTTGACTATGAATCTGAATGTTATGCCTCAGGAGAAACATCCTTGCTGGGACTGAGTAGTGATTCAAGGAGATAGTTATGATTCAGTCAAGAAATTAATAATTAGTGTTATTTTTATTATTGAGACAGAGTCTCGTTCTGTAGCCCAGGCTGGAGTACAGTGGCATGATCTCGGCTCACTGCAACCTCTACCTCCCCGGTTCAAGTGATTCTCCTGCCTCAGCCTCCCAAATAACTGGGACAGCAGGCACTTGCCACCACGCCTAGCTAATTTTTTGTATTTTTAGTAGAGACGGAGTTTCACCGTGTTAGCCAGGATGGTCTCGATCTCCTGACCTCAAGGTCCACCTGCCTCAGCCTCCCAAAGTGCTGGGATTACAGGCGTGAGCCACTGCGCCCGGCCATAAATTATTAACTGAGCCAGGCACAGTGGTACACACTTATAGTCCCAGATACTCAGGAGACTGAGGTTGGAGTATCCTTTTTTATGTTATTTTATTTTTAATTATTATGGGTACATAATAGGTGTACATACCCATGGAGTACAAGTCATGTTCTGATACAGACACATAATGTTTAATAATCACATCAGGGTAATTGGGATATCCATCACCTCAAGCATTTATCTTTCTTTGTGTTAGGAACATTCCACCTCCACTCTTGGAATAGGCACCCTGTTGTGCTATTAAATACGAGGTCTTATTCATTTCATCTAACTATATTTTTCTACCCATTAACCATCACCTCTTTTCCCCTCTTCCCCACTACCTTTCCTGTGAGGCTGCAGGATTCTTAAGCACAACAGTTAGAGGCCAGCCTGGACAACATAGTGAGACTCAATTTCTAAAAAATAAAAAAGAAATTACCAACTAATGCTAAAAAAATAGTCTCTGATGCTTAGGTATGAATTAGAAATGACCAAAAAAAAAAAAAAAAAAAAGACTGCCCTTTGCTTCCTTCTCCCCTTCTCTTCAAGTTTTCCATTGCTACTCATTTTAGTCTGGTTTAATCAGGTTTCATCCATTAAAAGCAATTGTTGGGATCACACATTTTGAGTTGTGTCAGTGGACTTCCCTCATGCTGGCATGATTCCTGCCCCAAGCCCTTAGTAAAAGCCACCAAGCCATATAACATAATCTCTCATTGAGTAAAACATCTGATGTGTTTAGAATGACTTCTAGCAAAAAACCAGCCTGTCCAGCATCATCTCTGTATAACAGATAAAGGAATAGGTACTGCATCAAAAGGTTATAGAACCTGCCCAAATCAATCCCATGTGTTTTGCAATGGAATTAGGTTGAACTAAAGTGAAAATTCAGTTTTCTACTCCTCATTAACATGTCTCATGTTGCAAGGTTGAGAGGAAGGAGAAGAAGAACTGTATTTACAGAGAGATTCCCCCTCTCTTTCTTTCTACAGATTACTAAAACATTCAAAGAATCAAATTTAAGAAATCAGTTCATCAGAGCTCATGTTGCCAAACTGAGGTGAGTGGAACTGTAGAAAAAATATTTAAGTATAGATACAATGTGGCATACTTGACTTTTTGTCACAGAATGAATAGTAAATGACATGTTCAGATAAGTTGTTGTAATATTATGAAAATAGTATTTTAGTCAGCTTAAAAACCAATGCCAAAAAAGCCAAACATATGATCTATTTAGCTACTAATGTAAATAACCATATTATATCTATTCTTATTGGGAAGAGGAAGAAGGGGTGGAGAGAGAGTTGGGGTGAAGGTACAGTAACAAGGCCATCCTATTGTAAAACTCCAGTGGATATCATTCACAGTGCAGCCTATGTAAACAGTCCCTCCTGGAGTTGTACAATGCTGTGGTTTGGGTGTATCCATCCAAGATCAAGACACTATGACCAACATCAAAAGTGGCTTTTTGGTTTTATCTGCCTGATGTGCTATAATAAAAGGGTATTATGGCCAAATCCAAGGCATGTCTATCATGAATTAATAATAGGAGGAGTAGCAGCATGCATGCTAGTTATTTGCCATTCCTGCCTTAGTTAAATATGATGTGATAAAACCAGCCTTTCCAACTGAAATAGTCACCTTTACTGACTCTCCCGCAAATGTCTCAAATGACCACATTGCTCTAGTCTTTAAATAATATGCAATAGTTCTTTGGTAGAAGAGGAATTATACTAATTCTTTCTCAAATACTAGCATCACAAGAAAATTAATTCTTGTTCTCTGGAGAGTCACCTAGTAAGTATCTGGAGCACAGATGTCTGGTCAGGTAAGTTTTGATGAGGAGTTAAAGGGATAAGAAGAGTCCATGAGAAGGGTATTTTCCAAAACACCTTTCGGTCAATTCAGTGCACATTCACTTAGTACTTTCTTGTCAGTATCTGTATCAGCCACTAATGTTCAAAAGTGAGTAAGCCCTGAAAACCTGTAGGACTACATGAGCCTTCTGCCTTTTCTCTCCTTTTGTTCACTTCCCACTTATCACTCAATCCTCTGCAACCTGGCTTCAATACCACCATAAAATATCAACTGCTCTTGCCGATTCAACAATGACATCCAGATAACAAAATCCAAAGAAACCACATCAGTCCTATTCTTGGACCTTTCAACAGTATTTGGTCCTGTTGGCCTGTCACTCCTTGAAATAGGACTATCCCTTGGTTTGCATGGCCTTGTATACCCTGATTTTCCCCTTACCTCCCTAGCTATTCCTTCTTAGTTTCCTTTACTAGGTCTTACTTCTTTGTATATTCCTTAAATGTTGCTGAACATCAGGCTGTGCTCTAGGCCTCTCATCTTCTCAGGTCACACTCTCTCCTTTCCTTGGCCTTCACTGCCACCCATATGCTGAGTGCTCTCAAAGTTGTATCTCTAGGCCAGTCCTCTTTTGCCTCCAAACATGAATATATGCAGCCATCTACTTGGTACCATCACATGGATAATTCTCATGATCTCTTCCAGTATGACTGCTTCTTTATTTTTTTCTGGGCTCTTTTTTAGCATTGCTTTACATGGAACTTTATCATGTCTCTCAACCTCTATTTTATCTTTTATCTATGTATGTAGAGTCTGTGTAATTTCTTCATCTCTTTTAGATAACTAATATCTCTTCAGCTTTGACTTGTATTCTGTGTAACCCATTTATTGCGTTTTCAATTTCAATGAGTATGTTTTCCTATCTGCAAGTTCTATTTGTTTCTTTTGAGAATCTTCCTGGTCTTTTAAACACATTTCTTATTTTAATTTTTGGGGGTACCTAGTAGTTGTATGTATTTTTGGAGTACATGAGATGTTTTGATACAAGCAAACAATGCATAATAATCACATTGTGTAAAATGGGGTATCCATCCCCTCAAGCATTTATCCTTTGTGTTACAAACAATCCAATTATATTCTTTTAGTTATTTTTAAATGTACAATTAAATTATTATTGACCATAGTGACTCTGTTGTGCTATCAGATACTAGGTGATCTTTTAAAAATAATGTTTTCTACTTAATCTCATTTTTATGATTCCCTCTTTTACGTCATTTGTCATTTCAAATACAGTCACTTGTCTGTTGATTCTATTATGTGAAGTTTTTGAGGATAATCTTTTTGTTACTTTGATTCCACCTTGGTATGGTTTGGCTGTGCCCCCACTAAAATCTCATCTTGAACTCTGGTTCCCATAATACCCACATGTTGTGGGAGGGACCTTGTGGGAGGTGATTAGATTATAGGGACGTTTCCCCCCTTTGCTCTGTTCTTTTTCCTGCCACCATGTAAGAAAGATGTGTTTGCTTCCCCTTCTGCCATGATTGTAAATTTCCTGAGGCCTCCGCAGCCATGCAGGACCTCTTTTCTTTGTAAATTACCCAGTCTCCGGCGGTTCTTTATAGCTCCGTGAGAAAAAACTAATACACACCTCATGATGTATTGTTTACCACTGAAATTGTATGCTTAAATTTAATCTCACTTGGGACCCTGTACAACCTAGACTTAACATATCTACCTCCAGAGCAGTTACATCTGTCAGACATTCTAGAGGAATCAGCAGCACATGGACTTTGTTGTTGTTAATTTGTTGTCGGGGGAGGGGGGAGGGATAGCATTAGGAGATACACCTAATGCTAAATGACGAGTTAATGGGTGCAGCACACCAACATGGCACATGTATACATATGTAACAAACCTGCACGTTGTGCACATATACCCTAAAACTTAAAGTATAATAATAATAAAATTAAAAAAAAAAAGGTTCTGGGAGTATTCAGGTAGTATTAATGAAGATTCAGACATCGTGCAGCCAGGCCCATGCTTATGAATTTTCAGGTGATACTTCTTTTTCTTTTTTCTTAATTTAAAGCTGGATCTCGGAAACAGATAAATTTATTTTTTTATGACATGACGAGCATTTTTTTCATTCTAGTTCATGCTGTTATTGGGTGTTTAGTTCTTTGAGACTCCTGGCCTTTTTCTAAAACCTCAAGTTCAACTTCCTATTTTGCACTGGCCCAAGGTCCCATCTCCAGTCTCTATGTAAATGCTAAACATAAGCCTGTGGAATATTCTAGTCTCACCACATACTATTCACATTCTTCTTTGTTTTTGGTCTTCCAGGATTTTCCTTACTTTTCTATGAACCCAGTCTTGCATTTGAAATGGAATTTATTATATATTATCTATCCTTTCTATTTGTTTTATGCAGAAAGTGTTTTCTAAAATTATTTAGGCTTCCATATTGCTAGACATGGAAGTTGTAATTATTTGTTCAGTGCCTGTTTCTACATCTAAACTGCAAGACCCATATGGCAACTGTGAATCTTAGTCCCAGCTAATTTCTGAAGCTTAGAATAGTGCCTAGCACAAGAAGTTGTTTATCTAACATTTTTAAAAATAAATATTAAATTCATATCTGGAATGAATATTAAGTTAGAGCTGGTCATTGAGGTGAGAGGAGGAAGCCAAGAGAGAATATGAGAGCCTCAAAGCCAAATATCTTTAATGTACTTTTTCAGAAAAGAAGACAGCCAATGTCAGGTGGAGGAACTGGTTTATGAGGTAACTTTCCTGGAAGAAAATAGAAATTACTGAGGTTTTAGATAATCCAAATATTTAATCAAGTCACCAAGGTTTATTGTGGGGAATCTTTATTATTAATTAAAATGAGTGATGAAATCTTAATATACGACAAAAGTTAAAATTTGCTTTTGCAGGCAGATGAATGGTCTAGGTATCAAAAAATTAAGTTGAGTCTCTAACTCACACAAATTTACAACCCTATCACTTTATGAATTTGTTTAGGAGATTATTTTTAATAACACTGGTGAAGTCTAAGAATAGCTAAAATTTATAGTACACTTATTGTGTGCTATTGACTCTTCTTTGAAGTTTTGCATATAGTGATTCATCTAATCTTCATAACCCATTTTACATGTGAAGAAACTTAGATATAGAAAGATTAAGAAACTTACATAACTTATCCAAAGTTACACAGTAAAACTCTGGCATTATAACTTCAAAATCAGCTATCCTACAGTGAGTACAGTGTTCTGTGCATTGAAATCAAATAAGTGAGATAGCATCGTGATATAGTATTACGTATGCAAACACTGTTACAGAGATCTGTCTAAAGTTAAATTCCACAAATGAATTCTTTAAAAGGGTTTAATCAAGAAGAATATATAAACAGGATGGTGAAAAATTGTCATATTATTTGTTTTTTAAAATATCTTTATGATTTACAGGCAAGATGGTAGTGGTGTGAGAGCGGATGTTGTCATGAAATTTCAATTCACTAGAAATAACAATGGAGCATCAATGAAAAGCAGAATTGAGTCTGTTTTACGACAAATGCTGAATAACTCTGGAAACCTGGAAATAAACCCTTCAACTGAGATAACATGTAAGTATAATTTTTCATAAACAATTTTATTTCAATATATCCCTCAAGTTTACCAATTCAAATTCATATTTTAATTGAGAGGCTGACTTTTCTTTCTTTGAAACTAAACTGTGAAAACAATCCATTAAAAAGCTAAATATACCATATAGCTCCCTAACGTAAATCATTCTAAGACTTAAAGAATCATTTGGCATTTATATAGTAAATTTTATTTGCTAAAAATTCTCATTAATTATCCCTGCAACATTCCTTATGAGTGATGTTACTGTCAGATGTCATTAGTGGATAGGCCATAGGAGGGGTACATAGATGCTCAAGGTCAGAGAACTATTTAATTAATGATCCACCTCAGAGGCTTCTTCATTTTTCTTTGTAACATTTATCACAATTGAAATTACAAAGTTATCTGTGTAAATTTTGTATTGTTTGGCTTCATCCTACACTGTAATCATCCTAAAAGAAAGAACCAGTCAACCTTCTTCATCCTACTACCCTCCTACCACCCAGTCTCCATCATATAACACATATTCAATAAATAATTCTTGCATGACTGAAAGAAAAGAAATAATATATGCATAGAATTTAAGGACATTCCTCCAAGTTGGTTACATTCTGCTAGTTTAATAAGCCATTATTTCTTCTCGATGAGCTCAAGATTAAAAGGATTTTGATGATTCCCATACTAGACTGGTAGGTACCAGTTACAGATGTACTAACTGTTAAATATTGAAATGCTTTCCTATTTGTTGGTAAACAATTACTGCATCAGGCCCACAAAGTTGTCTTCCGAGATGTTTCAAATCCACTGCCCCTGCTGCTAAAGAGTTATGCTTAGCAAAGCAAAGCACTCTAAGACACTGCTCCAACTCCATGGCCTGATTGCATCTTTTATGACTGGCCAATGCTCACGCACTGCAGTTTGTTAGGTAGTTGAATATTACCTCTGCTTCCACACATTAAGGAATGCTCCCGAACGCACTTCCCAAGTGTTTATTTATTTATCATTATACTAGACAATATGGTGATACGATGGTCACAGAATAGCGGTTTCCACCTCCAGAGCCCATAATCTAGTTGAAGGGAAAGATATTCCAACACAAGAGTGTTGACAATCAAGATAGAATATGATCAAGGGCCCAGTGTGAGGCCCAGGCAATGATCACTGCAGGAATCTGGGGAAGAAAGAGACCAGCGTGCTTGGGATATCTAGCAAAAGTTTCATGAAGGAGAATGGACTTTGACTTTGAAATATGGGTAGGATTTACATATTTTGAGATGAGAAAAAGAAAGTTCCCAGAGAAGGAAAGCATGAAAAGGCAAACAGTCTGTACTGAACGCGATGCTTTGACAGAATAATGAAGAAAGGGACCTGCTGGAATGATTGATCAGTGTTCATCATTCACACCATCATCATCAAAACACTTATTTAATGAGAACTTACTGTTTTTTAGGCATGGCTTTAATGCCCTATATGAATTTTTTTCTTGATTAATCCTTACAACAAACATATCCCATAGATAGTTTTATTGTCCCCCTTAGAAAAGATAAATTGCCTAGGCTGACACAGTCAGTATATGAGGCAGTCAGGATTCAAACTAAGTCTGTTTGTTCAAAAAATTAAGAATGGCCAGCTTTTTAAAATTTTCTGTCTCCAGAAGTATGATTTGGCTCCACTGAAGTTTGCAAAACAAATGTGATACCCAAACCTTGTGAAACTTTTAGTGGGAAATAACTTTGCATAAGTCGGTTTGAGAGAGCGTGGAAACCTGTCTTGAAAAGTTTTAATTTAACTTGCAGGAAATAAAAATGATGGGTTTCTCAATTAAAAATTTCAATCAAGGAAGGATATGAGCTAACATAACATTTTTTTAAAAAGATCAGTCTGGTAAGGTAGAGGTGCATAAACTGAAAAGGAGCAAAAGTGGTGGAATTCAGTTAGAAAATTATTGTAACTGTACTGATGTCAAATGATGAAACCATGAACTAAAGTAGTACCAAAAGGAGTGAGGAGGATGGAATAATTCAAAAGATAGAGGACAGATGTGCAGAACCTGGAGATTATAAGATGTGAAAGGAGGAGTTTGAGAAAATTTCAGATTTTGGAAGTGGTGTCATTTTACTAAAAGGATATAATAAGTAGCAAATTTTGGATAAAGTTGGGTCCCACTGAGTTTGAGATGGCTGTTGGACATGCAGAGAAAACTGTCTTGTATGCTGTTCTTAAATTGAAATAGACAGACCTTTACCCTCTGATACTGACATATTTTCCTTTCCAGGCTCACCCTCCATTTCCCTAAACACAACACATGCACTAGCTCTCCTTACTTTATTGCTCCACAAACATCTTACACCTCCAAGCATTTGTGCCCACTGTACCTTCTATCTGGAATCTCTTTTGTCCTCTTGTGTGCCTGAAAAATTCCTTTCAGATCTTCAAAATACAGTGCAGATGCTATTTCTTCTAGCTCAAATATTATCTCCTCCATATAATTTAATTACTCTCTTTTTTCTTTTCTCTACTTTGCACTTACATTTATTTGAATGATTGCTTGATTAATTTCTACCTGTAAATTATGTGAGGGCAGGTCCTCTATATTTTGCTCGCAGTTAAATCTGCAGCACTTATTATAGAGTGGTATCATTAGAGTAATATACATATATTTGAGGACATGATAAATTAACTTCCCCTATAGTATTTATCACATTGCATCTCAATGACTTGCTTATGTTTCTGTTTTCCCATATAAATTGAGTAACTTGAAAAAAGAGATATCTATTAAGTATTTAATGAGAAATTAAAGTACAAACTTTAGTATGCATAACAACAAATTGGGAAAAGGTTGTAAACAAAGAGATTTGTAGGGCCCATGAGTTAGAGATCGTTTCAGCAGGTCTGAAAGGAAGCCTAGGAATCTGCATTTTAGAGGACCACCTCCCAACCCCAACAAGTAATTCTGCTTCTTGTTGTCTGGGTACTGTACTTTAAGAAATTATGGTGAAATGATATCAGCCTTTATTGTATTTATCTTATTCTCATTTTTTAATACTAGCACTTACTGACCAGGCTGCAGCAAATTGGCTTATTAATGGTAAGTTTTAATATTATTTTGTAACTGTAATTTGCCAAATCATAAAGAGTAAAAGTGCAAGTCTTTTGTGTACTTTTGGCCAAGGCAGTATCTATCAAGTTGATGTCTTTGTTCTTAGTTCGCTCAGGTGGTGTTGAAACAAGACAGTGCTGATCCCAAGTGTCCCATGGAGTGGACTTTAGGTTTCCCCTTTCCTTTTAGAAAAAGGAAGAAGTTGTAGTGGAGGACTACCCACTCTGCACTCAAAATTGCCCTCATGAAAATTTCTTTGGCAGCTTTGAGAACCTTTTACTGCCCTGGTTCTAAGGTGGCATTTCTGTAGACTTACAAATTATGTTTGATGACACCGTTTATGTAGCTTCTCCTAACCACCAGAGTAGCTTGCTTTGTTGTGAATTCAGGTTAATCACAAAGTATAATAAAAAAGAATTGTCAGAAGTCTTCCCAGCTTTGGGTCTATAACCTGAAGGAAAAGTCACTACTCTTCAACATCATCCTATGTACTCTCAGGCTAGGATAGCAGAAATGCAATCCCTAGAAAACAGCAACTTACTTCTCTGACCAAAAAAATGCAGTTAAAAATTAGTTCAATGTACCTGGTAGCTGGCCTATCTTAGGTACTTCAGTGATTTTACAAAGTGATGGTAGTCCTATGGGTGTTTTTCAGCTTCACTACGTATTTAATTCATGCTTATTGTTAATGAAACTGTGATAAGCAATTTACTAGGGTATTTGTTTGGGAGATGCCACAAAGGAACACATGTATCTCTTAATGGAAGCCTGGTCCTCCTTTATCCAGGAAATTTGCTAGGAAAAAAAAGCCTTTAGGTGGTTGTGCTATTAAACCAGGGCACTACTTAAAAGCCAGCCCAGCAATAGTTGTGTGATTTACCATTAATTTCTTAGTAATAGACCACACAAAAGAAGAAAATTATGGGAATGCGAGTTGAGAGGAATTGGGTGATCAGCCTACCCCAGCCCGTTTCAGCTCTGGCCAGTAGACTATTCACGAGCTCTTTGAAAACATTTAAATAAACCTTATTTAGATACTAGAAACCCTCTGTCACCCTCAAGAATATTCTGTGGTATAGCGACTCCTTTATGAGGGCATGTTTGGTAATACAGCATCAGTCTTGGAGGTGGACTGGATTCTACAAGGTGAACTGCAGTCACTAAGGAGTCTTTTGGATGAGACCAGTTTTCCTCCAACTTCAATGTGTGCATGAACCTCACATCAAAATGTAGCTTTAGATTTGTCCCATGATGTGGTTCCAAGAATCAGCACTTCTAATAAGTTTCCAGGGGATGCCCATGCTGCAGGCCCACAAACCACACTGAGCATAGCAAGACTATTGAGAAAAAGGAAATTTCCCAGGAGTCTGTGGCCTGAGCTGGCACATCCAATAATGACCTATCTTAACCTCAACTCATGAGGAATTCCAGGGAACTCTGAAGCTGCTCAAAATTTGAAGCCTATATGCCAACTAAATTCAGAAATGTTCTCCAAAATGCTATCTATAAGCAACAGTAGTCACAAATGCATTGTAGAAATATATCGATCATGCTTTTTGGAAAATCCAGCATGTCCTGAGGAAGAATGTATAAGACATAAAAGTCATAAATTATGGAAAGACTCTTCAGCTTCTTCCAAATGTAAAGGAATCATGATCTTCCCAGCACATTAATGCCCTTTCTCATTAGAATGTGGGGCCGGTCCAGACCTAATAACATTGTCTGAGCAGAGAATCCTTGGAGGCACTGAGGCTGAGGAGGGAAGCTGGCCGTGGCAAGTCAGTCTGCGGCTCAATAATGCCCACCACTGTGGAGGCAGCCTGATCAATAACATGTGGATCCTGACAGCAGCTCACTGCTTCAGAAGGTGAGGCCACCACTACCTACCCATCTGGGAACAATTAGAATAGACAGGTCATGAAGACTGCACCCTCTACCCTAGGATTGAATTGAGCCAGAAATAATTCAATGCAAAAAAATCAGTAAGAATTTTCTTCCTATTCATGAAAGGAAAAGGATTTTTCCCCTTTAGCATGCTAATTTAGTGCTATTTCTCTGTTTCAGGTAATAATATATTAGCACAGTAAAGAACAAAGATTTATATGTCAGAATGTTTTTTAAATCCTAGCTATAAAAGCTTAAGAAATTTACTAAATCTCCATAAGCTTTATTTTTTTTCCAAATTAAGGGACAACACTGTTATCTGTGACTTAGTGTTACTGGTAGCATTGAGTACACTAATGTAAACATACGTTAAATGTTAGCGAAACGAATTGCTGTGGAAGATTTGCACATTATATCATGGGAGCTGATGGCTAACCTAGAGACTGCCCCATGCCATTAATTTATTCATTCATAAAGATTATTGAGTATCTAGTATGAGCACAGTGTTATATATTGTAGAAGCTACTAGTATAAACAAAGTATTGCCTCTGCCTTCAAAGAGCTTACACTCGAATGTTGGAATCAGAATGCACAAAAATAATGATCAATTACAATGAGTAGCATAAATAAAATTAATGTAGGCAACTTACAAGAATTCTTAATTGAGGTGACTAAACTATTGCCAACACTAGGGTGATATGCTACCAGTGGCGAGTAGGTTGCATAAACTTACCTTATTGGTAAAAAGAAAAGTTCACATTGCTCATAAAAGAAGGATTTTAGATTTCAGCATAACTAAAATCTGTTTCAAACCTGCCTTGTTACTGGGGCATCGCAGACCACAACAGTTGTTGGGAACTTAACTCAAAAAGTTCACCCAGAAAAATAATGGAGATTTGAACTCGTGTGCCCCTGACCATATCAATTTTCTTCTCAGACTCTTACTCTAAACTGGACCTCCTTATCACACACACAAAGCCTTCCATAGGCAGATCAATCCAGTCTTATTTCTCAAAGCATGTACCTTGAGCTTCAGATAAACAGCATTGTTCTCTTCCCCTGGACTCTTCCTACATTTCCCTACCTATGAGTATCTGATCAATCTGCTTATCCTTGAAATGTTAATATATTTACCACATCTCTATTTGAATTTTATGAAATTTTTGATAATTTCTAAGTAGTTTTTTCAGATTTATAGGCACTACTTCATGGTACAGTGACTGTTACAAACGTATTTGTTAAATTTAGAAGGAATAAAGATTTAAAAGACTAGGGTAGTTACTGAACTAAAGTTTTAGGAAATCCCAAATTATTTCAAATTTTTCTTATGGTAATTTTATGACTTAATATTTTTATATGCAGTGAACAAATTTGAAACTTTAAAAGATACTCCCAGAATTATCAGTTTTCTGATGTAGATTGGCAAATTTATTACTATATCCCAAATAACCCAAGAGACAAAATTCACAAAAACATTTCAATTTTCATTGCCACTTGAAAGGCCAAAAAGCAGAAATGGCACGCATTGATTTCAATCGTACTCTTGAGTGTGGGAACCAGGAATTAAAATACCTGGACTTATCAGGCACTTAGCATAACCAAGAACGGAATAGAAACCTCCCTGGATTCTAAGCCCTATTCAGTCCCAATCACCAAAAACCAAGTAAACGATATCACTATAATGAAAGCCACAGTTATAAATATCGACAACGATTACCAAAGGAATCCATGGAACTTTGAATTTTGCCACCCCACATCCTTCTATTCATTACCATGATTGATCCACTAAAGCTAACAGACTCTGTGAACCTTGTATTGGACCCCTCCCTAAAGACCTGATTGTCACTGAGAACCATCAGTGAGGATTTGTTTGGGGCATGACCAGCCTTACATCAAAGTACATAGAAGTGATGAGGTCTTATCAAAGAGGATTATTGAATTATCACCTCTTCTATGTAGCTTTCCCTGATACTCTCTTTCCTCTCCATTGAGTTCCACAGAAATTTTTTTATCTGCCTTTAACAGTTGTCCTCATGATTTGTGATATTTGACTTACCTCTTGTCAGTTTCCTTCACTAGTGTAGAGTTCCTCAAAGAAAGAGACCATAATTACTTATATTTTTATTCCTGGAGACTCATACTATTCCTTATACAAAGTAGACACTTAACAATGGCTTGTTGAACTATAATTAATGAAAATAATAGCTACCTTCATGAAAGTTCACTTTGTGCCAAACACTATAGTTGACATAATACATTTGTCTCATTAATACTTAACAATTGTGTGAGAAGGTATCACCAATCACATTTTATATGTAAATAAACCCCAGAGCTATTAATTAACTTGTCATAAATAACACTTTTCATATGTGGCATAGCCAAGATTTAAATATAAATGTTACTGGTTCCAAAATGATGCTCTAATTCACTTGCTGGAAAGAAGGAAAGGAAGAAAATAAACGAGTGGAAGGAAGAGAGGGAGGGAAGAGAGAAAAGGAAGGAAAGAAAAAAGAGTCTCTTCAGAACCTTCACTGTAAAGACTCCGAGCAAAAGAAGTTGAATATAAAAACAACATAGGTTTGTTTGTTTTCTAATATTTTTTCTTCAAAATTTTTAACTCAGGTTCACTCTTACACAAACTACTGTGTCTTATAAAAGTATTTCCGGTCATAGAATTTTTATTTTCTGTATTAACTCCACTATCTAATCTCCATAAAACTCCTAAATTGGTATTATCGGTAACATTTTGTTTTTACTCAACCCTTAGGAACAATGTTAAGTTAATCAGCCCTCCACATCACAGATCCTTATTTTCATCAGTCTGTACAAGGCATTTCTCTCATTTTAATTTTTTTTCCTCCTGTCATCCCTGGATTTCACTTTCACTGCCCTCCTTCCACCCATATGCCTCATACTAATATATTCGAAATATACATGTCTTAAAGGTACATGCACGCACCTACAAAACCTATAGTGTTTTTTTGTATGTATATGTCTTTAATTTAAATAAGTAGCATTGTGTAAAAGTCTAATATTGTTTCTTACTGTTTTCACTCAATTCTTGGAATTTTCATCTGATGCACTGCTGCATAGCACCCCATGGTATGCAGCCACCATATTTCCTTCATCCAATTAGGTTGCATGACCTACCTTCCCATTGCCACAAAGAGTACACACAAAATATTTGTACTTATCTTTCTGTAAACCTTCAGGAATTTCAGAAGCACACATGCAGGCTGCTAAATATACCAGAATACTTTCCAGCCACTTAAATCTTTACCAGTATTGCAAAAGAGGCCCCATTTCCCTCCACATCAACATTTAGTATTATTCTTTTGTTTAAGTTTTATCAATCTTTTAAATGTACACAAGATGCTCATTTTTATAATTTTAATTTCTCAGATTACTAGTTTGAGTATCTTTTCATATATCTAAGAGCTGTTTTGATCTCCCCTACCATGAACTGCCACTAATATTCTTTGCCTATTTTACAATGGTTTTTCTGCTTATTTATTACTGGTTTACAGACTTTTAAAATATATTCTACAAAAATTTTAGACATTAAACATTACCAATATTTTCCCATGGTTCCTCATCCATCTGGTAAACTTGTCTATGGTATATCTAATTTTGATTTAATAGAATTCATTCTATTTTTACCTTTTAGTTTGTGTTTTTGTTGTTTAGCCAAAAAGTCCCCATTCCTAGGTCATAAAGGTAATGTCCTTTTTTTTTTTTTAACGCTACTGTTCTCTCTCTGTCTCCCCCTATGTATATAGGTGCACATATACTTGTACACACATACATATACCTATATATGAGGGGAGTTCGATAAGTTTATGGAAAATAAAATTAAAAGATAAAATAAAAAATTATAAACTTTATTTCTCAACATAAGCTCCTTCAAGTTCAAGACACTTTTGTAAGCAATAATACCAGCCATATCGTCCATCCCTAAAGAACTGAGGGTCCTGAGAATTTAACTATGTCAATGCAGTCTTTTTTACATTACTTTTTTACAGTACTTATTGATGAAAAATGGGTGCCTTTTAAAGATTGTTTTAAGATTAGGGAACAAAAATAAGTCAGAGGAAGTCAAATCAGGACTGAAAGGTGGATGCCTAGTGATTTATTGCTGAAACTTTCATAAAACTAACCTTATTTGATGAGAGGAATGAGCATGAGCATGGTTGTGATGGAGAAGAACTCTGGTGGAGCTTTCCTGGACACTTTTTCTACTAAAGCTTTGGCTAACTTTCTTACTCTCATAAGAAGAAGATGTTATTTTTCACTGACCCTTTAGAAGGTCAACAAGCAAAATGCCTTCAGCATCCCAAATGTCTGTTGTCATGACTTTTGTTCTTGACTAGTCTGGTTTTGCTTTGACTGGACCACTTCTACCTCTTTATAGCCATTGCTTTGATGGTGCTTTGTCTTCAAGATTGTATTAGTAAAGCCATATTTCATCTTCTGTTACAATTCTTCAAAGAAATACTTCAGAATCTTGATCTGACATGTTTAAAATTTCTATTGGAAGCTCTGACCTTGGGTGCAGCTGATCTGGGCGAAACAGTTTTGGCATCCATCAAGTAGAAAGTTTGCTCAACTTTAGTTTTTCAGTCAGAATTGTATAAGCTGAACCAGTTGAGATGTCTATGGTGTTGTCTATTGTTTCTCACAGTTAATTGTTGGTCCTCTTTGAGACATGAACAAGATGAAATTTTTCCTAGCAAACTGATGTGGATGATCTGTTGCTGCGGGCTTCACCCTCAACAACATCTCTTTCTTTCTTGAAACAAATTATCCATTAGTAAACTGATGATTGGGGGAGATGCTGTCCCCATAAACTTTTTGTAAGGCATAAATAATTTCACCATTCTTCCAGTTTCACCATAAATTTGACGTTTTTTTGCTTCAATTTTAGCAGCATTCATGTTGCTTTGATAAGAGCTCTTTTCAAATTCATGTCTTATTCCTCTTAGTGCCTCAAACTAGATCTTGTTCAGTATGACAAGTTAGTATGAGTTTATCTGCATGCAAAAATCTTTGAAATCCATGCATAGTTTGTTTATAATATACATTTTCAATGAACTTTTGAAGACCCCATACATACATATGTATATATATGCACACACACACACACACACACACCAAAATCTTCAACCATTATCAGACTTAGTGCAGAAAAATTATTCATCCATTAACAAGATAAGAATGCCCCTTATCATCACTACTATTTAAATGGAGCTCCTGGCTAAAGGAAAAGACAGGGATTGAAAAAAATTAGTTAAATCTAAAATGTTTATTATTTCAGGTTTCTTAGTTGCTTAAATGGGAAGGGAGGTATGGACAAAAGAGAAATCAAAGATATTTGTGTTATGCTACTTATCATTAAAGTATCAGAATAACTTCATTGGAATAGAAAAACACCAAGATCACCCCACGATATGTTTTCTAAAATCTTCTCCATTTCTTTAGACAAGTGACCATGTATTCGGCCAGTGAAGAATTAAACTCACTTGCCAGCTTATAATGCAGGAAAATATAGCAAAGAGATGTGGATCCAATAGTTTCTAGATAGTGGTACAGGATGGCTAAGATGAATTTATATATCTGAAATGTTCACAAATTCCCTACTCATATAGCATGTTTTCATAATGTTTTAGCAACTCTAATCCTCGTGACTGGATTGCCACGTCTGGTATTTCCACAACATTTCCTAAACTAAGAATGAGAGTAAGAAATATTTTAATTCATAACAATTATAAATCTGCAACTCATGAAAATGACATTGCACTTGTGAGACTTGAGAACAGTGTCACCTTTACCAAAGATATCCATAGTGTGTGTCTCCCAGCTGCTACCCAGAATATTCCACCTGGCTCTACTGCTTATGTAACAGGATGGGGCGCTCAAGAATATGCTGGTAAGTGTCTCGGAAAAAAAAATTAACAATAGAAATGTCTTATATTTGCTATTAGGTAATTTTTTAAATTAGGAAACATCTGGAATAGGTGTTTCTATTCTTCTACAGACAGAACCATTCTATATTCTGCTCAGCCCAAGCTCTGGCTACCCCTGAGTCTCCTTAGCAAAGCAAAGCAATGCTCCAGAAACTATGGGAATTCTCAAATATAGTAATAGGAAAATGTAAAAGAAAGTTATGAAGACACGAGTTCTTTAATAATCCAGAGATTCTATAAGATTCAAATAGCTTCCCTATAAACAATAAAAAAGATTTTGTTTGTTTGTTTGTTTGCTTGTTTTTTAGAGACAAAGACTTTCTCAGACTGGAGTGCAGTGGTGCAATCATGGCTTACTGCAGCCTCAAACTCTGGTCTTAAGAAATCCTCTTGCTTCAGCCTCCCAAGTAGCTAGAATTATAAATAAGTGTGTACCACCATACCCAGCTTTTTTTTTTTTTTTCTACAGACAGGTTCTTGCTCTGTTGCCCAGGCTGGTCTGGAATTCCTGCCCTCAAGCCATCCTCCTGCCTTGTTGGCCTCCCAAAGCAATGGGAGGATTTAGATTAGACATTGTATGAGGGCTTAATAATCCTTAAGGTATTAACTGCCCTTTAAAGTATTCTGGGATATGGCAAAAACTCGATGTGTATATAAACATTGGTCATATTTGTTTATTGAATGAATAAAATGGAAACTAAAATGAGGACAATGCACAAGAGCTACTAGAACCAGTAAGAGTATCAGCGAAGGAGTGGAAGGGTAGCATTGACAATTTCCCTGGGCTTTTACCCATGTTGTAGATTGTCTCTCCAAGGAATAATACAAAGCCTTAATAGTCCTAGAACACATTCTATTGTGTTCTTATGGCCCAAAGTAAATTGGTGTAGTAGATAACATTTGCACCAGTCATGAAAAACTATTGGTGTCATTCTGAGAGTACATCAATATAAAATAGACTAGTTCTTTAGCCTTGAAACTAGACTGGTTTCTCTTTTGCTGCTAGGTTAAAGGTTATTCAATATGTAATCTTCCAATCCAAAATCTGTCAGTGGATAATTTAAAAGCTTTTAGTCAATTTTAAGATATTTGTTTTCTTAAAATTTTAAGGGGCACTGTGTCACAAAGCTAAAGAAAAAAAAGAAAAAAAAACTGATCTGTGAAAGGGGTTATCCTCATCTACTTGGGGAATTTTGGCTGCGAAGAAACTCCAAAGTAAATCTTTAGAAGCCTTCATTGTTAAATATGAAATAATGTTTGGAGTACATTTATTTCTTCTCAAATTTATTATAGGGTCAATAATGTACACATCTTGAAGTCCATTTTTTTCCTGCTTTTATAACAAACAGGCCACACAGTTCCAGAGCTAAGGCAAGGACAGGTCAGAATAATAAGTAATGATGTATGTAATGCACCACATAGTTATAATGGAGCCATCTTGTCTGGAATGCTGTGTGCTGGAGTACCTCAAGGTGGAGTGGACGCATGTCAGGTAAGCTCAAGACAATCTCATCCATGTCATCATCCAAGAAGTGTATAAGCACTTCCTAGTATGTGATAATGTGATAGACATAAGTGTAACAGTTACAATACACAGCCCTGTTCCTCTAAAATTTATAATCTAGATTTTAGAAATAAATTTTTTTATGAATGAAGTTTATCTATCATGAAAGCATTAACTCTGAGAGGCCAAATTACAGAGTAGTTAACCATCCAAAGCTCAAGAATCAGAAAGACCTCGATTTGAATTCCTTAACCTCTATTACCAAGTCTCTAACTAAAAGCTGGGGATAATCATAATAGCACCTAACTTTTTGGGTACTAAGAAAAGTTAAATGAAGACTAAATATATCAGGCACATGGTAAACAACAAAGAAATCTCATCTATTTCACTATTATTAATGTAGACCATGGTCACTCGTGTTAATAACTTTAACCTCAACCTTTTAACTGCTGTGAAGGATTAAATAAAAAATTAATCACTATATTATAAAAATTAATTGATATATAATAAATGAATTTTAAGAGATACGTAATAATTCATGGACTCCTTGAAGATAGAAAATTTATACAAAATCCTAGTAATTTGAGTCACAAAAGCTCCTACAATAATGAAACAGTATGAATGAAAAAGAAAAGAAATAACTATTATATTTGGATCTAGCCCATAATTTTTAACCAAATGCACAAAAACAAACAACAAATATGAAATTCTCACTGTAAAGTGATTAAAATCAAATTTGAATTCTAAAATTTTAAATTAAATTATCTAAACATAATTGATGCAGTTATATGTTTTAATAGGTTTTGTTCACATATCTGAAATCCAACTCCACACAGTAGCAGGAACAGCTGGTGTCAGAAATTAAATATTCTTTTAGTCTGGAGTTTTAAAAAATCAATCTGTTTACTTGAGTAATTTGTTGCTGTTTTCATGGGTGAATTGTATACAGAAGGATAAGAATTATTCTTCGCATCAAAAGGTCACTGACTTTCATATTTAGTGCTCATGGTCTTTAAAAAGTGGATAAAAAGTAGTTCTCACATTTCATGGAAAGCCCCCAATCCATGAGCACATTTCCCAAAATGAAACATTTTTATCAACTGCAAGTTGTGTGTAGGTGGAGATTTGTTTTTCAATTGTCAAGATACTGTTAATTACCCAGTCCTTTATCTCCTTTTGGTGGAGATGTCTCTGTGCTAGGAAACCCTTCTTGCTCTCCTTCCTGTTTCTCTTTTACTACTGGCCCTGAAACAACAAATTCTCAAGTTTCATGACAGCTTTCCAAAGAATCCATCAATCAAATAAGCAACACAACTCGACACTGACAATTCCAGACCTACTAAGAGCATTAATTAAGACTTAAAAATAAACATGAGTTTTAAAAGGGTGTTATTCATTATTTTCCCATTTATAACGTCCCTTACCTTCTGTCCTTCAGTGCATACAAATTATTATCTTCCTTGAAGCCCAGTTCAAGCCGTACCTCACCATGATACCTTCCATGTATATTCCACTCTAGGCCTCACTGATTTTTAACTGAAATACTATAATGCATAGTTCACACTTAAAAAAAAAAAAAAAACACAGCACTTTACATAAGAGCTTACAGGATCCTATTTGTTTTATCCATTCTTTTGTTCATTTTTACAATCATTAATTCAAAGGAATTATATTAATTACTTTCTATGCACCCGACGTTGTGTTAACACAACAATACTATCCCTGCATTCAGCAAGTCTATGGTCTACAAGAGAGGACACAAATTCAAATGTCTGTAGTCAAGCAGTGAAGCTGGCTAGATATGGAAAAATTACAAGTCCCTCTTGCTTTAACATTTGCTTGCCCACATTTGGTCAGACATCATGCAAAATAATTTCTCACTATAGAAAAAAAAACACTACAAAAACAATAATATAAAGAACTGAGAACTGGTTAACTGAAGCATGCATATGTCATCTAAAAGAAGCAGGTGACGACCAGCTTCATGAAGTACTTGCCATGCATATTGGCACTTCACACACTGACCCTTCTCCCCACCTAGACCAGTAATTAAACAGGTATGGATGAGCTAGCTACTAAGAGCAGCCAACTGAATAGCTGACTAACTTAGAAGCACACTTGGTAATAATAGCTGACTTTTATTAGTACTGACTATACTATATGCTAAGCTGTACTCAAAGTGCTTTGAGTTTTAAACTGATACAAACATTATATGAGGAAACAGAGGTACAGAGAGCTATTCACCAGCTTACCAAAGGTCACATAGCTGGTAAGTGGAGGACTTAAACCCAGACTATCTAGTTTCAGAACCCACAGACTTAATCCATCGTGCAGAACATAAGACATACTCCATCTGTCTCCCCAACTAGGTTATTATGTGCACAAATATTTATTGGTTGGTTGGTTCATTATTATGACTGGGTGGTAAGTATGTCATTAGGAGTGTTTTGCTTATGACTATATAAATTTCTTCACCAAAAGAAGACTTTCTGATGATATACTATGCATCAGACACCACGCAGGGTGCTAAGGTTAGGAAGATAAGTGAGACTTCTAGAAACTCATTCATTCAACAAATATCTCCTAAGGGCTAGAAGCTTAGGTTTCAGCAGTGAACAGAATAGGTATGTTCTCTTTCGTGTTGGACCTTATAGTATATCTGGGAAAACAGACATTGAATAAATATCACAAATGCAAGTGAGTGTTTCAGAGACATGCAGCTGCTACATCAAAACAAAACAGAACAAAACAAACAAACAAAAACTGACCAGTGGGATTAAGTGTAAATAGGCACACAAATGCACAAATATGCTTTTATAAAATAGTGAAGCAGTGACAGAGACACACACAAGATATAAAGACACAATGAAGAACAATTGAGCCCAAAGCTGGAAAGGGTGAGAGTGTGAAGGAAAAAGGTTGATCAGAGAAGTTTTCCCGAAGGAGAGAAAGCCTGGATGATTAGGAGGCAACCACTCGGTGACTGAGGGAAATCTGAAAAATGTATTTGTCATCTTCTCAGACTTGCTGAAGGAATGACTTGGGTACTTTGAGGATTTCAGTAATTTTTCCATGACTTGGTATAATATTTCAAAAGGAAATAGGCTGACTTTATTTGTATAATGAATGTGACTCCTTCCTCGACTGCCATAGAAATAAACTCCTTAATATTTTGGGTTTGTCTTTGCACTTAAGTAATCAGTCATTCTGTTTTTTTACAGGGTGACTCTGGTGGCCCACTAGTACAAGAAGACTCACGGCGGCTTTGGTTTATTGTGGGGATAGTAAGCTGGGGAGATCAGTGTGGCCTGCCGGATAAGCCAGGAGTGTATACTCGAGTGACAGCCTACCTTGACTGGATTAGGCAACAAACTGGGATCTAGTGCAACAAGTGCATCCCTGTTGCAAAGTCTGTATGCAGGTGTGCCTGTCTTAAATTCCAAAGCTTTACATTTCAACTGAAAAAGAAACTAGAAATGTCCTAATTTAACATCTTGTTACATAAATATGGTTTAACAAACACTGTTTAACCTTTCTTTATTATTAAAGGTTTTCTATTTTCTCCAGAGAACTATATGAATGTTGCATAGTACTGTGGCTGTGTAACAGAAGAAACACACTAAACTAATTACAAAGTTAACAATTTCATTACAGTTGTGCTAAATGCCCGTAGTGAGAAGAACAGGAACCTTGAGCATGTATAGTAGAGGAACCTGCACAGGTCTGATGGGTCAGAGGGGTCTTCTCTGGGTTTCACTGAGGATGAGAAGTAAGCAAACTGTGGAAACATGCAAAGGAAAAAGTGATAGAATAATATTCAAGACAAAAAGAACAGTATGAGGCAAGAGAAATAATATGTATTTAAAATTTTTGGTTACTCAATATCTTATACTTAGTATGAGTCCTAAAATTAAAAATGTGAAACTGTTGTACTATACGTATAACCTAACCTTAATTATTCTGTAAGAACATGCTTCCATAGGAAATAGTGGATAATTTTCAGCTATTTAAGGCAAAAGCTAAAATAGTTCACTCCTCAACTGAGACCCAAAGAATTATAGATATTTTTCATGATGACCCATGAAAAATATCACTCATCTACATAAAGGAGAGACTATATCTATTTTATAGAGAAGCTAAGAAATATACCTACACAAACTTGTCAGGTGCTTTACAACTACATAGTACTTTTTAACAACAAAATAATAATTTTAAGAATGAAAAATTTAATCATCGGGAAGAACGTCCCACTACAGACTTCCTATCACTGGCAGTTATATTTTTGAGCGTAAAAGGGTCGTCAAACGCTAAATCTAAGTAACGAATTGAAAGTTTAAAGAGGGGGAAGAGTTGGTTTGCAAAGGAAAAGTTTAAATAGCTTAATATCAATAGAATGATCCTGAAGACAGAAAAAACTTTGTCACTCTTCCTCTCTCATTTTCTTTCTCTCTCTCTCCCCTTCTCATACACATGCCTCCCCCACCAAAGAATATAATGTAAATTAAATCCACTAAAATGTAATGGCATGAAAATCTCTGTAGTCTGAATCACTAATATTCCTGAGTTTTTATGAGCTCCTAGTACAGCTAAAGTTTGCCTATGCATGATCATCTATGCGTCAGAGCTTCCTCCTTCTACAAGCTAACTCCCTGCATCTGGGCATCAGGACTGCTCCATACATTTGCTGAAAACTTCTTGTATTTCCTGATGTAAAATTGTGCAAACACCTACAATAAAGCCATCTACTTTTAGGGAAAGGGAGTTGAAAATGCAACCAACTCTTGGCGAACTGTACAAACAAATCTTTGCTATACTTTATTTCAAATAAATTCTTTTTAAAATAATTTCCCTGCCTAATTATTTATGGAAGTTATGACTTTTGAAGGACAATTCAAAACCATTTATTTAATTGGTTCTGCAATGAAAGAACTGCCCCATATACTCTACTAAAGGCTTGGCACTTTCTGCTGCCTTTTAATCCAGCGCTATAATTGAGGCAAGCGTCCAGCTTGACACTCCTCAGTTGCACCCTGTGAAGACAACATTGAACTGGTAATTTAGGGTAAGTCTCAAGGGGAGGGAGACTTTGTGCTTGAGTGTGTTTGTGTGTTTGTGTGTGCAGCTGCCCTCATATAATAGCAGAGATATTTGTGTTTATTCTTATGTATTGAAAGCTATATAAAAGAAGATAATTATTTAGCAGAAAATAGAGCAAATTCAATTATTTATTGAAAACAAAAAATTATTTAGCAAAATATGCATATTTTGTGAAAAGATATTTGAAAACTAGGGGAGCATTTATTTTAAGAGCTTCTTTTTTATGTACTGATAAATTCACTTTTCCTGACACCTATGTATGGCTTCATGAAAGTAATTTTGAGTAGTTATGGAGGAGTGGCGATTTATAAATGCTTTCAGTCCTTAAAAAATCATTCTGGGAGCTCTGGAAGAAACTTTCTAGCACCCTAATTCAGTTGTAGAAAGATTGAACAAGGAAAATCCTGTTCAGCATACATACTAATCAATTTTTAAAAGCACATATACTAATCAATTAAAAAATGTGTCAAACGAAGTGAATATTTGGCACTAAAACTGAATCCTCCTGAGTTTAAAATAGTGAACAGAACTAATGAAAAGAGAATTATCCAAGAAAGTTTAGAGCAAACAGTTTACTACTTATTGCACTAATTGAACGTCTTAATTACAGAATGTAAACTGTTCCTTTAATAAATGTATTGAGTCCTACTATGTTTGAGGTTCTCTGCTAACCAATGAAACGAAGATAAATAAGACATAATACTTGCCCTTAAGACACGCAGAGAATAGTGATGTTGACAAACACATTATGCAATATAACAAAAAGGATGAAATGATAGAGTACAACATTTCTGACAAGATAACACAAGAATGGGAAGGTCATAGAAGACTAATAAAAATATGTTTAATTTGTAATAAAATCAAAACAGTCTTTCAGAGCAGCAATTTGCCACAAACCATGATAATTTCCCTGTGGTTAGGGAAAAGGAGACTAAGAACTTCTCAGATTATGAATCTAAATCCTTCACAGGCTCTCGTTTACACAACTCACTTCCTTTTCTTTCCAACTTGCTAAATATGAAATGGTTCAGTGAGACCAAAAATAGATTTTTCTCTTTATATTTATTACATGTCTACATAATCCAGATATCAAACCTAGTCCTTTTCATTTCAAAACAGTCAGTTTGATTAATCTTCTGTAGGGGAAACAGGTTATCTCCTTCTCTATTTCTGGTGTTTCATTGCATGTCTTTTTTTTTTTTAATTTAGACACAGGATCTCACTATATTACCCAGGCTGGAGTACAGTGGCTATTCACAGGTGCAATGATAGCACACTACAGCCTCAAATTCTTGTGCTCAGGTGATCCTCCTGCCTCAGTCTCCCAAGTAGCTGGGACTACAGGCACGCACCACAGCATCAGGCTTGGTGGGTTATTTATAAAGGAAGTAGTTGTCATTTGGAGAAAGAGATTTCTTTCCATGGGAGCATTTTTTAAATCATGGGAGATTTTTAAGCAGAAGCTGGATAATCACCTGCGGTGATATTTTGCGGAAATGTTTTGAAAGATTTCTGTAATGAGTTGGGCTTAAAATCAGATTATTCCCAAGGCTGCTACACAGTCTAAGATGCTACCCATAATAAGCAGTTCTGAGGATCATAAGATCTCTGAGAGGAAGAGGAATTTCAGAGTTTGGATATCGATTTGTTAGTTTGTTTAATCTGGTACTCAACTATGAAACAAATCACCTAAAGAAATCAAACCAATCACAATGTGAATTAAGTAACAATCCATTTTGGAAAAAAGGCAACCAAATGAAATTGATGAGATGATTCAGAAAACAAACAGGGCATTTTCCACGAATGCCATTACATTTAACCTACCTCCAACCATACAAGTTATACTGAAATTACTAGTGCAATTAAAATCTGTTGACACATGTTCTTGCTTACAAGTGAGAGCTAAACAATGGGTACACATGGACATATAGTGGGGAATAAATAATAGACACTGGGGATTCAAAAGGGAGAGGTGGGTGAGGATTGAAAAAGTACCTGTTGGTTACAATGTTCACAATTCAGGTGATGGGTGCACGACAAGTCAAGACTTCACCACTGCTCAATATATCTATACAATAAAACTATACTTTTACCACCTGAATCAATTAAGATTGTTTTTAAGACGGTTGACATGTTCAGAAAGAGATTTTTCTGCAAAATTTATTCATCTATCCATTCATTCATTTTTTTAACCATCCATTTATTTATTTATCAATAGTTTTTGCTCACTTGCCATGTGCCAGATACTATCCTAGGCCAGTCAAACTGAATTCTGGGAAAGAGCAAGACAGGCAAAAGAAAAAGCAAGTATAAAGTTCCTGAGGTAACTACAAAGTTGGTGGGTTTGGAAAACAGTAAGAAGCCAGTGTGGCTGGAACAAAATTAATGAAGGGGAGACTGGTATTAGGTGAGGCTGAAGAAATAGACATGTGGGCCACATAACTAAGTTTCTGTTTTATTCTAAATGTGAGGACATGAGTATGGAGGGAAATCATATGATCAATTTTCCATTTTCTAAAGATGAATCTGGCTACTCTACAGAGAACTACCAGAGGACAAGAGTAAAAGTGAAACTAATCAATAGACCATTGCAGTCATCTAGGAAAAGGATGAGCTTGACTTTGATTAAGGAGCTAGCAGTGAAGATGGTAGAAAATATTGAAATTTAGGAAATACCCATAGGAAAAAAATAATAATTTCCAATTGATTAGATTTAGGTGCTGAAGAAAAGAGAGAAATCCAAGTTGACTTAAGTTTTGGTCCTGAGATAGAAAATAACTGAGAGAGGAAAATCTGGGAGGAGAACCAAGTTTGAAGAGTAGAAAATCAAGAGTTTCTTTCTGAATCTGATACATTTGAAATGTACAAGCTATGAGAACAGGTAAAATGTTGTGAATATATATCTGTAGCTCAGGGGAGGGATTGAGATAGGAAATATAAATTTTGTGGCATTTACAAGAACAGTTTCAGTGAAGTAGGGGAAAAAGTCATGTTGGAATGACGAGAAGAGAGAATGGGAAATATAGCTTTTGGAAAATAATATAAGATGATATCTTGATGACTTCAAGGTAAAGAAAAGTTTTAAAGATGATTTAAAAACAGATTTTAGTATCACAAATAAAAGGGATTTAAAGGAAATAATGCTAAATTTTTCTTAATTAGAAACTTTTTGTTATTCAAAAGACGCTATTGTAAGATTAAAAGGTGAAATAACAGAGTGAGAAAAGATATTTGCAATTGTAAGGGTGGGAAAATTTTACTTTTACCGTCTTAGGGTTTTTTTCAGCTAGACCTGAGAATTAAGTTGACATAAGACAGATCAACAAGAGAAAATCATACAAAGTTAATAGAAGTTCTACATGGCACAGGAGCCTTCATAAGAAAATGAAGACCCCAAAATACAGTTAAGAGCTGAACACGGCCGGGCGCGGTGGCTCACACCTGTAATCTCAGCACTTTGGGAGGCCGAGGCGGGCGGATCACGAGGTCAGGAGATCGAGACCATCTTGGCTAACACGGTGAAACCCCGTCTCTACTAAAAATACAAAAAATTAGCCGGGTGCGGTGGCGGGCGCCTGTAGTCCCAGCTACTCAGGAGGCTGAGGCAGGAGAATGGCGTGAACCCGGGAGACGGAGTTTGCAGTGAGCAGAGATCGCGCCGCTGCACTCCAGCCTGGGCGATAAAGCGAGGCTCAGTCCCCTCCCCTCCCCCCCGCCAAAAAAAGAGTTGAACACATAACACATACTGAATTGAAGAGCACTAAGGTTTAAAAAAAAAAGTAAATTATAAGAGAAGGCTAGAAGATATTTTATTTTGTTGTTTTGTTTTATTATAGACAGAATCTCACTCTATACCCCAGGCTAGAATGCGGTGGCGCAATCTCAGCTCACTGCAATCTCCGCCTCCCGGATTCAAGCAATTCTCCTGCCTCAGCCTCCCAAGTAGCTGGGATCACAGGTGCCCACCATTATGCCTGGTTAATTCTTGTATTTTTAGTAAAGACGGGATTTCGCCATGTTGGCCAGGCTGGTCTTAAACTCCTGACCTCAAGTGATCAGCCTGCTTCAGCCTACCAAAGAGCTGAGATTACAGTACAAGATATTTTAACAAGATCTGTGCAGAATGTTCTCAGCCTCAGCATGCCATCCTTGATTATAAAATGGTTCTTTCCTTTTGGTTGAGGGAGTACATCTTTCACATGGGAATGTAATCTGCTTTTAAGAAACAGCACAAAGGTCAGAGTGATCTTGTACCTGCTGTTTTCAAATGGCTTTAACTAAAAATAGTCGATATGCCAGAATAGCATATTTTTAATTTCTATACAATATATATAAATTAAAAAATACGTTGTATCTAGAATGCATGAAAAACGACTACAAATAAATTTTTGAAAGACCAATAACATAATAGAAAATGAGCAAAGAGTTGGATTAGGCACATCAGAAAAAAAGAAGTGGCCAATAAATGTAAGAAAAAAAGGCTCAACATTATTGGAAATAAGAAAGATGAAAATTAAAGCCATTGTAATATATCACCACTACACATGTATCAGAATGGGTAAAAATTAAAAGTTGCCAATATGAAGAACTGGCAAGAATGGGGGAGTGTAAATTGCTTTAATAAAATTGCAAAATGGTACTATCTAAAAAAGGATATCATATACATATCTTATGACCTAGGAATTCCATGCTAAAGTAAATACGATATAAATGTATGTACATGTGCAGGAATATTCAAAGAAGCATTATTAATCATAGCCAAACAGTGGAAACAACCAAATATCCATCATCAGTAGAATGGATAGATTTTGTTATAGTCATACAATAGAATATCACCCTACAACAAAAATGAAAATCATAAAATTAAACAAAAGAAGTCTGGCCAGGCACGGTGGCTAACATACACTGTTTGGTTTTCTGTTCCTGTGTTAGTTTCCTGAGGATGATGGCTTCCAGCTTCATCCATGTCCCTGTAGAAAACATGATCTCATTCCTTTTTATGGCTGCATAGTATTCCATGGTGTATATGTACCACATCTTCTTTATGCAGTCTATCATTGATGGGCATTTGGGTTGGTTCCACATCTTTGCTATTGTAAATAGTGCTGCAATAACCTTGTGTGCATGTGTCTTTATAGTAGAATAATTTATATTACTTTGGGTATATATCCAGTAATGGGATTCCTGCATCAAATGGTATTTCAGGTTCTAGATCCTTGAGGAATCACCACACTGTCTTCCATAATGGTTGAACTAACTCACATGGCCACCAACAGCGTAAAAGTGTTCCTATTTCTCCACACCTTCATCAGCATCTATGTTTCTTGACTTTTTAATAATTGCCATTCTGATTGGCATGAGATGGTATCTCATTGTGATTTTGATTTTCATTTCTCTAATGATCAGTGATGTTGAGCTTTTTTCATGTTTATTGGCCACATGGATGTCTTCTTTTGAGAAATGCCTGTTAATATCCTTTGCCCACTTTTTAATGAGGTTTTTTTTTTTCTTGTAAATTTGGTTAAGTTCCTCATAGATTCTGGATATTAGACCTTTGTCAGATGGATAGGTTGCAAAAAATTTTCTCCCATTCTTATTTCAGTTACCCAGATTTGATCATTATACATTGTATACTTGTATCAAAATATCACATGTACCCTATAAATACGTACCCATAATAATTTAAAACAAAATATTTTTTTAAAAATTTTCTCCCATTCTGTAGGTTGCCTGTTCACTCTGGTGATAGTTTTTTGTTTGTTTGTTTTGTTTTGTTTGCTGTGCAGAAGCTCTTTAATTAGATCCCATTTGTAAATTTTGGCTTTTGTTGCAATTGGTTTTGGTGTTTTCATTATGAAGTCTTTGCCCATGCCTATGTCCTGAATGGTATTGCCTAGGTTTTCTTCTAGGGTTTTTATGGTTTGGGGATTTACATTTAAGTCTTTAATCAATCTTGAGTTAATTTTTGTTTAGGTGTAAGGAAGGGGGCCCAGTTTCAGTTTTCTGTCTATGGCTAGCGGTTTTCCCAGCACCATTTATTAAACAGGGAATCCTTTCCCCATGGCTTGTTTTTGTCAGGTTTGTCGAAAATCAGATGGTTGTAGATGTGTGCTGTTATTTCTGAGTTCTCTGTTCTGTTTCTTTGGTCTGTATGTCTGTTTTGGTACCAGTACCATGCTGTTTTGGTTACTGTAGCCTTGTAGTATAGTTTGAAGTCAGGTAGCATGATGCCTCCAGCCTCTTTTTGCTTAGGATTGTCTGGGCTATATGGACTCTTTTTTGGTTCCATATGAAATTTAAAGTGTTTTTTTTCTAATTTGTGAAGAATATCAATGGTAGTTTGATGGGAATAGCATTGAATCTATAAATTACTCTGGGCAGTAGGGCTATTTTCACAATATGGATTCTTCCTGAGAATCAATATGAGGATGGAATGTTTTTTCATTTGTTTGTGTCCTCTCTGATTTCCTTGAAGAGTGGTTTGTAGTTGTCCTCGAAGAGGTCCTTCACATCCCTTCTTAGCTGTATTCCTAGGTATTTTATTCTCTTTGTAGCAATTGTGAATGGGAGTTCACTCATGATTTGGCTCTCTGCATGCCTATTGTTGGTGTATAGTAATGCTTGTGATTTTTGCACATTGATTTTGTATCCCGAGGCTTTGCTGAAGTTGCTTATCAGCTTAAGGAGTTTTGGGACTGAGACAATGGGATTTTCTAACTATAGAATCATGTCATCTGAAACAGAGACAATTTGACTTTCTCTTCCTGTTTGAATACCGCTTATGTCTTTCTCTTGCCTGATTGCCCCGGCCAGAATTTCCAATACTACGTTGAATAGGAGTGGTGACAGAGGGCATCCTTGTCTTGTGCCGGTTTTCAAAGGGAATGCTTTCAGCTTTTGCCCATTCAGTATGATATTGACTGCGGGTTTGTCATAAATAGCTCTTATTATTTTTCAATATTTTCCATCAATATCTAGCTTATTGTGAGTTTCTAACATGAAGGGATGTTGAATTTTATCAAAGGCCTTTTCTGCATCTATTGAGATAATCATGTGGTTTTTGTCATTGGTTCTGTTTACGTGATGGATTATGTTTATTGATTTGCATATGTTGAACCAGCCTTGCATCCCAGGGATGAAGCTGACTTGATTGTGGTGGATAGGCTTTTTAATGTGCTGCTGGATTCAGTTTACCAGTATTTTATTGAGAATTTTCACACTGATGTTCATCAGGAATATTGGCCTGATGTTTTCTTTTTTTATTGTGTCTCTGCCAGGTTTTGGTATCAGCATGATGCTGCCCTCATAAAATGAGTTCGGGAGGAGTCTTTCCTTTCCAATTGTTTGAAGTAGCTTCAGAAGGAATGGTACCAGCTCCTCTTTGTACCTCTGATAGAATTTGGCTATAAATCCGCCTGGTCCTGGGCTTTTTTTTTTTTTTTTTTTGGTTGGTTGGTAGGCTATTAATAACTGCCTCAATTTCAGAACATGTTATTGGTCTATTCAGGTATTTGACTTCTTCTTGGCTTAGTCTTGGAAGGGTATATGTGTCCAGGAACTTATCTATTTCTTCTAGATTTTCTAGTTTATTTACATTGAGGTGTTTATGATATTCTCTGATGATAGTTTGTATTTCTGTATGGTCAGTGGTGATATCCCCTTTATCATTTTTTATTGGGTTTATTTGATTCTTCTCTCTTTTCTTCTTTATTAGTTTAGCTAGTAGTCTATTTATTTATTTTGTTAATTTTTTCAAAAAACCAGCTCCTGGATTCATTGATTTTTTGAAGGGTTTTTCATGTTTCTATCTCCTTCAGTTCTGCTCTGACCTTAGATATTTCTTATCTTCTACTAGTTTTGGATTTGTTTGCTCTTGCTTCTCTAGCTCTTTTAATTATGATGTTAGGGCATTGATTTGAGATCTTTCTAGCTTTCTGATGTGGGCATTTGTGCTATAAATTTCCCTCTTAACACTGCCTTAGCTGTGTCCCAGAGATTCTGGTACATTGTCTTTTTGCTTTCATTGGTTTCAAAGAACTTCTTGATCTCTGTCTTAATTTCATTATTTACCCAGGAGTCATTCAGGAGCAGCTTGTTCAATTCCCGTGTAGTTGTATGGTTTTGAGTGCATTTCTTAATCTTGAATTCTAATTTGATTGCACTGTGGTCTGAGAGACTGTTATGATTTCATTTCTTCTGCATTTGCTGAGGAGTGTTTTCCTTCCAAATATGTGGTTGATTTTAGAATAAGTGCCATGTGGCACTGAGAGGAATGTATATGCTGTTGATTTGGGGGGTGGAGAGTCCTGCAGATGTCTATTAGGTCTACTTGATCCAGAGCTGAGTTCAAATCATGAATATCCGTGTTAATTTTCTGTCTTGTTGATCTGGCTAATATTCACAGTGGGGTGTTAAAGTCTCCCACTATTATTATGTGGGAGTCTAAGTCTCTTTGTAGGTCTCTAAGAACTTGCTTTATGAATCTGGGTGCTCCTGTATTGGGTGCATATATATTTAGGATAGTTAGCTCTTCTTGTTGCATTGATCCCTTTACCATTATGTAATGCTCTTCTTTGTCTTTTTAGATCTTTGTTGATTTAAAGTCTGTTTTGTCAGTGACTAGGATTGCGAACCCTGCTTCTTTTTGCTTTGCATTTGCTTAATAAACTTTCCTCCACCCCTTTATTTTGAGCCTATGTATGTCTTTGCACATGAGATGGGTCTCCTGAATATAGCACACCAATGGGTCTTGACTCTTTATCCAATTTGCCAGTCTGTCTCTAATTGGGGCATTAGCCCATTTACATTTAAGTTTAATGTCGTTATGTGTGAATTTGATCCTGTCATCATGATGCTAACTGGCTATTTTCCACACTGTTAGATACAGTTTCTTCATGGTGCCATTAGTCTTTATATTTTGGTGTGTTTTTGCAGTGACTGGTATCAGTTTTTCCTTTTCCTATTTAGTGCTTCCTTCAGGAGCTCTTGCATGGCAGGCCTGGTGGTGATGAAATCTCTCAGCATTTGCTTGTCTGGAAAGGATTCTGTTTCTCCTGCACTTATGAAGCTTAGTTTGGCTGGATATGAATTTCTGGGTTGAAAATTCTTTCCTCTAAGAATGTTGACTATTGGCCCCCACTCTCTTCTGGTTTGTAGGGTTTCTGCTGAGAGGTCTGCTATTAGTCTAATGGGCTTCCCTTTGTAGGTGACCTGGCCTTTCTCTCTGGCTGCTCTTAACATTTTTTCCTTCATTTTGACCTTGAAGAATCTGATGATTATGTGTCTTGGGGTTTATTGTCTTATGGAGTATCTTAGTGGTGTTCTCTGTAGTTCCTGAATTTGCATGTTGGCCTGTTTTGCTAGGTTGAGGAAGTTCTCCTGGATAGTATCCTGAAGTGTGTTTTCCAACTTGGTTCCATTTTCTCCCCATCACTTTCAGGTATTCCAATCAATCATAGGTTCCGTCTTTTTTTTTTTTTTTTTTTTGAGATGGAGCCTTGCTCTGTTGCCCAGGCTAGAGTGCAGTGGCACAATCTAGGCAAGTGATTCTCCTGCCTCAGCCTCCCAAGTAGCTGGGATTACAGGCACCTGCCACTGCGCCCAGCTGATTTTTGTATTTTTAGTAGAGATGGGGTTTCACCATGTTGGCCAGGCTGGTCTCGAACTGCTGACCTCTTGATCAACCCACCTCAGCCTCCCAAAGTCCTGGGATTACAGGCGTGAGCCACTGTGCTCGGCCTGTAGGTTCAGTCTTCTTACATAGACCATATTTCTGGAGGTTTTGTTTATTCCTTTTCATTCTTTTTCCTCTAATCTTGTCTGCATGCCCTATTTCACCAGGATGGTCTTCAAGCTTTGATATCCTTTCTTCCACTTGGTCAATTCAGCTATTGATACTTGTGTATACTTCACGAAGCTCTTGTGCTGTGTTTTTCAGCTCCATCAGGTCATTTGTGTTCCTCCTTAAACTGGTTATACTAGTTAGCAGCTCCTGTAATCCTTTATCAAGTTTCTTAGCTTCTTTGCATTGGGTTAGAACATGCACCTTTAGCTCAGTGGAGTTTGTTATTACCCACCTTCTGAAGCCTACCTCTGTCAATTCGTCCATCTCATCCTCTGCCCAGTTCTGTGCCCTTGCATTGCAATCATTTGGAGGAGAAGAGGCACTTTAGCCTTTTGGGTTTTCAGGGTTTCTTTGTTGATTCTTTCTTATCTTCATGGGTTTGTCTGGTTTTGATCTTTGCGGCTGCTGACCCTTGGATGAGGTTTTTGTGAGGACTTTTCTGTAGATGATGTTGCTGTTGCTTTCTGTTTGTTTGTTTTTCTCTCAATGGTCAGTTCCCTCTTCTGCAAGGCTGCTGCAGTTTGCTGGGGATTCACTTCAGGCCCTATTCATCTGGTTGCTTCACTCCTGCACCTGGAGATGTCACTCAAGGGGGCTAGAAAACAGCAAAGATGGGTGCCTACTCCTGCCCCTGGGATCTCTGACCTTGAGGGGCACTGACCTGATGCCAGTAAGAACATTCCTATACAGGATGTCTGACAGCCCCTGTTAGAGGGTCTCACCCAGTTGGGTGGCATGGGTAGTAGGACCCATTTAATGAAGCACTTTGTTCCTTGGTGGAGGGGTTGTGATTTGCTAGGTGGAAACCCGCTCGTCTGGGCTACACAGATTTCTCAGGACTAGCAGGAGGAAAGACTAAGTCTGCTGGTCTGCAGAGACTGCAGCCACCCTACCTCTAAGGGTTCTGGTCCAGCGAGATCAGAGTCCAGCTCGAGCCCCTGGCTGGAGTTGTTGGAGTTCATGCAGGGAGGCCCCGCCCAGTGAAGAGGGATGGGTCAGAGTCAGGCCTGAAGAGGCAGACTGCAGTCTGCCACAGCCAGTGTTTTGAGCTGTGGAGGATACCGCTTAGAACCAAGCCGTCCAGCCGCCCTGGCTCCAGCAGGGGTAAAGTGCAGCCTGGAGCTATAGAGATGGTTACTGCCCTTCCCTTGCCCTGGGAGCTTAGTGTGATAGGCAGCTAGCAATCCCAGTGTTGGCTACCACCCCTCCCCCAGGGAGTTCAAACGGCTTAGACAGCAGGCAATAGCAGCTGAGAGGCTGGCCACCCCTCTAGAGCTCCGCAGGCTTAAGCAGATTCTGAGTGGCTGTTGAGAATTTGCATGGCTCCGTGGTTAGGACCCTAGGCCCCCGTGGGTGTGGGCTTATGAGTAGGATCTTCCAATCCGTGGGTTGCACAGTTCCATGGAAAAAACACAGTTTCTCAGGCTAGGTAGAACACTCACTCACCATCTCCTTTGGCTGGAGGGTGGGGGCTCCCCTGCCCCGTGTGTGGCTCTCGGGTGGGCCACCACACCAAAATGCTCTTCCTTTCTCTCCATAGGTCATGCCAGCCTCCTAGTCAGTTCTGATGACAGAACCTGGATACCTCGGCTGCCGGTGCAGGATGCACACACTGTTAGGGTTCTTTTTGCTAAGAACCTCCGATCCCCACTACTTCTAGTGGGCCATCTTGGCCCCGCCCCCCAATAGTACTTTTAATTATGGAACTTAAAGGAATTATATGTATTCATAGAAACACAACAATGTCACACATTCACTTAAAAAAATCAAGGAAAGCACTCTCAGGTAGGAATAACTAGAGAATTGGACTAATACTATTTTTTACGTGTTAGGTAACTTTTATAAAAATAGTTAAAATATGAACTATCAACAATGAGTATACACATATATATTTGTTAACAAAACCCAAAGTACTGTTTCTCAAATTATGAATTGCATATATTCCAGAATTAACTCTTAAATTAGCTTTATTGGTATTTTAATTTAAAATTTTGCATATCATGTTTCTTTTCAAATGGCTTGCTTATGCTTAAAAACTGATAAATTTTCTTCTTTTCTAAGGGCCTTCTAAAATTGAAATATATTTATGTTCTATTCTGTGTAGCTTCCTCACTGCTAACAAATTTTCTCTTTATAAAAAGTGTTCTATTTGAAAGTTAGATGGGAAAGCAAATGTATCTTATACTTACTTTTAAAAGAGATTTATTTTTAAATTTCACCTGAAATGTTCAAAAGTGATTATAAATGAATAAGCCAACATTTTTAAAAATGCTCCTTCATTTCAAAAGATAGTGTTGGGTAAATAACCTTATAATAATGGAAAGGAATTTAAAACTTAAAAAAAAATTGATGACTGCCAACAATCAATCACAGCAATTTTCCTTTTCCATATTCTCTTTCAGTTCCCATATAAATACGTACATAATTTTACTTGGTTTATAATCATAAAAAAATTTGCATTCTGCCTTATTCACTTTATATTCATATATGTTCACATTCATTCCCTGCTGCTTCATTATAATTATCAAAATTGTTTTTTAGATTATATGTCAATACATCAGTTAATATTCATTTAAAAATAGTTTTTTCATTATTTCATGTTGTCCTGACAACATATCTGAAGAAAGGGATATTGATGAGGTATTCTTCCTGTCCATGCTTTCCAGTGTATTGGATAAAACTTTAAAGTTGGTCTGTTCAGAGCTTATTGTCACTTTGTGAATGTTCTTTAGTAGCAGTAATGAATTCAGAAGACTTTGCCACTTCGTTTCCTTTCAATAAACATGTACCAGTCAATTCACAAAAACATAAATAAATAATAATACTATAGAAAATAGGTTTTTAACCTTCTAAATTTCAATCCAGTGGTTGGTTGGTTGACTTTACTGGTAGCTTTTAAAGTGGACATAAAAATTGTAATAAGAAGGAAAAGAAGAAATGAACAACAAAAATATATATTTTATTTTTATTTTTGAAAATGTTCTAAGATACATCATCACAAATGTTAGGTGTATAGAGAAGATACTTTCAAACACATATTAGGGAATTATAACTTCCTTAAACAACTTTCTATGGCATTCTTCTTCCATAGAATATCTTAAAGATACCTTCCTATTTTTTTTAATACTTCTAAACATCTCATTGCTTAAAAACTAAAACTTTTATGAAAGCCTCTTTTCTTTTTCTTTCTTTCTTTTTTTTTTTTGAGACAGAGTCTCGCTCTGTTTCCCAGGCTGGAGTGCAGTGGCACGATTATCTCACTGCAACCTCCGCCTCCCGGGTTCAAAGGATTCTTGTGCCTCAGCCTCTCAAGTAGCTGGGACTACAGGTGCATGCCACCATGCCTGGCTAATTCTTTTGTATTTTTAGTAGAGATGGGGTTTCACCATTTTGGCCAGGCTGGTCTCAAACTCCTGACCTCGTGATCCACCCGCCTCGGCCTCCCAAAGTGCTGGGTTTACAGGCGTGAGCCACCATGGCCAGCCAAAAGCCCCTTTTCTTAAACAAAAAATGAATATGATCTTTAAAAGCTGCTTCTTTTTAAGCTTATATCAAACTTTCTATTCCATCTGGCATATTTTCTTGCTGTAAACTCAAGCCCCCCAGAAAGTAACTTTTTAAATTACATCTCTCAAGCCTCCTTTCTGCCTAAGGACAGCAAATATACACTCTATTCTTGGTAGATTTTGCCAATTCAGGGTTTTCTTAGACAGTATGAGGTTTTCTCAGTTAAGTTCCATATCCCTTATCCTTCTCTAAGTTCCAAGTGACCCACTTTATACATTGCCAATGCACTAGGCTGAGGGGCTGATCTTCAGTCATCATCTGCTCGCACTGTCATCCCCTGAGATGTACATTGTGCTGTCTGGTCTTGTCTTCAGACATGATCAACCCTCCATACCTATCCTCTCAGAAGTCTGAGTTCTCATCGTGTCTCTCACTCAGAGATCATATTGTTAACCACTGCACATTCTCCCAACTGGTCTGCCAGCTTTCTCTTGAACTTATTTAGAGGAATATAACACATGGTCTACTAACCCCTACTACTCTCAATCACCATCAAACTCAACAAGGCTATTTCGGGTTCTCTCTGCCTCAATACTCTTAGAGGCTCTCTCTAGTCAAAGACTTAAGCACCATTGGTGTACAAGGAACTCTGCAAGTTTGTCACTTTTCAGCTCCAAATGTGAAGGGGGACATAAGCCCTCTCTACTTTCATTTCCCTTCATGTTTACTGAGTTTTATTGTCTCTACTCTCCAGCACTAACTCTGAGTTAGGGAAGAAGCATGGGAAGGGTTAAAGGTCATTGACTTTTTCTCACTCTAGTGCTTTCCTTTCCGACATTCTACTCCCTCTTCCAGTCCATGAAAATGTATCTAGTCTGGTCAGATGAGGAGAAAAATGGCTCTGAACAAGAAAGTATTTTTCAATTCTATAGTATAGGTTGGGTTTTAGCTTAAAATAAGAGTATATACATTTCATATGTAGTGAAATAATGCATATACAAAAAGCATATTATATTGATATGTATATAAGAGAAAAATTTTTCAAAGCAGCAGAAATGCATATAAGAAACAGAACATTTTCAATAGCCTTGAATACCCCTGTGTAGAAGCTGTTTTTGATAATTAGAACAGCAGCCTCTTTTGACTAAAAATAAACAAATTTTTCTTTTAAGATATTGATTCTGCCATAGGCTTAAAAAGCCTATTTAAAATTGTCTGCTATGACAAGCCTTACCCAATGGCAATGAACTCAATGCTATAACTACAACACGAAGTGAGGGGAAGAGTGTTCCCTTCTTATCTTTAATGTATTAAGGGTAATGTATTAAGGTATTAAGTGTTCCCCTTAATACCTTAGAGTATTATTTCTTTCTTTCTTTTTTTTTTTTTTTGAGTCAGAGTCTCGTTTTGTCACCCAGGCTGGAGTGCAATGGGGTGATCTCAGCTCACTGCAACTTCCCCCTCCCGGGTTCAAGTGATTCTCCTGCCCCGGCCTCCTGAATAGCTGGGATTACAGGCACCCACCACAACGCCCAGCTAATTTTTGTATTTCTAGTAGAAATGGGGTTCACCATGTTGGCCAGGCTGGTCTCGAACTCCTGACCTCAAGTGATCTGCCCACCTCAGCAGAAATCCCAAATTTCTGGGATTACAGGCATGAGCCACTGTGCCTGGCCTTTAGAGTATTATTTCTAATTCTATAATTAACATCGTGTCACTGCCATAGCAGGTGGCAATATATATTTTTTGGTCAATGAAGGAAGAAGATAACCTGTGTCAGGATCTTTGATCTCCAGAAACCATTTTAGGACAATAATTAGGGAAGCTTCTCACCTGGTCTCTTATCTAATATACCAATAGGATCTAATAGGATCAAATGAAATTACCAGAAATGGCCGGGCACGGTGGCTCACACCTGTAATCCCAGCATTTTGGGAGGCCGAGGCGGGAGGATCACTTGAGGCCAGGAGTTTGAGACCAGCCTGGCCAATGTGGCAAACCCGGTCTCTATTAAAATAAACTACAAAAATTAGCTGAGCAAGGTGGCACATGCCTGTAATCCCAGCTACTTGTGAGGCTGAGGCATGAGAATCATTTGAACCTGGGAGACAGGTTGCAGTGAGCTGAGATTGCATCACTACATTCCAGCCTGGGCAACAGAGTGAGAGCCTATCTCCAAAAAAAAAAAAAAAAAAAAAAAAATATATATATATATAAAAGAAATTACCAGAAATGAAAAAAACACAACATAGAACATTTCAAAATGTTATTCTGAACACTTGTTTTGTTTTCTATAAAAGGCAAACCCCACAAAATAGGTCAACATAGTGGTGTCTCAAATATTTTATCTCAGGTATTATGTCTCCTTTTAGTCTCAACCTGGTATATTATCATATTAGTTACTCCTACCTAAATGTTTTTATCTTTCCTAAATTTTGATTAAAATATTGAATAAAGCAAAGCCAAAACAAAGTGTGTACTAAGTAATTTCACTAGGACTCATATCCAATTACTGATCAACATTACTTGGATAGAGTTGTTTAGCAAGCTGGTCACTGACCAAGGCATTATCATGCAGCTTATTGTTTGCTATGTCATTCACCAGGATGCCATAGATAACTCTGTCAAAACAATACTTTCGTGAAATAATTCATCAGTGTTGCTCTTGATTCCTCCACTCCCTCATTCCCCATATCCAATTAATCATTAAATCCAATGAAGTCCAGATATCTCCATTTCACTATCTTAGTTCAAAGCACTAGCACCTGAATGATTGTCTAGCTGTTCCCTTTCAACTCCAGTTTTTTCATTTTCCAATCGCATTTCCAATTAGCAAGCCAGAGTTATTTTAATTAAATGTCAATCTAATCATATTTATACTCTTCGCTGGCACTGTATTGCTCTGAAATCAAGTCCAAACTCCCTAAGTAGCCTAGCATGCCTTACAGAATCTGGATACTTCTGATTTCCATCACCCTCCCTCCTGTCAACATCTTCCACCACTGCCATCCACTAAACACACACACACATACACACACACACAAATACACACACGCACAAACTCCTGCACCCTCTACAACTTGCTCGTTACCTTGGGGTAATTTTCAGTCACCCCAAATTGCAGTTCTCCCTTTATTTTTACCAGGCTGACTCATTACCTTCACCTGTCTAAATATTACATTTCTATGCATCCCTTTAGGTGTTGGGTTAGATATGACATGTTCTGAGTATTCTTTCCTCACTCCCTCCCAGAACAATGGGATTAGATTTCACTTCTATGTTCATATAGTGCTCCACATATGCTCTGTCTAGTGTTTATTTTGATGTGTTTCAATTTCTAGTTTATTTGATTGCTTTCATCATAAGATTGTAATCACCTTAGAGTATTATTTCTAATTCTATAACTAACATAGTATCAATGCCATAGCAGGTATGCAATATATATTTTTTGGTCAATGAAGGAAGAAGGTAATCTGTGGCAAGATCATTGATCCCCAAAAATCATTCTAGGACAATAATTAGGGAAGCTTATCACCTGTTCCCTAGTCTAATACACTCCAAGTCCTGTGTACATTTTGCTGCAAGATACCATGAGTTTATGAGCTTCAGATGATAAAGCAATATGTTTTGAGAGGCCCACATGGAGAAAGTAGGATTGAGCTAACCTCGAAGGATTAGCAGGATTTACATAGACAAAGAGAGTGGGAATAATATACTGGAATTTTGCACACATGCCAAGGATAGTGTCTGGAATGCTCAAATATATACAATTAATGTAGACTTCTTAAATGTAGATGATCTGATCAAGATCCTATTAATAACTGATATAAGAACTGACATTATGGTTCTTTTCATCCTAATGCAAATATGGCTTCCCTGATTATCTTCCCCTGTAAATGTTTTTGGAAGGAGGGAGGTAGGACAATGATTCTACTTGATCATATACTGAGTTTGAGTTTCTTTAACAAAGACTATTACCCAAGAATCTTCTTCTCCTAGCATAACTGAATTCTCCTTTACTGCTGCCTCTGACGTCTAGCAAATTCTTTCCCTTCCAGGTAGCTAAACATTAAGGCATGACCTATCTAGTCTCTACAGCAGTATCAAAATTGGCTGCTAAAAACCAGAATGCCGTCCAAAACTTTGGGAAATTACTGGTTAAACCCATATTTTTAAAATAAAAAACACCCCGTCTCTACCAAAAATACAAAAAAAATTAGCCAGTCGTGATGGCATGCGCCTGTAGTCGCAGCTACTCAGGAGGCTGAGGCAGGAGAACTGCTTGAACCCAGGAGGTGGAGGCTGCAGTGAGCCGAGATCGCACCACTGCATTCCAGGCTGGGCAACAGAGCAAGACTCTGTCTCAAAAAAAAAAAAAAAAAAAAAAAAGGAGGAAAGGAGGCAAGAGAATTATAAGTTGAAGAACATTTAGCTGCTAAGGAAGGGTTAGAGCTTGGAGAGTCATTGGCTTTTCATCAAATAGGAGCAAAAAAAAATTGCCATAATTTTTGGAAGTGGATTCTAGGGAGTGAGAAGAGCAGCCGTTTGTCTCCAAATTCACAAAAATGTGAAACTGAGTTAAGGCTCACTGTCCTTCTCAAACCAGGTAGCCCTGTGGTTTCCTCATTCACACTGAGTTTTAAATTCTACCTCCACTTGGGTCATATGATTATTTATTATTTATGGAGTGACATATACACAGCTCATGTTTTACTAATGTAAAATTAATTAGTAAATGTTCAGAAAACACTTTGAAGATGAAAAGTTGTATAAGTGCTAAGTATTATTATGTCATTATTACAAACAACACAAAAGTCACAGAACCTCATAAACTAAATAAGTAGAGAATGACCTTCTTACTCAGCACTCAGGAGAGGATGGCAGAGGGTCAGTCTTGGTGGAGTCAGCTGGCATGGACACCTCTGTAGGACAGGTGGGCTCAAGGGGGGTGATAGCAGGAGGGCTTGCCATTACTTCTCAGGTTAATTTTCTAAAAGGACCAAATTTGTAAAAATAACTTAATTTGTGTTTTAAAGTTCTTGAAAATGAGTTGCTTGCTTAATATTTTTGTGGAAACAGAAGCACTATAAATCCTAAATAAAAGAAAAACAAAAGTAATTAAGATAAATTTTAATTATTAGTGTCTGTTTGGCTGATTCATTTTTGTGAGTAATCTTTCAATCACAATTAGAGCATTCATGTAAAGTGTGTATGTACCTGCTGAAACTTCAAGATGTTTAAGAGATTTCTTTTTTATTATTTTTGTGCTTTTATTTTAGGTTCAGTGATACATGTGAAGGTTTGTTACATGGGTGAACTCATGTCACGGGGTTTGTTGTACATGTTATTTCATCACCCACATATTAAGCCCAATACACAATAGTTATCTTATCTGCTCCTCTTCCTCCTCCCACCCTCCACCCTTGAGTGGACCCCAGAGTCTGTTGTTCTCTTCTTTGTGTTCATGAGTTCTCATCATTTAGCTTCCACTTATAAGTCAGACCATGTTATATTTGTTTTTTTGTTCCTGTGTTAGTTTGCTAACGATAATGGTCTCCAGCTCCATCTATGTCCCTGCAAAATACATGATATCATTCTTTTTATGGCTGCATAGTATTCCATGGTGTATATGTACCACATTTTCTTTATGCAATCTGTCATTGCTGAGCATTTATGTTGATTCCATGTCTTTGCTATTGTGAGTGCTGCAATAAACATTTGCGTGCATGTGTCTTTGTGGTAGAATGATTTATATTTCTCTAGGTATATACCCAGTAATGGGGTTGCTGGGTCCAATGGTAGTCCTGCTTTTAGCTCTTTAAAGAATTGCTACACTGCTTTCCGCAATGAGTGAACTAATTCACACTCCCACCAACAGTGTATAAGCATTCCTTTTTCTTCACAACCTCACTAGCATCTGTTACTTGTTTGCTTTTTAATAATAGCCATTCTGACTAGTGTGAGATGGTATCTCATTGTTGTTTTGATTGTATTTATCTGATGATCAGTGACATTGAACTTTTTTTCATATGCTTGTTGGTCATAAGTATGTCTTCTTTTGAAAAGTATCTGTTCATGTCCTTTATTTTTAAAGAGATAATCATACTATGAAAATCAAGAGGACACAAGATATCTATTTCTAATGATGTATGTTGATATAGAGACACTCATAGATATGTTTGCACTATTCTATTTTACCTATAGAAAGTGGTGAGCCAGAATTTAGGTCTTAATTTTTAATTATTGGAGCACTGCAGTGCTTCATTTCTATACATTGTTAGTGGTATGATTTAACATTGTGGTTGGAAACAAGAATAGCAACAATTAGAGAGTATTTAGTTCCTTCCCATTAGCAATGCCTAATGCTTAAATCGCAATTGGCCTGAAAGTCAAACAAATTGCTGATTGGTTCTATGGCACACACAGGTGGGCAAATAATTTTTACATTTTTATTCTAAAGCTAATTAATTTAACACAAAGACAAATGTTCACATACACATTATGGTCTTTTCTGGCACTCCAACAAAATGTATGCCTTGATAAACCGATTGAGACTGACTCATATTTTTAATAAAATTTTTAGACAGTTTTTTGGTTTTCATATCCTGCCATCATCTAGATTCTAGCTGCAGTATAATATTTGGCAGAGTGTAATTTCCTGATAGCTTTAAAAATCAGTCACTTTACACATTCACATTAATACTTAGCTTAATTAGCTGTAAGAGAAACTTTGAAATATTTCCCATCGAATTAAGTTAAAATATTTTTTATTTAATTAACAAAACTAGCTAAAATATTTCATCTTGGCTTCTAAGTAGTATGTTCTATGTCTTTCATGTCAACTTGCTCAGCTCCGTCTGCTTCATAAACTATGTATGAGAAAGAGTGTGTAGACAGACCCTGGTTTCATCCTTTCAAGGAATGAATAATAAATATTTTAAGTACAACTCACAGTTTCTGAAATATCTAAATAATCCTTTATATCATTAGCACTGTATTATTATTATATCTGAATGGCTTCAGAGTATACTTGGTGAATAAATAAAACACATATGGAAAATTAAGGCATGTTGCTAAAATCAAAGCAGGATTTTTATTCCTCACTTTAACTTCCACCCAAGACTCAATTTGTGTTGAATGATAGGTAGTCTATTTTTCAACCAACATTCCACATAATAATAATACTTTGGAAAAATATAATTTATTGTATTACATTGTTTTTAGAGAATGCTTTAAAGAAACAAAATCTGGATGTTGACAAAGTCTAATTTTCCTGTGTGTATACATAAATTTTATATGTATTTTGTATTGTGTGTACATGTATTTTGTGTATGTGTATACATAAGTATTGAATCTATGTATATATACACACACATGTACACATGCTGGATAACTACTTTCTCAATGAAACCTTTTGCAAGTAGGCAGAACATCTGAATCTTAGAAATGCAGACTAAAATGACAGAAATAAACACTTAGTTCACCAACCTTTAAAATTAATTTTTTTTCATTAACTATAATTTCACATATTCGAGTCAAGATAGATAGGTCACTGTAGTGATCTTAGATTTGGGCTGTAAGATAAGTGAGAGTTGCAAATTAAAATGACTGTATGGTTTAATTTTCCTTCTGGAGATCAGGAAAGAAGAACTTTAATCCCAACTCTAATCCCAACTTTAAATATGCTGATAATAACTAAAGGAGAAATTTCTACCTTAAATGCTAATCTTCTCTAGATTTGAAATGTCCTAAAGTGAAAATACTGTCCCATAGTTTCCCTTATTTAAAATTAGAAAACTGGAATGGGTGATTAGCATAGTTTCTTCCAGCTCTCAAAGGCTATGAGTCTCTTACTCCAGGACATTTATGTTCGATGGGAGTTTGAAGACAAATGATGCTCTCTCTTAGACAAATTATTGCACACAAGAATCACTTTTATATTGTCTTGTACACAAAACCAAAGGTGAAAAAATAAATGAAGGATATTTGTGTATCTATAGATTGAATTATGATAAATTTATCATTATTCAATTTTTCATCTACAAAAGCAGCAATTTTTAAATAGTTCAATCTAGTAGAAGGACACAGTTAAAAAGAATAGAAAAATATAACCCAAATACTTGCCACATAAAATCTCACACTTATTTATTACCCTATCATTGCGGCTTATCCCATGGCAAGCTGCGTTGAGGAAACTATGGAAATATATACCAATCAGTATAGAGGAGGATGTTTTACAGCACATACCCACCCCTAAGAAATTGATTTAATAGGTTTACAATGTCATTTAGTCAATATTTTTTCCAAAAATTTTAAGCGCTATCCTAGACTCAATAGTGAGTTGATCAGATTGAAAAAGTACCTTCCTCTAAGTTCTTACATAGTGAGATTTTTTTAGGTTTTTTTCAATGGACAAAACATTTCATGGGTATAAGTATCCATAGAAATATTGAGACATTAATTTTTACACACAATGTGCAAACATAATTTGAACAAAATACTTTACAATGTTGGGAGTGCTTTTTAAGTAAAATTAAGTTTCCCAAAAAAATAAGACTTTACCTGCATTGGAGATCTAGTTAATACTATCTGTTCAGAGAATATCATCTGGTCAGACACTGATTGCTAGAAAACTAAAAAAACAAATTTTCTGGTAAATATTTGATTGTTTGCAGGTAAAAATAATATAGGCATTAATATAGGTCTCTCAAATTAATAATTAGTACAGTCATTTCAATGTATGTTGATTTTTCTTTATATATTAGAAACATACACACACATACATACATATAAGCATATACAAAGTATTACAGATGGGTATTTAGTATATAAAATATTAAAATGTGTTTTATTATATTAATATAAAATATATAAATAAAATATAAAAATATTTTTATGGGCTGAATTGTGTTTTCTCAAATTCTTATATTGAAATCCTAATTCCTAGTACCTCAGAATGTAACTTTATTTGAAGATAAGTAAATAGAAGTAAGTTAAAATATGGTTATTAGGGTAAGCCATAATCCAATATGACTGTTGTCCTTAAAAGAGGAGGAAACTAGGACACACATATGTGCAGAGGAAAGATCATGTGAAAATACAGGGAAAAGACTATCTAAAAGCCAAGGAGAGAAGCCTTAGAACAAAACCAAACCTGCTAACACTTTAACTTCAGACTTCTATCCTCTAGAACTGTGAGAAAATAAATTTCTGTTGTTAAAGCCACTCAGTCCATGTACTTTGTTATGGAAGCCCTAGGAAGCTAATATAAAATGCAATATAGTATAAAGCATATAAAACAAAATTAATTTTTTATAGTTTTTGCATTTTTACATTTATTAGTAATCTTGTTCATCATTGTACTCCCCTTCACTGGAATAATAGTTTGCACATAGAAAATGTTCAACAAACGTGAGTACAATAAATTATTTAATTAGCTTCTTAAGAGACATTTCTTCCAAATCTGTGTAGGCCAAAGTAAAACATTATTTAACAATATTAAAACATAAATATATTGGGACAAAGTTGTCACCCAATTCATAAATAATATGGCAGACAATTTATTCTAAAAGTGTTTAACATTATTATCCTCTTCCTCTGTCCAATTACTATTTCCAAGTTGTACATAGAACTTAATACAGATAACAGTCCTATAAATCTGTAAGTAGTGATGAATAGACCCCTGGAGCACCTGAAGGCTGCTTTAATTAAGGCATTAAAATAGCAGACTTGAATCCTAATATCAATAATTACTCTAAATGTAAATAATCTAAATACCTAATTGAAAGATATTGACAGAGTAGATTAAAAAATACCACCAATCATATGTTGTCTATAAAAACTCACTTGAAATACAATAATATAAGTTAGTTAAAAGTGAAAGAACAGAAAAAGACCTATCATATAACATTAATCAAAAGAAAACAGGAATAGCTATATTAATATCAAATAGACTTTAGAGCAAAGAAAATCACCAGAGACAGAGAGGCACATTGTACAACGATAAAAGGATCAATCCATGTGAAGACACACCAATCATAAAAATGTATGAACCAAAAAACAGAGCAGCAAAATATGTAAAATAAAATTTGATAGAACTGAAAGGACAAATAGAAAAATTTAGAATTATAATTGTAGATTTCAACATTCTTTTCTCAATAATTGTTGGAACTACACAGAAAAACAACAAGAATGTGAAAGAATTCAACAACACCATTAACCAAAAGGATCTAATCAACATTTACAGAAAACCCCACCCAACAACAGCAAACACATTCTATTTAAGTGCTCACAGAACATATACCAAGATAGATTATATCCAGAGCCATAAAACAAACCTCAAAAAATTTAGAATTGAAACCATACATAGTACATTTTCCAACCACAATGAAATCATGCAAGAGATCAATTTTAAAAAGACCAATATCCTTGTTAGCATATCTCAAAACACTTAGAAATGAAACAACATATTTATAAATAATCCATGGCTCAAGGAGTCATTCTTAAGGAAAATCTTGAAAATACATTGAACTGAATAAAAACAGAAAATAAAACATATCAAATTTGCAAGGCAGAGTCAAAATAGTGCTGAAAATGGAATTTTATACACCAAAAGCATGCATTAGAACAGAGAAAAAAATCTTAAATCAGTAATTTAAGCTCCTGCTGCAAGAACCTAGTAAAAGAAGGGCAAAACAAACCTAAAACAAGAAAAAGGGTAGAAATAATGATTCAAATAATATTTGCACAAATAAAAAGAAGACATAAATGAGAAGTGGGGGATTAAGAGGGAGAAATTTTTTTAACCGCTTAAAGAGAAAACGGTAGGTTTACAGAATCAGCAGAAATATCTCTGGGACCTAGAATTCACCTAAGAACATGTGAATTATTCTGAGCATAAAAGTAACTACATTATTCTATCTTTTCCATAGGATGCTCTTTCTTACAGGATATAAGATAACATAATACTATTGCTCTCCTAGAATGCACTACAGTATTCATGGTCTTTTCTTCAGAGATATCAATAACTAGCTCACACACTATCATTTTCCTAAACCTTCTCTCTTGACTCTGTGTTTACCCTTAGCATCATTTACCTATTCCTCTTCTCAACAGAATTTTACTGAAAAGTTAGGTATGCCTGCTATTTACACACGCACACACATACACACACATATATACATATACACATACACACACAGATAGATGATTGATAAGTAAATAAGTTATTATTTTTACTTATAGTCCTGCTTCTACCCTCCCTCCAAACTCAGGCTGTGCTAGGGGTGAGGGGAAAGGAAGTGGAGACATTCCTAAGCAAGAATGACCTCCCAAAGCACTAGTACAGTAGAGACAACTCTGCCTCTCCTCCTCCAAGCCCCCACCAAAAACAAATCGCTATATCTCACAGAGTCTTCATTTCTTCATCTTCAAGAAGAACATTATGATATAGTCTTAGTTTCTTTATCTTCAAAAAGAAGATTATGACATCATATCCATATCGAACCACTTCACAGTGTTTTTTCTGAGAATAAATGAAGAAATACATCAAAAGTATTTCAGACAGTGCCTGTCATAGCATCAGTCCTCAATAAATACTAGCCAAGATCTATTTATATCTATCTATCTATCTATCTATCTATCTATCCATCTATCTATCTATCTATCTAGCATATCCTTTACAAAGGACTATTTTCCTAGCCATTGCATTTATTCTGAGTAACTACACTTGGATGCTCACTACAGAGCCAACTGAGTTTGGGGAACATACATATATGATTTTTCTATATGGATTTAAAGCAAGGCAATAAGCCCATTTAAAAAGGTTTTACAAGCCACAGGAATGAAGTAAATCAGGAATGAAAATTATTGCTTTTACAGGTGTAAAAACAGATAAGCAAGCAAAGTGTTCCTTAACATTTAAGGACTGAGTGTGGTGGCTCACACCTGTAATCCCAATACTTTGAGAAGCCAAGGTGGGTGGATCTCTTGAGACCAGGGGTTTGAAACCAGTCTGGGCAACACAGTGAGACCCCCATCTCTACAAAAAAAAAAAATTAAAAAATTAGTCAGGCATGATGGCATGCATCTGTGGTCCCAGCTATTTGGGAGACTGAGATAGGAGGATCACTTGAGCCCAGAAGGTGGAGGCTGCAGTGAGCCATGATCACAACACTGCACAAAACCCTATCTCAAAAAAAAAAAAAAAAATCTGCACTTAATACCTACCCCAGGAAAATGATATAATTATTCGTTATAATACTAAACCAAGCTAGGGAAAAAAATTTAATAATCTATTATTGATTTATTTTGTTGATTCACTGATTGAACACTGACTATGACCCACAAAATTGGAATAAAATTCTAATTCACAAATTATTTGTTTATGCTAATACTAAATTTATTTTCTTTTCCTATGAACATACCAAATGATACTGGAATGACTGTATAAAAAGCATTTTTTGATGATTTTTTAAAAAGTTGCCATAGATGATCAAATCTAGAAATCAGGCCAGGCACGGTGGCTCACGCCTATAATCCCAGCAATTTGGGAGGCCAAGGCGGGTGGATCATCTGAGGTCAAGAGTTCGAAACCAGCCTGACCAACATGGTGAAACCCTGTCTCTACGAAAAATACAGAAATTATCTGGGCATGGTAGCGGGTGCCTGTAGTCTCAACTACTCTGGAGGCTGAGGCACGAGAATTGCTTGAACCTAGGAGGTAGAGGTTACATAGGAGGTAGAGGTTACAAAGAGCCAAGATTACAGATCGCACCACTGCACTCCAGCCTGGGTGAAACAGTGAGACTCTGTCTCAAAAACAAACAAACAAACAAACAAAAAACCTACACGTCAAAATCTCACATAATTACATAATTTCTATTTAACATTTATATTTGCTATAGCTGTTAATGCCTGTTAAGTCATTTATCTTAGATCAGTGGCGGCAACATCAGGAATAGTGAAAATAGGTTATTGATTTCTAGTTTGAAGTAAATGCATGGAAATGTAGACATTTAAAAGACTTTGTGGATAGAAAAATCCTTAGAAATCCCCAGTCTGGTTGCCACATTTACAGACAAGAAAATGAAATTTAATGAAGTAAAGTGATTCATCCTAAGTCATAAAGCAAATCATGGACATACCCAAGACTTGAACCGTGAATTCTTACTCTATGGTCTGTATGTTCTCTACACTACTTTTATGAATTAGTTTAGAACTGATGGCTATGCTAAAAATCTGTTTTTAAGTTCCTAGTGGAAAAAAAAATCTGCCTTTTTTTTTTGAGATGGAGTCTTGCTCTGTCACCCAGGCTGGAATGGAATGGCATCATCTCAGCTCACGGAAACCTCTGTCTCCCAGGTTCAAGTGATTCTCCTGCCTCAGCTTCCCAAGAATCTGGGATTACAGGTGCCCACCACCATGCCCAGATAATTTTTTTGTATTTTTAGTAGAGATGGGGTTTCACCATGTTGGTCACGCTGGTCTTGAACTCCTGACCTCAGGTGATCCACCTGCCTCAGCCTCCCAAACTCCCTTCTTTTTCTAAATTTGTATCCAATCATTCCAAGTCTAAATGTTTAAAACTCTGTTCTCATTTTTAGCATCAAAGAAGGAAGGCTATAAATCTATATCTAAACTTAACAAAAAATGCTGAGGGGGATAAAATAAATATTATAAAATATTAAATTTAATGAACAATTATTAAGTATTTATACAATGCCTTGTTAGGTGCTATGGGGAATTCAAAGAGAATATTGTCTCTCTCAGCAAAAAGCTTACTTACACTTAAGCTTAAACAAAGAGTTAGTATATATGAGATGAAAGGCACAATTAGTATGATCGTTTCACAAATGTATTTTAAGCTTGTTCAGTATAAGCTGTGTGGTGTGGATGGGACCTAATGCTGTGGTTAGTTGATAAAATCAACAGTGACTGAAAGCTGCTCAATGAGAAGAGTTGAAAACTCTTGTCAACAAGATGCCCGGAGCCCCATATTTTTCAGTCCACTGGCCTGTACATCCTTTGTCACCATTTTGGCCAACAGTCCCAGCCAGGGCCAAGATCCTTTGTGACATCTCTTATAGAAGGTGTTCTTTTTTTCAGAGCACTTCCTCTCAAGGTTTATTTTTTCATATTTATTGATAGATTTTAATTGACAGGGAAAAATTATACATATTTATCATGTAAAATATGATGCTTTGAAATACATACACATTGTAGAATGGCTATATCAATCTAGTTAACATATGTATTACCCTCAGATATTTATCATTTTCATGGTCAAAATTCTAAAATCTACTCGTTTAGCAATTTTCAAGAATACAAGACATTGTTATTAATTACAGTTACCATGTTATACAATACGGCTTTTGAATTTATTCCATCTGACTGAAATCTTGTATCCTTTGGCCAATAAATCCCCAACCCAATTTCTATTCCGTAGTAACCACCATTCTACTCTCTACTTCTGTGAGTTCAATTTTTTTAGTTTTGGCATGTGAGATCATGCATTATTTGTCTTTCTGTGCCTGGTTTATTTCACTTATAATTTCCTCCAGGTTCAACCATGTTGTTTCAAATGACAGGACTTCCTTCTTTCTTATGACAGAATAGTATTCCTCTATGGATACATAGCACACTTTTTTTAATCATTCATCCATTGATGGACATTTTGGTTGTTTCCATATCTTGGCTATTACGAAAAATGATGCAATGAACATGGGAGTGCAGATATCTCTTCAGCATACTGATTGTATTTCCTTTGAATACATACCAGCAGTGGAATTGCTGGATCATATGGTAGTTTTGTTTTTAGTGTTTTGAGAAACATCCATGTTGTTTTTCTTTTTTTTTTTTTTTGAGACGGAGTCTCGCTCTGTCGCCCAGGCCGGACTGCGGACTGCAGTGGCGCAATCTCGGCTCACTGCAAGCTCCGCTTCCCGGGTTCACGCCATTCTCCTGCCTCAGCCTCCCCAGTAGCTGGGACTACAGGCGCCCGCCACCGCGCCCGGCTAATTTTTTGTATTTTTAGTAGAGACGGGGTTTCACCTTGTTAGCCAGGATGGTCTCGATCTCCTGACCTCATGATCCACCCGCCTCGGCCTCCCAAAGTGCTGGGATTACAGGCGTGAGCCACCGCGCCCGGCCCATGTTGTTTTTCTTAATGGCTACACTAATTTACATTCCCATCAACAGTGTGCAAGAGTTCACTTTTCTTCACACCCTCTCCAACACTTGTTATCTTTTGGCTTTTCCTTTGCCCCATTTTTAATTGGGTTATTTGTTCTCTTGTTATTGTTTGAGTTCCGTATATTTTGGATATTAATCCCTTATCAGACATGTGTCTTGCAAATATATTCTCCCATTCCATAGGTTGTCTCTTCATTTTGTTGATTTTTTCCTTTACTCTGCAGGAGCTTTTTAGTTTCATGTAATCCCATTTGTTTATTTTCCTTTCTGTTGTCTGTGCTGTTTCATATCCAAAAATTATTGCCAAGGCCAATGTCTTAGAGCTTTTCTTCTACATTTTCTTCTAGTAGTTTTACAGTTTCAGGTCTTATGTTGAAGTCTTTTATCAATTTTGAGTTGATTTCTGTATAAGATATGAATCTCCAGATTACAGTAGATATGAATCTCTAGGTTACTGTCTTTCCCACCTTTAGATTATAGTTTGATGGGAAATACAGTCAGTAGTCAAATAATCACTTTAGTAAATGCATAGTTCAAACCTCTTGCAGAGGCCATGTTCATTTTTGCCCAGCATTATATTGTCAGAGCCTAGCACAGGGCCAGACACATGGCAGTAAATATTTATTGGATGAATTAATATTTCATAATATAAAAGCTGCAACTAACAACCAGGATAGCAAGAGAGAACATATGTACCCCTTCTCAACTCATGTTACACAAAAGAATTAAGCCCTAAAAACACGACATGGGTGAGTGTGTTTTCAGTTCTTCCAAAGATGATACATAGTTAATACCATTCCAGTTGCATAAGAGAGAGGTTTATTCGTCTCATATAACTGTTGCCATAGACAGTAGAGTTTAATTTTCTTCCAGAATCTCAATTTAGGAGGGATGATGACAAGTATGGCAGAGGTGTGCTACTAGTAGACATTGCTACCCCCAGATTTAGGATGTAAAAAGTACTTCAATTATTAAGATCCATAAATATAATGTATAATTTTATTTTCCAATTACTCCTGAATCTCATGAAAAGTAGCAATGCTACTACTTTCTGAGAAATTAATAAAATCAGTATTTCTGGAGTGTATTATTTAGTGAGAGATCAAAGTTTTCTCTATCAATTCTAAACTTTCTAAATCAGAAGACTTTAAAATTGCCTATTTAGCATAAAACCTAGAAAAACCATTGATAGCATAGTTTTCCTCTGCCTATGAAAGAATTATTTCCTGAAAAATCTCTCCTAGGGTAAATTCCTTGACCTAATTCTATTGATTTCAATGGGAAAAGATTTTAAGCATCCCCAAGCCCTCAAATTTATATTCATTTATGCTTGAACAATATCACATTCCTGTAACAAAGAGATGATTACATAGTTAAAATTAGTTAAAACAATTTTTCTTTTATTAAGTAATTTATGACTTCTTATACGATCTCATTAGGCTATTCTATAGTTTAACAATCAAAACAGAATATACATATGATATTTAATGTTTGTATAATTCAAACTTCAATGCAAAAAAAAAGAAAGAAAAGAACAAGTAGAGAAATGCAAGTGATATCTCACTTACCAAACAGTTGACTTCACGGCGTGATACACTTGACTATCACTGCCATAAGCTATCAACCCAAGAGCTAAAGGAAAGAGCACAACACTAGATTAGCTGAACCAACTATAAAACTGCAAAAATGACCACATAGTAGATCTCTCCTGAAAGCTCTGGAAGGAAAAATTCAAATCAGTCTTTGAAAAAGCAAAGAAATGCCTTATACGTTAAAGTGAGGGTTTTTAATGAAATGCCTCATAAAGTTGACTACTCAGAACTTTGGTAGGCATACTTAAGGGTATGACTACCATTTATTTTAAAATATAGTCATCATTTTCCAAATAAAATGTCTTGTCTATCCTGGCAAACTCCATCTCATGAATGGAATAGGTATGAAAAACATTTTTAAAAACATACTTACTCAAAACCATGATTGGTTAAAGTAAAAATTTGAATTATATAGAAGTAATAGAAAAAATAATAGCAAATACATTAGTATACAAGGACGATGGCCCTGACCCACTACAAAGAGTTCTACAAGAAAAATGAAGCTTGGCCTAGTACTCATTTGTGAGTGGCTAGCCTACACAGAGGTATAGATTGTTATCGAGCACACCTTTTTCATGCAACTTAATCCTGAGACAATGCATGGCTTCATTTATATCATGCTTTAAGCAACTGAACTAACGAATCATTATTTGCTAAATTCCAAAGGACATTTTTTAAAGCATATTATTGCCCAGAGTGTGCTTTCTTAATCAAGAACCAATCTTCAGTTCTATAAACCTGTGTTATATTATCTCTTTCTTAAATTATTCCAAAGAGTGTAAGACTTTGACCACCCACAATTCTCTGAAAATAAGCATTTTCTAAATTGGCAAATTTTCTGAGTAGTTTATCTTTTAAATAAAATATAAAAGTTCTTTTTAAAATTATTGGTATGGTTTGGCTCTGTGTCTCCACTCAAATATCATGTTGAATTGTAATCTCCAGTGTTTGGGGAGGGACCTGGTAGGAGGCCATTGGATCATGGGGGTGGTTTCCCCTTGCTGTTCTCACGATAGTGAGTGAGTTCTTACAAGATCTGATGGTTTAAAAGTGTGTGGACATCCCTCTTTGTTCTCTTTGTCTCCTGTCGCCTTGGGAAGAAGGTGCTTGCTTCCTCTTCACCTTCTGCCATGATCGTAAGTTCCCTGAGGCCTCCCAGTCATGCTCCCTATTAAGCCTGCAGAACTGTGAATCAACAAAACCTCTTTTCTTCATACATTACCCAGTCTCATGTAGTTCTTTATAGCAGTGTGAGAGCAAACTAATACAATTATATTTTTACAAAAATCTTTCTCAAATTTACCACTGACTTTTCTGACATTACTAAGGGTATATAGTGGATATTGTGGTGACCTTCAGGCATTTTGGAAAACGTACGGTTATTGCCACCATCACCAAATGACCCCAATATTTGAGTTCTCATATTTATTCCTTATATTTTATTTATTTGTCATTCCTCAGTATCAGTCAGTTCAATGATCCTTTCTATGGTCTTTCTTCTATCTTCTTCTAGTTCATTTGAAATATTTTGCAGTAATTTATATGTATAAATTAGAAAAACTGGCTGGGTGCAGTGGCTCATGCCTGCAATCCCAATATTTTGAAAGGCTGAAGTTGGAGGGTCACTTGAAGCCAGGAGTTTAAGACCAGCCTAGGCAACGAAGTGAGACCCAATCTCTATAAAAAAATAAAAATAAAAATTAGTCAGGTACAGTGGCATGCACCTGTAGTCTACTCAGGAGGCTAAGGGAGGAGGATTGCTAGAGTCCAGGAGTTTAGGACCTCAGTGAGGTATAATCACGACATTGCACTCCAGCCTGAGCAACAGAGTGAGACACTGTCTCTAAAAATTAAAAAATTAAAAAATAAATTAGAAAAATTAATAGCCTTTGAATGAGAATATGTTGGGCCTTCTTATTTAATTATGTAAGTTTCAGTGTATTGATTTTATATATATATATATATATATATATATATCTTTTGGCTACACAGATGCCCTTGTTTCCTGATTCTTGGCTTTATTCTTAGAGAAAGAATATTCATACAGAAAATGTTGCCAAGTCTCCTGAACGATGTGGAGAACTGTACCTGTTGGTATTTCAAAATGTGTTTCTATAAAACCAGGAATATACTAAAAGGATTTTTTAAAAGTATTTTTCAAATTCAGTCTTATGCTTAAAGTTAGAAATCTTTATTAAATAATACAACTATATGTTAGACACTGTCTGAATACTTTAGGAGAGTTTAATTATTAGCAAATTAAAGAAATCCACTACCAATAAGGCACATGAGATAAACTTCCACAAAAATATCCATGGACTGATTGTTCTTCTTTTTTTTTTTGAGAGAGAGACAGAGACAGAGTCTCACTCTGTCACCCAGGCTAGAGTACAGTGGTGCAATCTTGGCTCACTGCAACCTCTACCTCCCAAGCTCAACCGATTCTCCTGCCTCAGCCTCCTGAGTAGCTGGGATTACAGGTGTATGCCACTATGCCTGGCTCATTTTTTGTATTTTTAGTAGAGATGGGGTTTCACCATGTTGGCCATGCTGGCTTTGAACTCTTGACCTCAAGTAATCCGCCTGCCTCGGCCTCCCAACGTGCTGGGATTACAGGCATGAGCCACCTACCTGCCCAGCCTAATTGTTCTTATGTTCTAATCTCTGTCAGAGGAAAAATCATTATAATTTTCTAACAGTTATTTTTTATAGTTGGGCACTAATTTTAAATCATTAGTGCTAAAATATTCCATCTTGTTGGCCAATGCAGTTAATAGCCTGGACTACTTGGGGAGTCCATCAGGATTGATTCAGTTCTAGACATGGAAAATGTCTTTGAAACTTCAGATCAAAGTAGGCGGGCTATTGGTACTCTAGACCCAAATAGACTTTATTTAGTGTAGTTCTAAATTCATGTTGCCAATTTTAATCAAATATACCCAGTATGAGTCCTGAACTTCAGCTGTGTGCTCTCTGCATCACATCCTTTCTTTGACACTACTTGAATGAATTCCCAGTCTGTTTCTCCACTTTAGATAGTTTTGTACAGCTATTTCCACTTTAGCTAATTTGTAGTTTTGCATTCTTGTCCTCTGCTAAAATGGAAGCTCTTCATAGAAACTTAGCCCTTTTGACTGGGCTACCAATAACTAAGCTAGTTCTTGCCGCCTCCTCCATTAAATGATTGGGGTCTTTAAGCCCATGGGATTGAGCACCTGGAATCAAACACTACTGTGTTGATTGATGACCAGTTCTGAGGTTGGAATACACCTGTGTGATGGTTAATTTCATGCATCAACTTGCCTGCCCATTGGAATGAATGCCTAGATATCTTGTTAAACATTATTTCTGGGTATATTTGTGAGGCCGCTTGCAAAACAGATTAACATTTGAACGGGTAGACTCGGCAAAGCTGATTGTCCTCCCCAACATGGTCATGTGTCATCCAATCTATTGAGGATCTGAGTAGAACCAAAGGGCCAAAGAAGGTGAAATTATCTCTCTGCCTATTTGGGTTGGGACATTGGTTTTCTTCTGCCCCCAGTCTGGGACTTACATCATCACCTCTCCTGTTCTCAAGTCTTTGGACTCAGGCTGGAACTACACCAGGTCTCCAGCTTGCAGGTGGCAGATCAGCAAATCACAGGACTTCGCAGCCTCCATAATCCTGTGAGCAAATTCCTCATAAAATATACATTTTACACTTTGGGAGACCAGGACAGGTGGATCATTTGAGGCCAGGAGTTTGAGACCAGCCTGGCCAACATGAAAAAACCCTGTCTCCACCTTAAAAAAAAAACAAAAATTAGCCAGGTGTGGTGGCGGGTGCCTAGAGTCCCAGCTACTCAGAAGGCTGAGGCACAAGAATCACTTGAACCGGGGGAGGTGGAGGTTGCAGTGAGCAGAGATTGTGCCACTGTACTTCAGCCTGGTGACAGAGCAAGACTCTGTCTCAAAATAAATATATATATGTATAAATATATATATTTCACATATATTTATACATATGCACATACACTATTGGCTTTGTTTCTTTCTTTTTTTCTTTTGGAGACAGGGCCTTGCTCTGTTGCCCACACTGAGTGCAGTGGTGCAATCATGGCTCACTGAAGCCTCAATCAACCTCCCAGGCTCCAGTGATCCTCCTGCCTCAGCTTCCTGAGTAGCAAGGAAAACATGTGCCACCACACCTGGCTAATTTTTTATTTTTTGTAGAGATGGGGTCGCACTATGTTGCCCAAGCTGGTCTGGAACTCCTGGATGCAAACAATCCTCCCACCTCAGCCTCCCAAAGTGCTGGAATCACAGGCATGAGACACTATGCCCTGGCTGGTTCTATTTCTCTAGGGAACACTAATTAATACAAACTGCTGAAATGGACTGCCAGTAACCATCAAGCCCAAATTTGTTATGGCCTTTCAGAAACCCCTTTGGCCTCATATATTCCTAGGAGGCCAATTGCACATACAACTTGACCAATTTTCCTATCTCCTTTCAAATGTGTCTCAGCTTCCTTTCATTTCCCAGGAACTTGAGGTCCTGAAGCCACAGTATTACTCATTCCTGGCTTGAGTGAGTTATAATCAAAATTAAGAGTGAAAAGTTTTGGGTTAAACAGTTTGTGCTTTCGTAGTATAAAGGGTCTTTATGAGAGACACATAATCATAGTTTTGTTTCCTAAAATGTGTCTGATAGTACTGTGTAAAATGAACCAGAAGGGAGACAGTCTTCAGGTAGAGGAATCAGTTAGGAAGCAATTACAATAGTCCAAGTGTGAGGAACTGAAAACCTGCACTGTCGTAGAGAAAATAATATTAGAAAGAGTGGCCATATGTCAGAGATTATATTTATAGAATTGACAGAACTTATCTACTTGGATGTGAGTCACAACTGTGAGAGGAATCAAATACAACATCTAAGTCTGAGTAACTAGAGGGATGATAACCTCTTAAAGAAAAGGAGACAATGGAGAAGGTGTGTACGACAGAAGATGATTATTTAGCAAGCACTGAGAAATAAAGAATTGGTCATCTGGAGAAAGCTGACATCTAAAACCCTAAAAACAGTGTTCATTCCCAAAGGCTGTTAATGAAATCCTGAAAAAGGATATGATTACAAAGAATACATGAAAATGAGAAGACAGAGGGTCAAAGGCAGAATGTCATGGAATATTTTCACTTATTAAAAAGAAAAAGGAGTCAGAATTTCAGATGATAAAACAAAAAAAGATAAATAAAAATAGTTTTATAAACATTCAGTAAGGAAGCATGATTTCTCATTCCAGGAAAATGGGATAAATGTGTTTTTCCTTATTCCTCCCACTAAATACAACTAAGAACCCTAGCCATTAATTACAAAACAAACAGAAGCAGCCAGTCTGGCTAGTGACTTCAGAGTTTAATAACATGGTAGTTGAGTTCCATGAGTTTTCTTTTTGCTTCATATATTCCAAAATTGGAGCTAAAGAAGACAGCACCCCCAAAACTCCCAAGGGTACAGGAAGAAAAAAGAAGCCCCAGAAAAAGTCCCCTCCTTCTGGCCAAAAGACCAGGAAAGTATCAGCCTAGCAAGATAAAATTCTTTTAGACAATTACAGCTCTACTCCAGCCAAGACACCATAGAAAAACTATTGCCTCACCAGCACCCAAGCTGGCAAAGGCTGAGTTGGAACCCTATATTTTCACCCTTTCTAGCCTCTAACAAATTATGTACAGGATTTGTATGCTGAAAACTGCACAACACTTATACTCCAACAAAATTAAAAACTTCTGCTCTGTGAAATACCCTGTTAAGAGGATGAAAAGACAAGCCACAGACTTGGGAAAAATATTTGCACATCATATAACAAAGCACTAGTGTCTAGATTATATAAAGAACTCTTTTTTTTTTTTTTTTTTTTTTGAGACGGAGTCTCGCTGTGTTGCCCAGGCTGGACTGCAGTGGCACAATCTCGGCTCACTGCAAGCTCCGCCTCCCAGGTTCATGCCATTCTCCTGCCTCAGCCTCCCGAGTAGCTGGGACTACAGGCGCCCGCCACCGCGCCCGGCTAATTTTTTGTATTTTTTGTAGAGACTGGGTTTCACCATGTTAACCAGGGATGGTCTTGATCTCCTGACCTCGTGATCCGCCCCGCCTCGGCCTCCCAAAGTGCTGGGATTCAGGCGTGAGCCACCGCGCCCGGCCTAAGAACTCTTAAAACAGTGGCACAATCCTGGGTCACTGCAACCTCCGCCTCCTGGGTTCAAGTGATTCTCCTGCCTCGCCTACAGAGTAGCTGGGATTACAGGCACCCGCCACCAGGCCCAGCTAAATTTTGTATTTTTAGTGGAGACAAGGTTTCACCATGTTGGCCAGGCTTGTCTCAAACTCTTGACCTTAACTGATCCAACTGCCTTGGCCTCCCACAGTGCTGAGATTACCGGCCTGGGCCACTGCGCCCAGCCTATGAGATTTTATTGAAGCTCATAATGTGGCAAAAAAATTAATAAGGAACAGGAAGAGGCATTCAAAATATTAATAGCTCTTTTTTAAAAAAAGACAGAGAGATAGTTACCAAGTGTGCCAGTCTCATTTCTATTTAAAATTTAAGCTTAAGGATTTCAAAAAAAGTTTCAATTTTTTTTTCGTTTTTGTACCTTCAACATACTTGTCTCTTGTGTAGAATTTCTGAAGAAATGAAAGAATGCTACATGTTCTGAGGAAGAAAATAATAGTTACAGTTTGTGTTTAATGAAAGCTAAATTGTGCAAATTCAAAAACCATGTAATTGCCATATACAAGTGCCATATAAGTGTTGCAGAAAATAAGTCTATAAATTCTGTTGTGGTTGTTATTGGGTCTATTAACTACCACCTAAATATTTATTTTTCTATATTTTCCCATCATATATAGTTTCTAGAAGAAATGCTTTTTTAACTATAGGAAAGATACATTTATTGTAAAAACAAGAAACTTGAAATAAATTCCAGGAGAAAAAAGTGAATTCATTAAGAATGAATGAGTTAATATTATTAGGTGATGGGTAATTTGTATCAGAAACTACTATGTGCAAACTGGCAAGGAAATATGAAGCTAAGTGATAATCTGAAAAGAGGGAGATAAGAAGGAAAGCTTACTGGAAAAGAGGCCTCTTAAGATAGGTCTTAAAAAAAGCAATGGGCATGAACTTGAAGGAACCCACAGTCTTCTCTGCTGAATGAAACATCAGAGCTGTGCCATCAAATTGCAGACCCTTAGAAGGTATCTAAGGGCCTGGAAGAACCAAGCTGGAAACTTTCCAAACTGAAAGTGCTAATCCTAAATATTAAACCCCTGTTAGTGTGTGTTCAAAAGGGCCCATTAGAAACACATGGATGGCACATCAAAAACATAAGACATGTTATAACATACATTATCCATTCCTCACTATATCAACATGATTGCCTAAATATACGATTTGCTACATGTCTTCTTCTCTCTTCATCACAACAGTCTTTTGTACTGCTTCCAAAGCTTAAAATAAAAAAAGTCTTGTGTTATAGGAGAAGCATATATAATATCCAAATAAAAATAGATAGTCCTGATTTTTCATATTTCTTGAAATCTGTATAAAGGTTTAAAAAAATTGAAGTACAGGTCTACCTTAAGAACTACTGTCTGTGTATACAACTCATTATAAGTTAACTTTAATTAATTTATAAAGGTTTAATTTTATTTAATAAAATCTTTAGCATTATATCTTCAGTCAAAATGGTAAACATCGAAGGTATGTACTGTGAAAGACTAACCTACATGACTTTAAGAAATAACAAATGATATATAATGTGTAACCACAAAGATAAATTTCAGTCTACTTAGTAACATGAAGAAAAGCATTTTTTTGAGCCCAAATATGCAGCCAGGGGGACTAATCAAAACCTGCAGTGAGGCCAGGTATGGTGTTTCATGCCTATAATCCCAGCACTGTGGGAGGCCAAGACAGGAAGATCTCTTGAAGCCAGGAGTTCAAGACCAGCCAGGGCATCATAGCGAAACCCCATCTCTACAAAAACAAACAAACAAACAACCTGCAGTAAGTAAAGAATTCAAATTTTGTTCAACCACAATCCAGGTCTATGCTCTGCTCATTTATTTTTAATGTAGACCAGTCCTATTAGAGCTTTTTTGGACAAAGTATTATAAATAAACTGCCATGGTGGAAGATGTTTTCTGTGTTATAAAACAATTTACAGTTGTTACCTTGTTCAGTAAGTCCATGTAGGTAAGTTTCAACATTTTCAGAAATCTACCATATGAACATTTTTAATATCACATAAAGCGCATTCAATAAGAGAATATAGCTCAATTCTTCTAAATTTGTATTGGTAGGCTCAAAGCAAAACTATGTAAAAAATAAAACTCATCCACTAATTTAGCATTTGGACCCATGTAAAGTAATGAAGGTGAAGTCATTACTTCACCTAAGTAGAGTTAAAGCCTGTGGTCTAGATAGAATTTATAGTGTAATTTAATCTATAGCTACTGGAAAATCTTTCCTTATACTTTAAAATTACACAGTTTAGATTTGATTATCCTTATCTGTTTCAGATTTCTTCTTTTAAGGTGGGAAATATTCACTGGAAATCAGACTTTTTGATGAGCCCTCCTTCTTACCAGTGCATCCAAAGTTGCATTTTTCACTTCCTAACCTTGGCAAATATTAACAGTGGTCATGGACCTGCTATACTAAAGATCCAAAAGGCCCACTTAGAAAGTATCTAAGATTTTTTCTAATCTAATGTTCAACAGCCAGTGAATTTTGCCTATTTTACCCCTAAGAGAAATCTTGACTCCCTTCTGCCCTTCCAAAAGAATTTTTGTTATCAGCTATGTCAATTCCCCCTGTCACTCCTCTATGCTAAGTGACTTTTCTTGGTGTTTTCAACTGTCTATGCATACTTCTTCCGTATTATTGTGAGCCCAAAAGTATCTGAAACAGGTCTCAATCAATTTAGAAAGTTTATTTCGCCAAGGTTAAACAGCTTCAGGAGGTCCTGATAACATGTGTTAAAGGTGGTCAGAGTACAGTTTGCTTTTATACATTTTAGGAAGACATAACACATCAATCAGTACATGTAAGACTTACATTGGTTTGATCAGGAAGGGCAGGACAACTTGAAGCAGGGCTTCCAGGTCACAAGTAGATTTAAAATTTTTCTGATTGGCAATTGGTTTAAAGAGTTATTATCAATAGAAAGGAATATCTGGGTTACGATAAGGGGAAACCAAGGCATTATCATGGAGATGAAGCCTCCAAACAGCAGACTTCAGAGAGAAAAGATTGTTTCTTATTAGACTTAAGGTCTGTGTTGATCCTAATGCTGGTTGGCTTTTCTGGAATTCCAAAAGGGAGGAGGGTACAATGAGACACATCTGACCCCCACTTCCAATCATGGCCTTGAACTAGTTTTTCAGGTTAATTTTCGAATGATCTTGCCTGAGAGGAGGGGTCCATTCAGATGGTTAGGGGGACTTAGAATTTTATTTTTGGTTTACAGCACTTTTACATTGATTTTAACTTATACACATTTTTTTAAATCTCTTCCATTAGACTCCAAGTTCACTGAGGGCTGGGTCCACCAATGGTCCATGAAGAATATCTATTCTTTGATTCCTGCCCCACAGGAGAAGACCAATGCACATTTGCTGAGCTGTTTTTCAAAACTGCTTCGTCTTATTATCCTTTGATGGAATTTCCTCTTGGTAGGCATGTGCCATTGTTTTTTGTCACTTCCTTTATATAGGACATTGTAAACAGAGTATCTTAGGTTACAATGTTGACTCCTTAACTCAGAGGTAAATCTACAGGAATATCCAGACTCTGAGGGTGTGCCAAGGGGCTTAAAAGGAAGGAAACAAAAACAGCCACAGCAGCGACTTAGCCAAAAGGGGTGATGGCTTAAGTCACTTCCCCACTCATTATAACCTGTCTTCCACCTACCCAAGGGATCTGGGATAATACAACTATTAAAAGTAAATTATGGCTGGGGGCAGTGGCTCACACCTGTAATCCCAGCACTTTGGGAGGCCAAGGTGGGTGGATCACGGAGTCAGGAGTTCGAGACCAGCCTGGCCAACATGGTGAAACCCCATCTCTACTAAAAATGCAAAAAGTAGCCAAACATAGTGGCACACGCCTGTAATCCCAGCTACTCAGGAGACTGAGGCAGGAGAATCACTTGAACCCAGGAGGCAGAGGTTGCAGTGAGCAGAGATTGCACCATTGCACTCCAGCCTGGGTGACAGAGTGAGTCTCCATCTCAAAACGAAAAAAAAAAAAAGTAAATTATAAGTCATTTCTTCTCTTTAGCAAGACATACATCAATAAAGAAAATCTCAAAGTAAGAAGAAACTTCCATGAACATTATAGGGTTTCTAAATAATTAGTTCCAAAGCTATAGGAATTAACATTTTTTTCCAGTCCAGATAAAAGTTTAATTATTCTTAATATGGTTTGATATATTTACCAAGCCACAAAACTAAAAACTGAGCCCTAGAAGTATCATATCAAATAAGAAACAGCCTTTGGAAGGCACCTGTGAAAGATTAGATGAAAAGATGCCAGCTTTCAATTTAAGTAGGCGTGACTCATATCAACTCACAACCCTGATGACTACTTAGCCCTCACTGCTAAATTACTTTGGCTTTTTTGTTCAGACAAGTCGACTTTCTGGTAAATGGTTCTTTTGTCTCCCTGATTTGTTGTGCAACCTAATAAGAGTGTGTTATTGTAATTGGCATGTAGAACTGAATATTCTTTTCTTTCTTGGATTTATAGAAATCCAGGAACCTAATAAAAATGAACCTACAGTGACATAGTATTTAATTCATGCAACAGCTGGCGATTTATTTTTGAAGAGGAACTCTTAAGTAGATATGGTAAGCAGGTTTATGGTCTTCTGGATTTGAAATTTGAAGCATCACTCATTTGTTCACCCTCTCCTCGCACATTTATCACATGAAATGAACAGGTTTGCAATTCTGCAGATTCTACTCATCCCTCATATGGGATTAGAACAGGTTTGAAATTCTGCAGAGATATGGGATCTAATAATTTGTCTATCAGGGATCTACTAATTTAAATTTAATTCAGTAATGAAGGAAACTTTAACATTGTCTACTATCAATGGATAGACAAATTATTTCAGGAAATAGTTACTCCAGTAAACAATTCCATTCTGTAATATTCCCTGAAATAATTTGTCTATCCAAGGATTAGCAGACAATGTTAAAGTTTGCTTCATTACTGAATTAAATTTCTTTTGACCCAAAATGAATGGAAAATGGGATGGCATGCTTAACCAAATGTTTTGAATAACTGAAACTTAACAAAGAGTATTAATTTTTAAAGAGTTAAAATATTGTAAAATACACTTGACACAATAAAACACATTAAATACAACAATGTATGTACTCCTCGTTATTAATGTTATTTGTTAAGATACATAATTATTTGAGTGTCTTAGCTTGGTTTCTCAAAAAACAGATCTTGAAACAAAAGCTTGCATGCAGTAGTTGACTTGAAAGTGAGCTGGCCATCACTAGGGGCAACTCTAGCTCCACCCTCTGGGACCTAATTAGTTGTATTTCAGAACTGTACCCGCTATGACTAAAGAGGGAAGCTTTTGTCCATCAGCTCCCATTTTACATTGGTCACTGGCTATCCTGGCATCAACTCCTGCATTTCCAAATTGTCCATCTGGGAGTGTCCAGCAGGTTTCTTCTGGCAGAAAGTGAGAAATCTGGCCAGGCCCAGTGGCTCACGCCTGTAATCCCAGCACTTTGGGAGGCCGAGGTGGGCGAATCACGAGGTCAGGAGATCAAGACCATCCTGGATAACATGGTGAAACCCCGTTTCTACTAAAAATACAAAAAAAAAAAAAAAATTAGCCGGGCGTGGTGGCGGGTGCCTGTAGTCCCAGTTACTCAGGAGGCTGAGGCAGGATAATGGCGTGAACCCGGGAGGTGGAGCTTGCGGTGAGCCAAGATGGCGCCACTGCACTCCAGCCTGGGCGACAGAGCGAGACGCCATCTCAAAAAAAGAAAAGAAAAGAAAAGAAAGTGAGAAGTCTTAGATGCTGACTTTAGCAGGGTACTTGTCAAGTTACCTTTGAGCACAGCGGATCCAAATTTATGTGGTCACCACAACTGCAGTTGAAATAAGAGATAAGGGCCAGACGCTCATGCCTGTAATCCCAATACTTTGGGAGGCCGAGGCAGGAGGATCACCTGAGGTCAGGAGTTCGAGACCAGCCTGACCAACATGGCGAAACCCTATCGCTACTGAAAATACAAAATTAGCTGGGCTTCGTTGTGCACGCCTGTAATCCCAGCTACCCGGGAGGCAGAGGCTGCAGTGAGCCGAGATCACACCATTGCACTCCAGCCTGGGCAACAAGAGTGAAACTCCATCTCAAAAAAAAAATAAATAAATAAAATACAATACAATAAAAATAAAGAAATAAGAGATAAGTCAAAAAGAATTTAAAGTGGTCCATAAAAGGTGTCAAATACATTGTTTTCTGGTGTTGTACATTCAGAATGTGATAGAAGATCACAATTTTTCATATATTTTAGTGCTTTCCAGGATCCAGACCTCTTTTTCAGATAACTTATAATGAAGAACTTGAGAGTCTCTTTAGAAACTGAAGAATGAATGCAAAGATGTTATTACTCTCTATACTAACTTATGAACATATAAATTATATAGTCAAGATTGAATAAGATGATTATGCCTACAGAATAATGTTTCCAAAAAGAAAACAATTAACATTAATATGAAAATAAAATGTGTTCATAAATGTAAATATTTTCATTTTCTTTTCCCTTGACTTTTAGACATTGCAATGCCGGCAGCCGAAAATCTTCTCAAGTTAGTTCATCAGTAATAAGTTGTTTTCAAGGGAAAATTAATTCTTTGGATGCCAAAAGAGACCTCTTCTTGAGAGTCATTATGATATCCATAAATGTGTAATAATAGAAAAGCTGCTTTTAGAAACTCTGCTTTAAGGCCAGAGTTGGCCTTAAATTGACTGATATAATTGATTAAAGTGAGGAATACATTATCACATGCCATATGGCAGAGGGGATATAGGGACAAGCAATGGTAATTAAGAAATTAGAATCTAAAACCAGCTACATATGAATTTTGAGTCCCAGCTCTGTCACTTACTAACTGGATGAATTTTTACAGTTATTTAAATTATCAATGCCCCAGTTCCAAATTATTTTGAAGATAAAATAACACAAGTAAAGTACTTATCAGAGTACATGGCTCATATTATGAACTCAGTAAATTTCATCTATTAGTATTTTCTATTTTGCTTATGAGAACTCCAGGCCTAGAAACTCACTGTAGAATTCTGATCCTGGAACCTATATTTGGTGTGCAAAGAGTAAGCTGCCTTACATACAAGCAGCTTCTTCCTGGCTGGCCAAGGCATTCTGCCTCCATTCTTCCACTACCTGCCTAGGAAATATGATCCTCTGGGTTGCAGGAACCTAGAGCAGGCTGTCAGAAGAGGCACTGCTGTTATCTGGGGACTGAGACGGACTGAGACAGCTGGATTAGAGGACTTACCCTCTGGAACCAGGTGACACTGACCCTGACTGCTCTTACTATCCCTCAGTCACAGTATAGCTATTTCTGAGAAACCTGGGCAAAACTTAAATGGAAACCTGTACTGGATTATTTTTCTCTCTTACAGTGTATGAGCAAACAATCCTCAATAAAATAAGATATCTTAAAGTCAATTATTCTAATGAAAAACTTCAGTACCAATATGATCCAAATCCACAATTGAGATTTGTCAGGTTCATAGAAGAGAGATAGTCAAGACAGGAATAAAAGCAGTGGTAAGAAAGAGATCAGCTCTTTCCAGCTGGATAGAGCTGGAATACTAAACAACCATCCATACCAGTATTCTGAATTTGACTTGGCCTATTTAGCTTCTTTATACTTTAAATTTAAAAAGGAGGGGTAAAGAAAATCAAACAGCATTAAAAACAGAGCCTTGACATGCAACATAAAGTGCATTAAAATGCAGTAATAAACGAGTAGAAGTTACAAGAGTTGGAAGGCTGTACAAAACCAGTAGATTTGCCTATGTTTCTGAAAGTATCAGCCAGCAATCTTCATTATAGTCCTTAAGTCCTTGAAATTTTTCATATGATCTCTTTTGACATAACAAAGCTATTAGATGACATGTAAGACTTCAGCAGAGGTAATAAGGTAATAACTGCAGAGGTGGCAGCTGAAAGACTAACATGCAATTATATGATTAAATGAGAATTTAGAATGAAAGTTAATGCATGAATACAAATTAGATTAGAGTTCTGAGTAAGAGGAGAAACATGGAAGCAGAGTCACAGAGGCGAGGTTCTCCTCACCCACAGAGGATCATCTTTGTTTTTATATTTTTCCGAAGGAAGCTGAGTAAAAGCCAACTTCCTTTAGGAGTTGTCCAGACAGAAGAGAGGATAAGAAGAAACCATTATACCTCTGGTTGTCCATGGTAAGGGACAACCATTATATCATGGTTGTCTATGATAAAGGAGTGGGAAGAAAAGGAAAAGGGAGTTACATTCAACAAGTTAGTGTGAATGCTGGCTCATTTAGAAAAAGCAACCACAAAGGCCACAGTTTAGCCAAGTGATTTTTATGAAAAGGATGTCTTCACAACATGAAGTTTGGTTTGCAACAAGAGAATAACCTAGAATTAGAAGCAATATACAAACTCAAGGACTTCAGAGGACCAGTTGCCTTTTTTAAAGTTTACATGAAAAAAATTTTAATAAAAAATTGTAAAAATATACATTATTCTCCCTTATCTTCTAATGCCCTTTCACCCTCAGGAAAGAGTATCTCAGTGTACATCTAGCCACATATAATTAACATCCCTATGAAGCAATTGACCATCTAACCTTTCCAATTTATTTAAATATTCTCATTCTCAGTAACAAGTACTTTTACCTAACCCACGGTTTCTCAACTTTAACACTATTGACATGTGGGGCCAGATAATTGTTTCAGAGGCTGTCCTGTGTATTACAAAATACTTAACAGTATCCCTGGCCTTTACCCACTAGATACCAGTAGGCTTCTCACTCCACAATTGTGACAATCAAAATTGTCTCCAAGTGTTACCAGCAACCAATCTGTATGGGTCTGCAGCAACCTCAATTCTTGCCTCCTCAGAAAAAAGAATTCAACTGAAGGGGCATAAGGCAGAATGAGAGACCAGAGAAATTATTTTAGAGCTGAACTGAAAGTTGATTTAAAAGTTTTAGAGCAGGAACAAAAGGAAGTAAAGTATACTTGGAAGAGGGCTAAACAAGTGACTTGAGAGATCAAGTGCACAGTTTGACATTTGACTTGGGATTTTTCATGTTGACATGCTTCCGGGATCTGCTTTACTTATCCCCTGATTCTTCCCTTGGGGTGAGCTGTCCACAGGTACAGTGGCCTGCCAGCACTTGGGATGGGCTGCATGCACAGTGTGTTTACAAAAGTTGTATGCATGCTCATTTGAGGCGTTTTTCTTTTACCAGTTGAGATTTCCTAAAGGAAGATCATATACCAGTTAAACTCCACCGTTTTCCCTCTTAGTGCTCATGCTTGAGCCCAATTACCCAACTCCTGAGATCTTATTGGGAAGCTGCTGATCACCCACATCAGGTGTCTTCTACCTATTGGGTGACTGCCTTTCCCTGGCACTGGCTGTGACCAATTATTACTTTAGAGAGACAGTTTAACAACCACCTCACCATCACCTGATGGTCACCTGACATTCCTGGTTGCGGGGGTGCTCTCCTGCTCTGTTCATGTCTACCTAACTACCTGCTCTAACACAGGAATTGCCAAATATATCTCTCCTGGAGAGGTGGTGTACAAAATTGTCCTGATTGAAAGCCACTGCATTAATTTATGCCCACGCATTGATTATGGCAAATATTTTTATTATACAAATTATACAAATTTGTACAAATGCTTTGCAATATACCCATTACAGAAAAGGGCTTTGTAATCAAGTGATCATTTTTATTTCAAAATATCTTCCTGATATTTTCTTAAAGAAATAGAAAAGCAAAAGCTTAAAGAAATACAAAAACAAAAGCTAGCTCATGGATAATACAATATGGACTTCATTTCTTTTTTCTTTTTTTTTTTTTTTTTTTTTTTTGAGACAGAGTCTTGCTCTGTTGCCAGGCTGGAGTGCAGTGGTGTAATCTCGGCTCACTGCAACCTCTGACTCCCTGGTTCAAGTGATTCTCTTGCCTCAGCCTCCTGAGTAGCTGGGATTACAAGCACACACCACCACACCCAGCTAATTTTTGTATTTTTAGTAGAGACTGGCTTTCACCATGTTGACCAGGATGGTCTCGATCTCCTAACCTTGTGATCTGCCCACCTTGGCCTCCCAAAATGCTGGCATTACACAGGCGGGAGCCACCGCACCTGGCCCAATATGGACTTCATTTCTACAAATATTTCTTGAGTTCCTTTTATGGGATAGATTCTCTGTGGTAGGTTCTACTATACCAATATACGTGCATAAGCAGAACTGTATTTTGAGCAGGTTGTGGACAATGCACAATAACTCCCTCTGGCAACAGAATAGCAGAGGGTCTGGATGCTGAGGAAGGAGAATGGCCCTGGCAAGCTAGCCTTCCACAGAACAATGTCTACCGACGCGGAGCCACATGGCTTAGTAACAGCTGGCTTATCACTGCTGCTCACTGCTTCATAAGGTAAGGCCTCAAAGTCACTCAAGTCCTTAAAAGCCTACTGTCTTTCAATAATACACCCACACAACTACACATCCAACTGTTTAATACTGTGAGGTATGGCCTCAAAATTACTCAGTTAATTATCAACATAATGACAGACATAGGCTGAAGCAGGATTTGTCAAAAATGGCAGTATAGACAGTTTAGACTGTATAAGTAATTCTTTGTTAAAGTTGTCCTGTGCATTGGAGGATATTTAGTGGCATACCTGACTCCTAACATTAGTAGCACCCCTCAGTATTGACAACCAAAATGTCTCCAGACATTGCTAAATGTGGGGGATGAAATTGTCCCCCATTGAGAACCACTACACTAGAGTCACTGTACTTCATCTTTATAAAGAAACTATAAATCCCCAATTGAACATGGATCTTCTTTCTTTCTCATCATTATTGCGTTTGGTTTAAATTATTTAGTCATAGGTTTTGAATTCATCCTACATCTTTCTATATTTGTACAGCCCTATTTGAAATGATGATGTCTTTAAAGGGTATATTATTGCACCAATAGTTTGCCCTTTTTCACTAAGACTTGTTTACCCTTTTGTTTGATGATATTTTTCATTAACTTCCATTGATTTTATATAGCCCTCATTGGGTCTTTTTTAAGCAAAAAAATCTCTCCCAAACCTGCTCAGCTCTCTTCAAAATCATGCTTGCTTCTTATGTTGCTTTAGTAGAGAGTTTGAAAATGTTTCAGCAGCACTATTTTTCAGCACTTAATATAAAAATCCTGGATTAACAAATAATAATAAGTCAGAAATACATTTCTTTTTATAGATTTTAATGGTCAAAAAGAAGATTTAGACTATTTCCATAATTTCCCTTAGTTCACTTTCCCATACCCTTGCCCACTTTTTGTTTAATCTTATTATCCTATATTGTCATCATTTATTTTTCTAAATCCCCTTCAGTCTTTTCTATACAGAATAAGAAATAAAATGTAGTTTTCATGGGTTATCTTCTAAACATAACATTGCATTATTCAAAATCTGCTCATGTTATCATTATTTTTATTTTTCTCTTATACACAACTTTATTTTTGTATGCTTACAAGTATCATGGGAACTCAAAACATACGTAATTGTTTTTAAAATTGTAAGACATTAATTCCTACAAGTACAATACACAGGACTTTTAATTAATAAATCTATTTTTTAGGGTCCATGATCCCAAAGAATGGAATGTTATTTTAAGTAACCCACAAACACAGTGAAATATCAAGAATGTTATAATTCAAGAAAACTACCATTACCCTGCACACGATAATGACATTGCTGTTGTGCATCTATCTTCACCAGTGTTATATACAAGCAACATCCAAAAAGCATGTCTTCCAGATGTTAATTATATATTCCTATACAATTCAGAAGCAGTGGTTACTGCATGGGGATCATTTAAAGTCTGATGGTGAGTTCCTCACCTGACTCCGTTATATGGCTTGAATTTCAGGAGTTAAAAAGTAAAATACTCAGAATTACACCTAAACTGAAAAATACTTTCTCTGGATCATTTTTAAGAGTACAATGTGGAATGGATTGAAAATTATCCTCAACAACATTCATGCAGAAACTATAACTTCATAGAGCTGCTTACTATAATTCCTCTTAAGATGGCAGTTTTTCAAGAAATATATTATTTGAATAAGTAATTCATTTCCTTCATTCATTTATTCATTTACTAATGGAAAATAATTACCACCTTTGTTCAGGGATTGTTCTAGGTGGTTTGGATACGTTAATGAATGAAATGGGCAGATAATTCCTGCCTATTTTCTTAGTTAAAAAAAAAAAAAGGAAAAAGCTTTCATCCTTAACAAAGGAAAATGGACAATTTCATGAAATGAAGGATGTAAGTATATTAAAAGAAATAAGTAAGTTATAGCAAATTTTATGCAGTTAAGTGCCATAGAAAAAAATAGGGACTGTAGGGGATTCAGCATTTTTAATGAGGTGACAAGGTGATACTTGAGCAAAGATTTAAATATATGCATCCCCATGACCCTAATAATGTGAACACTTAGTGGCTATTAATGTCTGTAAATGCAGTTTGAAAGCAGAAAAATAAACCTAAAATTAATTTCAAGATTCAGAATTACAGTAAAAATTTAGCTTAAAAATTTTTAAATAATCATAAAATGTATGCTCCTGCAATATGAGTTTTTCATTTTGTTTTCTTTTGTTTTTGTTTGTTTGGTTGGTTGGTTTTTTTTTTTGTTTTTGTTTTGTTTTTGTTTTTTTCGAGACAGAGTCTCACTCTGTTGCCCAGGCTGGAGTGCAATGGCATGATCTCGGCTCCCTGCAACCTCCGCCTCTCAGGTTCAAGTGATTCTCCTGCCTCAGCCTACCAAGTAGCTGGAACTGCAGGCATGAACCACAACACTTGGCTAATTTTTGTGTTTTTAATAGAGACAGGGTTTCACCATGTTGGTCAGGCTGATCTCGAACTCCTGATCTCAGGTGATCCGCCCACCTCGGCCTCCCAAAGTGCTGGGATTACAGGCGTGAGCCACAGCACCTGATTCATTTTGTTTTCTAAGACATCTTTTCTGTACAGAATAAGAAATAAGATGTAGTTTCCATGAGTTATCTTCTAAAACATAGCTTATTGAGTTATTCAAAATATGCTCATGTTATTTTTTTACTTATATACAACATATTAATACATTAATAAACATATTATTACATATTAATACATGTAATACATATAAAATTTCAAAACAATTCAAAAGAAAAAATCTTATTACATATAGATGTACACACTAAATATTTCTAAAAATGGTCATTTTTCAGCAACAGCTTGGTATGTTTATAAACATTACTTGCTTTTTTGTTACTACAGCTAAAAGCTTAATTATACTTTACACTGATTTGATTTAGAAATTGTACATAGTGTTAAAGTTAGATACTAATAGCCTAGCCAGAAAGATTAATAGTGACATCAATAAAAATTATACAATTTTCTTCCTTTACGAACAACTTCTAATGTACTCCACAAGGGATTAGTGAAGATTATAGATAATAGGACCTGCAACAATGGGGAGGCAGATGGCAGAGTCATCACATCTGGAATGTTGTGTGCCGGGTTCCTGGAGCCACGTGTGGATGCCTGCCAGGTAAGTCTGTTTATTCTAATTTCAAGAACTTTATTCTTGTAGTTTTAAATTTCCAAATAATCAGTTCAGTTTTCTCAAGGGATTGACAATTTTTAAAGGCTTAAGTATGTTTCCTAGCCAAAGTATCTAATTAGAATTACAATGATATCAAATAGGTCTCATTAAAGTCCTAAAGTGCTAAATTACCTTGCTGTATAAAGCTGTGAGCAGGAGTGGGAAAGAAACTCAATTTAGAATAAGCAATGAAGAGATGAGATGGTTTACTGGTGACTTTAGTATGATTGTCATTTCACTGAGAAACATTCAGCTGTGTCTAATAGCAAAATTAACAATCATGGAGCTTTCACAATGTGATTCCAACATCCTAAATATTTTATTGATTTAACAACTCTTATATAGTATTCCCATGTGCCAAGCACTGTTTTCAGCACTTTACAAATATTAATTTATTATAGTTACCTCAGTCCTCTGCAGTATATTTGTGCTATTGTAAGCCCTATTTCTAGATGAGGAAATTGAGACAAAAAGATCAAGTAATTTGTCTAAACTCACAGAGCTATTAAGCGGCAAAAGAACTGAGATTTAAACGCAGGAAATTGGGCTCTAGGGCCTATGCTCTGAACTCTACACTAAGATGTTTTTCCTTATGCTTAATGTGCTTTTAACAATTGTTGCTGTTTATGAACAATAGTCCCAGAGCTAACAAAAGTTTCTAAGCAGGTAGAATCAGTGATAAATCCAAGAAAACCTTTATTTTATTCATGCAATCTTTCATGTAGTGATTATTTATTGACTACTACCTATGTGCCAGATACGGTGCTATGTTCAGGGAAGTTAAAATGAACACAGCATATTCCTGTACTCTAGGAGCTAGCAGACATGCAAACAAGTATTTGCAATACATAATCATCATCTCTAATTACAAATTTCTAGCTTTGCAACTGTCCCACTAAACCCATTCTTCAGTATCATGAAGAGCTTAAAACTCTGTTCCTCTTAATTTCTTCTCAGTCCATCAACCCCCCACCCTCATGACTCTCTCCTAACCTTAAACAGCCTAGGACCCTTGTTTTATTATTTCAGCCACTCTATTGACAGCACTCTCGGTGACTTCATCCTTGACTTACCCGACACCCATTCAAATAATCATCAACCACAGAACGATCTATCAACTGTATTTGCTGTTATATGCAAGCTGCTGAGAACAGCTAGAAGAAATCATGCCTTCTTGTAAACTGGAGTTACATAATCACATGTGGGTCCTTAACACACTGTACAATTATTAATGCATTTTTATAGTGCTATGCCGGACTTTCATTATATTCTTTACCTACGTACCTCACCATGTCCTTATCTTCTTTAGCATATTATATTTTCTCCTACTAACCAGAGAAAAAATGGAAGCAATCATATGAGAAGTCCTTTAATTTCCTTTCTCCTTGATACATTTATGTTTGTACTCATTCTCACCCTCTGGGCTTGGGATAAACAAGTTTCTTTCACTATTCAAAACTAATCTCTTGCATGTGTTTTTCACTCAGTCTCCTTCCTACTACATAGGTATTTGAACTTTCTATTAATGTGAGTTTTCTTCTGTATTTTCCAAACTGACCCACCCTGATGGACCTCTTGGTACATTCTGTAAACATTATTAAGTCTCTTCCATCAAGCCTCTTTGTAGGAACTCTTGGGTACTCACACAACTCAATGCTAAAAAGAAAACACAAAATAGCCTAATTTTAAAATGAACAAATAAACTGAGTAGACATTTTTCCAATGAAGACATGCAAATGGCTGACAGGTACATGAAAAGATGCTCAACATCACTAAGCACTAGGAAAGCATAAATTAAAACCATAATGAGGTTATACCTTGCACATGTTAGGATGACTATTAACAAAAAGTTCTGGTAAGAGTACACCATTGGTGGGAATGTAAATTGGTACAGCCATTATGGAAAAAAGTATGAATTGTCTTCAAAAACACTAAAAATAGAATTATCATATTTTTATGGCATCCAGCAATCACACTTCTAAGTATTTATCCAAAAGAATTGTAAACAGGATTTTAAAGAAATATTTACACTCCTATGTTCATTCTAGCTTTATCCTCAATAGCCAAGATATGGAAACTAAGTGTCCATCTACGAATGAGTAGATTAAAAAATTGTGATACACACACACACACGAGCATTATTCAGCCATATAAAAGAAAAAAAAATCCTGTCATTTTCAACAACAATGATAAACTTAGAGGACACTATGCTAAGTAAAATAAGCCAGACACAGAAAGAAAAATAATCCATACATTCACTTATACCTAGAATCTAAAAAAAAATCAAACTCATTGAAACATAGTATAACAATAGTTGCCACGGATGGAGCCTTGGGGAGTTGTTGGGGAAAGTAAAGGGATGTTGATCAAGGAGTACAAACTTTCAGTTATAAGTTCTAGATATCTAATGTACAGCATGGTGATTACCATTAATAATAATGTATTGTATACTTAAAATTTTCTCAAAGAGATCTTAAGTGTTCTCACCAAAAAAAAGTAAATATGTGAGGTTATGAATAGGTTAATTACCTTGATTGGGGGAATCATTTCACAATGAATATGTATATCAAAACATCACATTGTACACCTTAAATCTATACAATGTTTATTTGTAGATCAGATCTCAATTTTTTAAAAGATGAAATACATTTATCTGTCTGAGAAGAAGAAAAGTAGACACAGATGTGGATTGACTTAAGTGATCTGAGAAGCCAAAAAGGCAAGACAAGGAATGAAGGGATTCTCAACTGTTACTCTCCACTTACTCTGAGAATTTAAAAGTAATACACTAGATTCAGAATGAGGGAACGGGATTTTCAAAAATTGTGAAATCACAAGAGTTTGGAATGGCCGCCCTGAAAAATTAGAAAGGGAGCTGGTTAATCATCCTAAGCAAACTAATACAGGAGCAGAAAACCAAATAACGCATGTTCTCACTTATAAGTGGGAGCTGACATTGAGTGCATATGGACACAAAGAAAGGAACAACAGACACCAGAGCCTACTTGAGGGTGAAAGGTGGGAGGAAGGTAAGGATTGAAAAACTGCATGTCAGGTACTATGCTAGTTACCTGGGTGATGAAAGAACCTAGACCCCAAACCCCCATGACACGCAATTCACCTATATAACAAATGTGCATGTGTGCCCCTCAACCTAAAAGTTTTTAAAAAATACTTCATTGTTAAAAAAAAATGCTAACAGTCATCTGGAAAAAAAAAAAGAAAAGAAAAGAAGCTGGCTAAAGACACGTAAATATTGCTTAGAGGTGTTGGTTTGAGGATGTAAATTTGTAACATGGCTTCACAGTGTCTGGTTTGGCCCAGGCTATGATGGGGAGAAAGATAGGGAGCTGAGAAGCTGTTGACAGAATAGTGGTATGGTGCATTATGAAATATAGCTGGCATAAAGAAAGAAGAGCAGGAGGACATGAGCTAATACATTCATAGAGGAGTCCAGGGATTCACATTCTTAGTGAGACTGAAGAGCAGACACAAAGTAAAAAGTGGAATAAGTGGAACAAAAAAACTTAAGGGGTAGATGCACTCAATCGTAATACTGAATAATGGTGTTTCAGAAGTGGAGCAGTTCCAGGTGATAACAAGGAGTAACATGGAAAGATTCAATAAAATGATCAGAGTCAAGGAAGCCAAGAGACTGTGAGCTAAAGTATTACATGTGTCATCAACAGATGTTGAAAATTATCCAGGATGATAGGAAGAATTACAGCAAAGGGAAATCCAGATGCCGAGGTGTTCCATCATTCTGGGAAAATGGCCTAAAGATCAGTAGATGAAAATAATAAGTATATATATGTGTGTGTGTGTGTGTGTGTGTGTGTGTGTGTGTGTGTGTGTTCTCTCTAGGGTGACTCTGGTGGACCACTGGTTGGTACAGATTCTAAAGGCATCCTTGCTAAAGGTTCCCTGCTGGTATTGAAAGCTGGAGAAATGAACGTGCTCTTCCAAACAAGCCTAGTGTCTACACTCAAGTGACATACTATTGAGACTGGATCCTATCCAAAACTGGTCTTTAGTGCAAAATTTCTCTGTAGATTAAAGCTCAAATGTTATATGCTTGTTACATGTTTGTAATTCCCAAACCATATTTAACTTAGATGTCACCTCTCCTTATGAACATTTAATGTTGCATTTAAACACATACTATTTTAGAACTATGAAAACTTTCTGTTTATTATAATTTGACAAAAGTTTAATGAGACTAATGGACTAGGACATACAATTTTCCCTTTTACCTTTTCAGATCAATGGTAATTATATGAGTAAACATGGATTACAGTTTATTAAGGAAGTTTTCTGTACCAATTTGCAGATCCGGGACTCTTGGAGAATCATAGAGTAGCTATTAGCAACATACTCCCTTCTGAGTCATCCCCTGATGACAAGCACATGGATTCCATAGGATCAACATATTAGTAGGTTGTAGTCTAGTGAGTTGCAATAATATTGCCTATAAAAGTTACCCAGGAAAATGTATCTACCTGTTTTCTTTCTGGTTCTTGTGCCAACACTAATCCCTGATCTATTTATGACTTCCTAACCTTGAGTGACACAAAACAACATGATAATCCCCTGAAGTACACTGAATAGGTCACAATGCTTGCTGATTTGTTCTCATTCTACTTCAAGCATGAAAGTGAAGCCAGAAAATGGTTCTCAAATATACACACACTTAATAGTAAAATAATCCTCAGACACATGGGCTATGTTTCAATAAGTGCCTTGAATAGACCATGCAAACACTACTGTACTGTATTTCTCCAAACTACTAAAGTTTCTCAATCATACAAATTATCAACCAGAATAAATAATAGAAAATTTTGCTTCCACTTCACTCACTTTATTCCCCATACAGAAATCCTAGCTGAGGGTACGGATGTTTATAAAGGCACTGTTATGCCAAATTAGCAAGTCAGTTGGCATTTAACTAAAAATGATCTCATCAGAGTGCTTTCCCAGATTGTAGTCCACAAGTGTCTCTTCAGTAGTTTATCCTCCTCTTCTTCATTGCTGACAATCCTACAGCTACCACCAATTGCCTTCGTTTTGATGTAAATTTTTTCATAAACCCCCTCAAAATTGCACTTATAGCAGATAATATTTGCTGATTCCTTACTATGTGCCAGGCACACTTTACATGTATTATTACGTTGAACTGTCCCCCCAGCGCTGTGATGACGGTCACCTTGGGGAAACTGAGGTAAAGAAGTCAAGTAACTTGCCAAAAAACAGAGAATTTATAATGAACTGAGCTGGGATTCAAAATCAGACAATTGGATTCCAGAGCTCACAGTTTTAGCATCTATACTATGTTATGTGACATGATTATAACCAAAGCTCTACCTTCCATAGTCTTCTAAAATGGAACATTTGTCATAAACTTTATGGATGACTCATTACAGTAGCTTTATTATTTAATTGCTTTTAAAATATTTGACATATCATCATACACTTATAAGATACTTTTTGATGTTTAACTTTTTATTTTTTGATGTTTTAGAAATTAAGCATAAACAAAATAAAACTGTAGGCATAATGTCCAGGATTCTTGGGTTGCAAGTGACAGAAACTCAATCAACACTAGCCTAAGTAAAAAGAAGACATTTATTGGCTCATCTAACTAATAAATTTAGAGATCTACATCCTTTGACATAGCTGAGACTGGATCCAGGAGCTCAAACAGTGTCTCTCTCTTCCTCTCTAGTCACATCTTAACTCTCCTCTCCTTAGTCTTCATTCATAGGCAGACACTTCCCTATGAGGTGGTGAAGACATGTTCACTGATTCTAGACTTAGATTATCGTTAGTGCTAAGCTACCAGTCTCAGACAAAAATACAGTAATCTTGCCCACTGGCTACAGTAAAAATAAAAATTAAAAAGTCCCGAGGATGCCTCTGATTACAAGTTTGGATCAGGATATCACTCCTGTGATGGACTTTTGATTGATATCTCTTTGGATAAGGGAGGGACATTTCCAGAAAAATAAAATGCTTCTTTTTCCTGTAGGAATTGTATATGGTTTACATGCACACAAAAAAATAGGTAAAGAGGAGTACTGGTAGCTTAAATCACTAGGCTATGTTGGTTTTTTCCAAGATAACAGAATATGCATAGTATGCAAAATCTGAAAATCTGTTACTTACAAGTTAAAAACACATGAAAATATAAAATCTTTGTTTGTTGTGTAATTATATTATTTTGAATAACAGTGTATTGATTGAGAATGTAGCACATTTTTCATTGGGTAATTGGTAAGTATTATTTTTATCTAGCATACAAAATATTTTATTTTTAATTTAGAAAATAATTTAACACAAAGACAGATACGTTAATACATTTTAAGAATGTGCCTCCACATAAGTTGGCTGTAAGTTACCTGCATGATGACGTGCTGTATAATAATGGATTCCCTTTTCCTCTCTCCAAGCCAAGACAGTAACAGTGGGGAGACACCATTATTACTATTAATAATGTCTCCCCACCTGGGCACCTGCATCATAACTCTTCAAATCTCAGCATTTATGCTATAAAAAGTATCTGGCAAGAATTCATGATGAAAACACACACAAAAGAATGAAATTGGATCCTGATCTTACGTCATATGCAAAAACTAACTTAAAATGGATTAAAGACTTAAACGTAAAATCTGAAACTGCAAAACTCTTAGAAGAAAATGTAGGGGGAAAAGCTCCTTGATATTGGTTTTGGAGATGATTTTTTGGATATGACACCAAAAGAATAGGCAACAAAAGCAAAAACAAACAAACAAACAAAAACAAGTGGTACCGCATCAAACTGAAAAACTTCTGCACAGCAAAAGAAACAATGAACAAATGAAAAGACAACCTATGAAATGGGAGAAAATATTGCCAAACCATATACCTGCTAAGGGTATTATAATCATATGTCCAAAATATATATGGAACTCACACAATTTAATACCAAAAAAACCCAATAACCCAATTTAACAATGGGCAAATGACCTAAATAGATATTTTTCCAAAGAAGACATGGAAATAGCCAACAAGTACACGTACACGAAAAGATGCTCAACATCACTAATCACCAGAGAGTGCAAATTAAAACCACAATTAAATAACACCTCAATGAGCTAATGCCTCACACCTGTTAGGATGGCTTTTATAAAAAAGACAAGTATTGGTGAGTGTGTGGAGAAAAGGGAACCCTTGTACACTGTTGGTAGGAGGGTAAATTGGTACAGTCATTATGGAAAACAGTATGGAGATTCCTCAAAAAATTAAAAACAGATCTACTATAAGATCTAGCAATCCTACTTCTGGGTATATATCCAAGGGAGTGAAATCAGTATCTCAATGAGATATCTCCATCCCAGTGTTGATTACAGCATTTATTCACAATAATTAAAACATGGAAACAACCTGAGTGTCCGTTAATGGATGAATGAATTTTTTTAAATGTGATACACACACACACACACACACACACACACACAGACGAAGCATTATTCAGCCATAGAAAAGAAGTAAATCCCACCATTTGTGTCAACATAGATAAACCTGGAGGGCATTATGCTAAGTAAAATAACCTAGACACAGAATGACAAATATTTCATGATTGAAAAAAAGTCAACCTCATTCAAAAAATATAACAAGCGGTGCCAGGGGCTGGGGTTTGGGGGAAATAGGGAGATGTTAATCAAAGAGTACAGTTATAAGATGACTAGTTCTGGGGATCTAATGTACAGCTCGAGTTCTGATGAATGTGTTAATTAATTAGATTGTAATCGTTACACAATGTATAGGTATATCAAATCATCATGTTGTAAACAGAATACATAAAATCCTTATTTGTCAATTAAATATTTTAAAATTTAAAAACCTTGAAATAATAGTGAAAACTGAATATGCTGAATATAAATTAATTATTACCAAGTTTATTAAATAGGTCCGTTAAATAGAATACAAATATCACTACACGTGCTGCATGTTGAAACAAAATAGACAATATACTTTCTCTATCAATACATCCTGACAATATGCTAGTAAAATTTTAATAAACTTAAGTTTCACTTCTCAGCTGGTTTCTTTTCGCCTTTTAAACTACATGCATTTGTGACTACTAACATGAACTATCTGGCATCTCTTTTGGCATCTTTGTGATTGCACTCAGCTGTGGCTTATAGACTCCCTCACCGGGTAATTCAATATCTAGTAAGAGATTTGCTACTTTCACTAACACTTTCACTTTGACCTCTGAGTTCTCTCCCTTTTACTTAGACTGCTGCTTTGGCTGCTTTTCAGGGTTCTTTTGCTGAGCAGACTGCCTTTGTTCATGCTGCTAGAAAACGCACTTAAGATTGCTCAGAGTCTTTTTGGCATATTTGTTTACATCCTCTCAGAAGATCTCACAGTTTAAGTGGAAGAGGCTGGCTTCTTTAATAATTTTAACCAAAAAGAATTTTCAACAAGTAAACAATGCAAGACCAAAAAAACCTTTCTAAAGAGTTTATTCTTTCTTTATTTTCAAGAATCCTCTTACTTAAAAAAAATCCACTCTACATACATTTTCAAATGTCAGAAAAACGATATCCTTATTATATTCCTTTTAACTCTTTGCTGTGTAGAGATTTTAATATAAACTCAAATTAATTATTTTTCTAAGATGAAAACTTCTTGCCTTCCCATATATTTTAAACAACATTTCTTAAAATTTGCTTATTAAAAAAACATAAACTTCATGAGATTATGAGCTCTGTCTTATTCTATTTCTCATTGCCCAAAACTCGAATAAATATTTGTTAAATAAATGAGTGAAATTTGGAAATGATAGTTCTTATGACTCTTTTAAATAAGATATATCCAACAAATGAAAATAGATCATGTTAATGAGCAGAAAACTGTGTATAATAAAAGAGAATAATAGAAAATGACTTTTAAGCTAAAGAGAACTTAAAGATTATGTTACAAATTTTACAGATAATAGCTGTGAGAGCTAGGAGATGAGGATTACACAAGAGAACTGGGAACTCCTAATTCCCGATAAAGTGTTCTTTCTTCTATACTATATTCATTATGAAAATATAGTTTAAATTCCATTATAAGAAAAGCTGTTTCCCTCGAACATTGATTTCTCAGTGTTCTTTGAATAGATTATACTGGTTGTAATGGACATTGGTGGTGTCCCACCAGGGGCCCTTTCTCAGACATCAAGACTCTTCCATCAGCTGTTGAGAGTATTGGCTGCCAAGAGCTCATAGCTACCCTCTTCTGAGAAATGCCATCAGTTTATGGGAGCCACCATCCAAAAACACCTGAGAAGTTATACTTCTCCCCACATAAACAATAGGCCCCAGCCAGATGGTAACTGATAAAGGAGTGCCAAAGCTCAGCCTCCTTTCCTAATGGTGGGGCAAGTCTGTGGTTCCATTTATACCCAGTGTCCCATGTGGGATCAGGCTAAGGAAGGTTAGACTTCAGCTGAACACACATTTGCTTCGATTCTTCCTCTGCCCTGTCTTGCTTTCCTCACTCTCTTAGAGGTTTCACCTTAAAGCACACTCTCAAGTCGCTTGCACAAGAATCCCCATCTCCAGCTCTGCTCTACGGAATTCAACTTAATACATGAGTTGATTTAGTTTTCCACTGACTTGAACTGTTAAGGGAAACATTTTTCTTATACTTTCCCTAAAATACATGTGTGTATTTTTCTAATTCAATAAATCCAATACAGTAAACCCAATTGAATCATTATTGTTCCAGAATATCTTGTCTAAAGTTCATCTTTCCAATGAGGAAGTTTCCTTGTATTGTATGGTAAAGTTAAATGCAGGTGGTTTAAGCATTTAAACAAAAACAAAAAAGCATTTAAAAAAAAACACTATACTAAGTTTAGGACATATTCTTACATTTGACAAAACACTTGTTACACTTTTTTTTCCTTTTTATTTGTCTGTTTCTCACAGCAGAATGCAAGTGAATTTTCAGGTAACTAACCATAACCCTGGTTAGTAGAACGCCAGTTAATCAAGTTTAACTATTCGAAGACTCTTGCTTTAAAAGATTTTTCTTTGTTTTTATGGATGTTTGTAAAGAAAAAATTCTATGCAAGTAATACTATATCATAGATATACACCCCTATCTACGAAATTACACCTTAAAACAAAGGCCTTGTGTATGTGATATCTGCATCATAGATAAAGAGAAATAAGCAGAAGAAAGGGGTTTTTATTCTTCCCGTTCCTGTTATCATTTCTACCTTTGAAAAATAATGCTAATAAATTTCCAAATTATACAACCTAGCAAATCAATTAGTGGAAAAATTTCAGATAAAAGTAACTATAAAGGAAGTGAGTGATTTACCTGAATAAAACTATTTTTCAAAGATTTTATTAAATAACTACAGCATCTCTAGGCTTCAACGGTATTTTTTTGTTTTGTGAGACAGGATCTTGCTCTGTCTCAGACTGGAGTGGCTCAATCTCAGCTCGCTGCAACATTCGCCTCCTGGGTTCAAGGGATCCTCCCACCTTAGCCTCCAGAGTACCTGGACTACAGGTGGGTGCCACCATGCTTGACTAATTTTTAAATAATTTTTTTGTAGAGATAGGCTCTCCCTATATTGCCCAAGCTTCATCTTTGTTTTAATCTTGATCCTTAAATATTTTAAAAATACAATATTTATTTTTATAAAATTCAATTTTTAAAAAGCTATTTTATTTTAAAAGTCCTAAAATAAGAAAAGAAGAAATAATAATAAAAGTGAATATGTTATATAGAAATTAACAGGATGTCAATTTCATGTGTGCCCAGTCTTACTGAAACTTAAAGAGAAACCAATACTAATAATCATATTTTTCTAAATTGTATTTTAAAATCTTATTTATATTATTATGCATTTGCATCATAAATTCTGTTTTTGTTTGTTTTTGAGACAGAGTCTCACTCTGTCACCCAGGATGGAGTGCAGTGGTGTGATCTCAACTCACTGCAACCTCCACCTCCTGGGTTCAAGTGATTCTCCTGCCTCAGCCTCCTGAATAGCTGGGATTACAGGTGCATGCCACCATGCCCAGCTAATTTTTATATTTTTAGTAGAGGCGGGGTTTCACCATGTTGGCCAGGCTGATCTTGAACTGCTCACCCTGTGATCCACCCAGCTTGGCCTCCCAAAGTGCTGGGATTACAGGTGCGAGCCACCGTGCCCGGCATAAATTCTTAATTAATACAATTATTGGGGATCTAGCTTTCAAATTTCCAATTCTGAAGAAGGTGGAAATAAGATACATTGTATTTTAAAATTGAATTGCATCATGAAATGGAAATGCTGTGTGTCAACAGAAGATTATCAGCAAAAGAACAAAATTGAAATTATACTCTTTTTAATACAAGCAAACTACATAAAGTTTATGTAAATAAGAATATCTCGGCCTCACGCGGTGGCTCCTGCCTGTAATCCCAGCACTTTGGGAGGCCGAGGTGGGTGGATCACGAGGTCAGGAGTTCGAGCCAGCCTGGGCAATATGGTGAAACCCTGTCTCTACTAAAAATACAAAAATTAGCTGTGCATGGTGGTGCACACCTGTAGTCCCAGCTACTTGGGAGGCTGAGGCCGAAGAACCACTTGAACCCAGGAGGCGAAGGTTGCAGTGAGCCGAGATCGTGCCACTGCACTCCAGCCTGGGCGACAGAGCAAGACTCTTGATTGAAAAAAAAAATTCATAACAATACAATATAATTATAAAATATGTTTGGAAATATCAAATACGAGCTTTGGCTAGCCTTATTTTTGGTATCCACAAGTATAGTGTGTAGTACATAATGCTTAATAAGTGGTTAATTGAATTGTTGAAATAAATATAATTCTTATATTCCTGGTTTAAATCTTTTTATATATTGTTAATTATACTTAAAAGTAAAAGATTACTACTTTTAGTATTTAGTGAACATAAATTTTGATAAGTAAACATACTTATTATGCTTCTGCTTTTCTGTTCATTTCATATGTTGGTGATTTATATTATATATGCATTTCCTTAATCTGATCTCCAAAATCGTACATATTTAACCATAATTTCCCATCATTTACCTCTAACACATCTATACTGAAATAAAAATTGCAACAATGTTTTACAGTGTGATTCTCCAAATAATGAGCACTCTTGGAATAATGAAAGTGAATCTGCCATGTTAAATGCTATGCATAATTTAACATGGCTTAGAAAAATTTGTATGGCTTTTAGAATTTGTTGCTCTCCTTCACAACAATTTTGTGTATATATTTCCTCATACTACTTCATCCACAGTCCTTCCTCAAATGCTTCCATTTAAACTTAAATTTTAAAAGTTCCCCTTTTACTCATTTCACAGTTGTCGTAGACACTATCATTCTTTGCTCAACAAAGTAAGTCATGTTTTCAAAAACTAAAAAAAAAAAAATTCTTTTTTTTCTGATATTGTGCTACTTCCATCTTCTCTCCTTACAGGAAACAAAATTTTTTCCCAAATACATTTTCATACACATTCTTCTTATTTGAAAGAGCTGCCTTCCTCTATTATTTTATTCTCATGAGTAAAGAGGTATGAAAAATATTTCTTGCTCCCCTGGGTCACTTCTAAACCATCATCACTCTTTCCCTTCAGAAGTTGGACTTGTAATTCAAAAAAAAAAAAAAAAAAACTGGCTAGTTAGGTTCAAGAAGATGATGGGAAAAACACTATGAAGAAAAAAAAGATACTATAATTGAAAACCAACTCAGGTGATGAATCAGCAGGAGTTGCTCATCCTTAGAGCTGCCTGGGCTCCTGTTGGCTTTCTAGGTCTTGTGTATCATGAAAGATAACTCCATTATCTAAAACAGTCTCCCTTTCCTGCAACTAAAAGGGCCTGTTAACACGGCCCTTCATTCACTAAGGACTATGGCACCTGGCTCATAGACCTTTCCACCCCAACTGCTACCAGAAAGTAGCATTGCATAGTAGTTAAAGACAGGAGCTCTGAAGGCAGACTGCATGAGATGTAACACAATTCTGTGGTGTCCTAATTAGGGAAAAGGAGTCAGGCTGGTGGGAGCAGGGGAAAGCAAAAAGAAAAAGCAGATAAGCTACAAGGACACATAGCCCTCCTGTGCAAATAACTCTCAATCTTCCTATGCCCAACTATCACCAGACACCTGCAAGTTAGCTCACTGCAACCTTGGCATTATCAGTACTGCACAAAGCCCTCTTCAGCATACAGCATAAACACTATCCTATAAAATCTCCAGCAAGCCTTTGTTTCTTTGCAGTCAGCTTCCCTTCCGCTGATCCTGCCCATTGTCTCCCTGGCAACGTATTTTCCTCCCTTCTCTAACAAATTTGCCTTTCTTTTACCTACAACGGTAAACCCTTTTGTCCCTGCACCTCGGGCCTAGATAGCCACCGCTCCCCCATGACAAACTCTAATATGGATCAGGTATGTAAATGTCTCTGCTTCACCTTCCTCAACCATAAGACGAAAATAATAGTACTGACTTCTAGGGTTGTTGTAAGGTCTAAATGTGTTAATACGTGTAACATGCTTAGAAAAGTGCTCGACACAAAGTAAGTACCCAATAAATATTAACTATGAGTAATATTATCAGTATTGACAGCACCTTCAAAATCTATATAGTTGACTCATCCAACAACTTAGATTCAACAACTTAGAGCTCCTCAAATGCGTCAAACATCATTCGCCCTCTACTTCCTCTACCGACTTTCATAGCCACACCCTGCACTTGAGGGCTTTATACCTTTCATGTTGTGTTGATAGCAAGGGTTTTCCAAATAGATTAACCTCCCTGAATTTTGATTGCCCACTATTTCCCAAATCCCTTCAAGGCATTCTCTGTATGCTACACAATACACTAAGTATATATAAAGAAAGGAGTATATTACTCCATTCTTTATATAGGTAAAGCCTAAACTCCTTTTCTTGGAATATAGGCTCTCCAGATCTGAAGTCTGCCTAATTATTTACACTTTTGCTTTCACATACCCTTTGAACTTTCTCACATTGTCTTCGTGTTTGCATGTGCTGCTCCAGCTTCTAAGCATGCCCTCCCTGTCCTCATACCCCATTCCCCAGCCACTTATTACGCTATATGCTGTAGTCCCATTCAGCTCGGTTGCAACCTCTTCCCTAATGAATCAGTCCATCATTAACAAAGAAAGGGAGGGAGGGAGGGAGGAAGAGAGGAATGAAAGGAGGAAAAGGGAAGGAAGGGGAAGGGAAGGGGAAGGGAAGGGGAAGGGAAGGGAAGGGAAGGAAGGGGAAGGGAAGGAATGGGAGGAAAAGGGACAAATAATGAATGATATGCTCTAATCTTTTTCCCCTAGATATAGAAGACAAAGAGCAAAATATACTTCACTAAAATTGGATTTTTACATAAATGTTCTTTCCTTTGTTTTTTGGTTGCTGGTCCACTTACAAACACTTTTCATATTTGTATGTCTTTCCAATGGTTATCCTGTTTTGTTCATTTCAGGCATATGGCCCTGATCAGATTAACTGACATGATGTATATGCAAAGCCTTTTGAGTTCTTCAGAAAAATAAATTATCTTATTCAAGACTGATTGCTTATAAGGAACTTATTATAGCTAATATAGTAGGCACAATTTTTTTTTTGTAATTCTCCTAGATGAGTCAGAACTTAGTTTTGACGTAGGTAAAAATTTTATGGTCACAAATCTCAGGTGTGAGAAAATCTCTTTCCTTGATACTCTATATAAATAGAGGATATAAATATTTCAAGTCTGGAAGTAGTGAGAGAAGCTGGTAATTCTGGACATATAGTGACAGTCAAAAAGGAGCTCAGGTACAGGACTGGTCTAAGCTGCTCAAGATTCAGGAGACAGCCAGTACACAGAGAAGCTGAGGAGATACATAAGATATATCTAAAACATTTATCTAACCTTCTGTGGTAACAAGCTCCTTAAAGGGGCTGGATGATGTTGTGTTCACTTTTTATCACCAGCAAAGGCTAAGATAATGTATATAGTAAATATTTAGTAACTATTTATTAAATAAATAAATATTTAAGACAGAATAAACAAGTATAATAAATGAACCAATAAGAATGCACCATCTAAGTCAAAATAGCCACTTTTATCCTTAACATTGTACCTGCTTTGGCTGCTGCAGAAGCAAACTTGTTGGCATTAGACAAATCAAGCTGGTGATTTAATAAATTCCAATGTAAGTCTTACCAGTATTGATGAATAACTATCCAGCACTCACCATGAAAGTTAAAGAAACAACACAGAAAAAGTTCCTAAGTGGTCCCAATTTGAAATGATCAGATAACCTATAAAAGAACATATTCATATTATACTAACATAAACACATATAAATGCACTTACAGCAGTTACACAGTATTCTCTTCAATAACTAGTTTCCTTATGCATTAATGTGTAATAACAGCAACTACAATATTTAGATAATTATAAAAACCAAGGCAATAATTTAAAAACTGATTAACCGTTTTACTCTAACTTAAGCATGGATTGGATCAGTAAGATTGATTAATAAATTTGAATGCAGTCAGTTGGATTGATTCTAATTTAAAGTTTTAATTTGTTGTAGAATAATTTTAAGTGAATATATTTGTCCAGTGTTCGAGTGCTCAACAGTGTGTTTGAAAAGGAAAACAAAGAAATGTTTTTGAGAAATGTGTTAATTCCTTAAGACAATGGATTTTAATTGGATCTAGTTGTTTTCATTTTTCTTCATTATCATTATACATCTGTATGTTGGACAGAACACTAACACTAAATAGTTTTTAGAAAAATTTTTTAAAGTTATTTAAATCATAATATCATGACTGACTTTTAAATTCAAAATTAGGCTGTGACTATCCTTCTTCACTTAGGAAGAGTGTTGTGAAAGCCAGACCATCTGCTGAGGTGCTACAGTTACATGTGGCCCTCAGAATGCATTTGGCCTGCTCTGTTTTAGCACTCTGTTGGATTACCAATACACAAAACAAGTTAACCTTGATCTTTCACATTAAGTATCTCAGGGACAAAATTTGACATACGTCTAAACCTGTGACGTTTCCATCTAAAGAAGGCAGAAATAAAACAGGACTTTAGATTCGGTTACAATAAAATATCAGATGCACCAGAGACACAAGGCTTGAAGCTCTGTCCTGGGAAAATATGGCAAACAGTGCCTCTCCTGAACAGAATCAAAATCACTGTTCAGCCATCAACAACAGCATCCCACTGATGCAGGGCAACCTCCCCACTCTGACCTTGTCTGGAAAGATCCGAGTGACGGTTACTTTCTTCCTTTTTCTGCTCTCTGCGACCTTTAATGCTTCTTTCTTGTTGAAACTTCAGAAGTGGACACAGAAGAAAGAGAAAGGGAAAAAGCTCTCAAGAATGAAGCTGCTCTTAAAACATCTGACCTTAGCCAACCTGTTGGAGACTCTGATTGTCATGCCACTGGATGGGATGTGGAACATTACAGTCCAATGGTATGCTGGAGAGTTACTCTGCAAAGTTCTCAGTTATCTAAAGCTTTTCTCCATGTATGCCCCAGCCTTCATGATGGTGGTGATCAGCCTGGACCGCTCCCTGGCTATCACGAGGCCCCTAGCTTTGAAAAGCAACAGCAAAGTCGGACAGTCCATGGTTGGCCTGGCCTGGATCCTCAGTAGTGTCTTTGCAGGACCACAGGTAAGCCATTATACACAAACTTATTTGGATATGGTGATCATAGATTTCCTATCTAAATTTGATATAAGGTCTTATCAAAGGAAGTACTGTATTACCTTTAAGAGCTTGGGTTCTGGAAGTCAGAGAGTGAAGTTTAATTCTGGCTCTGTTCTGTTACCTTGGGCAAACTTCTTAACCTCTCTGGTTTCAGTTCCTTTACCGATAAAATGTAACATGGGGGTTAATGCTTACTTAATACTGCTTTTGTGATGAATAAATAAATAAAGTAGCTCACATAATCTCTATTATGTAGCAAATGCTTCCCCAAAAAAAATGCGATTCTCAAACTTGACCTTATCTCCATCCTATTCTTTTATCTGTTTTTCTTTTTGTTTTGGTTGACATGGCTTTAATGTTTAGTTGAGATAATTTTTAGGAATTATGAAATTTGCCTAGGTAGAAAATATTTATAATGTTTCTTATTTAGGGTTTCTTCAGTGGAAATTTTAAGAATTCTGTCACTGCAGCTTAGAGAGAATTATTCTTTGTTAGTATGTTGCTCTGCAGTTTGCAGCTAAGTGGGACTGAATATAGAAGAAAAGTAAGACATCTTGGATGTTTGGAAATCCAAATATTTCCCTAAAGTTAGCTTGAGTTTTGCTGGAGGCAGCTTATTGAGAAAGCCATATGACTGACAGAGTAGGCACAGGCCCTCCCCACAGAGGGCAATTATCTTTCCAGGTTGCCTTCACCAGAAGCAGCCTAGTTAACTGACCTGCTGAACCTGCCATTTTAACAATCAGATCCCCGAAGAAAAGGACAAATTCTTGAAAATAACAAAGAATGTTAATAGCAGATGAACAAGTTTTCTCTTGCATTTAAATGTACTACATGATAAACCCAGGATACAAGGATGTGTCAAGAAATAAATCAGAATTAACTAGGATCCTCCAAAACTTGCCTCTGAAAATGGAAATTTATCTAGACTTTTTTTTACTGACCAGATGGTTAAAAAACAACAACAACAAAAAAAAACTGCCATGCAGAACTCACTATATAGCACAAGACACTAGAAAGCTGGATAACTGTTTTATCCCATCAATTTCTCACTTTAATATTTCTTTTGAATATGTGTGTGTTTCATAATAAGAATAATGGGAAAAACTAAAATGTTTTCATTTTCTGAAGAAAAATATATGATTTATTTCACAGTGATGCAATACATAAGAATAAGTTTAGCAAATATATCACCTGAAATGAGGTGATTTAGCTAAGGCTTATGCTCTTAAAATTTTCCACATTCTTTCTTTCCACTTTTGCACCTATGGTCCAAGTTACCTGGGAGGTTGGGAGGGAGGTTGTGGTGGGAGGATCACTTGAGCCCAGGAGTTCGAGACCAGACTGGGCAATATAGGGAGGCCCCATATCAACAAATTATTAAAAAAAAAATTGCTTAAATGCTGGTCATGATGACCCGCACCTGTGGTCCCAGCTACTTGGGAGGCTGAGGTGGGAGAATCGCTTGAGCCTGGGAGGCAGAGGTTGCAGAGAGCCATGATGCATCACTGCAACTGCACTGCAATCTCGGTGACAGAATGAGAACCTGTCTCAAAAAAGAAAAAAAAAAGGCTTTGGGAAAATTTATGTAGGCCCAAATGGCCCAAATGGAGTGGAATAAAACAAAGACTTTTTTAAAAATCATCTGGCAATGAGGTGATCAGGGGGCTAGGGTGGTATCAAAGAGAATAGATAGTAAAAGAGACATTTCAAATAAAATACAAAACCTGACAACAAATTGGATTGAGAGAGTTAATAATAGAGCAGGGGGAAATAAAGTTCCAATTTTTTTAGCCTAGGAATTAAAATAGTAAAACCATTGAAATGATCCGGTGGGAAGGGGAGTGTTTGTTTGTCTGCCTGTTTGTTTGTAGAAGGGAGAGGGAAGGCAGGCTATGAGAAGTAAAATCATTTGCTTTAGGACATGACTGTTGGCAATATAAGATCTGTGTAATTACAACTATGTGTAAAGTAGTTGGTAATTTGAGGTGCTGATGTAGATTAAAATCCAAACCAAAGTAGAAATAATCCTATCTGCAATAATAACTGAAGGGCAAACTCACGATTTGATTCTTCTTAGAAGAAGTCTCCTAGAAGCTATAAATAAAATATTGCTTTATCAATCCAATTATTTTCATCTAAGTATTAACAGCAATAATAGAAAGATAATGCCAAATATTTATCTAACTTGATGTAGCAAAAAGAAAATAGGAACTTAACTTTGAATTGTTTAGGAATTTCATGTAATAGTCTGACCTCAAATACATTACTAGAGAGATTTATGTGAATGTGAGCCACAGAAAATGGTGTTATTTTATTTTGTAAAACACATGACTCATCCTTACTTTCAACAACACTTTAAAGCACTTTGCTGAAGTTTCCTGAATAACCTCACATAAGTAATGCTGATATTTACGTTAACTCTATAAGGTAAATAGGAGCTGTGTTATTATCCCTATTTCATATATAAGAGAGCTAAGGTCTAAACCTATGAAGACAATGGCATTCAAATCCTTTTGCAATAATCCAAAGTAAGAAATACACACTACACTGAAACCTTGTTTGTGTCTCTGTCTCTTTCTCTCACACATATAACTGAGAAAAAATTTTGATGAAATAAATATTCTATTCTGTTACATTTTATTTTTTACTGTTGATTACAACTCATTGCTGAGCATATCCTGCAGTTCAAAAAGCACTGATTTAAAAGGATTCATTAGCATTCCCAGTGTCACGTGCTCTGTTGGACTCGTGTTGTCTTATTCTTTCCTTTTATTATGGCTCTCTTCAATTTCTCTGAATAAAAGAAATTTCAATCCCATAACTAATGTTACATATATTTGATGAGGAACATGAGAGAGAAAGAGGGCTTTTTATTTCTAGACTGTGATGCATGATGAGTGTGTCTCATGCTTCACCATGCTCTGTGGTCAATTATAAAAAATGTAATTGACAAAGGCACGTCCTATTGTGCCTAATTTACATTAAAAGGGTAACTTTAATTTTCATCCTTTGGTGCACATACCGATTTTCTATTATTTGAGTAATTCATACCTCAGTTGAAAAAAAAACACTTAACAAACATGTTTTCACCACTCAGGGCTGGGGATCTGGGAATTTATGACATTTTGCCTCAGCTCAGAATGACCAAATTTCAAATTGGCCTCCTAGATTTTCCACTTTCCTCATTATTAACCTCAGAAGCTATGTTCTGTGATAATTCGGCAGTGCATTCTCAGAAGTTTTAGCATAGTGTGGCATAGAAACTTTCAAACTTTATGCTAGTAATAGAATTCTTTTTAAAAAATTCTATATCACAATGTACCCCATAAATATGTACAATTATTATGTGTCTGTTAAAAATTTTTAAATAAAATACAGTACAAAAAATCCTGTACAAAAAGCCATAATGAATGAAACAGATATAAGTGGAGCTGCTCTGGTTAAAATAGAGGGAAAGGAGGACCAGTCCTCCACTTGGTTATTCACTAGCTCTCAGTCACAGTTACTAAAGACTTCCTATCTCCTTGCAGCAAAGTTCAAAAGCCAATGGGATAGTAAAAGTGGCATGAGTGTGAGATTCAAATGGAGTTGGGCTCAAATCTCAGTAATACTGCCTACCAGCTATGTGACTCTGAGCAAATTACTTACATTTAAAAGAGTAATTGTAAAGAATAAGTCATACAATTTATAAAATCATCTAAGACTTTACACCTTAATTTTAAATACTAATTTAATATTTATTTTTCTTCTTTTCCTTTCTTCCTAAGACCATCCTTTCTTCTTACCTTCATAAAAGAGGTTTTGAAGTCAGGAAAGAAAAAGTACAGAAATATGAGTATGGAATTGTTGGTTCTTTAAGAAACAGCAAAAAGAAATGCTTATATAAAAGTGGATTATTTCAAATTTTTCAAAATTATAGCATGCATTCTGACTGATTAGTAAACTACTCCCTGGTCACAAAGCTATCATACTCACTCTGCTAATTATACATGTCAGAGCACAGTAATTCAAGTCTTGGAGGTATCGTATATAAAAGTGGGGAAAGACGGAAGGAAGGAAGGAAGGAAAGAAGGAAGGAACGAAGGAAAGGAGGCAGGGAGGGAGGGAAAGGAGGGAAGGGGAGGAAAAAGGAGGAAAGGTAGAAAAGAAAAACGAAGGAGGGAAGGAGGAAAAGAAAAAGCAGCAAACACCCTGGGATAGCTTTGGTTTAAGACCATCTGTGGTTAGGGTGGTAAATATAAATTGAAGAGAAGACATTTCCTAAATTAGATGTGCCCGTATCTAATTTAAAATCACATGGTTTCTAATAAGAGTCATTTAATACCACAAGAATTCCAGAGTAGCAGGTTATTTGCAGAAAGAGTTCATAGCTTATCTGTGTTAAGCTTATCACTAGTTTATCTGTACTAATACAGAGTATTACATATTGACAGCTTTTAAATTCTATGGTTAACCCAGGCCTGCCGGCAAGAAATGTGGGCCACTCCTTAGTCCTTAGTGTAAAGATATGTTGTCTGAAGATGTGTGGAGGCTTGCCTTAACACACAGAGAATTTACTGGTGTAGAATGCACTACTGACATTGGCCAACGGTTTAAATTCAATAAATATTATCACACAGGTACAATATGCCTAACATTGTGCTACAACATAGTACTGTGCTACTAGCAGAAATAACAATAGCAATAATGTTGATGATGATAAATAATGCTTGAAGACATAAATATGTGCCAGGAATTTGGCTAAAAGCTTTTACATGCTAGGTTCACAGAACAGGCAGTGAATAAATATTAAATAAATAAGCTTTTACATGCAATATTTCATATAATGCTTCCAACAATCACATAAATTATGCACAATCATTATCTTTATTTTACACATGAAGAAACTAAACCTCCAATATTATATAACATGCCCAAAATTACTGTTTACTAAGTGGAAATCTCAGTATATCAGTATATTTAGTTATCTATATATGGCCATATCCATAGCCAGCTCTTTTTTTTTTAACAGTCAGAGGCTTCCCATTTATTTATTTATTTATTTATTTTATTATTATTATTATACTTTAAGTTTTAGGGTACACGTGCACAACGTGCAGGTTTGTTACATATGTATACATGTGCCATGCGAGTTAATGGGTGCAGCCAGCTCTTTTAACTACTACACTCTACCCAACTCTGCCCAGTGAACACTGCAATATTGTCTATTTCCTTTTTACCTGTAGGAGGCTGGGGAAGAAAAAGGCAGAAAAAGCTTGAAGTGAAAACTGATGCTTAAAACACATCAAGAAAAAAATATATATGATACACATTTATAAACATATAAACGCATATGGATACATATAAAAATTGTGTGCCTCAAGTTTTAATTATAATAATGGTAAAGATTTATAAAGTGCTGTGTTCCAGGCACTATTCCAGGTGCTTTGCATGTATTAACTCATTTATTGTCATGATAGGCCTTAGAGGTAGATATTACTATTTTCTCCATGTATGTAGATGAGGAAACTGAAGCACACATCTGAAGATAATTACCTGTGGACAACACTAGGTAAGGGTGTAATTAGTGTGGGTAAGGTGAGTGTTAAAGATAATATTCTAAGAAGAAATGAACAACTGCAATTGACTGTGAAAAACAAAAACAGAATGTTCTTGTTTATGGCAAAATAAAGCAAACACTGATAAGAACCAGGGCCAGGGGCAAGAGAGGAGAAATATACCAAAATTAAAGAAATATAATCCAAGGACAAATGAACAACTAAAAGCAAAGTGGATCTCTACATAAATCATTCAAATGAACATGGCCTTGGAGCACAAAATAAACGGAACTAAGACAATAGCAAGTTAATTTATGGGCAAGTAAGATTCTGAATTTGTGTACACTTTATTATACCTTTCTTAAAATTTATTGGTCTATCTTGTATTACCTGGGTCACATACATTTTAAATCTGCACTACCAAATATTAAATTCCCTGATTGAAGGATATAACTGCTTTATCTTTTATGACAGAGAATGCCAGCTATAGTTTATTTTACCAAAGAGTTGCTTAAAAAATAAGCATGTGTTAAATAAGATAGCCATTAACTCAATCATAGTACTATGTTTCAAAGTCATTGCTAATTGAAAGTTTCATCATTATGGCTTTTTTAAACATATTTTATTTTTTTAATTATAAATTTTTTCCAGTTACAAATGAACCAATTTGAACCACGCACTACCCATCTTTTTAGAATCTTATAGTAGAACTCACCAAGTTGGTGTGAAAACAGAAAGGCCAAGTAATGCCTGAGAGGCCTGAGTAAGAAATACAGACAAACGTAGAAAAAAAACACACTGCTTTTCAAATGTTTTCATCTCTCCTCAAAACTGGCATGCAATAACATTAGACTTGTCACAAGAACTCCTATCAAACTCCACTCATTGGGCCAGAGACCTTTGTGGTGTTAGCAAAAAACTCACCCCTCATGTAGCATACTACCTACGCTTGGGATTTCATCAGCCAGTCAGTGACATCATTATGCCTTTAAAACATGAAATATTAAGACGAAAATGTGGCCCAGGGCAGAGCAGAAAGTAAAACTCAGGTCATATGGTTCCAAGTCCAGCTGGGATGGTGCAGAGGGAAGTAGCTAAAACCTTAAAGAAATATAAGATTCTCAGGTTCTACGTGAAGTAAGCCTTCCAAAGACTTTAACTCACAGCCTCTGTTGGATCTAATTCAAAGCTGAACTTTAAATAAGGTCAGGTTGCAAAGAATTACAGAAAACTAAAAGTCTCACTTTGTAATGTGGGAAAAAAGTCTGAATCATAAGATAAAATTAGCTGAATGCACTTGTTGGGGTTTCTTGACTGGAGTGATAGTAAAATTATTAGACGCCCTCTAGTGGATGAATTTAAAATCATTTTTTCCCCTTGAAAATGAAAAAAGCTCTGAAACTGAAAATCAACTTTTTAACTTATTTAACAGGGCCAAGGTTTCTTTCCCTTTTGAGGTGATGGGAGTGGGAGTGGAGTATGCCTTTTAAAAAAAAATGAAGTATTTTTAAAATATTTAATAGTGTTTTTTGTTGGTAGGGTAGAAAAGAATCATGTTTCTTAATATTGTAATTAAAATTTTCTAATTCAATCAAAAACTTTAAAAAAATGGAATCCCTCATTTGCTTAAAATAAAAAATATTGTAACACTTTTGTTTGAATTTACTTGCTATCAATTTAAAAATGCTTAAACTCTCATCATTTCATTTTAATAATGTTTCACAGTAAAATGAAACTTCTCAGGGGAAAAGCTTATAAATAAGTAGGTAAGAAGTGTTTAATGAATAGAGGAATAATGAATAAATGTCCACTAGAATTTATTTTTGAAAATTACTTGCAACATTTTCTTAATTGTTGATTCAGTTTGTGTTTTTAAAAGTTGTAGGATAAAGGCTTTTTAAAAATAATTTGACACTCAGAGAATGGTTACAAGAATCATACATATTTCTGGATACCTTCACCCAGATTTTCTCAAATATTAATATTTTACATTTGCTTATTTATTTTATCTTATCTACTTTTTCCCAATTGCTTAAAAGTAAGCTGTAGACATGATTTTTCTTTACCCCTCAATACTTCAATGTGTGTTTAAGGCCTCTCACACACAGCCACAGTAATGATTGTCAAAATAAGAAATTTAACATTGATACAATACCACTATTTAATTTATATGTTCTATTCAGAGCTCATAAGTTATCCCGGTTTAATTTTTGCCCTTTTAACAAAAGAAAATCCAAGATTATGTGGTGGATTCAGTTGCATACCTCTTTAGTATTCTTTTAGCTGGAACCATTTCTCAGTCTTTCTTTGTGTTTCATGATATTGACATTTTTGGAGAGTGCAGACCAGTCATTTTGTAAAATGTCTCTCAGTTGGGATTTGTCCTCTCAAGGTTAGATTCAGGTTATACACTTTAAGCAAAAATACCAAATTAGTGATGCTAAGTTCTCAATGCATTACATAAGGAGACAGACATTGTCAATAGGTCCTATTATTGGCAATGTTAACATACTTATCTAGCTATTTCTCTTCTGTAAAGTTATTATTGTATTCCTTACAATGAATAAGTAACCTGCAGACTGATACTTTGAGATTTTGTAAACATCCTGTTCTCCTCAAACTTCCACCCACTATTTTTACCAGCTATTGATGATTCTTGCTGTAATCACTTATTATAGTGATTAACATTTGGTAATCACTAATTCCGTTTATTCCTTTTCATTTATTAGTTGGCATTCTACATTATGGAAGAGGTTTTTCTCCCCCCATTTATTTGTTGTTTTTGTTATCTTGTAATTTTTATAAGTATGGGCTCATACTTTATTCAATAGTTTCTCATTCTTTTAGATCAGTTTCTTTTTTGTATTTTAATGCTTAAACTGCCCCAGATTTGGCCAGTGGAAGCTCTTTTCAGCTGGTTCCTGGGTTGTTTTGTTTGTTTTTTTTTGTTTTGTTTTGACATATTCCATCATTCTTTGAGCAACTGTCTCTTCATGTCTTTTGACCATTTTTTAAAATGTCATTTTAATAGGGCTTCTGTCTCTAAAATAAAATTTAAATATGTATTTTGGGGGGTACATTTTAAGTGCCAGACACAGTTGTAGTTACTGCAGATATAACTTATGAGCAAAATCACTTGCAAAAAGTTTACTCAGCATAATTGTACTGGAAACTGAAATACAAACAACGTTTAAATCCTTGAGGGATGATTATTCTTCAAGGTTGAAATAATTTCTAAAAAATCCAAAATCTTACAGATCTATTGACACTTACCCAAACATATTTTAAGTAAATATTCACATGACTTTTCATAGAAACGTCAGAAGTATAACACTAAGGAGCTTAGAAATTGCTTTAGGTAACATGTTAGAAGGCTAGCAGAGTACCAAAGAGAAAACTTTCAAATACCATATGGAAAAAAGTAACATAGCTTTTTATTGTCTCATACAGTTATACATCTTCAGGATGATTCATCTAGCAGACAGCTCTGGACAGACAAAAGTTTTCTCTCAATGTGTAACACACTGCAGTTTTTCACAATGGTGGCATCAAGCATTTTATAACTTTTTCACCTTCAGCTGCCTCTTCATCATCCCTCTTTTCATCATGCTGATCTGCAATGCAAAAATCATCTTCACCCTGACACGGGTCCTTCATCAGGACCCCCACGGTATGTATTCCTTAGAGTTAGTGTCATTTGTGGGCAGTTTTTAAATAGCAATGCTCAAAACAGAGTGGCATGAACTATGTGACAGATACTGTTCTAAGCAGTTTGCATATATTAGCTCATTTAATATTCACAATCACCCCATAAGGTAATATTTTTATTATGGTTTTATCATAATCAATTTACAGATAAGGTTACTTAATATCTTCTGCTGTTCTACATTTGCACCATGAAATTAAATAAGAAAGAATGATTATTCCATTAAAACCCAGGATAAGAATTGGCAAATGGTTTCTGCTGGGCAGCAAGTACAAATTGTGATATCTAGACTATAGCAAAGTACAACTTGTTAAATGCTATCCAATAAATTAGCTAAAGTAAGCTGTTTCATTTTATATTCAAATCCCATATATTTACACGACATAAACTATGCACATTTGTGTGTATGTTAATATGCGAAATATTGACTATGTAAATGATTATTTCATTCAAAACTTCACACATGTGTTTGTACCTTTTTTGCTTTAGTAAAATGGTGCATTCCCAAAAACTAAAATTTATAAATTCATGAAATAAACATTGTTATGTTGGCATGACATCCAAAAGACGTGTTATCAATGACATAGTGCATAAGTTATATCTGGTACAACTTATCAGGGAAATCATCTTAATTATTATAGCATGAATAGTCTCAGTAGATATTTTCAAAAGAAAATATTCATGGTGATGCTCTCTAATAGGGAATTGGGCAGTTTCCACCTGCCAGCACAAAATGGTATTTAATATTTCCAAAAAAGTATACTGCAAGAACAATTTGCCTTCAAAATCTTATCTCGAGAGATTCCATTTTATAAGCGATATCTAAGAAGGGTAGAGGGAAAATAAGAAGGTGGATCTCAAATAGGAGTTAATCTGAAGAAATATGAGCAGTACATAAGCAGAAAAACAAAAAAGCAGAGGCAGGAAGCAATAAATATTATGAACACATTTATTTATTTATTATTTTATTTATTTGATTAATACATACTGACTACTCAATGTTGCTGGAAACTGTGCTAGGTGGGGATACCATGGTGAATAAGAAAAACCTAGTAAGTATCCTGCTTTCATGGAGACTACAGTCTAGCAGAAAAGTCATAAACAGTAAACCAATTATCAACTGTGATGATGTTTCAAAAGAAGAAAAAGCATGACATGTTGTGGTTGCCTTGATATTTTTTCATTTTCAGTCATGTGCTAAGCCAAGATGGTTTTTTGAATTTTAAATGGATGTGTCACCAAAGTTTACAGATATTGAGGATTAAACGATAGTGTGTGAAGGCCAGGTGCGGTGGCTCATGCCTGTGATCCCAGCACTTTGGGAGGCCGAAGCAGGTGGACCACCTGCAGTCAGGAGTTCGAGGCCAGCCTGACCAAGACGATGAAACCTGTCTCTACCAAAAATACAAAAATTAGCCGGGTGTGGTGGCACATGCCTGTAGTCCCAGCTACTCAGGAGGCTGAGGCAAGAGAATCACTTGAACCCAGGAGGCAAAGGCTGCAGTGAGCCAAGATTGTACCATTGCACTCCAGCCTGGGCAGCAAGAGCGAAACTCAGGAAAAAAAAAAAGAATAGTATGTGAAAAGAGCAAGGCCTCAAGGCACAGAGTAAACAGTAATTGGTTTTGTCTGCTAAAAATCCATAATCAGTCTGTATTTAATAAATTACTTTAATATTTCTAGATAAAAATTAATTTTATAATTAAAACACCATGCATGTAAATGTTCTCCTCTATATGTCCACCCTTTGGTGACCAATTAATAAGAAATTTCAGAATGACTATTTCTGAATAGCACTATCTGTTTCCCTCAAAAAAAATATAGTGTGTGAAGAGTATTTCTTACTTGACACAGAAGTTCTCGATTATGAAATACAAGAACAGATTTTGAGCACTTCAAAATTGCACCTTTTTACCTTTAAGAACTAAGTCCAAAATTTCAGGTAGGCAGCCTGACTGTAAAAAGTCAGCAATTCCATTAATTTCCAGCAAATTTCTTCACAAGTGTAACCTATGAACTTTAATGGCTGTATTAATATGAAAAGTGAAATTATTTCAGATATCATAGAAAGAAGCACACAGTTGAGATAGATAATTTGGGGTAGTACACTTTCATCCACATATGATACTTACTATCCTTAGTGGCAGAGATACTCAGTGAACATAATTTTGTTTTGAAGTCAGAATTCACAAAGCAAACAAAAACATACAGTGGGGAAAGGACATCCTATTCAACAAATGGTGCTGGGATAATTGGCTAGCCATGTGTAGAAGAATGAAACTGGATCCTCATCTCTCATCCTACACAAAAATCAACTCAAGATGGATCAAAGACTGAAATCTAAGACCTGAAACCATAAAGATTCTAGAAGATAACATTGGAAAAACCCTTTAAGACACTGGCTTAGGCAAAGACTTCCTGACCAAGAGCCCAAAACCAAATGCAACAAAAACAAAGATAAATAGATGGGACTTCATTAAACTAAAAAGCTTCTGCACAGCAAAAGAAATAATCAGCAGAGTTAACAGACGGCCCACAGAGTGGGAGAAAATCTTCACAATCTGTCCATCTGACAAAGGACTAATACCCAGAATCTACAAAGAACTCAAACAAATCAGCAAGAAGAAAACAAACAATCCCATCGAAAAGTGGGCTAAGGACATGAATAGACAATTCTCAAAAGAAGATATACAAATGGCCAAGAAGCATAGGGGAAAATGCTCAACATCACTAATGATCAGGGAAATGCAAATCAAAACCACAATGTGATACCACCTCACTCCTGCAAGAATGGCCATAATCAAAAAATCAAAAAATAATAGATGTTGGCAGGGATGCAGTGAAAAGGGAACACTTTTACACTGTTGGTGGGAATGTTAACTAGTACAACCACCATGGAAAACAGTGTGGAGATTCCTTAAAGAACTAAAAGTAGAACCATCGTTTGATCCAGCAATCCCACTACTAGGTATCTACCCAGGAGGGAAAAAAGGCATTATATGAAAAAGATACTTGCACAGGAATGTTCATAGCAGCACAGTTTGCAATTGCAAAAACACAGAACCAGCCCAAATGCCCATCAATCAATGAGTGAATAAAAAAATGTGGTATATATGTACTATAGAATACTGCTCAGCCATAAAAAAGGAACAAAATAATGGCATTTGCAGCAACCTGGATAGAATTGGAGACTATTATTCTAAGTGAAGTAACTCAGGAATAGAAAACCAAACATCATATGTTCTCATTCATATGTGGGAGCTAAGCTATGATGATGCAAAGGCATAACAATGATACACTGGACTTTGGAAACTCAGGGGAAAGGGTTGGGGGTGGCAAGGGATAAAAGACTACACATTTGGTACAGCGTACACTGCTCAGGTGATGGGTCCACCGAGATCTCAGAACTCACCACCAAAGAACTTATTCATATAGCCAAACACCATCAGTCCCCAAAAAAACCTATTAAAATAAAAAAATAATTTTTTTAAGAAAGAATTCAACTGAGCTCAACCTCATCTACTCTTTTAAATTTATATGTTAAGAGTTTGAGTACCCCATATTTCAAATCCAGATTACTTTGGCAGAAATAAGAGCACTATCATCTTCAAACTTTTCTATTCATTATGTGACATAGTGGAAAACTCTTATTAAAACATGCTTTTCAAACAAATTATTATTATTTAAAATAATGGAAATTTTCTCCCATTGATTAAGTTGAATTAGTGATGCTGTCTTCCTTTTTGTCCACTTTGGTTTTGTAAGAAAACTGATCTTTAAACACCTGCTCTTTTCTCTATCCAACAGAACTACAACTGAATCAGTCCAAGAACAATATACCAAGAGCACGGCTGAAGACTCTAAAAATGACGGTTGCATTTGCCACTTCATTTACTGTCTGCTGGACTCCCTACTATGTCCTAGGAATTTGGTATTGGTTTGATCCTGAAATGTTAAACAGGTTGTCAGACCCAGTAAATCACTTCTTCTTTCTCTTTGCCTTTTTAAACCCATGCTTTGATCCACTTATCTATGGATATTTTTCTCTGTGATTGATAGACTACACAAGAAGTCATATGAAGAAGGGTAAGGTAATGAATCTCTCCATCTGGGAATGATTAACACAAATGTTGGAGCATGTTTACATACAAACAAAGTAGGATTTACACTTAAGTTATCATTCTTTTAGAAACTCAGTCTTCAGAGCCTCAATTATTAAGGAAAAGTCTTCAGGAAAAATACTAAAATATTTTCTCTTCCTCATAAGCTTCTAAATTAATCTCTGCCTTTTCTGACCTCATATAACACATTATGTAGGTTTCTTATCACTTTCTCTTTGCATAATAATGTACTAATATTTAAAATACCTTCAGCCTAAGGCACAAGGATGCCAAAAAAACAAAGGTGAGAAACCACAACACAGGTCTAAACTCAGCATGCTTTGGTGAGTTTTTCTCCAAAAGGGGCATATTAGCAATTAGAGTTGTATGCTATATAATACATAGAGCACAGAGCCCTTTGCCCATAATATCAACTTTCCCTCCTATAGTTAAAAAGAAAAAAAATGAATCTATTTTTCTCTTTGGCTTCAAAAGCATTCTGACATTTGGAGGAGTCAGTAACCAATCCCACCAACCACTCCAGCAACCTGACAAGACTATGAGTAGTTCTCCTTCATCCTATTTATGTGGTACAGGTTGTGAAGTATCTCTATATAAAGGGAAATTTTAGAGGGGTTAGGATTTGGACAGGGGTTTAGAACATTCCTCTAAGCTATCTAGTCTGTGGAGTTTGTGGCAATTAATTGCCATAAAATAACAATGTTTCCAAATGCAACTAAGAAAATACTCATAGTGAGTACGCTCTATGCATAGTATGACTTCTATTTTAATGTGAAGAATTTTTTGTCTCTCTCCTGATCTTACTAAATCCATATTTCATAAATAACTGAGAATAATTAAAACAAAATTAAGCAAATGCACAAGCAAAAAGATGCTTGATACACAAAAGGAACTCTGGAGAGAAAACTACAGCTTCAGTCTGTACAGATCAAAGAAGACAGAACATGTCAGGGGAAGGAGGGAAAGATCTTGATGCAGGGTTTCTTAACCTGCAGTCTATGCACAACACTATATTTCCATGTAATGTTTTTATTTCAGCCCTATTTGTATTATTTTGTGCATTTAAAAAACACAATCTTAAGGGGATAGACTAGACTGCCACAGCAGCCCATGGCACAACTAACACCTACTGATATTCACATTAAATAGTATGGTTTCCAAAATATGTCTGCACAACAAGACCTCTTTATGTAATTCAGGCTTGTGTCTACCTCTTCCATGAAAAATGGAAAGGGATGAAAATAATGGGAGTATAATACCCATTTAATGTGAAAAACATAAGAGTCTTAAAAGAAATTAAGCCATTTAACATTTTTTAAATAGGTAAGATACCATTATATTTATATGAGCTATGTACTGCCACAAAAAAAGATGAAATGTAATTTCTAAATACTCCAGGTGTGTGGTATTATGGAAAGCAAATTGCCAACTAATGGCACGTCCTTTCTTTCTTTGATTTTCTCCTCTCATACTTCAGTTTTATAGTGTTGTGTTGTTGTTTTTTTCATATCCTACCTTACTTTCCAATTCTGTCTCAATTGAACTCCCTCTGTCTACTCACTCTTTCATTCATAGCTTCTTTTCCATTAAACTCATACCTTTAATTAACCAATTCATGGCCCAGTTCTACAGTTGAATTGGACAAGGCTAAAATTCTGTAGTGTGCTAAAATGCTCAAGTTGGCACATAAACCCATTCCAAGATTTTATAGTTCTTGTAGATAACACAGGGATGTAGATAAGTTGAAACAAAACCAGTGTCCTCTAAGTCTCTATCATATACTTATTCCTAAACTGATAATTCTTACTTCTGGATTTAAAATCAAAAATAACACACTTGTACAGATACAATCTAAGGGCTTTATCACACACGTGTTAACGAATGTATCTCAGCTTGGTTCTTCTTGTGTGCTCATTATGGATCTCTCTGTCTTAGGAATTGCCTCAGGCATTTTTTTTTTTTACACATTAACTAAAGGGCTATTCGAAATCTTGACTCAGGGGTTCTTAACCTACATTTCATGCAAAAAATATATATATTTCAATGTATTTTTTATTTTAGTCCTATTTGTATTATTTTATGCATTTAAAAACACAGTCCTGAGAGGGATGGACCAGACTGCCACAGCAGCTCATAGCACAAAAAAAGGTTAAGAAGTCCTAGTTGACTTTGTATATATATAAAGAAATCTATTACAATAAAAATATAACATAATCTATTCATCTATTTATATGCAAACATAAAAATGTAAATATTGAAACAAGATTGCTTCAATATGCTTATTGTTTTCAAACCAACAAACTCTCTTAAGGTTCAATATGTAATAAAAAACATAACACAAATAATTATTCTATATGAATATTATGGTTCATAAATTATAATGTATAATCTATACATTATAATGTAATATATAAACTAAAATTTATGGCACAAAAGATAAATATGGCTTTGAAATTAAAGATATTCCACTCAACAGACAATATTTCATATTTGATATTACAATCATTTATTTTATGTCCTATTATAATAAAAGGTGAGGACTCCTTGTAAAAAAGGAAATGTTCCACAGAGTCAATCTAATATATCAGATATTGGAGATTCTATCTTGGTTTCTCTTCCTTTACTTAGCCTATAAAACTAGTTAAAAATGGAATTTCTTTTAGCAATTCAGTTTAGTACAGGAGTGACATTAACTAATGACAATAAATTAAACAAAGCCTACATTAGTTCAATTTAAGCCTATTCAACAGAAATATAGAAATATAGTAGCTAAAAAAATACTCTGGGGAAGGTACCACAAACATTATCTACCAGGGAACATAGCATAAATTAGTCTGAAATTTCCTGAGAGTGACTTTGTCTTAGAACTTAGGTGGTAGTCATGAAGAGATAATGTTTTTAGGCAGTTAAAATACTTCTAGAACTCCATCTATTTTACCTGTGGTCCACTTTCCTACATTGAACCAATGCCTTGGGCTTCTCTAATTACTATACATTGTGCTCATATGAATAAAAGAAATTTTAAAAGAAAAAAAATCAGATTCAATATAATCTTGCTTATCATTTTTATGATTATTAGGAATCAAGTTTAAAACAATTAGTCTAACTTTAAAAGTTATATAAAATGTATGCATAGCAGCAATAGATAAACATATATGAAAACTGTTAATATAGTTATCTGCATGATTTCTTAAAAATTTCTTCCTTGTGAATTCCTGTAATTCCAAATTCCCAAAATGAACTCATATTGCATGTGTATTAAGAGAAAACATAATAAATGTTATATGTGTGTGTGTTTGTCTGACTTTTATTTTATACATCATTGTTTCTATTAGAAGGTGTTCTGTTGTAAGGAATAAAAATGTCAAACTAGAAGTGGCATTTTTCCATCTCATGTTATAGGATGTGCAGAGGTAGACATGCAGAATCAGTTAAGTCAGAGCTTTGAGTCAGCTTCTCTGATTATACTAGGCTTTTTTTTTTTTTCCTGACTAGAAGTTGGCTGTCACCATTCTAGGGGTCAAAGGCAGAAAGAAAGGGTCACTTCTCATTATGGATCTCTCTTTCCCATAACTCTCAGTACTTCCCCTTAAATTGGCTAGAACTGGGACACATGACTGACCCTAAACAAATCACTAGCAAAGATTATCTCGAATACTTTAAAGGAATAATTTGTCTTGTGGGACAGTGTTCAGTTTCCCTGAACACTCAGCAATCTGATAACTAAAAAAAATTGAAGGCTTTTTTTATTTTTTATTTTTGGGGTGGGGAGGAGGAAGAGAGAAAAATAGACCTTTTGGGTCAGAAAACTGCAGTCCTTGCAATAATCACCAATTAACTTTTCAAAACAAAATTTAAACTACATATGCCACAAATTTAAGTAGCACATAATTTAAATACAATGCATAAAAACTAAATGAAGCCCTGAAGCACAATGATTGCACAATAAATGTAGCTCTAAGGGAAAGGAAAGGATTTTCATTGTTTTTCATGAATTAAATCCAAATATTTTAAACTCTAGTGGTTAGAATCTTTATCTGATGTATAGCGGATAGGTTCTGCCTAATTACTTACTTTCTTGGGAACTCTTGGCTCCTGTTTTTTTCTTCATTTATTTGTTTGATTTTATAACTAGTTCATTGGATAAGAAATGTTCACACTTTTTAAAAATTCTGGCCATCACTTCAGATTCAGAGAACAATTATCGAGTAAGTTAATAAATAAATGGCAAATTGAAATGGATTTCCTATAAAGCTAATGAAACTTAATTTCCAAATTCCTCACTTATTTCAGTCCACTCTTGGGGCCCTGGAAAATATGTTTTCACGTGGTCACATGTTTTTATAAAACCCACACCAAAAAAAGTATTTTAATTGCAATTGGTTAAGACTGTCTCTTTCCACTCTTGCTTTCCCTCTGTCACCCTTCCCCTCAGATGAAGTGGTATTGAGATGGCCATGTGTACTTTTGGGACCCAGCCAAGGGGAATTTGAATTAAGAATATCTTTAGATTGACTCTAGAGGGATAGCATGTGGTTCCTGGTCGCTTTCATGTTGAGCTAAGTCGTTGCTAACCATTGCAAGAAACTTCCAGGCATAATACTAGAAAAAATACCTACTATAGTGACTTACCTGGCATAGTGACAGGAAAGTGTAGGGCCAGAGGTCATATCATGATATCAATGTGTCTAGACCTATGGCAGCAGAACCATGTAAGTGGTGAGAAGAAAACAAGACACAAAATGTACAGAAGCTTCTCCATGGAAAATTATTGTACATGTACACCCAAAGGTGATTCCCAATAAGGTATGCCCTTATATAATCCCCTTTCTTTGAGCATGATTGGAACCTGTGACTTGCTTTCAATCATACTTTGCCTATGGCAAATTAATGATGTCATTCCTTAATCAGGTTACATTATCAAGAAAAGGTGCTAGGATATCAGCCCTGTGATTACATTACATTATATAAGACTATCTTAGCAAACTGAAGTGAGAAATTCACCCTTAAGCAAACAGTCATATTGTAAAATGCCTTTGCAGAGAGCTATGTGGCAGAGAATTGTGGACAGCCTCTAGGACCTGAGAGTAGCCCCCAGTGGACAGCCAGTAAGAAGCTAGGGCCTTCAGTCAGACAGAGAAATGAATTCTTCCAGCATCCTGAAAAAGCCTAGAAGTGGATTCTTCCTTTGTCAAACCTCCAGATAAGCACGCAGTCTGCAAGCACCTTGATTATAGCCCAGTGAAACCCTGAGCAAAAGATTCAGTTTGTACCTGGACTCCCTACCCATACAAGCTATGAGATAAACATGTATTGTTTTAAGACACTAAGTTTGTGGTGATTTGTTTTGCAACAATAGAAAATTAATATACTTAGCAGGAAAAGCATAAGGAATAGATTTGGTCCTTATCAAATCCTAGTCAAAATGGAAATTCTCTCTTTTCAGAAGTACACTGAACAATGCAGCAGCGTATACAACTATAAACCCCCCTACATTTTTTTCTTTTGATTGGAAATGTACAAGATCCAATTTATGAGAATTCCTGTGCTTCTAGGGCACAAAACCATAGCAGTACTAGAAACAGCAAATACATATTTTTTATGCATTGCAATGTGTCAGATTTCATGCTAGGATGTCATTAGTAATAAATAGTTGTAAAACTGAAAGAAACCTTTCGAAGCTATCAATGTATAAAAAATGGTATTATAAAATATTGCTATACTAAAATATAATCAAGTAGCATGCAGCCAAAATATTTTAGAAGAAAAAAAGTACTTTAGAGTTATGTCAAGCAGTTAATAAGAAAATATTACATTATTTTTTATAGATTTAATGATGTTTGTGGTATTCGTTAGTATAATGTTTTAGTTTTTTGTTGTTGTCAGAGATAGGGTCTCGCTCTTTCACCCAGGTTGGAGAGGTGTGATAATAGCTCACTGCAACCTCCAACTCCTAAGCTCAAGCAATCCTTCTGCCTTAGCCTCCTAAGTAACTGGGACTGCAGGCGTGCACTCCTATGCCTGGCTAATTTTTTTATTTTTATTCTTGTAGAGAAAGGGTCTCATTATGTTGCCCAGGCTGGTCTCAAAACTCCTGGCCTCAAGTGATCCTCCCACCTCAGCCTCCCAAAGTACTGGGATTACAGGCATGGGCCACCTCGTCTAGCAAAATATTTCCTTTCATACCCACTTATAGAAAGCCTACCCATATGTAAAAACTTCAGACCTCAGAAAACATGGATCCTTATAGTAGGAACTAAACCCCTGCATTATTTGTAAGACCACCTCCCAAATTAACATGCCAGTCCTGGTAAAGTGATTCACATCTTATTTTCTATGCCGAATTTACTATCTCAGTGATCTCCCCAGAAAGCTAGGATAAGGCCTGCCTTACTCTTGCCATTCTAATGCCTTTAATGCCTTCTCTCTAAAATTCTTGGAACTGAAGTCTGTTTTTTTGTTGTTGTTTTGTTTTGTTTTTTTGAGATGGAGTTTCGCTCTTGTCTCCTAGGCAGGAGTGCAATGGCCACTATCTCGGCTCACCGCAACCTCTGTCTCCCAGGTTCAAGTGATTCTCATGCCTCAGCTTCCCTAGTAGCTGGAATTACAGGCGCTCACCACCAAGCCCAGCTAATTTTTGTATTTTTAGTAGAGACGGGTTTTCACCATGTTGTCCAAGATGGTCTCAAACTTTTGACCTCCACCAGCTTTGGCCTCCCAAAGTGCTGGCATTACAGGTGTGAGCCACCGTGCCTGGCCTGAAGTGTGCTCTTAAACCAATGTTAATTGGGGAGAACAGGCTAACTGATGGCAGGCTTTCCTGCTACAAACTATATGCCAGTCTATGTACCAAAATTGCTAATTATAGATTGCTAATTACTATGTTCAACCCACCTGATAGAATGTATCTTGCTATGCTCTAATCCATTCCTTCATCACTAGTTTCTCTCCTGAACTTTCCATTATCTATCACTAAATGTGCCAATTGTGTTCTACTTCCTAGGAGGTACCTTCTATCATTATTAACAGCTGGTTCCTCTACCACAGCTGCCTATCCCAATAGATGTAGTTCCAGAAACCAACTCCCCAAAGTCTTCCCAAGTCCATTGCTATCAGATAACTATTTGATGACCAGCTAATTGACAAAATAAAACCATCATCAGATTAGCACCCTCAAATTCAATAGAAAACAGATTCCAAAGAAATAAATATGCAAAAATTGACAGATCCATCAGAGGAGAGCATCTCAAATTCCCACTACTAAATTTTAAATCTTCTTAAACTACATTTTTTTCTATTTTCATATCATGATGGAAGACTTGTCCCTGCTCCTCTTAAAGCTGAACCCCTCTACTTATGCTGTAGCTATCATACCCTCTTACACTTTGAGGACATAATTTCTTCAACTATTCCCTCTTTCTCTCTCTTACACCATAGATCTCCCCCTTTTTACCAAATTCTCACTGGCATGTAACAGTGCTTTCTTATCCTAAGTCTTCAAAAAAATCCTTTTCAACCATATATTCAATTTCAGCTTCGTGTCCTACCATTTCTAAACTCACCTTCACAGAAAATTTCTAGAGTTGTTAACACCAGATAACTCCCCTTCTTTACTCCCCTTTTAATCTTCAATGCCTGTTAACTTGCCTTGATTTTTTTTTTTTTTTTTTTAGACAGAGTCTCACTCTGTTGCCCAGGCTGAAGTGCAGTGGCACGATCTCGGCTCACTTCAACCTCCACCTCCCAAGTTCAAGCAATTCTCCTGCCTCAGCCTCCCAAGTAGCTGGGATTACAGGCATGCACCACCATGCCTGGCTAATTTTTGTACTTTTAGTATAGACGAGGTTTCACCATGTTGGCCAGGCTGGTCGTGAACTCCTGACCACAAGTGATCTGCCCCCATGAGCCTCCCAAAGTGCTGGGATTACAGGCATGAACCATCACGCCTGGCTCAATGCATGTTAACTTGGATCATGCTATGACTACTTGGTTGAAACTTTTCCTAAGCTCACCAAAGATCACCCTACTATCAAAACAAGTGGAGATTTGTCTCTTCTTTACTTACTTTAATATTCATTAATGTTCAAACAATTGTTCATTCCTCTGCAAGGAGCTCAGGTGGAGGAAGACTTGGCCACATATGGGTGAATATTGGAGTAGGGGGATATGGGAAGAGGAGAAGGACTGACTTGGGATAGACCATGTGACAAGGTAGTGAGTCAGGAGATTGCCAAGCACCAGGGAACTACATGGAAGCTAAATTGAAATCTTAGGGTGGGCTTCCATAGTAAAATACCATAGACTGTAGATGCGTGGTGTTATTTCTGAGGCCTCTGTTCTGTTCCGTTGGTCTATATCTCTGTTTTGGTACCAGTACCATGCTGCTTTGGTTACTGTAGCCTTGTAGTATAGTTTGAAGTCAGGTGGCATGATGCCTCCAGCTTTGTTCTTTTTGCTTAGGGTTGTCTTGGCAGTGCAGGCTCTTTTCTGGTTCCATATGAACTTTAACGTAGTTTCTTCCAATTCTGTGAAGAAAGTCATTGGTAGCTTGATGGGGATGGCATTGAATCTATAAATTATCTTGGGCAGTATGGCCATTTTCACGATATTGATTCTTCCTAACCATGAGCATGGAATGTTCTTCCATTTGTTTGTGTCCCCTTTTATTTCATTGAGCAGTGGTTTGTAGTTCTCCTTGAAGAGGTCCTTCACATCCCTTGTAAGCTGGATTCCTAGGTATTTGATTCTCTTTGTGCAATTATGAATGGAAGTTCACTCATGATTTGGCTGTTTGTCTGTTATTGGTGTATAAGAATGCTTATGATTTTTGCACATTGATTTTGTATCCTGAGACTTTGTTGAAGTTGCTTATCAGCTTAAGGAAACCATCTGATCTTTGACAAACCTGACAAAAACAAGAAATGGGGAAAGGATTCCCTATTTAATAAATGGTGCTGGGAAAACTGGCTAGCCATATGTAGAAAGCTGAAACTGGATCCCTTCCTTACACCTTATACAAAAATTAGTTCAAGATGGATTAAAGACATGTTAGACCTAAAACCATAAAAACCCTAGAAGAAAACCTAGGCAATACCATTCAGGACATAGGCATGGGCAAGGATTTCATGACTAAAACACCAAAAGCAATGGCAACAAAAGCCAAAATAGACAAATGGGATCTAATTAAACTAAAGAGCTTCTGCACAGCAAAAGAAACTACCATCAGAGTGAACAGGTGACCTACAGAATGGAAGAAAATTTTTGCAATCTACCCATCTGACAAAAGGCTAATATCAAGAATCTACAAAGAACTTAAACGAATTTAGAAGAAAAAAATCAAACAACCCCATCAAAAAGTGGGCAAAGGATATGAACAGACACTTTTCAAAAGAAGACATTTATGCAGCCAACAGACACATGAAAAGATGCTCATGATCACTGGTCATCAGAGAAATGCAAATCAAAACCACAATGAGACACCATCTCACACCAGTTAGAATGGCAATCATTAAAAAGTCAGGAAACAACAGGTGCTGGAGAGGATGTGGAGAAATAGGAATGCTTTTACACTGTTGGTGGGACTGTAAACTAGTTCAACCATTGTAGAAGACAGTGTGGTGATTCCTCAAGGATCTAGAACTAGAAATACCACTTGACCCAGCCATCCCATTACTGAGTATATACCCAAAGGATTATGAATCATGCTACTATAAAGAAACATGCATGCACATGTTTATTGCGGCACTATTCACAATAGCAAAGACTTGGAACCAACCCAAATGTCCATCAATGATAGACTGGATTAAGAAAATGTGGCACATATACGCCATGGAATACTATGCAGCCATAAAAAACGATGAGTTCATGTCCTTGGTAGGGACATGGATGAAGCTGGAAACCATCATTCTGAGTAAACTATTGCAAGGACAGAAAACCAAACACCGCATGTTCTCACTCATAGGTGGAAATTGAACAATGAGAACACGTGGACATAGGTTGGGGAACATCACACACCGGGGCCCGTTGTGGGGTGGGGTCATGGAGGAGGGATAGCATTAGGTGAAATACCTAACGTAAATGACGAGTTAACAGGTGCAGCAAACCAACACAGCACATGTATACATATGTAACAAACCTGCACGTTGTGCACATGTACCCTAGAACTTAAAGCATAATAAAAATAAATAAATAATTAAAATACCATAGGCTAGGTGATTTAAACATAAGATTTAATTCTCACAGTTCTGCTGGCTGTGAAGTCCGAGATCAGGCTGACCACATGGCTGGGTTCTGGTGAGGGCCATTGTGGCTTGAAGATTGTTGTCTTTTTGCTGTATCTTCACATGGGAAGGGAGGGGAGAGAGAGAGAGAGAGCACACTCTTGTCTCTTTTTATAAGGATGCTAATCCCATCATGAGGGGCCTGCCATCACAACCATATCTGAAACTACCTCCCAAAGGCCCCACCTCCTATAATACCATCACATTAGAGGTTAGGGCTTCAACAGATTAATCTGGGGAGACACAAGTATTCCATCCATACAGTGTCTGAAAGCCATCCCTCCCTCTTCAAGTAAGTAAATCTCATCTCTGACTAAGATATCCCATTGCTGTTTTTCTTCTGTCTAGTGACGTCCTTCCATTTTCAGATACCTGCATATCATCCATTTATCATTCATGAAAACAGTCATCATCCTAAAACAGTGTTGAGCCCCCATGTGAATGATACCCTGTGTGAAAATCCCTATTTTCATCAGTCTATACCGTGAGGAGTGGTGGTGGTGTGGAAAAGAAAGCCCAGTATCAATACTTGAGTGGAACTGGACAGTGATAAATTCCTATATCAGTTCACTCTTAGCTCTGTGAAACCTATACAGACACTCTTAGCTCTGTGAAACCATCTCCTCCTGGTTTTCCTCCTACCTCACTAGCAGTTTTTTCTGTGTTTTTCCTTTTCCTCTTCTACCTAACATTTATGTGGGCTCATATTTAGGGATTCTTGGTTTGTTTGTTCATTCTCTCCCCCTTGGGAATATCACCCAATCCTATATATGTATGTGTGTTTGTACATACGTGTATGTGCACAAAAATGTGCATGCATATATATATAATTAAATTTATATATTTATATATTGTATATTATATAAAATTAAATTTATATATTTATATATTATATATTACATATAAATTTATATATATATTAAATATATAATTAAATTAAATATATATAATTAAATTTATATATTTAGCTCAGATATCTCTCATGTGCTATGGAATCATAGATCCAAATTCCTACTTGGTTTCTCCAAATGCACAGCCATTAGACATCTTAAACTAAATAAATCTGTGATGTTATAATGAACTCTCTCTCTCTCCCCTAAATCACTTTCTCATCTATTCTTCCCATCTCAATGAAGGCATCAACACTGCCCAGTTTTTTCAAGCCAAAACCTGGGATTCATCCTTTATTCATCTTTCACTGGTATCTTATATCCAGCCCGTCAACAAGTCTAATTGATTCAGTCTGCAAAATATTTCCCAAATCTCTATCTCCATTTCACAAATTTATATCTTCATTGTTACTGATCTAGTCCAATCTGTCATCACTTCTGTCACCTGATTAGAGCCACATTCTTCTCATCGATTCCCTCTTGTTCTCCTATAACCAATTCTCCACTATGCAGCTAGAATGCTCTTTTCAAAATATAATCGAAATGTAACTCACCTACACAAAATCCTTAATGACTCCCCATTGCACTTAAAGTAAAATCTGGATTTCCTTCCTTGATGTTCCAAAGAAACTTTGAACAATTGTTCCTGGCTTCAGGCTGAAAGGCTTTGGGACTTTGACAATGTAACATTTTCCCTTCTCCTAGGAAAAGATAGAATTAATAAAATGTCATCATTGTTCTTAAAGAATAACACAGCAAGGCCTACCCTATACTCCAGGGAAATATATATGTGCATATGTAATATATATTTTATAGATATATCTATACTTAATTTAATAGCTATATGTGTATCTGTATATACACATATATACACATGAATATATACATGTATAGACATATGTACACATATATACATGTGTAATACATACACAAAATATATAGTACATATACCTGTATAACATATAATTTATATGTAATATAATTATAAATATAATTTATATATCATTTATAATGCATATAGATTATACATATTTGTAATTTTGTAAATATATATACATACTAAGAGAAATAAAATATGCAAAGCCCTGCAAAATTCTTTGTGATATCTTTGTGTGGAAATGATACGTTTGCTATCTCAATGTTTTTATTAGATAATAGAGAAAAATACTACCTTTATCAGTTAGAATGCTTTAAGCTACAAGTAACTGAAAACACAACTAAAAATGACTTAAGCAAAATGACATTTACTATTTCACGTAACAGTCAATCCCAGGGTGAGTTGATTCAGAACTCCAGTGAATTTAGGACTTCAGCATATTCACTCTGTCAGCTTTTGATCTCAGGCTTCTCCATAATGTTCAGGAGAAACCTGTAACAGCTGCAAGTGTCACTCCCTCATAGAACAAGCCCAAAGACACAAAAAAGAATATTTCCTTAATGTGTCTGTTCTTATCAAAAGGAAGAATCTTCTTTAGTCACCCATCTGAAAGACTATCCCTCACTGAGTAATTCTATTACTCAGAATTGTCTCATATGTCAATGTCTAAGCCAATCCACTTTTGAGTGGATTGAGATTATGATTATTTTAGACCAATTGTTACAGGACCACCAGGTTCATATGCCTGCTATGCAATAACAGACCAATACACTGAGACAGCAGAGTTAGCAGCAGAGAGTTTAATGATTACAGGGCAGCTGAGCAAGGACATGGGAAAAACCCTCAAATCCATCTCCATGAGAGTTCTGGGCTGACGTTTTTAAGGGGTTGTGGACAGCCAGGGGCTGGAAAATTGAGGTTGCTGATGGGTCAGGAGAAGAGAGATGAAATCATCAGGATGTGGAAACTGCATTCTTTGCTGAGTCAGCACCTCATGGGGTCCTTCAGACCTGCTGGCATCAGTAGTTTCACATCAGTAGTTTCACCGGTATGCGGGACTTGAAAGAATATCTCAAATGGATAAAAGCTTCACAATGCTTAAGATGTTATCTAGGGGAACTATAATCTTGTGACAGGGTCTACGTGATTCTGGGGCAATAGGCAGGAAACAACCATGAGGAAGCAGGTCAGACAGCAAGCTGACCTAATGATTAATGCTGAATGTGCTACAAGCTTGGTTCGTTTTTGTTTCTCTCCTTCCCTTCTTCCCTGGCTAATTTTATGCAGTTGATAGGGACAGTTTCACAGTCATAACTCAGTGTGCAGAGCTAGGGAAAAACAGCCTGCCATGAAGCTCATGGCAGCACTATATCTGAACAAAAGTGGGGTCCCGTTAGCAAGAAGAAAGGAGATCTATTAAGAAACAAGGTGTATGGTGTCTGTCACACTTTCAGCAACTAAATAGAGTTTGCAATTAGGTGTCATCAATGTCCATCATTTCTGTCCAGTGGAAGTAATAAAAGTAATGGGACCATCTGGCATTTAAAGCATTCATCAGATCTATCCACAAAACTTTATGGTGTAAAATCTATTTATTACCTATTTCCTTCATCTTCAATTTCCCAAGACATAGAAATAACGACAGAATCTCACCAGCAGAGGGCTAAGAATTCATGCAGGTAATTTTTAAATTATTATTATTATTATTATTATTATTATCTTTATTTGATAATAAAGAACATGTAGGAAAACTTTTCTGAGTAGTGTTTACCTCTTGGCATACTAAAACTGTCATTTCACTGCTTCATAAAAATAGATACTTTGATTCTCAGTTAGTCGGAGATGATAACCTGGACTTAATATTTGCTCTCACATCTTTACTTCCTATCCCTGCCACTATGCATTAAAGCATCCCTAATTACATCAGTGAGGGTATTATCCAGATTGTAAATAATGTAAATAACTGGTAGGAGCTCTAATGCCTGGAATACAAAATTTAGCCCAAATCCAATGCCAAACAATAAGAGCATTCTGAGAGAAGATGACTCCTTTAATACCTTCTTCAACGGGACTATTGTGGTCAAGCATGGCTCCACAAAATTGTTTGTGGACCTAGAGCCAATACGTGGTGATGAAGTTTGCCTTAGGAAGCGATCACTAGCAAAGAAGATGCATCAAATAGCTTTGCCTCTAGTCACTACACCGTTGAAAAGGAAAGCATTGACTAAGTGTTGGATTGGATTCAGAAGCTAGCTGACTTAAGTACAGGTCTTCAGGCTTTCTTGAATTTTTGCTGGTTGGTGGTAACTACAGTTTTTATTTGCCTTTCTGTTGATAGAATCTCTATCAGTTGATTATAGGAGCAAAATTCTCCATTTACCCAGCTCCTTAGCTTTCCTTAGCTGAAGCTGAGGTCTTCAATTCCATCAACTCTTTAGCACTTTGATTGTGTCTTCATATTAGATAATGAGGCCATCTATAATATTTATGTAGAAACCTTAATATTGAGCACCCAATACACAATAACCTTAAGCACATTTTCAACCAGTGTGTATTCTCCATCATTGTTTCTCTCAGATTTCATGGTGCCTTGAATGTCAATATATCAAAATTTTATACTTATTCTCTATCTTTATGTCTACTTCCCTCCGTGTATATATCCAGCTATCTCTGCTGGGAAAACCTACCACAAACATTTTCTGTAGCAGAGATAACTAATGCTTGCTCTGAGCTAGCCAACCAGATGATATGTGACACTTGAAATGATAAATGTATGGCTCACTACCTATTGTATAGTATTATGGTAATAATACATTATTACTATATCAGTGTAATATGGTTTCCACAAATATGAAGGCTGCATTGCCACCATCAAGACAAATTTGCAGATCTGTGCCTCTCTGGCTTCAAGGTTGGAATCAATTATCAGTGTCCCACTGCAGTTCTAGTAGAGACTGCCAAAGTAAATGCAGTTGTGTGCTCATGGAGCAATACTGCAGTCATAGCTGAAGCCTGGACTTGCCTAGACCGCAAGTTGGTCATGCCAAGAGTGCCTTTGTTCACTGTGTATAAGGGTGAAGAGATGAAAGAAGGGGAGTATTCAGAAGCATGGATGGCCTAGGGAAAGATTATAAGGCAATGTGGATTTCAGAGGATCAGGGAAAGAAGGAGAGAAATATAAGTTGTCTATTCCCTTTAACTTGCCACATCTTAGCACAGTTTATCTTTAACTTAAGTCATCAGTGTCTGATTAGATTGTCTTTACTTTCAAATGTGATTGCTCCTGCATAACTCTTGTGTACCTACAAATTTTTTTCTATTTTCATCCATGAAAGTAAAGGCTTTAACAAACAGAATGACATATAGATGTGTGTATGCATGAGTGTGTATGGAGAGAGATGACAGAAAGAATAAGCTTAAGGCTCAGTGTGGTGGCTCACACCTGTAATCCCAGCACTTGGGGAGGCCCAGACAGGTGGATCACTTGATCAGGAGTTCAAGCCAGCCTAGCGAACATGGTGAAACCCCCCTATACTAAAAGTACAAAAATTATCTGAGATCCATGGAGGGCACCTGTAATCCCAGCTACTCAGGAAGCTGAGGCAGGAGAATCAATTGAATCTTGGAGGCAGAGGTTGCAGCGAGCCAAGATCTCACCACTGCACTCCAGCCTGGGCAACAGAGTGAGATTCCGTCTAAAAAAAAAAAAAAAAAAAAAAGAATAGGCTTAAGAAGGAAAGGCTATCATCCCTGAACTTGAACCTGAAATACCTGTTGTATTTACAAATTCCCAAGTAACTCGGCTCCTCTCTAGTTTTATTTTGAACACTCTTTTTATTTTGGCTCCTCTCTAGTTTTATTTTGAACTCTCTAGTTTTATTTAGGCTCCTCTCTAGTTTTATTTTGAACACTCTTCCTCTTACATACTACAGTCTAGCTGCATTAGCAGGCAGATCCTGATGCATTTATACCATAAAGCCTAGAAAGTCATTTTATTTTATACACATTTATTATTATATTTTGAAGTTATTATATTTTGTCTCCAGTCACTGTTGCTTAAGTAGTTAAGTCAAACAATAAAGTAGGAAGATAGTGGTGTCGGCCGCAGGCTGGTCCCAAGCAGCGGAGGCCGCAGAGCTGAGTGACGCCCCAAGTGCTGGATGCCTCAGCTGGAGGCCATCTGCAAGCTGGGCTGCTATCACTCGCTGGGAGAGGCAGTGAGGCCAGAGCGCCACCCAGTGCCCCTGGGCACGCCTGCAGCTGCCCTGCCTGCTGCTCTGCCTGGCTGACCCAGTAAAGCAGCTACATTGTCTGGGATATATATCCTGGAGCTCGTCATTGCATGCCAGGAAAATTTAGAACACGGACACACACCAGGAAGTTTGGAGAGGAGGTTTAATAGGCAGAAGAGAAAAGAAAGAGAAACAGCTCTCTTTATAGAGAGAGGGGTCTCTGAGCTGAAAGGGCTGGCTGGTTGGCCAACGCACCTGATTTTTCAGTCAGGTTTGAGGAGGCAGTGTCTGATTTACATAGGGCTCACAGATTGGTTCGATCAGGTATGACTTTTACATTGCGAGTGAGAAAGGCTGGTTTCCCCACCCTAATCTTATTATGCAAATGGACTTTCCAGTTGATCCCAGCGCCATCTTGTCTGTTCCTTACTGTACACTGGCTGGCAGAGAAGGGAAGATGGAACCGCCATCTTGAACGTATCTAGTCCCTAGTTCCTGCCAGCATTCACCCCTGCAAGCTCCCAACTTGCTTGTCTGTGTCTGCAGTTCAACTTTACAGGCTGCCCTTTGTTAGAAAATGATTTGCGGCTGCTTTTCGTTAAAAGAAAAGCCTTACTGAGGACTCCCATACCCTTACTATTGGCCTAAGTAATTTCTTCTTTGTCACCAGCAGAGAGTGCAGCACTCTGGCTGCACACCTGCTGGGCCTAGGCCTGCAGCATGCCATGCAGCCCTCCTGAGGCCCTACAGAGCAGGCAGCCATGGGAGGTCTGCAAGGTGCTGTGCAGGACACTCTGCAGCTGTCCCACCTGGCAGTGACCTTAGGAGACACTTAGTTCACTCCCTATCTAGGCATCATGTGTTTCCGTTATCGAAGAAAAGAGTCAAACTTTGTAAAATATTTGGAGAGATTTATTCTAAGCCAAATTTGAGTGACTATAACCCATGACACAGCCCTCAGGAGACCCTGAAAACATGTACCCAAGGTGGTCAGGGAGCAGCTGGGTTTTATACATTTTAGGGAGACATGAGACTTCAAGTACATTTAAGAAATACATTGGTTCTGTCCAGAAAGGCAGGACAACTCGAAGGGCGGGGAGGGGAGGGGAGCGGAGTGCGGAGCTTCCAGTTTATAGGCAGATTTAAAAATTTTTTGGTTGACAATTGGTTAAGTTTATCTAAAGACCTGGGATCAATAGAAAGGAAATATCTGGGTTGAAGTAAGAGGTTGTGGAGACCAAAATTTTATGAAACAGATGAAGCCTCCAAGGTAGTCAGCTTCAGAGAGAATAGGTTGTAAAAATTTCTTAGACTTAGGGTTTATGTTGATGTTAATGCTGGAGAGGTATAATGAGGCATGTCCAACCCCTACTTCCCATCATGACCTGAACCAGTCTCTCAGGTTAAATTTTAAGAGCACCCTGGCTGAGGAGGAAGTCCATTCAGATGGTTTGGCTGGCGGGGGGCTTAGAATTTTATTTTTGGTTTACACCATTAGCTCAGAGGCTCATTGATGATATCCCTCAAGTCTGACAAGCGGAGACCTCTTCTGGTGGTGTTACCGCAACTCTGGCCTGAGTTCTTGGCTCACTCATAAGTAAAAATTAACACCAGCGCAAATAGGAATTTATTTCAGGCAAAGTTTAATAGGCTTGTGGCTCTAGCAGCACAACGGAGCAGAGTACAGAAAAGGAGTCCTGATGTTAGCTCCCAAAAGGGCTCTGCTCTTGTCATTTTAAGGAAGTTGAGGCAGGAAAAAGGAGCAACGTGTAGGCAATGTTTAGGCAGGGTCTTCTCTGCACCTACACAGTGAGGTCTCATGCCCAAACATGAGGCACATGTGTCAGAGGCATTTGAACCAGAGTCACTCCATCTTGAATGGGGGCTGGGTAAAATAAGGTTGAGACCTACTGGGCTGCATTCCTGAGAGATTAGGCATTCTTACTCACAGGATGAGACAGGAAGTCGGCACTAAGTACAGGTCACAAAGACCTTGCTGATAAAAAGAAGTGGTAAAGAAGCCGGCCAAAACCAGCCAAAACCCACCAAAACCAAGATGGTAACAAAAATGACCTCGGGTCATCCTCACTGCTCATGCATTAGCATGCTAAAAGACACTCCCACTAGCGCCATGACAGTTTACAAATGCCATGGCAACATCAGGAAGTCACCCTATATGGTCTAAAAAGGGGAGGAACCCTCAGTTCTGGGAATTGCCCACTCCTTTCCCAGAAAACTGCTAAACAAGGAGTAATCAATCCCTTGTTTAGCATATACTCAAGAAGTAACAAGTACAAGCAGCTGAGCAGCCAAAGCCACTGCTCTGCCTATGGAGTAGGCATTCTTTATTCCTTTGCTTTCTTGATGAACTTGCTTTCACTTTACTCTATGGACTCGCCCCGAACTCTTTGTTGCGTGAGATCCAAGAACCCTCTTTTGGGGTCTGGATCAGGACCCCTTTCTGGTAACACATGTACAGAAAATGGCAGATAACCTCCATCTTGGGTGGAGATTTTAGTATTACAATGAGATTGTAGTGAGAAAAACTTGGTGAAAGCTCAGCACTGAAGTTCATCTTGTTGCAAACCAGCTGGATCTGGTCATGTTCTTATCAGGAAGGCCAGAATCCTGCTTCAGTAATCTTGGAACACATAGCTGAAAGAGAGAAATGGTTAGGTTCTTCCTTTTTTGGTTTTATGATTAGGAATCCAGCCTGGTCAGCTAAGTTAGGATGGACCCTCTCTCTGCTACTGTGACTGGGGTTAGCTTGTTAAAACAGACAAGAAGGTATGGAAAAGAATATGCCCACATGTGTAAGGCCCACTAGGATGTTGATTATCTGTCCTGTCTGCCAGGACCAAGTCCCTTCCCTATACTGTCTCAGTGCAGGGGCTGGATGCTTTGTCTGTGGGACTGCTACTCCTTTCTTTTCATAAGTTTATCCTATTGTTGCTGAGCAGCTTAATTGACAAAATGCCTGAAATCAGAGGGATTTCATCTGCCGAAAACTGGTGTCTAACTGTAAGCAAAAGTTGGTTTACGGTGGCAAAAGGAGAATGAAGGGGATCCGAAGGACAAACCTGACTTTGCCTCTCTTCTACCCTCCACCCCACTATCCTCTGGAAGAGAGTTGCCCGGTGTTGGGAGCTCAGGAGTGTCTTCAGAAATCTCTCCACGAAGCTTCCTGCCATCTGTCATGAAATCTCCTCACAAGACCACATCAGGGAACATCTCAAAATCATCCTCAGAACCCTGCACCAATCATGTGCTGATGAGAAGCCGGTGGTGAGCAGTTGTACAAGATCCACAGAGCTTGATGGGAATTTGTCAACCCCCAAATGTTTCTAAAGTTGATCTTATAGATGCTGAAAATGTCACCCTCCCTTTCCGGCCTCTTGTGCCTTGCTCCTGTCATTCGAAGCTGCCCATCTGAAGCCCTCTAGCCTCAACCTGAAGGTTATTGCCATGGATCTGGCCCAGATGCACGCCTGTCAAGGACCTGGAAATGACCTTTACATTGAAGCATCTGCTGCTCTGTGTGCAGGCTCTGATTTCAGTGTGTCAGGAGGACTGCAGTGGGTCCAGCTTGTAGCTCATGGAAGTGCTGGTGATGATAATGGCTGGCTCAGGTGCCACAGGCCTCCATGGCAAGGTTTAGGAGACAATGAACTCGATGGTTGCAGTGGAGAAGTCAATGTCAGCCAGGATTTCTGTGGGAAATACACAGATGTGGTCAACCACATCACACAACGACTGGACTATGTACTCTGCAGAACTTATGCAGCTCAACGTACTTGTCACTCAGGCTCTGTTGTAAAAGAAGTGCCACAACACTTGGTCCCCACACCCAATGCCTATCTCCAGCCAGCCAGAGACCTGCAGATGTGTCTAAAACTTTTTTCCATCCTGTCCAAAGTGCTGCTGAGGCCAAAGGACACCATCACCTCCCAAAGGCAGTTTCACAGCTACCCTGAGACAGTGATAAAGGACATCTGCAAAGGCATGTGGGAGGACAGCCATTGTGTCCTGCCTCTGGGTGCTCCCTAGCTGCAAGGTCCTGTTGGTCAAACAGATACAGGAAGTGTAGTAGGGAATACTGATACCTCAAATTCTGACCACCCTGGAAGAATATTCTCAACTGACTTAGTTAATTCCATGCAAAATTATTATTATTATTATTTTTTTAACAGGAAAATATTCTGATTTTTATTTTTGCACGTTATTCTCAAGTACACAATTACAATAATGTCACACATCCCTATATGATTTTCTTTTTATGTATTTTACTTTCTTTACAAAGTGTACAGAGGGAGGGACATACAATATTTAATAGGATATTTCTACAGAACAATAACTTATATTATGTCCTTGTAAAAATCTGTACCTCTTTAAAACATTTAACTGAAACATCCATTTTTTTTAGCTTTGCTAATCAAAATTGTTTTAAGAATTAAAACTAGGTTGTAACTAATGTCAGTACATAACAGTGACTACAATTTCATTTTCTCTTTATACAGACAAGTATGTTTTATCATATTCACTTGACCAAACCCTTAAATGCCTTTTAAAGGTTTTAATGTTGTGCTTTAAAAAGAAAAGAACTGTGTATGATTCCAGAGTATGTAAGAGAAATATAAAATGTGTGAAGTGTTGTGTTCTTTATCTTTCAGTTTATTTAAAAAAATATAGTTAAATGACCCAATCATTTATATTTTCTGTATTAATTTTATAGGATTTAAAATTAATACATATATTTTTTAAAACCTCTGGTGATGTGATTAATGCAGATAAATTCATTGAGATTTACCCTGAACTCTAAAAACATCTAGATGACATTTTCAACAACATAATAATAGCAGCTGCATCCACCTTAATCACCTGGCTGAAATGCATCAAAAGCACTGATAGATAGTCTTATCATCAAAACAACATTCAATATCTGTATAAGGAACTCCTTGTTCATCTTGATGATTCAGAGAGCGCCATCCAGGAAGCAATTTTAGAGGTCCTTTAAGATGGCGGCATCCTATCCTCAGATCTGATGAGGGAGACTGATGCTGTCATCTACAAGCAGCACTCTGCATTGGCTGGGAGCAGCATCTGTAGCACATGCAGGCCTTGCTGGCCACACAGTGACCAGCATTCTGGGCTGGGAGCATTCAGTGTGATGGCTAGGGGTGGGAACAGACACCAAACACTCATTCTAACCTGGACCAGAATTTGTGTCCTTTAAGCCTCCTAAAAAGAAATTTCATCTTTCTTTGGTTTCTGTCTCCTGAAATTTAATATCTCAGTGAACAGACTAAAAGGAGTTTGAAATCTTAACAATCAATAAAGTTTTTCCCATTTTAACTATCATGGAACTTAAAAAGTTATATAGACATATACATTAAGAGTATTTTTTTTCTTAGGTCAGTAATGCTAACAGTGTTGAAAATAGAGTAACCAGATCTAATTTTGCTTACTCTCTTATAAGTAGCAGTAAAGTAAAATTATATTTTATTTTCTATACCCAAGTGCCTAAAGGACTTTAAGTGAGTATTGTTATCATAAGCTAATATTTATGTTAATACAAAGGGGAAAATGTTGTGTATACTTTCCAACAATCAAATATTAATAATTATGCTTTATTGTTTAAAGATTTAATTTAAAATATTTATTTTTTTTAAGTCTTGGAGAATTATATTTCAATTGTTAGTCTATGATAATTTCTCTTACTGTTCTACATGCAAGTTTTCAAAAATATTCCTAGAAAATGTGATATGCACATAGTCTTAGTCTATTTAGGCTGCTATAACAAACTACACCCTGCTCCCAGCCCCTGGCCAGGGAAGGCGGCCCCTCCCCAGTCACCCCACCTTTCACTCCCACTACAACCAGGAGAAGGTATTCCTGAGCCCTCTCCCACCCTCACCCTGCCTCCCCACTTCCCCGGCTCCAGTCTCTGCCAGTGGAGCCCACTGTGCCAGACAGTTTCAATGCTTTGCAAAGACAAAGACCCCTAAACTGGAGGGAGGAGGAGGAGGAAGAGGAGCGGAGAGAGAAGGAAGAAGCGATGTGAGCTGGGAAGGGGGCGAGTATCCGGGACACTCACACCCTTTTATCTACTCCAAACTCCCTCATGCCCAAATCCCAGAAACTCCAGCGTGTCTCCAGCCATGCTGGTACCATTTTCAGATTTTACCTTCTTTAACTGGAAATGTCAATGAGAGGAAATTAACATCTGCAAGAGCTGCAGTGAGCAAATGCTTTGAGCTTGGGCCAGGACAATTCCATTTGGGGACCTGAGATGGACAGTCACTCAGCCTATGGAGATGAAGAAACTGAGGCTCAGAGAGGTTAAGAGACTCCACTAAAGTCACACAGCCAATGACAGCCAACCTTCTGTGGCCTTCATCAAGCTTGTCATATAACCCACCATGTCTCTGGTGACAGCATGAAAGACAAAGCCCTAATTAAGGATCATCAGAAACCACACTCGGAGGAGGGCGGCAGAGACAGCTTCCCTCCCTGCTATACCAAGACCCTTCCTTCAAGGTCCTCACTCCTCAGAGAGCCTGGACTGTCACAGAGGTTAATTACCTCTTAGCTTCTTCGGATGGGAATGGAAATCACTGGTTAAAGCTTTATCAAGAGACGTTATCAGCTCTTTAAGGATTGCAGAAGAATAGGCTACTTTATTTTCTGAAAAGGAGGGAGTTCCTGCCACCCATTGCAGGGAGGTCGCCATCAGGACAGTGAAGATGGTGACCCTGCGGAAGAGGACCCTGAAAGTGCTCACCTTCCTCGTGCTCTTCATCTTCCTCACCTCCTTCCTGAACTACTCCCACGCCATGGTGGCCACCACCTGGTTCCCCAAGAAGATGGTCCTGGAGCTCTTGGAGAACCTGAAGAGACTGATCAAGCACAGGCCCTGCACTTGCACCCACTGCATCAGGCAGCATGGGCTCTCAGCCTGGTTCGATGAGAGGTTCAACCAGATAGTGCAGCTGCTGCTGACTGCCCAGAACGCGCTCTTGGAGGACAACACCTACCAATGGTGGCTGAGGCTCCAGCAGGAGAAGAAGCCCAATATCATCAACAATACCATCAAGGAATTCAGAGCAGTACCTGGGAATGTGGACCCAATGCTGGAGAAGAGGTCGGTGGGCTGCTGGCACTGTGCTGTCGTGGGCAACTCGGGCAACCTGAGGCAATTGTCATATAGGCCTGCGATAGAGTCACAATTTTATGCTCAGGATGAACAAGGCACCCACGGCAGGGTTTGAAGCTGCTGCCGGGAGCAAAACCGCCCACCATCTGGTGTACCCTGAGAGCTTCCGGGAGCTGGGGGACAATGTCAGCATGGTCCTGGTGCCCTTAAAGACCATGAACTTGGAGTGGGTGGTGAGCACCACCACCACGGGTGCCATTTCCCACACCTACACCCCGGTCCTCGTGAAGATCAGAGTGAAACAGGATAAGATCCTGATCTACCACCCAGCCTTCATCAAGTATGTCTTCGACAACTGGCTGCAGAGCCACAGGCGGTACCCACTCACCAGCATCCTCTCGGTCATCTTCTCAATGCATGTCTGCGATTAGGTAGACTTGTATAGCTTCTGAGCAGATAGCAAAGGGAACTGACACCACTACTGGGAGAACAACCTGTCTGCGGGGTCTTTTCACAAGACGGGGGTGCACGATGCAGGCTTTGAGTCTAACGTGACGGCCACCTTGGCTTCATGAATAAAATCCGGATCTTCAAGGGGAGATGACACAGTGAAGGGTTGAGGATGGATGCACCATCATGCCTCTGCGTTTCCAGCCCCAGCATCTTGCCAGAGCCAGTCCATCCGGGATCTTGGAGGGTCAGCCTCAGGTGTGTGCCCAAGTGCCACTTGCAGCCTCTTGCACCCAGCCGTTGGCAGCATCTACTCAGCAAGGTCACTACCTATCATGGCGGAGCATGTCTCAAAACCTGTCTTGGGTGGGGACAACGTCCCCCGACTGCTGCCCCAGGGCTGGGGAGACGCTGGAAAAGGTTCAACCTCCACATATTAAAATCATTTTGGCTCCTGGGGTGGGATTGGGGAACAAATGTGGAAGACGCCCATATTCTGAGAGACAGCATGGTTTCCCAAGGAAGACTGGCAGAGAAACTTGAGTGGTGATTACCTCCAGCACAGAGAAACGCTGGGCGGTATCCGCGCTGGGGGTGAGATGCTGCCCTTCTTTGCATGAAGCCTGGCCTCTCCCTTGGCGTGATAACCCTGTCATCCCCTTCTTCCCAAAGCTCATTTAAGTGCCACCAGAGGCTTCTACCCCAAAGATTTTCACAGAAACTTGAGGCCAGGTGCCGTGGCTCACACCTGTAATCCCAACAACTTGGGAGGCCAAGGCAGGAGGATCCCTTGAGCCCAGGAGTTCAAGACCAGCCTGGACAACATAGTGAGACTCCTATCTCTACAAAAATAAAATATTTTTTTAAAATTAGCCAGGCATGGTGGCACACACTTGTAGCCCCAGCTACTAGGGAGGCTGAGGTGGGAGGATCTCTTGTACCCAGGAGTTCAAGGCTGCAGTGAGCTGTGATCTCACCAATGCACTCCAGCCCAGAGTGAGACCCTGTCTCTAAAAGAAAGAAAGAAAAAAGGAAAAAAAAACAAAAAACTTGGCACCATGTTTCTAACTCCTGAAGATGCCTCTTCCCAAGCAGCTATTCCTTTGGATAATCAGTCTCATGGCTCTAATCGTGGCAAGAGCAGATCTGACCGCTTCCATATGCCTTTGCATTTGGGGAAGAAAAGCACGTATTGGCTGAAATAAGGCAAAAGCCCCTACTTGGGGAAAGGGATCCCCACCAGTGGCCCCACTTGCTCCGTAGCTGGAAACATCTTTTCTGGTTTCCTGAGCTGGCACCTGAATTAGAACAAAGCTCTGAGGATATTCAGCGCCCCCTAGCAGTGCGTCAGAATGGGACCATACATTCTTTCTCAGACTACTCAATATGGTGCCCTTAACCACCAAGGCCACACAGGAGGCTTCCAGCAGCATTTTCCCCAAGGGCCTGAGCTCAGGGTCAAGTCCCTGCTGGCCACCTTGGGGCTGTCACTGGGGGGCTGGGCCAGGGACATCCCAGGAATGGCGACTGGCACATACCTCATCTTCTCGCTCCCCAACTACTCTCTTTTCCTCGTTAGGCTTCCTGATTATTGATTGATTTTTTAAAAATTCAATTGACATTGTTTGCACTGTGGCTCTGTTGGTGGTCCTGGTGTGTTGGTGGTCCTGGTGTTTTAATGAAGCTTGCCTCACCCAGCAGCTGGGAAATAGGGAGGCTTAAGGAAGGTTTGTAGGAGTCCTTGGACTTGGGATATTGGGGGTATCTAGGGCTTGGATGGTTTGTGGAATGTCCACAGCATCCTCCCATTCCAACCCAACCTTCCTTCTTCCTCACTGTGGACTGGAATTCATTCTCAGGCTAGGAGTCTCCAAAACTCTATGAAACCTTATTGCTGCTGGGTGGGGAGTGAAGAGTGACAGGCATGGTGGGGACAGTGATTGTTGGCTCCAGTTACTAATGTTTAAGCAGAAAAACCACTTTTCTTTAAAAAAAAAAAAATCTCTTAAAAGGCCACTGCTGCCTTGAGGAGGTGTGACCTTTTCCTGGTGGAGTGTGAAGGAGGCATGGGGCCTGTGCTCCCAGGCTCAGGGAAACCCCCTCTGCACACTGGGAGGGAGGAGCTTGGGGACACCAGTCATGGGTAAAGGTCGCTTCAGGCCATTCACAAGAGTCCCTGGAAGTTGCATGCTAAGTTTGTTTTTTTCTCTGAATCTCTGCATATGAGCATTTTTCTGGAGAGAGGTTCCATAGCTTTTATTAGATTCTCAAGGGTTCAGAATGTGGAAAGTGTTAAACAAACAAACAAAAAACCTGTTTCAGCTTTAACATCCTCCAAAACTTTAAGACTTTTTTTTTTTTCTGATAAAGGCTGGTAATCACTGAGTCATCATTCACAACAGACATCCTCGAAGGGCAGAGCTCACAGACATGTATGACATGAAGAATTCAGCAAACGTTTCTTGATTGGCTAGTCAAACACTGATACAAAGAGCGATGCTGTCTCCTGAACTCTTCCTCTTCTCCTAAAAGCTGACTCCATTTAGGGATGACCGGCTCAGGCTGAGCAATCGACTTCTCTGGGTTTTCTTTGAGTAAGAATAGGTCCCTTGAAATGAAGATATGTCTGTGTCTGAGCCGGATGCTGCCTGGGTCGGTCGTCTGCTCTCTGTCTGGTCTCCCTCCGTTCCACTAGGATGGTCAAGCTGTGAGATATCTTCCAGCCCCCAAATCCAGCTCTCCCATTTTACTGATAAGAAAAGCAAGGCCACATTGCAGTTGGGTGGGGAGTGGAGAGTGCCAGGCATGGGAGGACAGTGATTGTTGACTCTAGTTACTGATGTTTAATCAGAAAAACCACCTATCCTGTTAAGCACGTTTCCTAAAAGGCCACTGCTGCATGGGGAGGCGTGGCCTTTTCCTGGTGGAGTACGAAGGAGGGAAGTGACTGGCAATCAGGAACTGGCTGGGACAGATAGCACAAGTCAGAGTTTCAGCAACAACGGGGTGTTCCTGGCACCATGTTTAAATTGTCTGGAGGCGGGCTTTCCCAGCGAGTCTCTATTCAGCATCTGGAAAAAGTGTAACCAGAATGGAGGTGTCTGACTCTCCTCTGCTCTCTCAGCACTGAGCTGTGTCCGCAGGCTGCCTGCATGGCCCTAGGCAAGCTCTTGTCTCTGCCTTCTCACACCCTCCAGTGCAGGAGATGGCATTTCTCTTATGAGACATAAAAGAAGCCCAGCAGACATCTCTTATGTCTCATTGGCTTAGCAATGGGCACTTAACAGAATAAAAGCCAATTGTTGTGGCCAGAACTAAATGCACCAGTTTGGCTTAAACCAAATGCAACCCTGGGGTGAAGGTGGCTGGGAATTAGACAAGAGTGTTAGCCAAAGGGCACCATGCATGCTGTCAGCAGGAGAATGAGGAGCACTCTTGCTGGGCAGGCAGTGGCAGGGGCTCCCTCAGGCCCCTGAATCCCAGCCTAGGGCTCTTTCTACTCTGCAGGCAGAGAGCTCCTTGGAGACCGGCCCTGGGCTCAGGCAGGGAGTAGACGGGTCCCTGCCTGCAGCACCCAGAGCTGAACCTGAAGCCACAAAGATAGGCTGACAAGGTGGCCCATGAAGTGTCAGCAACATCCCAGCCCCCTGGGTCTCCCCAGTGAGTCAGGGTACTGATTTGCTATAGCTGAGCTACATGCCCCTCCCCTCCCCTCAGTCACCTTTTAGGGGAGAAAGGAGGGCAGATTTGTAACCTCCGGTGCTCTGCAGGGATCCTGGGCTGGAAGAAAGTTCATAAATGGATGAATGCCTTTTAAAACTCTGGCTAGTCCTAGCATCATTCAGCAAAGCATTTGGCTAGGCTTAGAGAGAAAAGCCAGATATGAGAAAATAGAATGTAAAATAGAAAAAAAAAGTCAAGAAGGGGGAGAGGGCAGTTAAGATCTGGGTGATTCTTTAGGGAAAGGGCTTGTTGAGAGGTTTTGATGGAATCCCATTCTCTGATGTGGCCAGAAAGCCATGCTAGAGGCCAGTCCCACCTGGATGTGACTCTGGCTTCTTGGCAAAGGTAGAATAAAACCACAGAGAACATTTAGAACAGGGATGTTTGCTTTGAGGTAATCTGAAAACAAGTAACAGAGAAACCAAAAGAACTCACTCTCCCTCACCTGGTTAGGATCAAAACTACTTTATGCAGGGAAGCCCACGCCCTGAGGGGCCACCGTCCAGCTAAAGATCACTGGATGCCAGGCATGTGTCATCAGGAACCAGCACCTGTCCTCGCCCCTATGAAAAGCCCTGGGGGTATCATTATATCCATCATGAACATCTGGTTTGCAGCAAATGTGACTGCATGCCACCAGGATCATCCTGCCCCATGGACTGGGCTAGCTAGTTTTGATATAGAGTCAACCTCCCTCTTCTTGTTTGCCATGAAAACACCAGCTCCTGCACCCCTGGGGTGCTACCTGACACCTGTGCAAAGAAAAGGAGGAAGACTTAGAAGAAAAGGCAGAGACAGGCAAAGCAGCATCTCAGCTTGTCAGGATTAGGATATTACCGATTTTTTTTCTTATCAAAAGAGCACTGAATTTCCTACTGACAGTGAGCCGCCTTTGCACCTCCTGTTCTCCCTCCCAGCCTATCAGGTGATACCATCACCCAGCCTCATCACTCAGCTTCTTCCTAGTACAAAACTGCCATCGGTTGCATGTTCTGAGCTCCGGGATGTCAGATTTAACCATAGCCTGCATCAGGGCCTCCCCGTCCAAGCCCCTGCCTCTTAGGGTGATTATGGGTTTATTCCCTTCCTCCTACACAGTCGTTTCCCTCCACTGAATTCCCTTCAAAACCAAAGTTTCTTGAGCACTTTTTCTTCTGTGCAGTCTTGTGTGTTTGGCTGTTGGTGTTTTAAAATTTGCTCTCTATTCTCCCTTACCTCTCTCCGTGTTGTTGTGAAGCTGAGCACTGGTTGGGATGCATCTGAATGATGTTAGCAAGATCCTGTTTTCCTCATCCCCTGCTCTGTTTTATTTATTGTTGAATATTTCCAATGATCCAAATCAAAGTGAATAAAAAAAGAGCTATTTTATTAAAAAAAAAACTACCATAGACTGGGTGGCTTATAAATGACAGAAACTTATTTCTCACAGTTTTGGAGTTTCGGAAGTTAAAGGTTAAGGCACTGGCAGATTCGGTGTCTAATGAGGGTGCACATCCTAATTTACAGACAGCTGTCTTCTCACCTGCCCATGGCTAAAAAGGCAAGGGAGTTCTCTAAGCTCTCATGTCCCAGAGGCCTCACATGACACTGGGAATTAGGTTTGAACATATGAATTTGGTGGGGATATAAACATTGTGTATGGCACACATATTCTAATTTATAGATAATTTAAGTAGATAATTATTCACATTTATTGAAAGGGTTATTTTCTTTACGATGGAATTCCCTCTGGGTTCTAATTAGTTGCCTCCAACTCATTCAAATGTTACTACAATACCTTTGGGCAAAGAAGCCAGTCTTCAAATGCGAAAGGTCAGCTACTCTCCAACTGTGTTCATGAAGGCCTGATCTCAGGACTCAGTATTTCCTAATCTTTTTGATAGCCACAAAACAGATGTTCCAGTTTTTGAACATAATATGTCTGGCATAATATACTAGAAAAACACTAGATTAGGAAGAAAACTAGGTTCTAGTCTTGACTCTGCATCTACAATTATGTGAATTTATTCAAGCCATTTAATGTCTTTGGGTCATCCTCTGTGAAACAAAGGAGTTGAACATTTAGATGATGGTCAAGCATCCTTTCTGTGCTAATACTCAATAATTCAGGAGTATGGAGTAAAAATAATACATTTTAAAATGTTCTGTAACTATAAAACATTGGCATCCGACACCAGGGAGAGGCCATTTCCTGATGGTCCACACCTATTGCACTAAAGTGTTCATTGAATGCAGATGCCAGTGAGAAGCAACTTCCCGGGCATGTGCATTAAGAGACAAAATGGTAGAACATGAGCTTCCGGGGGCACAACACCAGAAAAGGGAAGAAAGCCTCAAATGGGCATACAAACAACTTTCTAAACACACTGCTTGTGCTCACCTCCCAAGTGTAACGAGGGCACTGCACATCCAGGCATTTCACCTTAAGGGAAGAATTATGGGAAAGGGGTGCAAGACATGGGAAGGAGGGCCAGCCTATAAGGTCCTAGAATCAAGGTTAAACACTGCATTTGACCTTCTCAGTGCCCACTTGGGTCTCTTCCAAGCATACTTTGCTTTCTTTCCTGCTCTAAAGCTTTTTAATAAACTTTTATTCCTGCTCTGAAACTTACCTTGGTCTCTTTTTCTGCCTTATGCCCCTCAGTCAAATTCTTTTTTCTGAAGAGGCAAGAATTGAGGTTGCTGCAGACCCATATGGCCCCGCTGGATTTCGGACTTGCACGAGGCCTGTAGCCCTGTCATTTCGGCCAATTTCTTCCATTTGAAATGGGTGTATTTACCCAATGCCTGTACCTCCATTGTATCTAGGAAGTAACTAACTGGCTTTTGACTTTACAGGCTCATAGGCAGAAGGGACTTACCTTGTCTCAGATGAGACTTTGGACTGTGGACTTTTGAGTTAATGCTGAAATAAGTTAAGACTTTGGGGGAACTGCTGGGAAGGCCTGATTGGTTTTGGAATGTGAGGACATGAAGTTTGGGAGGGGCCAGAGTTGGAATGATATGGTTTGGTTATGTCCCCACCCAAATCTCATCTTGAATTGTAGCTTCCGTAATCCCCATGTATCACAGGAGGGACCTGGTGGGAGATAACTGAATCATTGGATAGATTTTTCCCATGCTGTTCTCATGATAGTGAATACATCTCATGAAATCTGATGGTTATATAAAGGGCAGTTCCCCTGCATATGTGCTCCTACCTGCTGCCATGTAAGATATGCCCTTGCTCCTCCTTCAACTTCTGCCATGATTGTGAGGCCTCCCCAACCATGTGGAACTGTGAGTCCATTAAACCTCTATTTCTTTATAAATTACCCAATCTTGGGTATTTCTTCATAGCAGTAAGAAAATTGACTAATCCACATGCAAATGGAAACCAAATGTGACCAGGAATAGCTATACTTTTATATAATAAAGCAGTCTTTAAGTCAAAAGCAACAAAAAGAGACAAGGTTATTATATAATGATAAAGGGATCAATTTAGAAAGAAGACATAACAATTGTAAATATATATGCATCCAACATTGGAGCACCCTGATATTTAAAGCAAATATTATTACATATAAAGGAAGAGATAGGCTCCAATACAATAAAAGTTGGGGATATCAACACCTTGCTCTTAGCATTTGACAGATCATCTACACAAAAATTAACAAAGAAATATTTAATTTAAACTGCACTTCAGATCAAATGGACCTAATAGACATTTATAGCACATTTCATCCAACAGTCAGAAAATGCACATTCTTTTCATCAGCACATGGAAAATTTTCCAGAATAGACCACGTTAGGCCACAAAACAAGTCTCAAAAAATATAAAAAAATTGAAATCATATCAAGTATCTTTTCTGTCCACAATGAAAACTATAAATCAATAACAAGAAAATCTTTCAAAACTATACAAATGCATGGAAGTTAAACAACATACTCCTGAATGATCAATGGATCAATGTAGATATTAGAAAGGAAATCTAAAAATTTCTTGAATCAAATGAAAATAAAAACATATGATACCAAAACCAATGGAATACAGCAAAAGAATATTGAAAAAAAGCAATATATTGCTATTTATAGCAATAAACACCTGCATCAAAAAAATAGAAAGACTTCAAATAAACCTAACAATGCATTTCAAGGAACTAGAAAAGCAAGAACAAAACAACCTCAAAACTAGTAGAAGAAAATAAATAAAACCAGAGCAGAAATAAAGCAAATTGAGATTAAAAAACAATTACGTAGGCTAACCAAGAAAAAAAAAAAGACCCAAATTTTAAAAATCAGAAATGAAAAAGGAGACATTACCACTGATACCACAGAACTACAAAGGATCATTAGAGACTATTATGAATAACTATATGCCAATAAATTGGCAAGCCTAATGAAAATGGATAAATTCCTGGACATTTACACCTACCAAGTTTGAACCAAGAACAAATAGGAAACCCAAACAGACCAACTACAAGTAATTAAATTGAATTAGTAACAAAAAGTGTCCCATCAAAGAAAAGCCTAGGACCTGGTGGCTTCACTGTTGAATACTATCAAACATTTAAGGAACTAATATCAATTCTTCTCAAACTCTTCAAATTAAAGAGGAGAGGATTCTTTCAACTTATTCTGAGACCAGCATACCCTAATACCAAAACCAGACAAGGACACAACAAAAAAACAAAACTATAGGACAAAACCTATGATGAACATAGATGCAAAAATCCTCAACAAAATACCAGCGAACTGAATCCAGCAGCACATTAAAAAGATTATTCACCATGATCAAGTGGAATTTACCCTAGGGATGCAAGGATGGATTAACATATGAAAATCAATAAACATGATACATCACATCAACAAAACGAAGGACAAAAACCACTTAATTGACTGGGTGCAGTGGCTCATGCCTGTAATCCCAGCACTTTGGGAGGCCAAGGCAGGCAGATCACCTGAGGTCAGGAGTTCGAGACCAGCCTGGCCAACATGGTGAAACCCCATCTCTACTAAAAGTACAAAAATTAGCCAGACGCGGTGACACATGCCTGTAGTCCCAGCTACTTGGGAGGCTGAGGCAGGAGAATTGCTGGAACCCGGGAGGAGGAGCTTGCAGTGAGCCGAGATCATGCCATTGCACTCCAGCCTGGGCAACAGAGCGAGACTCCATCCCAACCTACCCCACCCCCCCCAAAAAATAAAAAAAACCATGACTTAATCATTTCAATAGTTGTTGGAAAAGTATTAATAAAATGCAACACCCTTCATAATAAAAATCTTCTAGGTATAGACTAGGTTTAAAAGAACATAACACAATAAAGGCCATATATGATAAACCCAAGGCTAAGATTATGCTAAATGGGGAAAAGCTGAAAGCTTTTCCTCTAAGAACTAAAATAAGACATGGATATTCATTTTCACCACACTTATTCAGTGTAGTACTGGAAGTTCTAACCAGAGCAATTAGGAAAGAGAAAGAATAAAAGGCATTCAAATTGTAAAGAAGAAAGTCAAATTGTCCCTGTTTGCAGACAACATAATCTTATATAAAGAAAGCTTTTAAAGATTTATCAAAATACTCTTAGAATTGATTTAAAAAAACTCAGTAAAGTGCAGGATACAAAATTAACATACAAAAATGAGTAGTGTTTTTATATATCTACAAGAAACTAGTGAAAACAGAAATCAAGAAAGCAATCTTATTTACAATAAGTTACAAAAAAAGAAACCCTATGATATGGTTTGGCTGTGTCCTCACCCAAATCTCATCTTGAATTGTAACTCCCACAATTCCCACTTGTCATGGGAGCAAGCCAGTGGTAGGTGATTGAATTATGGGAGCAGGTCTTTCCTGTACTGTCCAGTGATAGTGAATGAGTCTCATGAGATCTGATGGTTTTTAAAAGGGGAGTTTCCCTGCACAAGTTCTCTTCTCTTGTCTGCTACCATGTAAGATGTGCCTTTCACCTTCCACCATGATTGTGAGGCCTCCCCAGCCATGCGGAACGGTAAGTCCAATAAACCTTTCTTTTGTAAATTGCCCAGTCTCAGGTACGTCTTTATCAGCAGTGTGAAAATGGAGTAATACACCCTAGAAATAAATGTAACCAAGGAGATGAAAAATTCTTATAAGGAAAATTATGAAACACTGATTAAGGAAATTGAAGAGGTCACACACAAAAAATGAAAAGGTATCACATGCTCACAGACTGGAAGAATTGATATTTTTTAAATGACCACAATGCCAAAAGTCATCCACAGATTCAATGCAATTACTATCAAAATTCCAATGACATTCTTCACAGAAATAGAAAAAAAACTCCTAGCGTTCATATGGAACCACAAAAGACCATGAATAGCCATAGCAATCCTGAGCAAAAAGAACAAAGCTGGAGGCATCACAGTAGACTTCAAAATATACTACAAAGGATTATGGTATTGGTATAAAAACATACACATAGAGCAATGAAACAGGAGAGAACATGTAGAGAATAGAGAAACAAAAGGCATTCAAACTGTAAAGGAGAAAGTGAAATTGTACCTATTTGCAGAAAACATGATATTACACTTTTTAAAAAGTCCTAAAAGCTTCATCAAAGTACTCTTGAAGTTGATAAACAAATTCAGTAAAGTTCAACTTATTTTCAACAAAGGTGTTAAAGACATTCAGTGGGGAAAGGACAGTCTTTTCAATAAATGGTGCTGGGAAAAACTGAATATCCATATGCAGAAAAATGAAATTAGATTGCTATATCTCATCATAGGCAAAAATCAAATCAAAATGCATTAAAGCCTTACTTGTAAGACCTGAACCTATGACACTCCTAGAAGAAAACATTGAGGACATACTTTAGGACACTGGTCTGAGCAAAAATTTTTGGGGTAAGACCTCAAAGGTACAGGCAACCAAAGCAAAAATAGACAAACGGAATTACATCAAGCTAAAATCCTTCCGTAGAGCAAAGTAAACAATCAATACAGAGAACAGACAACCCAGTGAATGGAAGAAAATATTTGAAAACTACTCATACAAGAGATTAATAATCAGAATATATAAGGAACTCAAACAACTCCATAGCAAAAACCCCCAAATAATCCAATTTTAAAATGGGCAAATGATCTAAACAGGCATTTATCAAAAGAAGACATATAAATGGCCAACAGACATATGAAAAAATGCTCAACATCACCAGTCACCAGGGAAATGCAAATCAAAACCACAATAAGACATCATCTCACCTCAGTTAAGATTACTATTACCAAAAAGGCAGAAAATAACAGATGCTGGTGAGGATGTGGCAAAAGGAGAACACTAGTGCATTGCTGGTGGGAACGTAAATTAGTACAGAAACTATGAAAAACAGTATGGAAGTTTCTCAAAAATCTAAAAATAGATCTACCACATGATCCAACAATCCCATTCCTGAGTATACATCCAAAAACGGAATTCAATAAATTTAAAAGGTATCTGCATGCCCATGTTTATTACAGTACTATTCACAATAGCCAAGATATGGAATCAATCTAAGTGTCCATCAACAGATGAATGGATTTTAAAAATGTGTCATCTACACAAAAACATGAAATCATGTAGTTTGAAGCACCATAGATGGAACTGGAGGTCATTATGTTAAGTGAAATGCCAGGCATAGAAAGACAAATAGCACATATTCTCACTCATAAGTGAGAGCTAAAAAAGTGGATCTCATGGCAGTAGAGAGTAGAATGATGGTTACCAGAGGCTGGGAAGGTTGGGGGTAAGGAGGATGAAAAAGGTTGCGTAATGGGTACAAAAATACAATTAGATAGAGGAAACAATTTCTAGTGTTCGATAGCACTAGAGGGTGACTATAGTTAACAATAATTTATCATATATTTCAAAATAGCTAGAAGGCAAGATGTGAAATGTTCCTAACACAAAGAAATAAACAATGTTTGAGGTGATGGATATCACAATTACCTTGGTTTTATCATTATACCTTGTACGCAAATATCAAAATACCCCATAAATATATGCTTATTATGTATGTATTAATTTAAAAAGGAAATAAAACCATAATATTGCTGAACATTACACAAAAGCAACAGAAAAGGGAATTCTCTGAAATTAGAAAAGTTTTCCCAAAACCTGTGAGAAAGCAAATAAGCATAGAATAAGAAAGTAAAAATCTGCTTTGCCATTCATCAGCTATGGGATAACAGGCATAAATAAAGCCAGCTGTGAAATTAACAGAAAATACTATTTCTCTCTGGAAGATGCTTTAAAATGTCTCAAACACACACACACACACACACACACACACACACACACACACACCCTTAGAGTAACTGATTTTTTACTCACACAATGCCCTTTTCTCTAAAATCATAGAACATTTATGACAATATCAAAAGATTGTCAAAAACTCTGCTGTTTAAATCCTATTATTAAGATTGAAATATCTCACTCTTGGCTAGAATATCTAAAGTCACATTGACACAGAGAAATAGTTTCTACTTCTGAGAGGCAGAACTTTGCAATTTCCAAAAAACAGAACCCTGGGTCCATCTTGTATTACGTTGGTGCAAAAGTAATTGCAGTTTTTGCCATTAGTAATAGTTTAGATGTAGTGTAGAATTCTTTACAAACAGCCTTGCTTTCTTTTGAGTCTATCAAAGCACTACTTCATTTCAATTCCTTCTAAACTCCATACTTCCCCAAATTCCTACAATAAATCTATCTCTTCCTCTGTTGGTGAGGTACCCCATGGTTCTTCTGGAATGTGGGCTCCCTCCTTGCAATGAGCCAGTAAACCTGATGATATGGTCTGCTCTGTGTCCCCACCCAAATCTCACTTCAAATTTTAATTCCCATGTGTGCAAGGAGAGACCTGGTGGGAGGTGATTAGATTATGGGGGCAGTTCCCCCATGCTATTCTTGTGATAATGAGGGAGTTCTCATGAGATCTGATGGTTTTAAAAGTGGCAGTTTTCCCACGATCTCACTTCTCTCCTGCCACCGTGTAAGATATGTCTTGCTTCTCCTTCACCTTCTGCTATGATTTAAGTTTCCTGAGGACTCCCCAGCCATGTGGAACTGTGAGTCAACTAAATCTCTTTCCTTTATAAATTACCCAGTCTCGGGTATTTCTTTATAGCAGTGTGAAAACAGACTAATATACCTGACTTTCTTGGAATACAGTTTTGTTCCTGATAAACTTAGGCTTATTGGGCTAAGAAGCCTGTCTCATATTAGTTCAGGAACACCAATTTCACATAAAAATGAGCAATAACTCACGCCTGTAATCCCAGCACTTTGGGAGGCCAAGGGGTGGATCACGAGGTCAGGAGATCGAGACCATCCTGGCTAACACGGTGAAACCCCGTCTCTACTAAAAATACAAAAAATTAGCCGGGCGTGGTGGCAGGTGCCTGTAGTTCCAGCTACTCGGGAGGCTGAGGCAGGAGAATGGCGTGAATCCGGGAGGCAGAACTTGCAGTGAGCCAAGATCCCGCCACTGCACTCCAACCTGGGCAACAGAGCAAGGCTCTGTCTCAAAAAAAAAAAAAAAAAAAAAAAAAAAAGAGCAACAAAAAAAGCATCAAGTTCAAATCCATGCAGTTATTATGTGAAGAGAATAAGGAATATAACATCATCATCAAAGATAATAAAAACATGCCTGAAAGATGCACTACAAAACAATTTATTATTTTGAAACTAGCTAAATGACATTAGAGAAATGATAAAAGATATGGAAGAACTTGATTCTGAATTAGAAAAACCTCAGAAATGAGGTGACAGAACTCAGGAGAATTAGTAATAAAGAATAAACTACAAGAAACACAAAAGCTAATAAATGCAACAGATTATGATTTGCTGTAAAGAAACCGAGTCAATCCTTAGATCAATGTTTCTGTAATAATTCTGATTGTCAGACACTTTCTCCAATTAATTATTAAGGAGGGGCTCATGAAAACACTAGTCTCACCAAATTGATATATCAATTGTTGATAACAGTTTGTACCTTTTGTATATTAGTTTTGCTGAATGTAAAATCTTTGGCCTACATATTTTTCCCTTAAGTTTCCTCAATATGTCATTCTACTTTCTTATGACATAAAGCCTCACTGTCAAAAAGCTGTGATCGCCTAGTTTTCTTTCCCATTTTACATATGTGACAAAACATTAAAATCTGTTAAATCTGGTTGCTTGTTACATGCCTGAAATAATTCACACCATATTTTATCAAATCTAACATGCCCTCAATTTTAAGATGCATCGTTTTCTGTATTTATTTTTTAAAAATTCATCCTCTATTCATGGATGTTAAAATATGAAGAAGCGTGGGTAATGGCAGGCCATTGTTTTGGCCTAGCCTTCTACACTAGGCCCCATCAGATCAAACCAGAATGGAGTTGCTTGTGCTAAGCACCATGTAATTAAAGTGGATTTTGAAAAAATGAGCCAGTTTTTTTTAAAAAAACAGGAGATTCTAGTTAACCTAGTGGGCATAATAAGGAAGTATGCTCTGTTTTAACCTTTACAAGGAAAGAAACTTTGAAATAATCTGATTTTTGTTCTGTTTCTGCTTTCTTCAATCTTTTTCATTATCTTCAGTCCTGTAGCATTATCTTAGTGCTAGAGCAGAGCCTTGAAAGAATAGAACACAGATCAAGAACATTTTAATGTGGAAAAGGTTCACAACTGGATTGAGGAACACGGATAATGCTATAGGTGAGCAACATAAAGCTTCCAGGTATTTTAAGATGTGCAATTTTGAAGAGAATAGAGGGCACGAAGGATAATACAGTTTTGCCTGGACCCTCATCTCCATATGAGAGGAAAAATTTCTAATTAAAAATATGATACATCACAGAAAATTACATAATACCCAAAGTATATGCTAATTTTAAAAATCCTGCAGATGTTTATTCAAATATACAGTGTTATTTAGTGAAAGACAAATCCTAATGTTATTGTGTCCAACTCATTTTTGCTTTCTAAGAAAGGTGACACGGAAGTAAATGAAAAAGAATTATATGAGAACTTTTTAGATATGTGTTCTGGTAATCTAACAGTGACTAGCTCTATAACCTTGACCAAGTCACTTGCACTGACCGGAAGTTCCTTTCCCTTACCCACAAATTTAAGGGACCAAACTGGATGATCTAACGACATCTATGGCACTAAAAGTCACATGATTCTATTAAATCTGAGGCAGCGCCTCACATGTAGTGGACTCCCAAAATTATTTATTAAATGTATAACATCTTTAAGTGGTATCCCCTCACTGACAATCTGGAGCTATTAGCAGCCTTCAGTTTATTTATAAAATAAAGCTGTTTCCTCTTCTTACCGTTAAGACTCTTTTAAGGATTTGCAACGCTATCCCATCATTTCGCGGGTTACTAGAGTCCTGCATGTTTGGCTGTAGAGCAAGGGTGACGCGTAACTTCTGGACTTTGGTTCCATCTACATCTGCCGGATGCGGATGCCAGTCGCAACAGTAACGCCCCCTTCGGCCACCTGCACCACAGCACGCCATGCGGCCACACCCAAACCGGAAACCAGGACGCCCCTAGGGTTGACGGGAAGGCGCTGCCGGGCTCCTAGCTTCCCCAGGCCCGCCCCCTCTGATGACGTCTCCGCCCGCCCCTTGACCCCCCCACGGTCCCGCCCCTTCCTACCTTCCAGTAGCCGGCGGCGGTGTCTCAGGCGGCAATGGAAGGATCCGAGCCTGTGGCCGCCCATCAGGGGGAAGAGGCGTCCTGTTCTTCCTGGGGGACTGGCAGGTGAGAGGACGAGAAGGGCGAAGGTGAGGGGTCGCGGGTGGGACCCAGGCTCCGGGTTTCTGCTTCTTTCTTTCCGGCGGGCTGGGGGCGCCCGAGAGGCCGCGGGGCCGAGCAGAGCCGGCCCTGGGAGGCGAGGGGCGCGCGCGGAGTGGGTGTGGCGACGTGGGCTAGGGCCTCTGCTGTTGCCGGCTTTCCTGAGGGAAAAGTCCCCTTTCCGCACCTTTGAGGGCTTTCTCAGTTCTGGCTGGGATTCGGGATCCTCCTTCCTCCAAGTCACCAGACTTGGGGGGCTCCGGTCGAGAGCGAGTTCTGGTCTCGGTCACTTGGCGTGAGCTTCCCCGACTGGTGCCAAGCACCTTTCCTCCTTTCCGTAAAAAGAAAGCTAGGAGCGCCACTGTGCACCTCCACTGAGATCCTCTTTTGAAAACTATTACCAGAAGGAACTTGGTAAGAATGAATCAGTAGCAATCTGGACACCCTGAGGCCTTTGTTGACTTCGGAAGAAGGAAAAAAAAAAAGCCAGGAAAAAAAAATACACAAGTTACCCATTCTTATTTCCCACTTGGTTTTGAAGTTCTTCAGGTCTTTCCCGCCCCTGTAAAATTAGGGGGAAAATATTTGTGCTAGGCCTTTACCAATTTCTTGGTTAGTAGTTCCTCTTTCAATCATCTCATAATTAATAAAGCAAGTGGTTACATTCTATCCACCACTGTCAGAATACACCATGCCAAAGATAGAATTGATGGATGTATTATTTTCAGCTGATGTGAGACTTTGTAAACCTGTAGCCTTTTCGCCAGTTTCAGACTGAAGGGATGCTTTCAGTTTCATGGTGTTGTCTGCCATTGCCAACACTGCCAGAGTGGAGGGATATTATGTAATATAACCCGCGCCTTATTTGAAGCGTTTTTGATTGTCTTATAGATCATATTATTTTTACATATTTTTGAAACATTCCAGTGAGGCACAACTTTCTGAAAAGGGCCAGTCACGCCATTAAGTGGCAGAGCTAGTTAGACTGCAGCTGTTCTCGTTTTTATTCAGATTTACCCACCAGGCCTATTGCCCCCGCCATGCAAGGAAAACAGCAAGTGAAAGTGTACTAGGGATAAAATGATAGGAAAGTAGATAATAAAAAACTTTGGCCGGGCGCAGTGGCTCAAACGCTTGCAATCCCAGCGCTTTGGGAGGTCGAAGCAGGCGGGTCGCTTGAGCTCAGGAGTTCTTAGACTAGCCTGGGCAACATGGCGAAACCGCGTCTCTACAAAATACAAAAAAATTAGCTGGGCGTAGGTGATGCACGCCTGTAGTCCCAGCTACTCGGGAGGCTAAGATGAGAGGATCGCTTGAGTCTAGAGAGATCGAGGCTGCAGTGAGCCGAGATCGTGCCACTGCACTCCAGTCTGGGTGACAGAGAGAGACCCTGTCTCAAAAAAAAAGAAAAGAAACAAATTTTGTTAATTTTTATATTTTGTTACAATGCCCAAACAGGGTATATTGTGTATGTGTGTGTTTTTTATTAGGTAGGTGATCTCTTAGAACACAGCTATCTTCTGATTTGCCTTGGTAATTGGAATCAGTTTTTTTAATAGCTATCCGTTTAATTAGCTAGAAGCTGGTATCATTTGATATGTGCCAGTGTTTGGTGAGATAAATGATAACATTTTAATTACCTTTGTTTACAAATTCTTTGGCTTATTTATCAATGCTAGGACTAGAAAGTTGGATTCCAAGCCTGAATTTGATGCCATCGCATTGTTTTTAGAATCTTTTAATTGACAACTAGAGCTTCTCAGAACTAGGAATGGCCTCCACTTCTGCCAGTATATTGATCTCAGCTCTCACAGTGGTTCAGCTCCAAATGCTCCAGACTGGTTCCCTGTACCTGGGAATTATCTCTGCTTGCCAGTGTTTAGTACAGATACGTTTTTTGAAGGCCATGCTGTGAAAATGGGACGAGCACTGCTATAAATAATATGTTACTATAATAAGTATACTTTGTCAGATTTGCATATTTAGATTAGTTTTTTTCCTTTAAAATTTATTCATTTAACAGGGTTTTTTTGTTTTGTTTTGTTTGTTTGTTTTTTGACAGAGTCTTGCTCTTGTCACCCAGGCTGGAGTACAGTGGTGGGATCTTGGCTCACTGCAGCCTCCTCCTCCCGGGTTCAAGCGATTCTCCCACCTCAGCCTCCCAAGTAGCTGGGAATACAGGCGCCTGCTACTACATCTGGCTAATTTTTGTATTTTTAGTAGAGACAGGGTTTCACCACGTTGGTCAGGCTGGTCTCGAACTCCTGACTTCAGGTGGTCCGCCTGCCTTGGCCTCCCAAAGTGCTGGGATTACAAGCATGAGCCACCGCGCCCATCCCATTTAACAGGTTTTTTTAAGTGTTTCCTTTATGTCTAATATCAGAAACAGTAGGCAGTATGTGTGGTAGTCAAGAGCTAGACTGCCTGGGTTCAGATCCTGGCAGTGCCATTTGCCTGCTCTGTGACTTTGGGCAAATTTTAAGTTAACCTCCCTCAGCCTCTTTTTTCCATCTGTTCGTTGGAGATAGCAATAGTGCTTGCCCACTGTTTGGACAAGGTTGTTGTAAGGGTTAACTGAATAAGTACATCTAAAGCACTTAAATATGTAGCACAGGGTTATCTATTATTATTAAATGCCTGGTACTGTTTTAGGTATTTGGAATACAGTAGTGAGTTTTTAACAGACCATACATTTTTTTGGTAGTAGTGGCAGACAGTTAACGGTAAGTGATTTGAAGAAACTGACAGGTTAATGAGTTAGGCAGCAACCTAAGGATAAGAGTAGCCATTTTATTGATAGGGTGATCAGGAATGAGGTGTGTGGTATTTGTGACACAATATTTTAATAGAGGCTTAAGTGACAAGAAGTCAGCTATTCCGAGATTTTAAGAAAGAACATTCTAAGCAGAAGAAATAGGTAAAAACTCTGAAATGAGAGCAAGCTTGCCTTCTTGCGAAACAGCAAACAAGTCAGTGTGGCTTGAAGATAGTAAGCGAAAACGGAGACTGGTGGGAGTTGAAATTGGAGAGATAATTGGGAGACAGGACACATTGGCCCTCTCAAGCATAGTGAGGTGTTTGAATTTTGTTTTAAGAGTAAAGGAAATCCACTGAAGGGTAGTCCAAATTCAGGGAATAATTTCTGACTGCATTTTAAGATATTTAGACTGTTTTATGGAGAATAAAGGGGAAGGGCAATACTGGAAATAAGGAGACTAGCTAGGTCTTTGAAATAGCCCAGGTGAAATGTGATGATGGTTTGGCTTGAGATTGTACTGATTGAAATAGTAAGAAATGATCAGGTTTGAGATATCTTATGAAGGTAGAGCTAACAGGTCTCAGATGGAGAAAACTGGGGAATGATTTAAGCAAGAAGATCCCTAGATTTCAGGCCCAACCCAGTAAATGATGGTAGCGGAAAATGAGTTAGGAAAGACAGGAAGAATAGATTAAGCAGGGGTAATTGAATTCTCTTTGGAGTTTGTTATGTTTGTGATACCAGTTAAGACATCAGAATAGTTATTGTTTTGGCAGTTGTATACAATCTGGAGGTCAGAGGAAAGATCACACGTGGAGAAATAAGTTTCAATATAATCAATATATATTCATCAATAGGATTGAATGAGTTTATCTGGGAAGACTGTATATATAGAGAAAGTTCATGGTACAGAATTGCTGAAATACAGATCCATTAGAATATATGTACCAAACAGGCGGGCACAGTGGCCCACGCCTGTAATCCTAGCACTTTGGGACGCTGAGGCGGGTGGATCTCTTGAGGTCAGTAGTTCAAGACCAGCCTGGCCAACATGGTAAAACCCCATCTCTACTAAAATTACAAAATTAATTGGATGTGGTGGTGTGCACTTGTAGTCCCAGCCACTTGGGAGGCTGAGGCATGAAAATCGTCTGAAACCAGGAGGTGGACGTTGCAGTAAGCCAAGATCGTGCCTCTGCACTCCAGTCTCGGTAACAGAGTGAGACTCCCATCTCAAAAAAGAAAACAAACAAACAAACAACAACAACAACAAAATATATATATATGTATTTATGTACCAGTGATAAAACAACACCTGAGATCTGAGAATAAAAGATGATGAGCTCTGTAATCTTAAAATTTACACAGGATAGAACAAGCAATCCGATAATTTAATTTCAGGCCATTTAAAAAATATAAGTAAAGTGGTTGTTAATAAAATATATGTTTGGTTTGTGAAAACCTTTAGTAACTGGTGAATCTGATCACACAAGTAATCAAATATTACATTATAAAATGTGAATATTTAATAACCATGTTTTTTTTTCCAGCACAAATAAAAATTTGCCCATTATGTCAACAGCATCTGTGGAAATCGATGATGCATTGTATAGGTAAGAATCTCATAGAAACTGAAACTTATTTTCCCCATTAATTGTTCTCAAATAATCAAGTAGTCTCTTTGAAGATACCATTCAGCCTATGCAGAATTATATGTGTGTGTGTGTGTGTGTGTGTGTATGTATATATGTATGTGTGTATATATATGTGTGTGTATATATGTGTATATATGTATATGTATATATATGTGTATATGTGTATATATATGTGTGTATATATGTATATGTGTGTGTATATATACACACATATATATAAAGAGTTCCTCTCAAGTTAAAATTAGGGTTTCTGTGATTTTTTTTATCTACATTCGGATAATATTTAAATCTCAGTTGTTTTAGGTTTAGGTGATAGGACTAAGAAGGATTTTGCTGCCCTTGCAAAATAACCCTTTCATTTTTGGACAATAATACGTATTTAAGTTCTTGATAGTGCAGGAGTTGATGAAGAATAATATTTCACTTTAGTCATACAATAACATCTAGAGAATATTACTTCATTGTAATCTCATTAAAATATTTCCTGTTCTGTAATTTATAGACAGTGGAGAAATACTGTGTGATTGAAGAGTTGTAATTTGAATGGAATTTGATGGGACTTTTAAAACTATGCTTTTTCAGGAAATTGGAATACTTTTTTAGTAATTAAAGTATTGTATGATTGAATAGTTGTGATTTGAATGAAATTTGATGAGACTTTTTAAACTATACTTTTTCATGAAATTTGAATACTTTTTAAAGTAAAGAAAAAGATGCAGAGTCAATAATGGGCACTTTATTAGGAGCTAATACATACCATCTGGCATGTTGAGTCCAAATCCTGTTTTGTACTCTATGCTTGGGAAAAGAGATAGAAGACTAACAATCTTGCTCATGTGAAAATTATTTTAAAGATGATTTCTTGATTATAAAATATGGTTTAGAAGTCACCTTAAGTTGTTGTATAAGGGTTAACTGAATTAGTACATTTAAAGCACTTAAAACAGTGTGTAGCACAGGGTTATCTATTATTATTAAATGCCTGGTACTGTTTTAGGTATTTGGATTACAGTAGTGAGTTTTTAAGACCATACATTTTTTTGATAGGAGTGGCAGACAAACAGTTAATGGTAAGTGATTTGAAGAAACTATGACAGGTTAATGAGTTAGGCAGTGACCTAAGGATAAGAGTAGCCATTTTATTGATAGGGTGATCAGAAATGATGTGTGTGATATTTGTAATACAATATTTTAATAGAGGCTTAAGTGATAAGAAGTCAACTATTTCAAGATTTTTAAGAAAGAACATTCTAAGCAGAAGAAATAGTGTAAAATCTCTGAAATGAGAGCAAGCTTGCCTTCTTGCAAAACAGCAAGCAGGTCAGTGTGGCTTGAAGATAATAAGCAAAAAGGGAGAGTGGGACTCTTACGTTGGGATTCTTAATCTATAATTATATTCTTAATGTCCTTTTGGTCATGTTTTTCTTGGTTTAACAAATGGCACCTCTTTGAGATAGTATTGACTAATTTTATTCATTTTTTAGTTTAATCCTTGTGAAACTTTTTTAATGTCCCTCCAACCCTATAATGCTGATAAACATAATTTTCAGTAGGCCAGTGACTAAACTTTCCATTTACAATGCTACGTAAGTAGGCTGCAGTTTGCTTTACTGAGAGTTATAGAATATAGCAGTTTAGCTGTTATTATTAGAGGTAAGCCATTTTCTTTTGTTTGACGGAGAGTATCTTTTGGTGTAGCTGTTAGCACTTGGTATGCGTGTCTTATTGCAAACATCTAGTTGTTTACCAATGTGCATATTTGAGTTTTAATATCTTCCTTAAGAATTTGTCATAGTGAGGGCAGGAAGCCAGAAATTTATGTGGGTACTAAAAGAGTGAATTATTAGGGAATACTAAAAGAGTTACTGACTACATATAGGTTTTCTTAGTAGAAATACAAAGATGTGGCCAGGCACAGTGGCTCATGCCTGTAATCCCAGCACTTTGGGAGGCCGAGGCGGGTGGATCACGAGGTCAGGAGATCGAGACCATCCTGGCTAACACAGTGAAACCCCGTCTCTACTAAAAATACAAAAAATTAGCCGGGTGTGGTGGCGGTGGCGGGCGCCTGTAATCCCAGCTAGTCGGGAGGCTGAGGCAGGAGAATGGCATGAACCGGGGAGGCAGAGCTTGCAGTGAGCTGAGATGGCACCACTGTGTTCCAGCCTGGGCTACAGAGCAAAACTCCATGTCAAGAAAAAAAAAAAAAGAAATACAAAGACCAAAATGCCAAAATGTGAGATTTTCACACAATAACCAGCTCTTATTTTCTTAGATTTTAAAAATTAACTTAAATGTTTGAGGGTTTTTTTTTTTATAGTGACTGAATCTGAAGATTTGGTAGTTTTGTATTTTTTCTTTTTTTTTTTTTTTTTTTTTTTTTTTTTGAGATGGAGTCTTGCTCTGTCATCCAGGCTGGAGTGCAGTGGCGCGATCTCGGCTCATGGCAACCTCCGCCTCTTGGGTTCAAGCAATTCTCCTGCCTCAGCCTCCTGAGTAGCTGGGACTACAGGCATGCACCACCACACCCAGCTAATTTTTGTATTTTTTTTAGTAGAGGCGGGGTTTCACCATGTTGGCCAGGATGATCTCAGTCTCTTGACCTCATGATCTGCCCACCTTGGCTTCCCAAAGTGCTGGGATTACAGGCGCGAGCCACCGTGCCCAGCTGTATTTTCTCTTTTTAAAAATCTGTATCTGTTGCTTATGGGGACTAGTATAAGACCTAGGACTTTGGACAATGATTTATTTTAGGGACAAGGCATGAAATGAGGATCCTTAGCCTCTTAATATCTCAGGGAGATAGATTTCATCAGTAAGCTTGATGAAGGTAGGGTAAGATAAAGATAAATTCCAGAAGTTCTCTTTTCTCTCCGTTCTCTTTCACACAGCCACAGTTCCGACCATTTTGTCTCATAGTACAAGTCCAAATACTATAGCTTACCGAGTTATTTTGAACATAACTCCAACTTACCTTCTAAAAAGTTATTATTGTAGTAAAAACACATAACATGAACTCTACCCTACTAACAAGTTTTTAAGTGTGTAGTATAGTATAGTTGACACTTGAACAATGAAGGAGTTAGGAGTGCCAACTCCCCTACCACCCTACCTCTTGTGCAGTCGAAAATCCACATATGACTTTTGACTCTCCCAAAGCTTAAATGCTAATAGCCTTACTATTGACTGGAAATTTTACTGATAATGTAAATAATCAATTAACACACATTTTTAATATTATATGTATTATATACTGTATATATATATATACACAGTATTCTTAGAATAAAGTAAGCTAGAGAAAATAAAATGTTAAGAAAATCATGTAAGAAAGAGAAAATATATTTATTGTTCATTAGATGGAACTGGATTATCATAAAGGTCTTCATCTTTGTTGTCTTCATGTTGAGTAGGCTGAGGAGGAGGAAGGGGAGGAGTTGGTTTTGTTGTCTTAGGGGTGGCAGAATCAAAAGAGGTGGAGGCAGAAGGGTAGGGAAAGAGAGGCAGGCACACACAGTGTAACTATGGAAATATGTAACTACTATGTGACTTTTTTTGCTTTCTCATTTCTGGAAAAATGTTTCTATACAATACTGATCCTCCTGTCATTTTCTTTAGTTTCTTTTTGGTGCCCCTGTTGTAGAAGGGTCCATGTCATTAAAGAAATCAATGCAATCTTGAATCGTCGGAACCCTTCTGCCAGATTGTCTGATGTCAGTAACAACGATAGCATCTTCAATGGTATAATCTTCCAGACTTTAATGATGTTCTCTTTCTTGGGGTTCTCTTCCATAGCATTGACAATCCTTTCTATAGAGTACCTTGTGTAATGAGCCTTAAAGGTCCTTTATGATGCCCTGATCTAGAAGCTGAATTTGAGATGTTGTGTTTTGAAGCAAGTAAACCACTTCAGCACCTTCATTGTTGAACTTTGGGGTTCTGGGTGGCCAGGTGTATTGTCCAATAGCAAAAGAACTTTAAAAGTTCTTGCTGGCAAGGTACTTCCTGACCTCAGAATCAAAGCATCAATGGAACCAATCCAGAAAAAGGGTTCTTGTCCAGGCCTGCTTGTTATGTAGCCGGAGGACTGGCCGCTGGTGTTTATCTTTTCCCTCCAATGCTCAGGGGTTAGCAGCTTTATATGTAAGGGCAGTCCTGATCATAAACCTGAAAGCATTTGCAGAAAACAGTAGAGTTAACTATCCATTTCTGCCTTAAATCCTGGTGCTTGCTTCTCTTCCTTACTAATAAATGTCCTTTGTGGCAATTTTTTTCAAAATAGAGCACTTTCTTCTACATTAAAAACCTATTCAGGTAGATATCCTTTCTCTTCAGTGATTTTCCTTATGGCGTCTAGAAACTCATTGCTGCCTCTTGATCGGCAGAAGCTGCTTCTCATGTTGTGTCTGACTTTTTTTTAAGACAAACCTCTTTCTAAAGTTATCAAACTATCCTTTGCTGGCATTAAATTCTACAGCTTTACTGCTTGGGTGATGGGTGCACCAAAATCGCACAAATCACCACTAAAGAACTTAAGTAACCAAACACCACCTGTGTACCCCAGTAACCTATGGAAAAAAAAGAATTCTACAGCTTTATATCCTTTACCTTCTTTTTGCTTTAAGTGGTCTTATAATGACTTCGCTTTTTCTCAAATCATGTTAGAGTCTATGACTTTCTTTCAGCAATCCTGCACCCATATCAGTGCTGCATTTTCAATATAAGATAAAAAAATCTTTCACAAAAAGTGTAAGGTTTTCATACTTGCTGGTGTAGTTACAATGATGGCTTTTCTTTTTTTTTTTTACAATGGTCCTTCCACTGGATTCATTTTATCTTGAAATGTCAGGCAACCATAGCTGCAGACCTCAGTCTACAGTACATAATCAAGCAATTCAACTTTTTATTGTAATGTCATGACTTTTCTCAGCTTCTTGGGAGCACTTGCAACATTACTGGTGGCACTTTGTATGGGTCCCATGATGTCATTCAAGGTTTACAGTATTGCACATTAAACATGATGAAAAAATATGCAAGAATCTCAAGACATCACTTTTTCCTGCAATATTCAATTTACTGGAGAGAGGAACTGCTCAGGCAAAGATGAATAGAGTCACATGTGCTTTAACCAGATACATCACTTAAGCTCACCACAATAGCAACTGGAAGTAGCTACAAAATTATTACAGTAGTGCAGTATGTACTACAGTGACTTTTATGCACTTATGACTGAATACTGCATCTTTACATCTGTTTACATTCCTCTTAACTGCAAATGGCGACATCTATGGTCTGTAAGTGTACGCATAGTTTTGATAAATTTTAACTTTTTATAATTTGTGTATATTTTATGGTAGTAAATGATAAAATAGACTAATATGTACATAGATTTCATGCATTCATGACATTTTCTTAATTTTTGGGTATTTCTAGGCTACAAAGTTCATCCGTGAGTTTTTTTCAAGTTGTCACAAATGTCCAAAAAAATTTTCAGTATATTTATTGAAAAAAATCTGCATATAAATGGACCTGTGTGTTTGAAACCCATGTTGTTCACGGGACAACTATATTTTTAACTCTGTGTACATTGTCATATAGCAGATCTGTGTAGCAAATATTTCTTCAAGATCTTGTTTCTAATTCTTTTGGAGAAATAACCCAAAATGGAATTGCTGGATTATGTGGTAATTCTATTTTTTAATTTTTGAGGAAGCTTCATACTGTTTTCCATGGCAGCTGCACCATTCTACATTTCCAACAGTGCACAAAAGTTCCAATTTCTCCACATTGTTGCCAATACTTGTTATGTTTTGTTTTGTTTTGTTTTGTTTTATAATGGTCATCCATACAGGTGTGAGGTGATCTCTCATTGTGGTTTTGGTTTGTATTTGATGATTAGTGAATGTTGAGCACCTTTTCATATACTTGTTGGCTATGTGCATGTTTTTGGAGAAAGATCTATTCAAACTCTTTGTCCATTTTTAAAAATTGGGTCAGTTCAGGGGTTTTTTGGTATTGAGTTATAGGCATTCCTTTGGATATTATTAACCCCTTATCACATACATGGTTTATAAATACTTTCTCTCATTCTGTAGGTTGTCTTTTGATTTTGTTGACTGTTTCCTTTACTGGTTTTTAGTTTCATATAGTCCCACTTGACAATTTTTGCTTTTGTTGTGTGTGCCTTTGGTGTTATCCAGGAAATCTGTGCCAACACCAGTGTTATGAGGCCTCTTTCCTGTTTTCTTCTGGGAGTTTTATAGTTGCAGATCTTACATTTAAGTCTTTGATTCATTTTGATTTGATTATTTTGTATGGTATAAGGGTCCAGTTTCATTCTTTTGCATTTGGAAATCTAGTTTTCCCAGCACCATTTATTGAAGGCCCCAACCACCTTTTCCTCTGAATACACTGGCCATACTAGACTACTTTTTTATCAAAGATAAGATAGGTAATTGCAGTTTATACCTTTTTACCTCAACTGTCTGTTCCTGTAATGCTCTTTTGTGCCTCAAAAATACCTTCCAGTGATCCTTTAAGAACTCACTCCTATGTCTGCTCTGTGATATCTTGCCTGAGTTACTTCTCCTCCTTTCTGCTTAGCCCTAAAGCATCTTATTTTTATTGCTATTAAATAAGCACATTATCACATAGTATTTGTTCACATGTATGTCAACTCTGTCAGACCATGAGCTTTTCTAAGTCGTAGACTGTGACAGTGTCTGAGTCTTAGAAGATACTCATTAAATGATTATTGAATGATTAGGGAAGACAGTGGGTTCAGATTGGCTTGTAGTCTGGAACCTAAGACTAGGTACGTTGCCTAAGTAGTTGGCAGGAACCAAAACTAAGGATATGACAAAAAAGTCTGAAAAAGGTGCAGATGGTACTAACAATAGAAGAAGTGATGATACTAAGAAGGCACTTACACATTCCATCCTTAAGCAAAAACCAGTATTACTGGCCAGGTACCACATTCCCTGACTTCTGAATTCTGACATGAAGCTGCTACAATAAGACCATCCTTTATATCTGGAAAATTCTGACAGCCAAAAAAGTTAGATAGAGAAACAAACATTTCTCTTTTCTCAGGAATTGGGGCATTTGGGGCATTTTGAGCAAATGAGTGTCTTTATAACAGCCCAGATACATGTAAATTCATTTTTCCTGAAAATTAAAGAGTGTAACTTTCTGGCATCTTATATGTTGAGATATGTAAGGTTGATACTTCAAATGTTGTTTATTTCCTCCTAGATACTTGTATACTATACAGATGCTTCTTGATTTAAAATGGAGTTATGTCCTGATAAACCCATAAGTTGAAAATATTATTAAGTTGAAAATGCATATAGTACACCTAACCTGAACATTACATCTTAGCCTAGCGTATCTTAGATATTCTTGGAACACTTACATTAGCCTATAGTTAGGCAAAATCATCTAACACAAAGACTATTTTATAATAAAGTGTTGAATATCTCATAGAATTTATTGAGAATACTGTACTGAAAGTAAAAATCAGAACGGTTGTATGGGTACCCAAAGTATGGTTTCTACTGAAGGTGTGTCACTTCTGCACCATTGTAGAGTTGAAAAATCAGTACGTTAGACCATCATAAGTCAGGAACTCTGTGTAATTGAAATCTAGTAAATATCCAGTATTGTTTTTGTTTTCCTGGATGCTATTATTGAAATTTAGTTAGTATTTACTAGATACACAGGTTTTTTACAGGCATAAATAACTGCATCTTAGGTTATAATTTTCCTTCTAAACAATTAGATTTCCCTATAAAACGAAACCTTTCAAAAAATCTACAAATCTTAAATATCAACTAAGATGTTTTTAATATTTGTACATATATATTTAACTAGGAAATATCTTTTAGAGCAATTTTAGTACCCAGTTGAACAAAGCATCTTTCTGGAGAAAAATTTTATTTTTCTTATTACTACTGAATCTTAAGCCACCTCATAGTTTACTGATCAACAGATTCTAAACTTTTTCTTAGAATCTCAGAGGGGTTTTATTTTGGACTGACTCTGATGGTATTCTGAGTTCTCTCTCTCAAAGGGGTTTTATTTTGGACTGCCTCTGATAGTATTCTGCATTCTGTCTCTCTCAGAGGGGTTTTATTTTTTTACTACCTCTGATGGTATTCTGAGTTCTCTCTATTTTTGGTCTTTATTGTTAGGTGAATTAGACTTGAGCCTATTCTCTGGCCATTTCTTTCTTTTTCTCTGAAGATGTGCGTGAGTCTGCTGATCACAAGATGTATCTGAAGAAATGAATGAGTCCCAATTTAGGACTCCAGGCTTGGTTTTCTAGCTGCTTTTATGAAAGTACCCTCCATTGAATGTGATTAAGGCTGATTCAGATGATAATAACATGGTATTTTTATCTATTCTGTTCTTCCTTGCATATAATTTCCTTTGTAGAGATCACTATATGAAGAAAGGGTTAATATCAAAGCAGAATCAGGACATTCCTAGGTCTTTAGATGTAATACTACTTTAAGCATCTAAACCTTTTATTCCAGTGTAATCCTAGAGGAAACGCTTTCCTCTAGCTTCCGGAATACCAGTCTTTTTGAATTTGCTTTTACTACTATGACTCTTCTTTCTCAGATATTTTTCTTAAATTCTTTTTTCCTGCATCATAAATGCCAGGTTCCAACTTTAGGATTTTTCTTTTTCTTTTTTAACTGTTAAATTCAGGGGTACAAATGCAGGGTTGCTACATATGTAAACTTGCGTCATGTGGGTTTGTGGTACTGATTATTTAAAAGAATGAGATCATGTCCTTTGCAGGGACGTGGTTGGAGCTGGAAGCGATTATCCTTAGCAAACTAATGTAGGAACAGAAAACCAAATACCACATATTCTAACTTATGACTGGGAGCTAAATTATGAGGATTTTTCTTAGTTCATATTCTAGTTCACATCATTTATTCCCATGATTTTAGGTATCTCTTTATGTTAGTGATATTTGAGTCTCTCTTCAGATTTTTCCTTCCAAGTTCAAGACCTTCATTTTTAACTGCATACAACTACATACTTTAAATGTAAAATGAGTAGATGTTCAGCAAATATCTACTTGTTAGAGAAACATTGGTACAGTAGAATTAACATGGCCTTTGGAGACAGATGTAAGAGTTCATATCCCAATCCTGACTTTTATATGAACTGGAGCTAGTTGCTTAATCTTTCTTTTACACAGTTTCTCATGTGTAAATAGGAATAATAATATTTTATATCTTAAGGATAATATTGGTCGGGTGCAGTGGCTGACGCCTGTAATCCCAGCACTTTGGGAGGCTGAGGCAGGCGGATGACAAGGTCAGGAGTTTGAGACCAGCCTGACCAACATGGTGAAACCCCCTCTCTACTAAAAATACAAAAATTAGCCAGGCATGGTGGCACGCACCTGTAATCCCAGCTACTCGGGAGGCTGAGACAGGAGAATCACTTGAACCCGGGAGGCAGAGGTTGCAGGGAGCCAAGATCGCACCACTGCAGTCCAGCCTGGGCGACAAAGTGAGACTCTGTCTCAAAAAAAAAAAAAAAAAAACATAGTCTTAAAGATTTTATGTAAAAACGGTAGGTTGTTTTTGATTTTTTTTTTTTTTTTTTTTTTTTTTTTTTTTTTTTTTAGAGACAGGATCTTGCTGTTGCCCAGGCTTGGGGGCAGTGGCGTGATCATAGCTCTCTGTAACCTCAAACTGTTAGGCTCAAGCAATCCTCCCACCTCAGCCTCCTGAGAAGGTAGGACCACAGGTGTGTGCCACCACACCTGGCTAATTTTCACATTTTTATGTAGAGGTGGGTGTCTCACCGTATTGCCCAGGCTGGTCTCAAACTCCTGGTCTCAAGTGATCCTCCCGCTTCAGCCTCCCAAATTGCTGGGATTACAGGTGTGAGCCATCGCACCCTACTACACCCAAACATTTTATTTATGCCCGTTTATAATTCTTTTCTTCTCACTCCAACTTTCATTTCTTCAGGCAACCACTCATCTTTTGTCTATCTGTCTCTCCCAGTACCATGTCACAGGGATTCTAGTAGTTTACATATTTTATTTAATATGTAATCCTCGTAGCAGCCATACGAAGTTGTTGTTATTATGATCTCTGCACAGTGAACCCCAAGCGAGTGACTGGCTTGAAATCGGTATGTTAATAAATATATGCGTGCATGATGAAGATAATGAAGTGTGTCCAGAAGAAAGTGATTAATGTTGAGGGGGACTCAAAATGATGTTATGCTTGGAATTGTTTAAGGAACTGGAGATGTTTAGCTTAGAGAAAGAAAACTCTAGAACCTGAATGCCATCTTCAAATGTTTGGAGGGGTGTTACATCAAAGAAGGATTTAGACAAGTTCTCTATGGCCCCAAGGGAATAAAACTAAGACTAGTGGGTAAAAACTATAGGGAGATGTTGTTCTTTCATAAAAGGGTGAATTTTTAATCGATAGGGATTTCTGCTACATTCACTGCTATATGGTCACTTAGTATGAGTCAGCTGTAATGTAACAATGCTGGACTTGCAGTTATACTCTCAGCTCTTTAATCCCATCTTTACTACCTGTTAACATTATGAACTTCACAGCATTTAAGTGTCATTTAACTGCAAAGTACCTGACATATTACTTGGTACAAAGAAGGCACTTAATTAGTACCTTTCCCTTTGGTGACTAAACAGAAATTTATTTGGCTCACAGTTATGGAGGCTAGGAAGTGTAAGATCAAGGGGTCATATCTGGTGAGGGGCTTATTACTGCATCGTCCCATGGTGGAAGGCAGAAGGGCAAGAGTAAGAGAGGGCAATAGGGGGCTGAACCTACTTTTAGATATAACCCACTCCCACAATAATGAAACCACTCCTACAATAATGGTATTAATCAATTCACGAGGGTAGAGCCCTCATGACCTAAACACCTCCCACTAGGCAACACCTCCCATTAGGTCCTACGTAACGGGGTTTAAGTTTCCAACACACAAACTCCGGGAAACACATTCAAAGTGTAGCATTTGCTCCTGGCCCCCCAAATTTTTGTCCTCATAATGCAAAATACTTTTATTACCTCCCAGTAGTAAAAAAAATCTGAACTTGTTCAAACATCAACTCAAAAAAGTCCAGTCTCATCTAAATTGGGTATGATTCATCCTGAGGCAAAAGATGACACTAGAGAACTAAGCAGGGACTAGTTCATGAATGCCTTGTGACTAAAGAATTTAGACTTTATTGTAAAGGAAATAGAAAACCACTGGGGTTTTTTAAGCAAGAAAATGGTTTGACTAGATCTGTTTCAGAAAGATCATTTATCTTTCTTAGTAGGAAGTTAATAGGTAATATATAAAACTCAAAAAATCAAGAAATAAAAGTATACACGTGTTATTTAGAAATATGGGAGTAAATATTAAGAGAAATGACTAAAAAATTGAGACTAGTTATCTTTGGGGAGTGGGAATCAGGGTAGGAAAGAATTAGGTCAGGGAACTGATGGTTGTTTTTTTCTCTCTCTCATAAACCTTGAGGAATGATTTGGCTTTCTTAATCTGTATGCATTGTGGCATAATAGTTAAGAGTATGGATGCTAAGGCTAGACTGCCTGGATTGACTCTTAACCTCCACTACTTACTTAATTCTAGGTGCTTATGTATTCCTATCTGTAAAAATGAGAATAATAATAGAAATTATCTCATAGTATTTTTGTGAGGAATAAATGAGTTAATACAAGTAAAACACTTAAAACAACATGTGGTGCATAGTAAAAACTCAGTTATTATTACATGCCAGGCACAGTTCAGGTACTGAGATACAAAGACAGTAGACAAATTTATGGTTGTAGTGGAAGATTTTTGAAATGTTGCTTTTAGTAATCAAGAAAACAAGCAGACAAAAAACCCAAACAGGTATAGATTTCATCAACATGATTATTAAAATTAACCTAATGCATATCTTGTGTCTTTAACAGCTGTAGAATCCACATTCTTTTCAGGAACACATGCAACTGTAAAATTGACCAAAGAAATTCTCAAATATTAAAGAGTTACACAGATTGTGATATCTATTCACATTGCATTTAAGCGGGAAATTAATACAAACGATAACTTAAAAATGTCCCATAAAATTAGAAATTTCAAAATATACTTTGGATTAACACATAAAAAAAGAATCATAATTAAAATGGGAAAATAATGAAGTGCTCTTATCAAAACTTGAGATGCTCTTAATGTTACATTTTACATTAGTAGTTGAGAAACTAAAATCTAAATATTAATGGGTTTTATTTCAGGTAACTAGAAAAAAAAGAAAATTAGATTTATTAGTGTAGGAAATATTTCAAGAGCCAAGTTTACAAGTGCCAACCAAGGGCCAGCCCTGTAAGCATGCCCTTCTAAAGACCAAGCCTGCACAGCCAGGTTGTGAAATTGCAGAGACTTTGATACACTGCCAAAAGAAGGGTAACTTGCTGCATCCACTTTGATTTTGGGCTGGGGGCAGGGGGTTGTTTTGTTTTGTTTGAAACAGGATTTCATTCCCGTCGCCCAAGCTGGAGTGCAGTGGCATGATCTTGGCTCACTGCAACCTCCACCTCCTGGCTCAAGCAATTCTCCTGCCTCAGCCATCCGAGTAGCTGGGACTTAACTGCAGGCACCCACCACCTCATCCTGCTAATTTTTGTAGTTTTTATAGAGATGGGGTTTTGCTGTGTTGCCCAGGCTGGTCTTGAACTCCTGAGCTCAAGTAATCCACCCATGTAGGCCTCCCAAAGTGCTGGGATTATAGGCGTGAGCCACCACAACTGTCCTGGTACGTCCATTTTGGAAAACAGTTTGGCACTGTCTAATGAAGTTGAAGTATACATATTCTTAAATCCTGCATTTCCTCTCTGGGGATATACATTAGAGCAGGGGTGTCCAATCTTTTTGCTTCCCTGGGCCACATTGGAAGAAGAATAATTGTCTTGGACCACACATAGAATCCACTAACAGTAATGATAGCTGATGAACTAAAAAAAAAAAAAAATTGCAAAAAAATCTCATAATGTTTTAAGAAAGTTTACGAATTTGTATTGGGCCGCATTCAAAGCTGTCCTGGGCCGCATGCAGCCTGTGGACCGTGGGTTGGACAAGCTTGTATCAGAGAAACAACTCTTAAGTGTGTACCAGGAGATGTTTATAAGAATGGTCAGAATACAATATAAATGAATATTAATGACCAGTTGCAGACATCAGTATAAGTCCATCTCATAAATAATTTCATTCAAAAGAAACAAGATAAAAGACACTCAAAGTGATTCCATCTATACAAAGTCTAAAATCAGGTAAAACCTAAGTATATTATTTCTGGGTACGCATAAGGGTGGTAAGACTATATAAGAACTTTCGTACATACTATAGTAGATTTTCAATAAATATTTGATGTGTAAATGGATAGTTTTTACTTTCTAAAACAAAAGTCTTGAGTACCAATTTAAAAAGAAAAGTTTAGGTTTTATTATATTTTGTATGAAACAGGGAAGGAAATAAAGATAGCTTGTGTTTATAAAGTTTTGTCTCTCTAGATAAGAAATCCCTTTTCAGGCTTTTATGTTGAATATGAAAAGCTGAAATAATGGAAATTAAATATTTATTTTTAAAACAAATGTGCATTAAACATGTATGTGTTAATTCTGAAAGTAAATACTTATAACCCAAGGGGTTCTGAAATTATTTATTTATATCGAACTAATCTTTAAAATGTTTCTCATAAGAATTCATTGGAATTTATATTATCTCCAAAGATAGCATCAAGTTTCTCATTGTTCTTTCAGATAAACACTTACAATTGACTTTATTACTATATCAGACTTTTAAATTACTAACGTATATTTTTTGAAATTCCCATCCTGTTACTACCTTGTGGCTATTAGGATGCATAACTTAACAAGGTCCTTTATATAACATCTGAACTCCAAGAAGAGAACCAAATTTTTTTTGTTGTTGTTGCCTCAGAAATCCTGTTGATAGTGAAAGTTTTAAGGTGGAAATGGCAAACTCAAATGCTTATAGTGGCCACTGAGGTAATAAATGAGAGGAACAGGAAGGAATTGATTGTGGCAAATCTGGAGCACATAATCCTCCTGCCTAAACAGGGCAACTCTTACTCACCTCCATCTGTCTATTGCCTTGAGGGAATATGGATTGTGGTGCCAAATTATCTGATTTTTCAAAATATGTCATATATTTGGCATTTAATTCAGAAATGTTTAAACACTGTGCAAATCATTCATAACAAGTCTGTGGGCCGGATTGAGTTCCTAGGCTTTTAGTTTGCAAACAACTTTAAGAGATATTATAATTTCAGTGAAATAATTTTTTGTTTTTTATTGTGTTTTCCGTGTAGTCGACAGAGGTACGTTCTTGGAGACACAGCAATGCAGAAGATGGCCAAGTCCCATGTTTTCTTAAGTGGGATGGGTGGTCTTGGTTTGGAAATTGGTAAGCAATATTTATATTCCTAATTTTTGACACTTTTGAGCAATGAAGATAGTTTAAATAACTTAACTTCATCCCCTTATATTTCCTATAAAGGAAGTTAGATCCAAAATGTTGATCAGATTGAGTTTTTAATCTTTGTCAAGACTATTTCGTGATGTTATATTCTTCCACAAAGAACCAATAATGACTCATTGCTTCTTTTTGTGATGTTAATAGCCATTAATTATCATTCTCTATATCCATTAATTCATTATAAGCACACATACATATACTGTATTCATAAAAACATATCTGGAAGAATACGTTGAAATTTTAGGAGTGATTATCTCTGGGTGTTGTGATTATGCACATTTTAATTTTTTCACTTTTAACCTGTATTTTGTAACTTTTTTAAGACAAGGAACTTGTATTAAGTAGTAAAAAAAGAAGTTAAAAGTATGCAGTCAGATATGTGACTAAGCTCTGTGAAGACATATCTAGTGTGTATTCCCAATATTGAGCTATTCCTTTTTCTTTTGCCTTTCTAGCAAAGAATCTTGTTCTTGCAGGGATTAAGGTAAGTAAATGTCCTCTGTAAGAAAAATTGTTATGAGCCTTTTTTTTTGGCTCATTTGTTATGGTAATATTGTTTATACTTTGTTTTAATTATTGTCTTTAATGCTCTACTTTTTAAAAAAAATCATGGAAATTTAAAAAATATACAAAGAAAGAATTGTGTAACAAAACCCCACATACCCATCAGAAAGCATCAGTTACCAACTCTTGGGGACATTTGTTTCATATATCTTCTTCCCATTCCTTATTGCCCCCAACTGCCAAATTATTTTGATGTAAATTTCAGACATTGTATTATATCATCCTTAAATATTTTAGTAGTATCTTTAAAAGATAAGAATATCTTTTGAAGCAGCAATATAATTTTCACACCTAAAATGTAACAAGCTCTTAATACCATTGTATTAGTTTACATGTTGCTATAAAACAGTTTACCCCAAAATTTGTAGCTTAAGCAACATTTGTTGTCTCATAGTTTCTGTGAGTCAGGATTCGGGCATGACTCTGGTTGGGGTTTCTCTGGGAGTCTCTTACAAGGCTGCAGTCAAGGTATTAGCAGGGCCTGCAGTCATCTTGAGGCTAGACTGGGGAAGGATCTGCTTCCCAAGCTGGCTCATGTGGTTCTTGGTAGGATTTAGTTCTTCATGTATTGTTAAACTGAGGACCTCAGTTCCTGCTGGCTCTTGACCAAAGGTCACCCTCAATTCCTTGCTTGTATGGCTTTCTCCATAGGGCAGTTCACAGTGTGGCAGTTTGCTTCATCAGAGTAAACAAGTAAGACAGGAGAAGAGAGTGTGTTAACAAGACAAGTCAGTCTTTTGTAACCTAATCTCAGAAGTGGGTCCAGGCCACACTCAAGGTGGGAGATCACACGAAAGCCTAAATACTATGAAGCAGGAAACATTGTGGCCATCTTAAAAGCCTGTCTACCACAGTCATCAAATGTCTAGTTAGAGTTCAAATTTTCCCAAATGTCTTAAGACATTTTATTGAAAGCTTGTATCATTCTAATCAGGATCCAAGTAAAATTCGTATACTGAACTTGGTTTATTTTAATCTATAGATTTCCCTTCCTTGCCTAGGTTTTTTCTTGCAATTTATTTGTTGAAGAAACTAGTCATTTGTCACAGGTATTTCTACATGTGTATTTCCTGTAAACTGGTAGTTATAGCCAGAGAATCCAGTTCAGATTTGATTCTTTTTGGCAAGACTGTTTCATAGCTGTTCTCCCATCAGGAGACAGTAATATTCTGTTGTCTCTCTTTTTGTGATTATTATTAGCTGTTAATTATTATTGCCTAGATTCATTATTTCATTAGGGGCAGTGATGATGTTTTATCATTCTTTTCTCATTTATTAGCTGGAATTATATTTTAGAAAAAAATTCCAGTCATGACTTTCTTGGTTTCACGAAAGTATGGATTGTACATTTACAAAATGCAGGATAAATACTACATTTTTCCCCATTAACTTACCAGTTTTCAAAATCAGTGGTTTCCTGTCATCATTTCGTAGTATTGACCAGTGAATTTATATGTATGTGTACATTATGATAAACTCATGGATTTAAACATAATTTGATGTGTTTTGATCTATTATAGTTATTTTCATTGATGCTCAGATTGTTCCATCTTTGGTTATTGTGGTTCTCTTCCTGTTTTTTGAGGCTTTGAGACACAGCCCCCAGTAGTCTTTGTCGCTGTTTACAAAGTCTTTTCAGTGGGCAGAGCTAGAACGTTCGTAATGAGTAAATACTGAAATTTCTGATTTTCAGGTTTAGGCTTATAAAGTATTACTAAAATTTCTAATTTTTACTTTGGATTATAGGATATTTATTTCTGTGATTTTATATTTGTATCTTATTAGGATTTTGGTTTCTAATGATCCATTACGTGCTTTATCCTATATATGCTATATATTCTTTATCCTATTATATTTTACTTGTATGGCATAGTTTCAGAATACCAATTCCAATATTGTTAATAATAATGTATTATTGAAAAAAATTTAGAGTTTTTTGATCCTACCTGGATTTGGCAGGCAAATTAACTGCTTTTAAAAGTCACTTTAAATAAATCTCTGTGTGTAGCAGACTCCATAAACAGTTTAGTCCATGTATTTGTTTTGCTTTGGATTTTTAGAGATTGCTTTTTAAAAAATTTAGTTTTACTATTATGTGAGATTTATGATTCAAAGTCAGATTTTTTAAACAAAGTATTTTCAGGTAAGTCTAGCTTCTTGTTACCTTGTTTCCTCCTTCACTTATTAGGTTACTGTCTTTTTATATTTGGTTTATTCTTCATTTGTTTTTGTAGATAGGTAAATGCATACACACATACATGTGTATCTGTTTATGTGTGGGTATATATGTTTATCTCCTCCCACCTTTCTCATATAAAGTGCTCTACTTTTCTTTACCTTGCTATCTCTTTATAGCATATCCTGGAGATTACTCCATATTTATAAATACATCTTTCATTCTTTTTTTAATAGTTGCATGATTATACATTGTACGGATGTATCATCTTAAAGCCAGTTCCCCATTGGTGGGCATTTTGATTATTTCCAGTCTTTTGCTCTTACAAATAGTGTGCTATATTTAATACTCTTGTATATATAGCTTTTTGTATTTCTCCCAGTGTGTCTTTGAGATGGAGTCCTAAAAGTGGGATTGCTGCATCACAGGATAAATGCATATGTCTTTTTGCTAGAGATTGCCAAATTCCTTTCCGTTGAGGTTGAGCCAGTTTACCTTGTTAATCAGTAATAATGAGAGTCGCTCATTCACCTCACCATCACCAATAGACTATGTTGTCAAACTGTGGATTTATGCCAATCTAACAAGTGAGAAAAGTTATTTCATTTCTGGGCAAGGTTGAACATCTTTACATATTTTAATTCTTATGCCTTTGTTTACTTTTCATTGTCTAATTACACAAAATAATAGTTCTAGTACATTGTCAGTAATACTGGAGAGAGTGCATATCCTTGAACTCCTGACTTCAACCAATACTTTTTTCTTTTTTGAAGGCAGTTACAATTCATGATACAGAAAAATGCCAAGCATGGGATCTAGGAACCAACTTCTTTCTCAGTGAAGATGATGTTGTTAATAAGAGAAACAGGTAAAGATATTTTGATGTATTATCATGAGTTTTTTTAAATTTATTTACTTAAAATATTTCCTTTATCTAGAACACCAATCAGTCATAGTTGTTTAAATATAAAGTGCTCTACTTTATACAGGTAAAGATATTTTTATGTATTATGAGTTTTTTTTTAACTCATTTACTTAGAATATTTCCTTTATCTAGAACACCAATCAGTCATAGTTATTTAATTGATCACCATAAATTCCTACTACTGTGGCTAAATAAATATTGATATATACTTAATTATTTGTATTTGTCAAATTTTTTATATATTTACATAATATGTATTATATAATATATATTACATATAATATATCTTTTATATATATTATATATATAAAAGATATATATATATTACACTGCTACCTAGAAATGTATTTCCTTGAATTTATTAAAGAAGGACTTTAGTGTTGCTAAATTATTAAGAAAGTTAAGGAGCCTGGAGCTTGGAACTATTAGGGTACACTTTGAGATTGTGTGGTTTATTGTAGAATATGATAGTATATCATTTCAAGATTGTATGGTTACCTGTAAAGACAAGTAAGTTTTGGTTTCTTTCTTCTACAAGGTAAGTTTCCATTGAAATTTTGTAACATGTCAGGTTCCTCTGATGTCATTACAGTGTCCAACTTGAAGAGATTTGAGTATATTGAATTAAAGAACAGTAAAAATTTATTTTATTTTTTTAGGGCTGAAGCTGTACTTAAACATATTGCAGAACTAAATCCATACGTTCATGTCACATCATCTTCTGTTCCTTTCAATGAGACCACAGATCTCTCCTTTTTAGATAAATACCAGGTTAGTACTCCATTTTGTATTAAATGTTATTGACAGGTTCCAGGGCAAAATTGTTAAATATTAATATGTTTAACTAATTTAACCTAGTGTATTGAGAAACAGAACAAAAAAATTTCAAGGTAGAAGACATATTAGAATAAAACCTTTCAAATTCTCCATTTTAAGGAAGGGACCTAAGAACTACTGACAAAGTAGTTATATCAGTTGGCTTTTTTCTCAGTAATATCCATTAAAAACTACTCAAAACTCTGGTTTATAGCAACATGCATTTATTTCTTTCCTGTGTACCTGAATATGTCAGTTGGGGTTTCTAGGCTGAACTCAGCCTGGATTAAACTCCAGAGTTTGGGTTCTCCCCCATGTGTCTCTCTTCTGGGACCAGGAGGCTACCTAGGTCATGTTCTCATGGTAGTAGGAGAAACAGAAGGTCAAGTCCAGCCACACATGCACATTTCAAGCTTCTGTTTTTGTTGTGTCCATTAACATCCTGTCGGCCAAAGCAAGTCAATGTTATCAAGCCTAAAGTCAAGAAGCAGAAAAGTACTCTTCCTAAAGCCATGGGCAAGCAGTACAATTACAGGGGAGTAAAAATACATGGATCAGTAGTTCAATCTATTATAGGTAACAATTCCTTAAATAACAACAACAAAATTCCCAGGACCTTGGATATTGTAAAAGTGACTAGGTTGACCCTGATTTTTTTTTTTTTTTCTGTGAGTAAATTATGCTGTGATCCATTTAAAAATGGGTATAGACTTCTGTTCTGGAGTAGATAACTTAAAATTCATCCTGCTACAAAGCACCTAGAATTTCTAAACAGACTTTCTTTTAAATGACTATCCGAGCTCAAAATAATGTAAGGAAAATGCTCAGAGGCCACAAATGAACAGTTAGCTAAAAGACTAGTGAACTGTTATCTGTAGGTACTCTTAGCGACAGGAGTTGCCTGTCACAGTAACCAAAGTTCTTGGGAATTGATGTTCACATAGAAACAGAAGATTCAGACCTAGAACTACATAAACTAGAGAAATTGAATTGAGACCTCCCCTTCTTCATAAAGCTGGAGCCTCAGAGAGCTATGCCCTCAGTGAAAGGGTGGACAAGAACAATCTTTACCAATCTTGTCTGTTTTGTTTTCTCTTAAGCTCTGGATGAAAAGTAAAGGTTTTCCTGGGGAATTCATAACCATTAGGCGTGCTGTCACATAGGTTTAGAGATTAAACTTTATTATCTTTTGTGATCTGGAAATTCCTAAACTGAGAACTTAATGTAAAAAGTAGTACTATAGGCTGGGCGCGGTGGCTCACGCCTATAATCCCAGCACTTTGGGAGGCCGAGGTGGGCGGATCACCTAAGGTCAGGAGTTCGAGACCAGCCTGACCAACATGGAGAAACCCTGTCTCTACTAATAATACAAAAATTAGCCGGGCGTGGTGGTGCATGCCTGTAATCCCAGCTACTCGGGAGGCTGAGGCAGGAGAATCGCTTGAACCCGGGAGGCGGAAGTTGCAGTGAGCCAAAATTGAGCCACTGCACTCCAGCCTGGGCAACAAGAACAAAACTCCATCTCAAAAAAAAAAAAAAAAAAAAAGGTAGTACTATAATGGCCATAATGGCCATACCCTAAAGTGCCAGACAAAAACAAAATTAAACAAATCTAGAGAAATATACCCTCAACTAAGTTACAGGGTATTCCAGTATATAAAGTCCCTTTGAGTTCACAGTACAAAATAACAAGATGGGAAAAAGCAGCTCAATATGACCAAGAGTCAACAAACTATTAAACCTCAAAGAATTTTTATTTATTTTTCTTTCTTTCTCTTCTTTTCCTTTCTTTTCCTTTCCTTTCTTCTTTCCTCTTTCCTCTTTCTCTTTCCTTTCTGATGGAGTCTTGCTCTGTCTCCCAGGCTGGAGTGCAGTGGCATAGTCTGGGCTCACTGCAACCTCTGCCTCCTGGGTTCAAGTGATTCTCCTACTTCAGCCTCCCAAGTAGCTGGGATCACAGGCACGTGCCACCACGCCCTGCTAATTTTTATATTTTTAGTAGAGATGGGGCTTCACCATGTTGGCCAGGCTGGTCTCGAACTTCTGACCTCAGGTGATCCTCCCGCATTGGCCTCCCAAAGTGCTGGGATTATAGGTGTGAGCCACCGTGCCCAGCCTAAACCTCCAAGAATTTAGGAGAATAGAATTATTTGAGAAAGATTATAAAATACAGATGTTCAAAACTAGTAAATCGTAAAAGAAGGGATTAAATATATAATATACAAATAAGACACTATTGAAAAAGACCAGGCAGATGTGATAAAGAACCAGGTACAACTTATGGAAATGAACATGAAGTCTTAAAAATTAAAATTCAGTGGATAGATTAAACAGTGAATAGATATAGCTGGAATAAACATTAGTGAATTGAAAGATAGACCTGAGGAAATTACCAAAGCTATAGCACATAGAAATAAAGAAAATATCCCAGCACTTTGGAAGTCAAGGCAGGCAGAAAACCTGAGGTCAGGAGTTCGAGACCAGCCTGGCCAGCATGGCGAAACCCCGTCTCTACTAAAAATACAAAAATTAGCTGGGCATGGTGGCATGTGCCTGTAATCCCAGCTACTGGGGAGGCTGAGGCAGGAGAATCGCTTGAACCTGGGAGGCAGAGGTTGTTTTGCAGTGAGCCCAGATCGCACCACTGCACGCCAGCCTGGGCAACAGAGTGAGACTGTGTCTCAAAAAAAAAACCCAAAACAGAAATAAGAGAAAATATTATGGACAAGTTAAAATAAATGAGAGCTTGAATGAAAAGGTCCAATTTATGAAATTGGATTTCTAGATAGAAAGCAATAGAAAAGAGCAATATTCAAAGAAATTGTGGCTGAGAATTTTCTAACATTGATCAAACACAAATCAGATTCAATATGTGATGGGTCGAGTCTTTGATTTTTTTATTATTTGCAAACTATCCTGTTACTGTTTCACAGATGCAGGAAATATGAGATTCCTGGGTCAGAGACTAAGAAGTTTATTACTCAGTGCATAATAAAAAATATGAGCATATATTGCATTTTCTTCCTCGCCCCCGTCCCCCAAGTCCCTCTAGTTCAAGGCAGAGGGCTCAGTGAATGCACATGCAGTAGGTTGCTTTAGAGAAGAACACTGAGCTTGGGGAACTGGCTGTTTTAAAGCAAGCTAAGACGTCTCTTTGTCCCTGAGGAAGACCTTACCTCATCCCTCAAGTTTTTACACAGCAAATACAATTCTGAGAAATGACCTCAAGTAAAGAGCGGTAAGGGCCTTGCATTCATGGCATACCTTGTGAGACTGTATAGACTGAGAGGCCCATGGAGGAATGTCTCCCTACAGGAAGCAAACCATATTGCAAGCTAGATTTAAAAAAACTAAATCCACAGATGGACATGTTCTAGTAGCCAACTAATGTGTCTCTTAAAAATGTTGTCAGGTTTTTAAGCTAGCATGAAAGTAATACTCTGGTAGCTAGGTTAATATTTGTGTGATAGTAATAGATGAAACAAATCTAATCACTTAGAGTCCATAAATACTGCATAGGATATTAAGGTTTGCTTCTAATCATAAAGCGTGTGATGGTTATCAAGTTTTATGTGTGCAGGTTTTCCCCTGTATATGTTATTTTTACTTCTGTTACCTATACTTTGTGAAGGTATTAACCTTGGAATGGAATTCCGTAGGATTATAACTTTTCAATGAGATTAGCGATGTGTCTTTAGCACAACGCAAACTGACATGCTTCTGATTATTGTATACTACAAAAAATAATTATGTATTTTCTAGTTTTTAATTTGTTGTTTTCTCAACAGTGTGTAGTATTGACTGAGATGAAACTTCCATTGCAGAAGAAGATCAATGACTTTTGCCGTTCTCAGTGCCCTCCAATTAAGGTAATTGTATCATTTAGTAATGACATGTAGTTAACCAAGGAAGAACACTTTCACTAGTAGAATTTTTAACTCATTGATGGGTTATATAAGAAACTTTTTACATATTAATCACAATCATTTTTTTCATTAATTTTGATATATTCATTTCCTGTTTTTAAAACTAGGATCTAAGTTTGGTTTATAGACAGATTGCCAAAACTAAGGAAGAATTAATGTTAGGAATGGAAAGGATGATAAACATTGAAATCATCATCTAATTTTTTTTTTTTTTTTTTTTTCCCGAGACAGAGTCTCATTCTATCGCCCAGGCTGGAGTGCAGTGACACAATCTTGGCTCACCCCAACCTCCGCCTCCCGGGTTCAAGCTATTCTCCTGTCTCAGTCCCCTGAGTAGCTGGGATCTTACAGGCACCCGCCACCAAGCCCAGCTAATTTTTTGTATTTTTAGTAGAGACGGGGTTTTACCATGTTGGCCAGGCTGGTCTTGAACTCCTGACCTCAGGTGAGCCACTGCGCCCAGCCTCTAATTTTAAATGTCGTTATGATGGTGATTTTCTAGAGGTTCAGTGGTTCATTCAATGAATATTCATTGACTATCTATGTATTGGAGACAGTTATAGCCACTAGAAATACATTAGTGAATAGAGACAAATTTTTTTACTCATGAAAATTACCTTCTGCTAGGGAAGATGTACAGTAAACAAGAAAATAAATACATCATGCGTTTTTAAATAGTTTCAAGTCCTATGAAGAAGAAAAATCTGAGTAAAGAAAAATAGAGAATGATATCTGCATGATGTAGGGAGAAGGACAGTTCTGGTTCTCTTAGATTAGAAGGTTAGAGAAGTCTTCACTAAGGAGATGATGTTTGAGTAGGGCTCCGAGTAATGAGAAAGAACAGGCTATATAAAGATCTGGGGGAAGGCATTCAAAGCAGGGGAATCAGCAAATGTAAACATTTGCAAGTGTAAAAATTAGGTTGGCGGTTTTGAGGAACAATAAGAGGCAAACAGGACCAAAATAGAGTGGTAAAGAGGAGAGGATAGTAGGAATAAAATATACCAGAAGATTAGTTTGGGAGAAGTAGGTTGGGGGCCATACGTTACAAGATCTTCGAAGACATTTGAGTTTTTAGGCCTGTGAGTTTTAATCTGTTTTATATTTTTAAAGGATCACTATGGCTTGCTGTATGGAGAGAAGACTATAATTGTAGTTTTCAAAGTGTGGTCCAGGGACACTAAGAATCCCTCAGACCCTTTCAGTGGTTCTGCACACTCGAACTTTTTATTTTCATATTACTAAGATGTTATTTGCCTTTTTCATTCTGATTATCTTAGGCGGCAGAGTGGAGTTTTCCAGAGTCTATATGATGTGTGGTGATATCCTTGCTCTGACAATGGAATATGTATATTCTTGTGATTTAAATTTCTCTCAGTTTTAATTTCTAACACAGTAAATATTGATAGGTGTAACTTACATAAAAGCTCTTTGGGTCCTCAATAATTCAAAAGAGTATGAAGAAGTCATGAAAGATAACCAAAAGAAATAGAACTGTTGGATTATAAGAGTAGAGTAGAGGCAGCTAGACTAGTTAGCAGTTACTGCAGTAGTTCAGCTGAGAGATGCTGGTATCTTAGACAAAAGAGTTGGGAAGAGAGATAGTCAGAAGTCATTGAATTTGAGGTATCTTTTGTTTAAAAAAAAGGTGGGGTGGGGTGGGGGCCTAACAGAACTTGTAGATAGATGAGTGTGAGTTGTAAAGGAAAGAGTGAGTGATCAAGAATTACTCATAGATTTTTAAACCTCCAGCATAATTAGGTGCACAGTGACATTGGGAAGAGGTTTAGATGGGAAAAATCACAGTTCTTCGCTTGTAATTGAATTCATTACTAACCTCATCTCGTTTGTTTTTGGGGTTGTTCCACTGGAAAAAGGAAAAAGCTACTTGTTTCTTTGAGTTAGGCACCAAGGCAAAATCATAATTTATGATGTAGGTGTGTTGAAAATTTTTGGATTGTTGTATTTATATAGCATATTTATGCTCTAGAGCATTCGTGTTGTGGTTTACAATTTAAGCATGTGATTAAGACAGAATAGCCACTGAACTTACAATAGGGCACAGCAGTATTACAAAATAACTACACAAGGTTATAAATTAAAACCTTTGTTTACGTAATTTATATGCTCTTTAGAGTTAAACTTTAAAAAAAAAGCTTCTAAGTTTCTGCCCAGTTTTATGTCTTGTAAAAAAAAAAAAGCTATATGTATCCATTTTGATCAGTAAAGTCAATATATGATCAAGTGGGAGGTGGTCT